>NC_000009.12:117595552-118220552 GCF_000001405.40 Homo sapiens | reverse complement strand
GCACATCCACTTAGATAAATTCTATTGGAATTAAACAATGGTCATCATTTAATACAGTATTGGATAAGTATATTCATTGACATTTGAAGATGCTCAGAATATAGGAAACAATATGTATTGTACTAAACAATTGATATGTGCTAATTTCTTAACCATCAATCACTTCCTGAGGTACAATTATTCCCATTTTGAACATGAGTAAATCACCAAGTTTAGAACTGTTATGTAAGTAGTTCAGTGTTATAAGCACCTCATAGATGACTCTCATTCTGCAGTTCAAGCCTCCAAAAATGCTCAGAGAAAGGCCTGAAACACTACACCCTAAAAATTTAAGAGAAACTATTTAAAAAAGTGGTATTATGGGCATTTGTTTTCCTGGTTTTGTTTATTTTTCTTTTACTTATAGGGTTTTTTCCACTTTTGTCATAATGATAATGGTAATAGTAAAACATATATCACTTTAATTACTCAAATCATTATAGATCAAATAACATTTCCTTAATTTTCATTAAGAAATATTAAAATAATGTTTTTATCATATGCCTGGTAAATAAACTCTTTTTTAAAAAATAATATGTCTGTTTTGTGGATTCAAAATGTAGAAAACAGAGCCTTTCCTTTCACAGAGCTCAGCTTCATGGACTAGCCATGACCCTTATGAACAAGCTATAAGCAAGTACTAACATCGTGCTACAGTAATCTAGCTGAGGGAGTGATGGATGAATTAATTTATTTGCATATGTAGCATTAATAATTGCTAACATTTATAGTAAACTCAAAGACTCTTAAAACCCACAGTGTCCATTATCCCATTTGATTCTGAAAGTAGCTATGTAAACTATTTCGAAAAAATATGTAGACCCACTGATTACTGCAAAGGACATCCATGTACAGAGACACTGAGTGACTTTCAGAGGGTTAAGCAACTAATAAAAGGCAGAGGATGGTTTTTAATCCAAAAAGCTGACTCCAAGCTCAGAGGTCTTTTCACCAGAAAGTGGAGCCTCGTATGTAACATATTATGCTTTTGAAAATGTTTTACATTTATCTTACTTATTTTTAATAAGGCAATTAATTTAACTAGTTTATGTGGAGTATTTACTCTATGCCAAGAAAGTTGCTGGGTTCTGGGGATGAAAAAGTAATAAATTCCACCAGAAAATTATATTTGGAAGATTAGACATTAAAAGTATAAACAAAACCAAAACTACAGAAAGGAGAGTATTAGTTTTTCCAACTTTTATTTAGATCTTTTACATAACATATTTCCATAAATATTAAATTAAATATGTTCTATTTTCTTTTAAACACCATAAACTCTTCCAAACATATTACCCTTTTTGTCTTAATATATTAATAACCTACTCTTATGTCATTTTAATGTAAATAAAAATATGATTATGAAATATTAGATCTGGAAAAGGCATGAAAAGGACCCAGAGCAGGTACTCAAATACTTTTGTTCAATTAATGAACAACTGAATGAAGGATGGAAAGAAATGCCTGTTACTCAAAGGATCCAATTAAAGGATTGAGTATTATCTGTTGCATTGTGGATACAAAATTTTCTGTGTGAGCACAAGTGGGCTACATTCTATCTATGACCCCTTCTACTTGAAGGCTTTGAATGTCAGGGCCACAAAGTATGGTTAAAATTAGTGAAATATGAATGCTTTCCCTATTTTTTAAAAATTATAGAAGTAATATATGATGTTTCCTAAAAAATAAGATTCAAAAAATCAATCAATACTAAGTAAAATTTTTATGTCATAGTCACCTCTCACTCCGTCCTGATCCATTGTATAGGAGTGTTTCTGTGTATCACTTATCATCTTTATATTACGTAATTTAATGTTTTTCTGTTAGATAATTATAATCACAGATATTTGAGTTATAAAAAGAAATGGCATCAATCCTTAAACATTGTACTACAAAGTTTTGATCCTCCCGCCTTAGTCTTCCAAAGTGCTGGGATTCTAGGTGTGAGCCACTGCACCCAGATGATAAGCTCTTTGCAATTTTGATCTCTACTGCCAAATTGTCCTATAGAAAGTTGTAGAAAATTATGACCCTTCATCAATATATGTGAGTACCCTTTCTCTATATTCTCACTAACAATGTATACTACAATTATTTTTTTCATATGAGGACTGGGGAAGAGTATTTCTCCACTTATTAATGTAACTTATCTATGTCTTAATTTTTCCCACCTATAAAATTAACATAATACAAGTATTTACCTTTTAAGTTCTTGTGTGTATAAAAAAGTTCCAGGTGTCAAATACCAACAAATGACACCAACAGATGTCAGTACGCAACAAATAAAGAAGAGTTTACAAAATGTTGGCTGTCTTTTCTTTGAGTTGGTTGGAAGTCTTCAAGAATAACCTTCAGCTCAGAAACCAAAGTGCCTTCCATTTAAGACTACTTGGAAATTATTGGTGATTATTAACACTTCTCATTTCAGTTAATCCCAGTTTATGTATTTCCTTTCAAAGTGAAGCTTTATTAGTCTTGGTCAAACACTGAAGATACCATTAAAGGGAACTACAAGAGAGATGACTTGTCCTTGTAATTCTGTAAGTCTTTCTTTCTCTTTCTCTCTCTTTTTATCTTTTTCTCCATTCATTTCTTTTTTTAAATGTATTTTTTCTCTTCTTTTTCTTTCTTCTTTCCTTCCTTTCTTCTCTCCTTCTTTTCACTCTTTCCTTCTTTAAAATAATGAATTAATATTCAGAAAGGCAATGTTGTGGTTTTTTTATTATTGTACTTTAAGTTCTGGGATACGTGTGCAGAACGTGCAGGTTTGTTACATAGTTATACACGTGCCATGGTGGTTTGCTGCACCCATCAATCTGTCATCTACATTAGGTATTTCTCCTAATGCTATCCCTCCCCTAGCCCCCCACCTCCCAACAGACCCCGGTGTGTGATGTTCCCCTCCCTGTATCCATGTGTTCTCATTGTTCAACTCCCACTTATGAGTGAGAACAGGTGGTGTTTGGTTTTCTGTTCCTGTGTTAGTTTGCTGAGAATGATGGTTTCTAGCTTCATCCATGTCCCTGCAAAGGACATGAACTCATCTCTTTTTTATGGCTGCATAGTATTCCATGATGTATCTATGCCACATTTTCTTTATCCAGTCTATCATCCTTTCCTTCTTTAAAATAATAAATTAATATTCAGAAAGGCAGCGTTGTGTTTTGATAAATGCACTCACTCAAACATGTATACTGGACATCAGATTAGAAAAGCTGATTTAGGTCTAGTCTCTGTCATTAGTAAGCACATTTGTTTGACACTGGCCATTTAGTTACTCTGGATGGTAGCTCATTACTTATTTATTTCACAAATATTTTTTGGGAACCTTCTATGTGCTGATAGTGTAGGAGTGTGGACCATAACTGAAGATCTAAAACAAGGACTGTGTGGTTAGAGGGCAGAGAGAGAGAGGGAGGCAAGTGAAATGAAGATGGTTAGGTAGGCAGGGGCTAGATTATGCATAGTTTATAGATCATGCTAACAATCTAACTGCTTATGTCGAAAATAAAGAAGTACATTTTTGCTGCTTGCCATACTTACATGACTAATTTTGTGACTCTGCTGTTAAGAAGTTAATAATAACATCATGCTACAAGCTTGTTAAGTTTTTGAAATATCCCATTGCAATTATGGTGAGGGCAGAGACTGGAGGCAGGGAAACTATTAGGGAAATCTTTATAATGCTTCAGGAATAAATTGATACAAACCTTGAACTAGATATTTACCATGATAGTAGAAAGGAACACATGAGTCATGTGAAATAGACATTAAGAAATAATTGGTTTTCTACATCAAAAAATAAAACAAAAGCAAAGCAAACTTACAAAAAAACATGCCAAGATCTTCTACATCCTACACAATATTAGTCACTATTTGGTTGTTGACGGCTATCTGAAGTATTCTGTTAGGGCGGTTTCTGAAGCTACCACAAGGGAGGAACAGTGTGTTCTGACCAATTAATGATGGCTATTACTGGCATAGGAAGGATGAGGGACAGCAAGGATTCCCTAAATATGTCCTTCCCGCCAAAACACTTATTACACAGGTTAATTGACTGAGACTAGAAAGACAAAATGAATTTTGAGATTTTAGTTTTCACAGTTAGTACTTAAGCTGAGACCAGTCCACTTGTCTCTTTCCTGTTTCATATGCTCCCTTTATATTGTTCACTTTTCTGGAGGACATTGGATCCAAGGTAATCATTGCATCTATTTATCTTTGCATAGTTCCTTTCTAGCAAGTATGACTCAAATGATCCGGGACCTTATATTAGCTTTAAAACTTGCAAAGTAATGTAACATGCTTTATTTGAAATAACTATAAAATATTATCAAATAATAACTTAAACTTTTATTCAAAATAACTCCTTGACTTGGATATTATTTTCCATGTAAGTAAAAATTGAGTATTGCTATTAAACACTTTTATATTGAATTCATTAAATGTGCCAGTTTTCACCCTCTGTGCTATAACTTTGAGGTTCCTCTCACTAAACAGACTCTCATGTGGGCATGGTCACCATTTAGCCCTATGCCTTGCTTTGGTCAACAGGATGTTAAAGGACTTGACAAAGGGACTTGTAAGAATGGCAAACAGTTTCACTTTTGCTCTTTCTTCTCTTGCTGCCCTTTCATCTCCATAAACATTTCCAGGTCTATCTTGCTGTAGGATAAGACAAGGAGAGTAGAGCCAAGTCACCCCAATTGTCTTAGCTGCAGCCTTTCCAGGTCAGTTCATAGCTGATCCAGACATATTAACAGCCCAGCTGATAAGCTTTGCTTTGCCCTGATCAGCAGAGCCACCTGGCTGATACATAGTGTCACAAGAGATCGAAGATCATTGCTGTTGTAAGCTATTAAGTTTTATGGTAGTTTGTTATTCAGTATTACCTAAGTGTACAAGTGTTATATATTGTTATAAGTAAGTAATAATTAGTTTACATGTAATGTCATTTTATATCATACTTCTACTTGGTAGTTAAAAAAAAATTGAGAATCAAGTTGACTTTTCCTGTAAACTATTATTGGGAATTGGCAGAGCTGGCATTTAGCACTAGGTCTGTTGATTCCTAGCCAATCATCCATTGTAAAGAGTTTCATATTTAGTATAAGACTGAACTGAATTTTTATCTTTATGCTATTCTATGATACTTAAAAAGTAATTTACTCTCCTAGAATAGCAATATCCAATACAACTTTCCAAGATGGGTGGGACTGTTCTATATTTTCTTGTCCAATATGACAGTTATTAGCATCATGTGGCTATTAAATTTAAATGTAAATTACAGAAAATTAAATAGAATTGAAGATTTAGTGTGTCAGTCATATTAGATGCATTTACAATGCTTAATAGTCACATGTGCCTAGTGGCTACTGAAATAGAGAGTATGGTTCTAAATCCCAGTTTTGTCATTTGAACTTAGAGATTCTATTTCTTGATCATCATGGAGACCTTCATCTCTGTATTAACTGCTTCCTTAAACATTTCCAGCGTTTTGGAAGTTATGCATATATTCACAACTTTAAAGCTTGATACAGATAGAACATACAGATAGAATCAAGAATTTCTCTTATAAATACAGAAGCAGGAGTTAATCTAGAACACCTTCACTTATTCATTATTTTAGACAACTTTTAGTAGTTTAAAGGTTCTATTTGATCAAGGTAGAAAAGATTATTAAACTTACTTTACAGATGATGAAATAGAATAATGGATGGATGGATAGATAGATGAATAAATAGATGAATGGATAGAAGGCTTGCCCATAGATTTTGATTATATTCCAATTTTGGCATCAGGACTGATGACTTCCAGGCCCCAACTAATCAGCTCTGTCTGCAGATTGAAACTCTTCTGTACTCTGTCCTCTTAACAAGTGTTTTCAAACTTTTCTCAAGGAATTACCTCAAGAACTTCAGGAAATTAAGAGGGTGCTTGGTGGTCAGACACCTGCCCTAATCCCTTATCTCAAACAAAGTAGTACTTCTTTCCTTTGTTTTATATAGTAAGCTTCCTGAGTACAATTTCATTTAAAGCAAGGATGTTCAGGCTAAAAATAATATTAAGGAACTAATTTTAAGCCAAGATTATATGGCTATGTCATTTGACCTGGAACTTGTACATGGGCTGAAATATAATAGCAAAAGGTTGAATGTATTAGTACATCTAGTCTTTCTCTGCTAAATAATACTACTTATGAGTGTTGTGCTGTGCCGGGCACTATGCAGGGTTCTGCAGATAAAGAGGTGGATGTCTTGTCCCTCCTCTCAGCCTGTCAGGAAAGGCTTTGTGAACTACACCTTGCAGCTCCTTCTTAGCACTTTTCATCTCTCACATGGAAGTGATGACAAGTAATTATTTTTTAAAAAGACATGTTTTCGAGATGAACTTGTCTCTGCTGCGTATAACTATAGTCACTTTGGTACTGGCTAATAGTATTTGCCTCTATTTTCCTATAACTAATTCAGATCTTTTTACTATGGCCACCTGAGTTCATTTCTTCATGCATTCAAAAAAATAATTAAAACCCTATCATTATGTCTATAATAGGGCTGGGCTCTGGTGTAATAAAATGGTAAAAAGAAAAGTCTGAGATAGATCCTACCCTCAAGAATAGAAGGCAAGCCAAACAGGAAGCAAGTAATTATAGATATTTGCTTAATTTACCAAATGCACTAAAGTTTAGTATAGATAGGCAATAGGAGATGACTAATAAACAATGACTCAGGTAGAGGACAAATAGCAAAGAGCTGGACAAGGTGGACTTTAAGTTATGAGTGGGCTTCTTTAGTGGGCTCTGGAGGGCTTTAAAGGGAGGAGAAGCAGGGTGAGGTTGCAGTTGCTCTTCCTCTGGGAAGTATAGAGCAACACAGAAGGAAATGGAGAATGGGACCGGGAGAGCAGAAATAATGTGGAGCAGAAGGAATGATGAGAATGGTATGATAAAGATGTGTACAGATTAGAGACTGATTTTGGTGGCAGAATAAAGCTTCATTGCAGAATTGAGCCTACCTTAACTTATCCTCAGAGTGCCTTTCCAGGCATTCGTATATATTTTTTTCCTCATCAGGGGTGAAATTCTGATTATAATGCTTAACTCACAATGTTGTTCTAAAACATAATGAAAGAGTGTGTGGGAATAACTGGTTATTGTAGATACCACAAAATGGTTTTCTATCAAACAACTTCACTAGACTTATGGGCTTTATTTCCTGGAAAACAATTCTAAGCCCCAAGCTCACCTTTTTCCTTTCCTCCAACATATCCCCTACACTATACACTGTACCCTACCCTACAGTCCCTCTGTCTTGAAACAGATCCATCAAGAGCCTCAATTAACAAGTGATATATGGGAAGTAGGAATTAAGTTAAATAGAATTTAAAGAGGCATTTTGGTTACTGACCACATATCCCAATTTGCTCAGGAAAATCTTGTTTTCCTCTGTTGGCTTCATGCCATTATTAATTTCCTTCTTTTTTACTACTGAGGTTTGGATGATAAGTTATTATATAGCCATTCTACCCTTTCAGCCTTTGTATCTCCCTCTATAATTCTTGTTCTCTCTGTCTCTCTGTCTCTCTCTCTCTCACACACACACACACATTTACTCTTTTTTAACATGCATTTCAATCTCATTGTATTCTGGTTACTTTACTCCTCTTTTAAGTCTTCCTTTTACTTAAGCATTTTATTTTCTCTTTCTTTCTCTTTATTCTTCCCTTTACACTGTGTCCCTAGCCATCTCCCTCTCAAATAGCTATCTCCATTTCTTGTTCTTCATTCTTTTTTAATCGCCTCTCTTCCTTCCCCAACCCTCATCTCTATCTGTGGCTATATCTTCTTGTCTATCTCCCACTCACATTCTCATTCTTTCTGTCTTTTATCTCTATCCTGCCCTAGTTCCAGTGTTTCCACCTTCCTCATGTATGGGGGAGTCAGGGAGAAGCATTCTTGTGAGTGGACTGGCTGTCTTAGTTTTCCTCAGGTATCCAGGTATGGGCCCAGGAAGACAAGTGGATTCACAGGAGAATGAGTAATGACAAGGAAAAGATCTATTTGTTACAGCTTGTTAGCTACAGAGGAGAGTTTAAAATAGGATTCAAAAATTAGGAGTGGTCTAAACCCAGAATAGATGGCCTCAAAACACTGATGGTTTAAAAATGTTATTTTACTTGCCAAAGGGTTGGGGTGAGGTTATGCAGACTTCACTACAGGTTCACTCTCCTTCCTGAACCTAATCACAGAGCACAGATAGAATCTAACCACAAAAAAAGAAACAGCTCATGCATCCATTTGTCATTCCTTAGGATGCAGTTAATCAGAGTATTCCTGAGTGATAGCCAGAGAGCAGGAACATTAAAGCAAATTTGTTGTTGCTACACAGTAGCTGAGTTCAGGATTACTAGGGAGGGCAGGATGGTGTCTATAACTTGAGATGAGGCATATGACTCAAAGGGATTCTGTCTTCCTAAAATGTGAACACATCTGACACTAAACTCTCTATTTTGACCTAGTGGCAGGAAGACAGCCTGGATCTTCCTATTTGCAGGACATAAGAAACTGGCTGTTGAGTCAGGCCATTTTTAACTTTCCCAGAAAAGATAAGAGACCACTCAAAACAACTTAGATAATAAAAGGTAGCTCATATTTGAGTGAGGACTTCTTGATTCCAAAATTTATGCACTTTTTATGACACACTGCCTCATTTAGAATTAAGAGCTGCAGGCAAAGGGGCTCAAAGGATATTAAAGTTGAAGAAGATCTTAAAGTCCTAGATTAGTATTTATCAAACTTTAATGACCAAGTTAGCTACAGATGTTGTTAAAAATGTAGGTTCCGATTTAGTAGGTCTGGATGAGACTCAGAATTGCTAACAAACTCTCAGATGCTGGCAGTTCTACTTATCCATAGACATCGTTTTGAACACCAATGACCTAAAATGCTTCCACCCTTTTGAGGATATGAAAAAGGCTTCAAAAAGGACAGCCCTTCCAGAATCATCATCTTTGCTGGCAGAGCTAAACTAAATTGAAATGAGAAAAGGTGAGGTTTTGTTTGGTTTTACTTGTATTATTCTAACTAACACTACCTTGGAGTCAGTCAGGTCCAGATACAAATACCAGTCTGCCACATACTAGAAATTTTTAACTTTTTCATTCTTCTCACTCATAAAATGGAATAAATAATTCCTCTACCTAAGTTTTTTAAAAAATAAGAATTAAATGAAAAATACATATAAAGTTAATGATATAATATCTAGCACTTAGTATATGTTTCATAAAATAGTCTTATTTCTTCTTGCCATTAGCACCTGATACACATCTGCAACTAATGTACAAAGTTGCCACCCAAAAAAACAACAAAAGTTGCTGGATGTTGAAGACTAAGAGAAAGGCATCCACCACAGAAAACTTCCCCTTCCTTCCAAGCACTTAACAACCAAATATAATCAAACTTCCAAATTTAAATCTTTTAATTCTAAAAGCTGCAGCTCATGGTTGTGCAAATCGAGCTATGAAAACCTCTAGCAGTCCCTGTTCACATCCTAGTTTCCACAACATTGCATATTCGTGATAACCTTCAGGCAGGTAGCAATAAGGCTTGTGGAGCAAGGGGCATCTTTTTTCTGATTTTCACAGTGGTCCCTTTGGATTAGCATTGGTGTTACCTTTACTGACCTACTAGATTTAACCCCCCAAGAGACTTGTACAACCTTACAAGCATCTTTCCTGATCTTCCTCTTTTTCTCTGCTCCCTATGTCTCCTCAGAGGCACAGGACAAATTGTTTCTAAGATTTTTTTTTTCTCAGGACAGAGTCTCACTCTGTTGCCCAGGCTGGAGGGCAGTGGCGTGATCTCGGCTCACTGCAACCTCTGTCTCTTGGGTTCAAGTGATTCTTCTGCCTCAGCCTTCTGAGTAGCTGGGATTACAGCTAACATGCGTCACCTTGCCTGGCTAATTTTTGTACTTTTAGTAGAGATGGAGTTTCACCAATTTGGTCAGGCTGGTCTTGAACTCCTGACCTCGTGATCTGCTCACCTGGACATCCCAAAGTGCTGGAATTACAGGCATGAGCCACTGCGCCCAGCGGTTTCTAAGACCTTTATTAGTCAAATGTCCATCTTGTCTTCACAAACCAAGGAAAGTTTAATTATTTTATGTCTACCATGCACCTCACTTTCTCTCATTCGATTCTCAAAAGCACTATTCAATCACAGTTGGCTATGAAGATCTACCTCACTTTTACTAAGATGCATCCATAACTAATGAGATCAATTTATAACTAATAAAAATGCACTTGTTAAAGATGGCCTCCAAATTACTTCTAGCATGAAGCCAAAAGATCATATGCCAGTAATACCAAGATTTTGCCTTCAGGCACAGAAAGTTTTCCATTTATGGTGTCTAGGCAATGCACGTAATATTTTATTAATTGAATATGCTTGCACTCCAGATCCTCATGGAGAACTCTAGTAAGCTGGACAGTACAAGGGCCATTTTTAATTAGAGTCAACTACCATTTTTGGTCTCCACTGAAACCAGTTATTTCCACATACTTTTGCATTAAGTCCCACAACTATATTTTAAATTAGGCACTATGAACAGCATTCCATCACTGTTGAAACAATACCTTAGAGAATTAAAAAAAAAAAAACTTGCTTAAAATCTCCAGTACATAAGTTGTACAGGCAGGGTCCCAAACCAGGTCTCTCGGATTCTTCTTTCTTCTATTTTTATTTTTTCCGTATTAGAGCACCCTGGAGACTTGAAAAGACTCATCAGAGCTTGAATGGGTGGGTCACAGATGTTCTGACTTCTTCCCCACAGTCCATGCCACCTGGCACCACCTGGCCCTATGATCCATTGCCAGGTGGAAAGGCCACCTCATTCCATAACAATCAGAGCCTGGAATTAAAGTAGAGAAGCCAGCAGCTGCCCTTTCCTGTGTTCTGTTTTCATAGCAATTGCTGCTGAGATAATCAGATGTTTGTTCCAAGTGATAATTCCTTGTTTGTTTACCCTGGCCATTTGATGCCCAAGCTAGGCCATAGCTGGCAAGATGAGAATTCAGCAGGGTAGCTTGTGACATCTGAGAGTGGGGAGGCAAATTGGCACCTAGAGGTCTATTTGCAGCCAGAAATGAGCAGCAGGTAAGGTTCAGGTTTTTCTGATATCCAAATGGGAGGGAAAGTCTCAGATTTCAGGCATTTAGGCATTTACTCTGAAAATTTGGGGGTCTCTTATCAAAGCCAGAAATACGGGACATAGGCTAAGAAAACTGAGGGGTTCTCTTGGAGTTCCTTACCCTCTCTTGGTCTTCTCTCCCTCATTTGTAAAATGGAAGAATGATAAAGTAATGCTGTGATCATTAAATTAGAAAACGCATTCATTTTTTTAAAAAATACACGTTTCCTGGAGTCTCTATGTGTCCGGCATGGGCCAATTGCAGCAGAGACAATAGAGAACTGAGATAAGCATGATAGCCCCTCACATACAGCTTAAAGCTTTGTATATATCCCAGTATTTAACAAACGATTTTTTTTATTAGAATGTAATTGTACCAAGTACTATTAAAATTACCCTGGAAACTCTCTCCTTTTTTGGCTTCTAGTGTGCCAAGATCTTTCTTTTTGTCTCCTAACTTATTAACTTCTTTATATTTCCAAACACCAAAGATCCTTAAAATGACCTAAAAAGCCCTATAAGATCCGTTTTGTTATTATCTCTTACTCCAGCTCTTATTACTCTTCCTGTCACTGAGTCTACTTTGGTCACATCATCAATGACTGCTAGGCACTCACACCTACCTCCATTTCAACTGCTTGCTTCACTTCCACCAGAAATACTCTTACCTTAAGAATCTACATGGCTCATTCTTTGCTCCGCCACCAGTCTGCTCTAATTTTACTTTTTCATTGTGCCTTTCCTCAACCACCCTATTTTAAAATGCAACCCTGTTCACACCATTGCCACACATCTCTTGCATTATTTTTTCTCAAATCAACTCCAGCACCTAAGATACTTTATATAACATAATAAACACCAATATGATCAACTAATAACTGTAAGTTTAGGCTCAATAAGGAGAGAGGTTTTCACCTCCTTTTATTCACTGCTATATTTACAAGTACTCATATAATGCCTGGCATTTAGCAGTTTTTTTGATAAATATTTATTTAATACAGATATGAATGAATGAATAAATGAATGTTTAACAGAAGAAACAAAACATGTCTGAGATTATTAATAATTTTAAGTTTTTTTTTTGCCTGTAGAAACTGTTATATAGCTTTCATAGTGTTTTAATAATCTCAATCATAATTACAATTATTGTTACTATTGGTGGACTTAGTAGTTCCTGCAGTATCTGCATTAAGTAAATTTATTCAGTTTCATGCTTACTGCACCTCCCTTTCCCAAACCATAGTTTCAATCATTCAGTGAGATGAAATGAATTTCCTCTAATGGAGAAAATATCTTTCCCTCCTTTGTACATTATGTACAACCAAATGTGCCTCTCAAATACATTTGATAATACAACCAAACTTAGTCATGTCCTAACAAGGATCATAAAAGCTAGGGGAAGTTTATTAACATTTGCATATATTGTAGATTTTCCCATGTACATTTTGAAAAAGCTGTGTTATGCATTTGATTAGACTCAGAACAGCCACGCAACAGAGGCTAATCTTGTTTTGCATACACCTCATTCATTTCAAAGACAGCTCCAAAACACATTACCTATATTTAATAAGCTCCACAATGCCTTTGTGAACTGGGGACAGATCTCAACATTATTGCACAAGGAAAAATAGTGGTATGTCTTGGAGACCAAATGGTCAAGTTGGGAATGAAAGCAGGGTCCAAAATTGTCATAGAAGCATTCTTTTATATCTTCTGGCAATTTTGCTTTCATTTTAAAAAATGCACAAATCAGTTGGAGATATGATGAGTTACCCATTTTGATACATATTTATATCCTGCTATTATGCTCTTTAAATTGTCCTGGGACGCTAGTATGGTATGCCTGCCCAATAAAGAAACAATTTGAGCTGGTATAGGGATATCAGTAATGGAGAAAGGATTAATAGATTTTAATTCAATTCTGTAGTATAGCCAGAAATTTTTGAACACCTCACTCATGAATTCCTCAGTTTACAACTACAGACATCCATAAAAAGGGAAAAATAAGAAAAAATCAAGCATTCAGTCAAACATTAACATTGACTAGGAACATCACTTGAAATACACAACAGCCCTTTGGTCTTCAACGTTTTCAGTTGGAATCTGATGATTTGACTTACCAGGTAAGCATGGACAATTTTGTTTCCTTATCTGTAGAGCTGAAACAGCAAAACTGGGTTTGTTTTCAAAGGGTAGGTATGATGGATCAAATGCAATCATATTTATGACTCATTTTGTGGATTAAAGATATCTGTGTGAATATCATGATAAACAACATATTTGTGGTAAAAGGAACACCTTGTTTTTCTTCTTCTTGAGACAGAGTCTCGCACTGTTGCCCAGGCTGGAATGCAGTGGTGTGATCTCGGCTCACTGCAATCCCTGCCTCCCAGGTTCAAGAATTCTCCTGCCTCAGCCTCCCAAGTAGCTGGGATTACAGGTGCGCACCACCACGCCCGGCTAATTTTTGTATTTTTAGTAGAGACGGAGTTTTACTATGTTGGCCAGGCTGGTCTCAAACTCCTGATCTCAAGAGATTACAGGCATGAGCCACCACGCCCGACTCCATTTTGGATTTTTTTTTTCCCCAAAATGATGTTTAGGATGACATTCCAGAACACTATTCTTCACAAATATCAATCATTTTCATAGTACCCGTAAAAAATACTGTTATCTGTTATCCATGACACTTTTGGCATATCTATCTAATGCAGATGCTATCTTTAAAGAGAAAACCAAGATTGAGAGTTACAACAAGAATTTGGCCAAAGAATGGAGACTTTTGGATAAGACATCTCTGCACACACACACACAAACACGAAATTAATTTATGTGAATTAAGCCTTCACTAATATTATTAAATTCTATTTCTTAAAACACCTGCTTACATTTTACAGTATTTTTAAGCTATAACAAACTACATATAAACAACTATGGCTAATTTTCTTTTTAGCTCTGTTTAAGAATATTGTATGACTTTTTTTTAACCTAAAGAGCTTTCATAATATATTTATGTAATCATTGAACTAGACCTGATGAATTAGATGTAGCAATCACTCTCCCAGTAATTCAACTCTGATATTTTACTATCATCATCACTTCTGAACCTATTGCAATCTCAGCTCTTTGGAGTAATACTAAATAGTTCCTTCCCCCCTACTCCTGGAGAGGGTGGAGAGGGAGGTTGGAAAATCTTATTATTTCCAATTTTTTCAGAGCAGGTGCCTTCATATTTATGGAGGAATTAGTGAATTAATCTTCCATTGTGACATTTAAAAATAAGAATTTTGTTTAATGTTTCAGGGAAGAGATATTAAAACTTTCTGATTATTATTTCATTTAATACCTTGAGTTGAGTGTTACCTCCCCATTTTATAGCTAAGAAAAACCATATCCATGAAAAAGATACTGTGAGTGGCATTAGGGTATAAATTATTGAAAAAGAAAGATGAGCCAAGCATGGTGGTTCACTCCTGCAGTCCCAGCAGTTTGGGAGGATGAGGCAAGAGTATCGCTTGAGCCCAGGAGTTTGAGACCAGCCTGGAACACTTCGTGAGACCCTATCGCTACAAAACAGTTAAAAAATTAGCCAGATCCAGAAGCACACGACTGTGGTCCCAGATACTTGGGAGACTAAGGTGGTAGGCTTGCTTGAGCCTACAAGGTTAAGGCTACAGTGTGCCATGATCATGCCACTGCACTCTAGCCTGGGCAACAGAGCAAGACTCTGTCAAAAAAAAAAAAAAAGAGAGAGAGAGAGAGACAGACCAATCTCTGCTTTCAAAGAATTTTCATTTTACAAATTTACATATTAAATGGGTATATATTTATGAATTGGCCCCACCTGCTTAGGCACTTGCACCCCTGCAATCTGTCTTCAAGATGGCCTCAGATTGATCCTTTTAAAATTTAAGTCAGATCATGTCACTCATTCTCTCTGTCATTTCCCATCTTTCCCAGAGCAAGAGCCAGTGCTCCCAGTGGCTTCAATCTCCTACATGGTCATTTTATCTTGAAACTTGTCCACTAACTACCACTCCCTGCCTCACTTCATCCACTCACAAAGCCCAGACTCTGATGCTGCTCTCCAAATACAAGTGCATTTATGCTTCAGAATCTTTTCTGCTTGGATCCACATTACTAACTCCACTGTTTCATTAAGTATGCTTACATGCCCACTGATGGAAAGGTGCCCTCAAAGCAGTAGGCCTGGTCTAAGCCCCTCAGGTCTAGAGCATGCAGCCCAGGAGTGCTGAGCTCTTGGCTCCCTGAAATCATCCAAAAACAAAGCCAGTTGACTGAACCCCACTTATACCACTGTCAGACACTCAAGGGCATCAAAAAATATAAAGGCAAAAATGCTTATCCAAAAAACAGCAACTTCAAAGATTGAAAGAATATCAGCTCACACAGATGAGAAAGAACCAGCACAAAAACCCTGGCAACTCAAAGAGCGAGAGTATCTTCTTACCTTCAAATGACTGTACTAACTTCTCAACAATGGTTCTTAAACAGACTGAAATTACTAGAATGATGGATATAGAATTCATAATCTGGATGGCAATTAAGAACATTGAGGTTCAGGAGCAAGTTGAAACCCAAGCCATGGAATCTAAAGAATCCAGTGAAATGGAATAAGAGCTAAAAGATGAAATAGCTACATTAAGATAAAATCAAACTGATGTGATAAAGCTGAAAAACTCATGATAAGAATTTCATAATATAATAAGAATTTTTAACAACAGAATAGACCAAGCTGAGGAAAGAATCTCAGAACTTGAAGAATGGTTCTTCAAAGCAGTTCAGTCAGACAAAAATAAATAAAGAAGAATAAAAAATAATGAACAAGACCTCAGAGAAATATGGGATTATGTAAAGAAACCAAACCTATGACTCATTGGCATTGCTAAAAAAGAAGGAGATATAGCAAGCAACTTGGAAAACATATTTGAGGATATCGTCTGTGAAAATTTTTCCAGTCTTACTAGAGAGGTCAACATTCAAATTCAGGAAATTCAGGGAACTTCTGTGAGATATTATACAAGATGACCACTGCCAAGACACACAGTGATTAGATTCTCTAAGCTCAACATGAAAGAAGAAAATGTTAAAGGCAGCTAGAAAGAAGAGGCAAGTCACCTACAAAGGGAACCCCATTAGGCTAACAGTGACTTTTCAGCAGAAACCCTACAAGCCAGAAGAGATTGCGGACCTATATTCATCATCTTTAAAGAAAAGAAATTCCAACAAAGAATTTTATATCCAGCCAAACTAAGCTTCATAAGTGAAGAAGAAATAAATCCTTTTTAGACAAGCAAATATTAAGAGAGTTCATTACCAACAGACCGACTTACAAGACGTCCTTAATAGAATGCTAAACATGGAAATAAAAGACCATTACTGGCCACGACAAAAACAAACAATGCTATTGGTATATTGATTTGCTACTGATTTTTGTACATTAATTTTGTATCCAGAAACTTTGCTGATGCTGTTTATCAGATCTAGGGACTTTTGGACAGAGACAATAAAATAGGTATAAAATCATATCACCTGTAAACAGAGATAGTTTGACTTACTCTGTTCCTATTCAGATTACTTTTCTTTCTCTTGCCTGATTGCTCTGGCTAGGACTTCCAGTACTATGTTGACTAGGAGTGGTGATAGTGGACATCCTGGTCTTGTTCCAGTTCTCTAGGGAATGCTTTTTGCTTTTGCCTGTTCAGTATGATATTGGCTGTGGGTTTGTCATAGATGGCTCTTATTATTTTGAGTTATATTCCTTTGATGGCTACTTTATGGAGGCTTTTAAACATGAAAAGATGCTGAGTTTAATCAAAACTTTTTTCTGCATCTATTGAGATGATCATGTGGGGTTTTTTTTAGTTCTATTTATGTGATGAATCATATTTATTGATTTGTATATGTTGAACAAAACTTGCATCCAAGGGATAAAGCCTACTTGATCATGGTGGATTAGCTTTTTGATAAACTGCTATATTCAGTATGCTGGTATTTTACTGAGAAATTTTGCATCTATGTTCATCAATAATATTGGCCTAAAATTTTCTTTTGTGCTGTGTCTTTGAAAGGTTTTGGTATCAAGAAATTTTGGACTCATAGGATAAGTTCAAGAGGAGTCCCTCCTCTTTGATTTTTTGGAATAGTTTCAGTGGGAATGATACTGGCTCCTCTTTCTATATCTGGTAGAATTTGAACATGAATCCATCTGGTTTGGGCTTTTCTGGTTGGTAGGCTTTTTATTACTCATTCAATTGTGGAACTAGTTATTGGTCTGTTCAGGGATTCCATACCTTCCTTGTTCCATCTAGGGAGATAGCATGTTATCAGGAATTTATCCATTTTTTTCTAGGTTTTCTATCTTGTGTTTATAGAGATATTTGTATTAGTCTGTGACGGTTTTTTCTAAATTTCTGTGGGATTGGTGGTAACATTTCCTTTGGCATTTCTGACTTTGCTTATTTGGATCTTCTCTCTTTTTTTCTTAATAGTCTAGCTAGTGGTCTATCAGTTTTATTTGTTCAAAGAACCAACTTCTTGTTTCATTGATCTTTTGCATGGTTTTTCACATCTCGATTTAATTCATTTCAGCTCTGGTTTGGTTATTTTGTGTCTTCTGCTAGTTTTGGGATTGTTTGTTATTGTTTTTCTAGTTCTCCAAGGTGAGAAGTTAGGTTGCTCGTTTGAATATTTCTAATTTTTATGGGCATGTTTAGCACAATAAACTTTTCTCTTAACACTGCTTTAGCTGTGTCCCAGAGGCTTTGTTATATTGTATCTTTCTTTCCATTAGTTTCAAAAAATTTCTTGATTTTGGTCTTAATTTCAGTGTTTACCCAAAAGTTATTCAGGAACAGGTGGTTTAATTTTCATGTAATTTTATGGTTTCTAGCAGACACAGTGACAAATAAAAAATGCAATAGCATTCACAGTAGCCACAGGAAAAAGAATACTTAGGAATACAACTAAGCAAGGAGTTAAAAGACCTCCACAAGGAGAATCACAAACACTGCTGAAAGAAATCAGAGATAACACAAACAAATGAAAAAACATCCCCTACTCAAAGTCAGAAAGAATCAATGTTGTTAAAATGGCCATGCTATCCAATGCAATTTACAGATTCAATGATATTCCTATCAAACTACCAATGACATTCTTCATAAAAGTAGAAAAAAAACTATTCTAAAATTTACTTGGGACCAAAAAAGAGCCAGGCTAACCAGAGCAGTCCTAAGCAAAAAAAACCAAAACTGGATGTATCACATTACCTGACTACAAACTATATTACAAGGTTACAGTAACCAAAACAGCATGGTACTGGTACAAAAACAAGCACATAGACAAATAGAACAGAATAGAGAGCTCAAGAAGAATGCAAAACATCCTCAACCATCTGATCTTCAAACAAGCAGACAAGCACAAGAAATGGGGAAATGGTTCCCTATTCAATAAGTGGCGCTGCAATAATTGGATAGCCATAGTCAGAAGATAGAAACTGGGCCCCTTCCCTACACCATATACAGAAATCAACTCAAGATTGATTAAAGACTTAAATGTAAAACCTAAAACTAAAAAAGCTTGAATAAAACCTAAGAAATATCATTCTATACATAGGTCCTAGCAAAGATTTTATGATGAAGTCACCAAAGCAATTACAACAAACAACAAAAATAGACAATTGAGATCTAATTAAATTAAGGAGCTTCTGAACAGCAAAATAAATTACCAACAGAGTAAATAGACAACCCATGGAATTGGAGAAAATTTGTGAACTATGCATCCAATAAAGGTCTAATGTCCAGAATCTACAAGTAACTGAAACAAATTAAAAAGCAAAAACAAACAATACCATTTAAAAAAATGGGCAAAGGACATCGACACTTCTCAACGAAAGACATACACATGATCAGCAAGCATATGAAAAAATACTGAACATCACTGATCATTAGGGAAATGCAAATCAAAACCACAAAGAGATATCATCTCACACCAGTCAGAATGGCTATTAAGAAGTCAAAAAATTACAGATGCTGGTGAGGCAGCACAGAAAATTTACATTCCCACAGCCTATACAATGCTGGCCTGAATGTAAATTAGTTCAGCCACTGTGGAAAGGAGTATGGCAATTTTTCAAATAACTTAAAACCATCATTCAACCCAGCAGTCCCATTACTGGGTTTATACCCAAAATAATACACATCATCCTGCCAAAAAGACATGCATGCCTATGTTCATTCCAGCACTATTCACAATATTAAAGACAGAGAATTAACCTGGAAGTCTATCAGTTGTAGACTGGATAAAGAAAATGTGGTACATATACACCATAGAATACTACACATCCATAAGAAAGAACAAAATCATGTCCTTTTCAGCAACATGAATGGAGCTGGAGGCCATTATCCTAAGTGAATTAACACAGAAACAGAAAACCAGATACTGCATATTCTTGCTTATAAGTGTGAGCTAAACACTGAGTACACATAGACACAAATAAGTGAACAATAGACCCCAGGGCCTACTTGAGGGTGGAGGGTGGGAGGAGGGCGAGGACTGAAAAACAAACAAACAAAAAATGCCTATTGGGTACTGTGCTCATTAGCTGGATTAAGAAATAATCTGTACACCAAACATCTGCTACACACATTTTACCCATGTAACTACTCGGCACATGTACCCCATGAACCTAAAAGTTGGGGGAAAAAAATAAGAAAACAATGGAATAAAAGACTAAAGAAGTGGCACTTAAAAAAGGTCTTTTGGAGCATTTGAGATAAGAACTGAAACAGTAATAAGGAGCCAGCCCTGGGAAAAAAATGAGCACAGAAAATTCCACCCAGGACTGAGAGTTTATGAAGGACCTAAGTACAGCGTAATCGCTTGTTTGAGGAACAGAAAGAGGGAGAGTATGGCTTATGTATAGAGAAGGAAAGTATGGCTTATGTGTAGAGAACGAATTAAAAGCAGAAGAGGATCTTGCTGGAGAAAAAGACAGGTGTCAGTGTAGGTTGCTCTGAGCTATGGTAAGAAATGAATTTGATTTCTAGTACAATGGGAAGGTTTTATTTACATGTGCATAGCCAAAATCATGGAGATTATATGATATCAGTGATAGAGCTGAAAACAATGAACAATCTTTTCTAAAAAAAAATGAAGCTTCCTTTTAAAACTCAGGCCCAACCAACCAAAACAATCTTGTTAGGTGAATGACCTGCTTTTTCATGGGATTGCCCAGAACTGTGCTGTCTACAAATTCCACTTGACAATCTATTTGACTCAGTTTCTCTCCCTCTTAGAGATTGTAGTCAGCTTTCCTTATGACACTGAAAAACTTGACCAATGAAACCTCAATATTCCTAATCCCCACTGTTCTACACTTATAGGCTGCTTTAATTTTAATTTTGCATGAATAATTTGGCCAATATACTCATCTATTTTAGACTATTATTGAAGTATTTTCAGAACACTTTAAATATTTATACTGTCCAAAATTAGATAATTAGAACTAATAATATTAAGGCTCTTTAAGTGAAAGAAACAATGCAAAAACAGGCAAATAAAAAAATTCTTGAAATCCAGAAGACGGTGCTAATGGAGACATTCATATTTTGATAGATAAATCCAGAGGAGTCCAAAATTTAGAGAAAGCCAGAATCGTATTTCCTTCAAAAGACCACACTATTCTTGATACTGTTATTTTTAATAAGCTGGAAACCAGCTTATTAAAGTTATTAATCTTAGTGAGTGAAAATGACTAAAGAGATACACGGGGGCTGTGTGTGTGTGTACGTGTGTGTACATGGGCGTAGGTAATATTTTCCCTCATTTCTTTGGTTACTGCCCATTAGCCATGTATAAGTACTCTAAATATGATAATTCATCCTATGACCTATAATATAATAATATAATGTAACACAGATACTATAAGTATACATTATTATATTATACTAATATACATACTATTATTATGTTAATTATATTAATATATTATATTACACTACTATAATTAATAGAGTAATTATATAATAATATAATAGTATGTGTAATAATAAACATTAATTATATTAATATAATATAATATTTATTAATGTAATTGTATTATAATGTAATACTAATATTAGATAGAAGACATCACTTGTATATCTGTGCACTTAATAGCTTACCAATATCCATCACATATACCATCTTGCTTAACATGAGAACTAAGCAGTTTTGTTCTCAGCAGCAGCAGAAACTTCTTATGTATAGCCCTGGGAAAAATTTTAAAACACTGTCTCAAAAGTGCGAGTCCATATTATTTAGTGCCTAGATATTGTTCTCCAATACTATTCACCAATTAAATACAATCAATCGCTTCTTTTTTTCTCTCTCTCTTTTTTTTTTTTTTTTTTGAGATGGAGTCTCACTTTGTTTCCCAGGCTGGAGTGCAGTGGTGCGATCTCGGCTCACAACAACCTCCGCCTCCCTGGTTCAAGCTATTCTCCTGCCTCAGCCTCCAGAGTAGCTGGGACTACAGGTGTGCACCACCACGCCGGCTAATTTTTTGTATTTTTAGTAGAGATGGGGTTTCACCGTGTTAGCCAGGATGATCTTGATCTCCTGACCTCGTAATCCACCTGCCTCAGCCTCCCAAAGTGCTGGGATTACAGGCATGTGCCACCATGCCTGGCCGAATATTTCTAAAGAGCTAGAAGAGATTCAAATTTCCAATAATTCAAAATTTCTAGGATAAAGAGGAGACAAATATTTAAAGTGATGGATGCCTTAATTATACTGATTTGATCTTCAAAAATTATATCAATGTATTTTTAATTTTTTGTAAATTTTTATGTGTACATAGTAGGTGTGTGTATACACACACACATATATATATAGAGAGAGAGTTATTTGAGCTTTCTCTTTTTATTTGAACTTTTTTTTTTTACTTTTTTGATTTAGGAATTAATTGCATATATATATATGCTATATATACATATGCTATATATACGAATGCTATATGTATGCACTATATATATGCAATATGTATGCTATATATATGCTATATATATCCATAAATATATCCATATATATGGATATATATATATATATATATATATATATATATATATATGGATAGTTTGCAAATATTTTCTCTCATTCTGTGGGTTGTCTTTTCACTTTGTCAGTTATTTCCTTGGGTGTGCAGAAACTTTTTAACTTGATGTGCTCCCATTTGTCCATTTTTTCTTTGGTTCCCTGTGCTCTTGGGATATTACTCAAGAAATTTTTGCTTAGACCAATGTCCTGGAGAATTTCCTTAATGTTTTCTTTTAGCAGTTCCTTAGTTTGAGTTCTTAGATTTAAGTTTTTTAATCAATTTGGATTTAATTTTTGTATACAATGAGAGATAAAATCTAGTTTCATTCTTTTGCATAATCTAGTTTCATTCTTTTGCACTATTATTGAGGAGACTGTCCTTTCCCCATTGTATGTCCTTGGCACCATTGTCAAAAATAATTTCACTGTAGATGTATGAATTTATTTCTGGGTTCCCTATTCTGTTGTATCTATCAACGTGTATGTTTTTATGCCAAAAACCATGCTGTTTTGTTTACTATAGCTCTGTATTATAATTTGAAGTCAGGTAACGTGCTTCTTCCAGTTTTGTTCTTTTTGTTTAGGATAGCTTTGGCTATTCTGGGCCTTTTGTGGTTTCATATAAATTTTAGGATTTTTTTTTATTTCCGTGAAGAATGTCATTAGTATTCTCATAGGGATTGCATCGAATCGTAGATTGCTTTGGGTAGTATGGACATTTCGGTAATATTGATTCTTGCAAACCATAAACATGGAGTATCTTTACCTTTTTTTGTTTCCTTTTCAATTTCTTGCATCAATGTTTTATAGTTTTTATTAAGGAGATCTTTCATTTCTTTGATTAAGTTTATTCCAGTGTATGTTATTTTATTTGTAGTTATTGTAAGTGAAATTACTTTCTTGTTCTCCTTTTCATGTTGTTCTCTGTTGGCTATGGAAATACTAATGACTTTTGTCTATTGATTTTGTATTCTGAAAATTTACTGATTTTGTTTATCAGTTTTTTTTTGGTGGAGTCTTTAGGCTTTTTGAAATATAAGATCATACCATCTGCACACAAGGATAATTTGACTTCTTCCTTTCCAATTTGGATGTTTTTTATTTCTTTCTATTGTGCGATTGCTCTAGTTAGGACATCCTGTTCTATGTTGAATAAGAGTGGTGAAAGTGAATATCCTTGTCTTTTTCCAGATCTTAGAGGAAAGGCTTTCAGTTTTTCCCTGTTCGGTATGATACTATGTGTGAGTCTGTCGTATATGGCTTTTATTTTGTTTAGGTATGTTCCTTCTATCTGCAGTTTTTTGAGGTTTGTTTTTCTGTTTTTTTTTTTTTTTTTTTTTTTTTAGATGGAGTTTTGCTGTTCTTGTCCCGACTGGAGTGCAATGGCGTGATCTTGACTCACTGCAACCTCTGCCTCCCGGGTTCAAATGATTCTCCCGCCTCAGTCTCCCAAGTAGCTAGGATTACAGGTGCCCACCTGCAGGCCCACCTAATTTTTTTGTATTTTTAGTAGAGATGGGGTTTCACCATGTTGGCCAGGCTGGTCTTGAACTTCTGGCCTCAGGTGATCTGCCTGTCTCTGCCTCCCAAAGTGCTGGGATTACAGGCGTAAGCCACTACGCCCAGCCCTGAGGTTTTGTTGTTGTTTTTGTTTTTATTTTAAACACCAAGGGATGTTGAGTTTTATCAAATGCTTTTTCAGCATCAATTAAAATGACCATATGGTTTTTGTCCTTCAATTTTTTGATATGACATATCACATTGATTGATTTGTATATGTTGAATTCTTCTTGCATCCCTCAGATAAATCCCACTTGGTCATGATGAGTGATCTTTTTAACGTGATGTTGAATTAACTTTGCTAATATTTTGTTGAGGATTTTCACATCAATATTCATGAGGGGTAATGGCCTATAGTTTTCTTTCATTCATGTGTCCTTGTCTGGTTTTGATATAAGGGTAATACTTGCCTTGTAGAATGAGTTTGGAAGTACTCCCTGCTCTATTTTCAGAATAGTTTGAGTAGGATTGATATTACTTTTTTTTCAATACGCTTGGTAAAATTCAGCAGTGAAGGCTTTTCTTTACCGGGAGATTTTTTCTTATGGCTTCAATCTCATTATTTGTTATAAATTTATTCAGGTTTCAGATTGGCTCATGGATCAGCCTTGCTAGGTTGTATGTATCTAGGAATTTACCCACTTCTTCTAAGTTCTTCAATTTGTTGTCAAATAGTTGCTCATTGAAGTCTCTAATGATTTTTTGAATTTCTGCAGTATCATTTGTAATGTCTCCTCTTCATTTATAATTATACATATTTGAGTCATCTCTCTTTTTTCTTAATCTAGCTAAAGGTTTGTCAATTTTTTTATCTTTCCAAAGAACCAAAGGTTTGTTTCATTAATCTTTGTAATTTTTGTTTTAATTTCATCTATTTCTGCCCTAATTTTTATTATGTTTTTTCCTCCTCCTAACTTTGTTTTTGGTTTGCTCTTGCTTTTCTCATTCCTTAAGATGCATTGTTAGGTTGTTATTTGAAAATTTTCTATTTTTTATCTGTAGACTTATTGCTGTAAACTTTCCTCCTAGTACTGCTTTTGCTCTAGCTCATAAACTCTTGAATGTTCCATTTTCATTTGCCCAAGAAATTTTAAAATTTATTTCTTTATTTCTTCATACACCTACTGGTCATTCGGAAGCCTATTGTTAAATTTTCATGTGTTTTTATAGTTTGCAAATTTCCTCCCATTATTGATATCTAGTTTTACTACATTGCGGTCAGAGAAGAGACTTAATATAATATCAATTTTTTGAATATTTAAGACTTGTTTTGTGGTGTAACATATGTTCCATCCTTGAGAATGACCCAGGTGCTGAGGATAAGAATGTGCATTCTGCAGCCATTAGATGAAATGTTCTGTAAATGTCCAATAGGTCCATTTGGCCTATAGTGCTGATTCAGCCTAAAGTTTTTTTTATTATTATTATTTTCTGTCTGGATGATCTGTCCAATACTGAAAATGGGATGTTGAAGTCTCCAGCTATTATTGTATTGGAGTTTATCTCTCTCTTTAGCTCTGATAATATTTTCCTTATGTATCTGGGAGCTCCAGTGTTGGCTACATATATATCTATAATTATTATATCCTCTTGCAGAATTCACTCCTCTATTATTGTATAATGATCTCCTTTGTCTTTTTTATAGATTTATCTTGAAATAGATTTGCTCCTGCTCTTTTTTGGTTTCCATTTGCATGAAATGTCTTTTTTCATTTTGTTATTTTAAGTCTATGTGTGCCTTTATAGGTAAAATGTGTTTCTTGTAGAGAACAGATCACTGGGTCTTGTTTTTTTAATCCATCCAGCCACTTTATGT
Source organism: Homo sapiens (assembly GCF_000001405.40). Lineage (NCBI taxonomy): Eukaryota > Metazoa > Chordata > Mammalia > Primates > Hominidae > Homo > Homo sapiens. The sequence continues at coordinate 118,194,851 of NC_000009.12, read as the reverse complement.
TTTTTAATTGGAGGGTTTAGTCCATTTACATTCAATGCTATTATTGATAAGTAAGGAGTTACTCCTGACATTTTCTTCTTTGTTTTCTGTTTTTTTTTTTTATTGTTTTCTCTTCCTTCCTTCTTTTTTTTTTTTACTATTTTTCTTTATGTGAAGGTGGTTTTCTCTGGTTGTGTATTTTAATGTCTTGCTTTTTATTTTTTGTGTATCTGTTGTAGATTTTTTTAATTTAAGGGTGCCATGAGGATTGCAAATATTAATAACATCTTATAACTCATTATTTTAAACTGATGGCATCTTAACATTGATTGCAAAAACAAAGTAGCTAACAAAGAGAGAACTAATATAAACTGTACACTTTAACTTCATTCTTTGCCACTTTTCGACTTTGTGCTGTTTCCATGATATCTTATTATACTATCTATGTCTTGAAAAGTTGTTGAAAGTTGTTGTAGTTATCTTTTTTTTTTTTTTTTTTTTTTTTTTTGAGATGGAGTCTCGCTCTGTCACCCAGGCTGGAGTGCAACAGTGCAATCTTGGCTCACTGAAACCTCTGCCTCCTGGGTTCAAGCAATTCTCCTGCCTCAGCCTCGTGAGTAGCTGGGATTACAGGTGTGCACCACCATGACCCATAAGTTTTGTATTTTTAGCAGAGATGGGGTTTCACCACGTTGACCAGACTGGTCTCAAACTCCTGACCTCATGATCCGCCCACCTCAGCCTCCTAAAGTGCTGGGATTACAGGCATGAGCCATTGTGCCCAGCCTTGTAGTTATCATTTTTGATAGGTTCATTGTTTAGTCGTTCTACTCAAGATATGAGTGGTTTACACAGTACAATTGCAGTGTTAAATATTCTGTGTTTGTCTGTGTACTTACTATTACCAGTTAGTTTTGTATCTTCAGTTAATTTCTTATTACTCATTAACATTCTTCTTTTTTAGATTGAAGAAATTCCTTTAGCATTTCTTGTAGGACAGGTCTGGTGATCAAAAATTCTCAGCTTTTTTTTTTTTTTTTTTTGGCTGGGAAAGTCTTTATTTCTCCTTCATGTTTGAAGGATATTTTCAGTGAATATACATTTTCAGGATAAAAGACTTTTTTCCTTCAGCACTTTAAATATGTCATCCCACACTCTTCTGGCCTTTAAGGTTTCCACTTGAGAAGTTTGTTTTCAGACATATTAGAACTCCTTTTTATGTTATTTGTTTCTTTTCTCTTGATGCTTTTAATATTCTATCTTTATCCTTGATTTTTGGAAGTTTGAATATTAAATGCCTTGAGGTAGTCTTATTTGAGTTAAATTTGCTTGGTGTTCTATGACTTTCCTGCATGTAAATGTTGATATATTTCACTAGGTTTGGAAAGTTATCTTTAATTATCCCTTTAAATAAATTTTCTACAATGATCTCTCTCCCTATGTACTCTTTTAGGCCAATAATTCTCAGATTTGCCCTGTGTGAAGCTGTTTTCTATATCTTGTTGTTGTGCTTTATTATTTTTTATTCTTTTTTCTTTTGTCTTCTCTGACTGAATATTTTCAAATAGCCTGTCTTCAGGCTCACTAATTCTTTCTTTTTCTTGTTCAGTTTTGCTGTTGAGAGACTTTTCAGTATGTCAATTGCATTTTTCAACTCCAGAATTTCTGCTTGATGTTTTTAAAAAATTATTTCAATCTCTTTCTTAAATTTATCTGATAGTATTCTGAATTCCTTCTCTATGTTATCTTGAATTTCACGGACATTCATCAACACAGTTATTTTGAATTCTCTGTCTGAAAGGTCACACACATATCTCTGTCCTTCAAGATTGGTCACTGCTGCCTTATGTAGTTTGTTTGATGATGTCATGTTTTCCTGGAATGTCTTGATGCTGGTGGATGTTTATCGATGCCTGGGCACTGAAGAGTAAGGTATTTATTGCAGTATTTGCAGTCTATGTTTGTTTGTACCTGTCCTTCTTTGGAAGGTTTTCCAAGCATTCAAAGGGAATTGAGTATTGTGATCTAAATTTTGGTCACTGCAGCCATATCTGCATTAGGGGGTGCCGCAAGCTTACTAACTCTTGCACACTCATGGAGGTATCACATTGGTGGTCTTGGATATGATCCCAGAGAATTCCTTGGGTTACCAGGCAGAGACTTTTTTTTTCCTCAAACTTAACCTTAAACAAACAGAGTCTCTCTCTCCATGCTGAGCTGCCTGGAGTTGGGGAAGGGGTGACACAAGCACCACTGTGGCCACCACCACTGGGACTCGGCTGGGTCTGACTTGAAACCAGAACAGCACTGGGTGTTGCCCAAGGCCTGCAGCAATCCTTGTCTGGTTGCTGCTGATGTTCATGCAAGGCCCAAGTGTTCTTCAGTCAGCAAGTGGTTAATCCAGCCAGGCTTGTGTCCTTCCCTTCAGGGTGGTGACTAACCCTTGGCCCAGGGCGGGTCCTGGAATATCACCTGGGAGCCAAAGGCCTGGAGGTGGGAAATTTAGGAATCTACCTTGTATTCTATTCTACTGTGGCTGAGCTGATACCCAACCCATAGACAAAGTCCTTTCCATTCCTCCCTCTCCTTTCCTCATAGAGAAGAATTCTCTCCCTATGGCCACCACTCCCCAGGCCCATGGTGATTATAACCTGGCTACTGCCAATATTCACTGAAGACCAAAGGGCTCTTCAATTAGCTTGTGTTGAATGCTCCCAGGCCTGCATCTCTCCTTTCAGGGTATTGATCTTCCCTCTGGCCCAGAGTGGGTCCAGAAATGCTGTCCAAGAGCCAAGGCCTGGAATCACTAACCTCAGGAGCCTGCTTGGTGCTCTACCCCACTACGGTGGAGCTGGTACCCAAGCTGCAAGACAAAGTCCCCTTTGCTCCTTTCCTGTTTGTTTTGTTTTGTTTTGTTTTGTTTTGCAGAGGTTGTTTCTCCCCATGTCTACCACAGCTGCTGGGAATGTGCTGGATCATACCTGAAGCCAGCACTGCCCTGGTCTCACCGAAGGCCCTCAGTGAGAACTGCCTGGGTACCACTGATGTTTATTTAAGGCCCAAGGGCTCTTTAGTCAACAGGTGATGAATCCTGCCAAGACTGGTTCTTTACCTTCAAAGCTACAGGTTCCCTCTGGCCCAGGTGTGTCTAAAAATGTCTTCTGGGAGCTAGGGCCTGGAATGGAGACCTCAGGACTCTTCCCAGTGTCCTATCCTACTGTAGTTGAGATTGCATCCAAGTTGCAAAACAAAGCCTTCTTTACTCTTTCCTTTCCCCTCCTCTCCCCAAGCAGAAGGAAGAAATCATTCCTGGAGCTATGAGCTGCACTGGACTCCCTTGGCTGTCCTGGCCGTTGTGTCACTGGGTCATGTGCACCCCAAGTCGACTGGCTCTGAGCCCAGGTCAACACCTGGACTTGCCCAGGAATTGCAGTTCTTGTTGTCTATACTGGCTTTCAAGTTCACTTTGAACCCCATAGCACTTTAACCCATGGTGGTGTGGCTAGCCAGAACTCAGGTTCTGACTGCTGGTGTGGGACATTCGCCTCTGGCAGAAGCTGGTTTAAATGCTGCCTCCATGGATGTCAGCTGAATTCTGTCCCATGGTGCTTTCTGCTGTGAAAGGGCAGTACTGAGTTCCAATGTGAAGTCCCACAATCACTGTACTCTCTCTTCCTCAAGCGTACAGATTCTCTCTCTGTGACATGTGGTCACTGCAGGGGTCGGGGAGGAAGTGTCAGCAATTCAAGACTGTCTTTCCTACCCTTTTTGTGACTCTTTCAGTGATATTATGTTAAAACAAGTTACTGTGATTACTCCCCTGACTTTTGGTACTTATGAAGGTGCTTTCTTATGTGGATAATTTTTCAATGTGGTATTCCTGCAGCAAGGACAATCACTGGATGGTTCTATGTGGCCATCGTGCTCTACCTCTTTCTCTGGAAAAGTTCATGTATTAAATTACTGCATGCACTCCCAAAATACATCCATTAAGTATCAATAAAAGTAAACATTTTAAAATAAAATAAATTAAAAAATAAACAAACAAGGCTCCTTGGAGAAACGGCTGATTCTTGGATTGATGCAAGGGGTATCAGAATGAACTTGGAGTATCTTCTAGCAGCAAAAATTACAGCACTTAAGGAAAGAAAAGTATGGGAGTATGTCAAAGGCAAACATAGGGTCCAATAGGAAGGGTTCCTGCTTGTTAAAGTTGGAAAAGTTTTAGTAACAATTTAAATAAAATCATTTTGGACTATGAATCAAAATGCAAAGTAAACATTCATGAGTCGATATTGATACGAATAAACAATTGAATAAGTAGATTAGTAGGGAGAAAGAGACAAATCTCTCATACAGAAGAATTCCAAATAATTGATGTAGACACTTAACCACCAGAACTCCTTATTCATTAAGTGTGGCCTGTGCATGGTGACTTCTTTCTAATGAATACAATATGGAAAGGGGAAAAATATAACTCTACAGTGGAAACCTGACAAACATGACCTCAGCTAGTTGATCAAGGTCAACATCAAGAACGAAAAGTCATATTGATAGTATGTTCCTTTGATCTGATGAACTGTAAATGGCACTTTACCTCTGTGGTCTTCCTCCCACAGATACATAACACTTCTCTAACCAGGAGAAAAACATCAAAAAAGCCCATTTGAGAGACATTCTACAATATAATCTGATAAGTACTCAGCAAAATCATCAAGATAATTGTTTTAGTCAGCCTGGGTGCCATAACAAAATAACATAAACTAAGTGTCTTAAACAACAGGAGTTTATTTTCTCACAGTTCTGGATGCTGGCACAGATCAGGATAGCAGCATCATTGGGTTCTGGTGAGGACCCTCTTTCTGACTTGCAGACAGCTGCCTTTCTGCTATGTCCTTTCATGGTGGACAGAGAGAGAGAAAAAACTCTTTGGTGTCTGCTTATAAGGGCACCAATCCCATCATGAGGCCTCCGCACTCAAGACCTCATCTATCTCTAATGACGTCTAAGGCTCTAACTCCAAATGCCATCATATTGGGAGTTAGGGCTTTGAAATACGAATTTAGAAGAAATCATAGTTCATTGTGTAATAGTTATTAATAAGGAGAAAATTTTGATAATCTGCCACAACCAACAGGAACCTAAGGAACCATGGTGACTAAAATGCATATAGTATTCTAGATGGGATCATGGAATGAAAAAAGAATGTTAATTAAAAAGTAAGGAAATCTGGGTAAAGTATGAATGTTAGTTAATAAGAAGGTACAAATATTGGTTTATTAATTATTACAGATGTACCATGCTAATGTAAAATGTAAATAATAGAAGAAACTGGCTATGAGGCCCATGGGAATTTTGTGATCTGTCTTCGCAATTTTTCTGTAAATCTAAAGCTGTTGTAAAAGATAAAGTTAATTTTAACACGGGTAAAATTAGAAGGTCATTTTAAAAGCCTAAACCAGGATAAGCTGGTTAACTGCAGATCCTTTTCTCATTACTAACGACGAACTCTTTTAAATGTCCTGTCTAATCTATCCACTTGGCAACCATTGGGTGGAAGAGGTCTCTACAGGTTAATTAAATTGTTGTATGTACGGGTGTGTGTGTTTTTTTAAGCATTTGCATTTCTGTGCTATGCACTCTTTTTCTTTTTTTTTTTTTTTTCCTAATTCTCTTGGGCCATTTCACTCTGCCCCCCATTTTACCATTACGAAGTGCTGGGTAAATTCCAATTGGCCTTTTTGCACAGCCTTTATTATTAGGTAGACCTTGTGTTGTATAATCTTTATTGCTGTGCAGACATCAGCTAATTAATAATCTGTGTAGTATCCTTCTGATATGACAATTTCATTCACTATTTTTATAGTGTGGAAAACTAACAGCTAAGTGACTTTTCCAACCCTTTCACCGCAAGTTCATTTGAATGTTAACTAAATTTTTAGTCCAAAAACCCCTCTAATATACACAAAAGGGAATGTTGGACTTAGAAGAGATCTTGAAAGTATTCTAATCCATCCCTTTCAAACATTTATAATTTCTCCCACAACATATTTGATGGATCACTCCAGGCTCTGTGGGAACAGTTCCAATGCTTAAGAACTCACTGTCTCATAAGGTAGCTCAGAAGAGAGGACATTAGAACTGGTAAATAATTATGGAATTAGAGTTCCGTGCCAATGTCATTATTGCTCTTACTGGACATCACTTTTTCGTGGTGCCCTGAAATGTGTTTCCCTGTGACTTCAGCTATTTGATTCCTGCTGTGCCTTTCAGAGCAATATAAAGCAAAGCACTTTTAAGGTAGCTGGGAGTCAAGAAAAGACAATGAACTATGAAGAAGACAATGACTCTTTGATTCCACTTCTGGAGAAACAGATAAAGGTAAATAAAAATAATTTACTTAAAAAAACTCTCAAATCACTGATTGAAGAACCACACTAGAAAATGTTAATACAAAATGGCCAATACCCAGACATATGCTTCTAAATGACTTAATTTCAAGATATTATTTTTATCTGTTTCACATTATCAGTGGATTAAAGGTGAGCTAGCTGTGTATCCGTAGGCAAATGCTTGAATAAACTATGTATTTTCATAGATTGTCTCAGGAACCATATCCTTGAAACCAATAATAGTGACTGGATTTTCTTTCTCTAGGGAAGAGAAAAATGTCATCAAGGGCAGCTGGAGTCTTGATATTCATTTTAAATGCTTTGTTCTCATTAGATGTTGTAGTCTTGCATGTCATAAATATTTTCAAAATTAGTTAATTCATTTAAAAACTAATTAATGGTTTATGCATTATAAAGGTAATAGATAAATATTTTTAAAAGTACACAAAACTATGAAGAATAGAGAAAATCCCCTACATTATCCCATGATTCCGTTTTGGCTATTGGTCATGTTTTGATAATTTCTATCCAATTTTTCTGGGCATGTTTCAGTGACTGAAATCATGGTGTACATACAAATTTTATTCCAATTAATTGATTTAACATCTGTTTTATATGCACACATTTTTTCATTTTATTACAAAATTCATATAAATATTTTGATGGGTATCTGATATTTCAGAAGCATGTGTTATAGATACAAAGAATGTGTTATAGATACACATATTACAGTTTTTATGGGATTGGTTCATCAAGCTTCTATCTGTGTTTGTTATTATTTCCTTAGGATGGACTTCCAGGGATGGAGTTTTAGAATCAATATTTTTGGGAATTTTAAGATGACTAATGCATTTGTGAAATAGATGGTATTTGTTTATAACAGAGGTCATATCAGTATTTCTTTAGGAAATGCTCAAGGTTGAATACTTTTTAGTAAAGCAGTAATATTTTATTAAAATTTATTGACCAGTTGCCAAGTGCCTTTCAGATGACAAGCTAAGGAGAGAGAGGAGAGAAAACAAAAACTTTTACGTGTTTATGTGTCTGGTATCTTCTCAATGTATACAATTATCTTTACTCTCATTTAAGATATGAATATCTGGATGGAAATCAGAAACACTAAGAAAAAAATATGTCTGTACGAGGATGTGTGAAAAAAATTAAAGATTATGAAATTTTAAGAAATGGTGAATAAACTGTTTATGATAAGGTAAAAAAGCAAGGTTGTACGGATTTTGAACAGAGATATCTTACAGAAACTTTCAAGCCTTATATGGAATGTATTCTACTTATTGCAACATGGGAAATAATAGTTTTCTGAGAATGTTGCACACTGATCTTGTTGTAACTTCACAGTCAGTATCTGGAAATCTTATATTTTTTTCCAAAGAAGAATAAAAATTTGCTAATTTTGTGAAAAGCCTTAGAGGCCTTTGGGCAAATAAAGGGAAAATTTGACCCATGGTTTCAAACACCAGCTACCTACTTACAGTCTTTTATAATTTACTCTGAATCTTGTATCTTCATCTACAAAATAAAGAAAAAGAACACCTTTCTGAATGTATACTGTGAGCATGGAAAGGGATGATTTGGTTAAAGCCTATAATACCACATTTTCTGATTAATAATATAAGTTCAAACGTCTTTCAGCCAAGTCTTCCTTTTATTCTCAAATGGAGCCCTACAACATTTGAATGTGGCTATCCTGCTGCCCACATATTTTCTCTTTTTATGGAAAAAATTAGCCATGTTCTTACTCCAATTCTTGGACATGGCTTTCAGATCCCTTCCTATAATGACAACCCTGTGGACATATTTCAACTTATTATCACACTCATCATTCCTTTCATTTCTTTATTTTCAACAAAATTCTTAAAACCTAAAATGCCCTCAGTATGCTGAAATTGTCAAATCATTTTTTTAAAACTGTTTCTATTTCTCCTCGTCAGTATTATTAACCTGAAAACATAATCTGTGAGAATGACTTATGTAGCAGCTGAATATAATTCTCTCTTTCTATAAAACTCACTTTGCCAACTGTCAGGGTACACCAACGTCTGAAGTCTTTATTGAACTTCCTGCCATAATTCGTCCATCTTTTTCTTGAAAAGCTTTCAACTAATGCAGCAGCCATCAGCAGGTAGTCATTAAAACCATAATTTCCACCAGCACTTCTCATCTGTCTGTCCAAAATCTCATCTGCTATTGGGTCGTGGAGGCTTTTGGACCTATTGGGCATTTTTTTGATTTTTATTAGAGCTAATTGCTTGACACTAAGATTGAATCACCACCTAATCTCTATCTCTCAGTATAGAGATAATACCAATATGTTCTCTACTCCCATGATGTTCATTTCTTAATGAATAGATGGAAGTAAAAGATGATAGCAAATCCCAGTGCTGTGTTTCTCTGTTCAAGATTCTGGTGAATTCCCTAAGTAGCCCTGATACACCAGGAAATCAGCATATCCTATTGTTGCCTTTTCCATTGGAAATAGGTGGCATTAGCAGATAGTGACTATTATCTAAGTTCTTGCCTGGGCTTCCTTGATGTAAACTTCATTCAAGAACAATGACTACATTGAGGGAAGAGAAAAATATAAAACCTGCCGAGCCTTATACCTCAGACATTTTTGTTTGTAAATGATGAAATTTGCATTTTAAGCTTGCCCCTAAGTATTTCATATGAGCTAAGAGGGTCGTGATTTCATATCATGTTTAGCCAAGAAATTCTGTTCTGGAACAGGGTAGAAAAGGGGATCACAGCCTATCTCCCCATTTTTGAAAGCCTGCAGACTTAGCCACAGAAAGGCAACTCCTCTCTGTTGTCTATACCCTAAAATCAAGGAAAAAGGTATCCACTGAAGAATCAAATAGATTCATAGAAAAAGATTCCTACTATTGGTCAGAGGAGGTTTGCTGTGTAGGAAATATCTGAGTGTATTTTTAGGTAATCTACAGGGAGTAGAACCTGTGACTGTTTTTGTGTGTGTGTCCTGAAATTTCTGTATCAAAATTATTCTAAGAATCTTAAGTCTTTAGCAAGGTCTTGGCCAAGTTTGGCATTTTGAAGACAGGAGCATTTTTTTTTCTATAATAAATATCTACTTACTCATAACAGAGCACAGGTAGGATCCCTGGCATATTGTACTATCTAGTGGACACAGCCCCTCTATTTTATCTTCAACGTAAATTAGAAACCAATACCCATAATTTCTATTTCGCACATAAAAGAGCTAATGCACAGATTTAAACGGGTTTTTTTTTTTATATTAAGCAAATTAATCAAAGAGTCAGAATCAATACCTACATGGTGTGAATCCTAGTTTATGTTCTTGTTATACTGTTCTGGTACTTATTTGAATTATTTAAAAATTATTTTCATTTCCTCTGCCAGTTTAAAAACCTATTAATAATTTTGTCTTTGTGACCATCTCCCATTAAATTTCCAAAGAAAATGTTTATTAAATATGCCTAATCTTTAAACAAGCAATGACTAACAACTAGAATTTCACCAGAGATTTTCAAAAACATGGATGCTCTATTGTTACTTTCACATAGGTTTCATCACATTGAGGCAAAGTCTTGCATATATGTGTGATTTTCACTGATTCCAAGTTTGGAAGTCTGGCTGAAACCAGACTATGCCCTAAAATTATATTTTACATTAAGAATTAAGGTGTTTTCCTTAAATAAATATCTACTAAGTAACTCAAGTCAATCACTCCCTGGTTTTCTGCCCCTGTGCTTCAATTCTTCCCTTAGTTGTGGACCCTTAGCCTCACACAGAAGCATTTAAAAAGCCAGATCCCTGATCTTCATCCTCATCCTAACTTTTCTAGTCTTCACTTCCTCATTTGTCTATTGATTAGGTTGGATAAATAATCTTTATATTGTTTAAGGTAATACTACTTGCTGTAACACAAAAACCCCAAATATATGATAGGTCAAACATTATAGAAATGTACTTTTTACTCCAATAAGCTCAACAAGCAATGTTCCTAATTGGTGAGCAGCTCAGTGATGTGGGGTCTTTTCATGTTGTACTTCCATCATTGTCAATCATGCCTGTCAAAGATGCCTCCTTTATTTACTGAAGTGCAATGGGAAAGAACATGGATGCTCATGTATAAGGAGGGTTTTATGGCTCAGCCTGGAGAGGCACACACTAGTTCTGGTCATGTTCTGCTAGCAAGTATTCAGTGACTTGGCCACAAATAAAGCAAGGAATTGTGGAAAATGTATGCTCAGAAAGAAGAAGAAAAGTTTTAATAAGAGCGACCTTCCATAGTGTCTGTGTTACAGGACAGAGAAATATGTTACAGGAAAGGGGTCCCAATCCAGACCCCAAGAGAGGGTTCTTGAATCTAGCGCAAGAATTCAGGGCAAGTCCGCAGTGCAATGTGAAAGCAAGTTTATTAAGAAAGTAAGGGAATAAAGAATGGCTACTCCATAGACAGAGCAACCCTAAGGGCTGCTGGTTGCCTATTTTTATGGTTATTTCTTGATGATATGCTAAACAAGGGGTGGATTATTCATGCCTCACCTTCTTAGACCATATAGGGTAACTTCCTGAGGTTGCCATGGCATTCGTAAACTGTCATGGTGCTGGTGGAGTGTAGCAATGAGGATGACCAGAGGTCACTCTTGTGGCCATTTTGGTTTTGGTGGGTTTTGGCTGGCTCCTTCACTGTGAGCTGTTTTGTCAGCAAGGTCTATGTGACCTGTATTTTGTGCTGACCTCCTGTCTCATCCTGTGACTTGGAATGTCTCAACCGTCTGGGAATGCAGCCCAGTAGGCTTAAGCCTCATTTTACCCAGCCCCTGTGTAAGATGAAGTTGCTCTGGTTCACATGCCTCTGACATCTGCACAGTGCCATCTAATTTCCCATATTATATAACTATAGGATATGTAGGGCTGTTGCTGGTATTTAATGAGGCATAAGGCTTATTTCAGATATTTATAAGTTAATATTCTTTTATTTTCTTTTTTTATATTATAGTCACTTAAATAGATTAGTCATCATTGAAATTACATATACTAATGTTAAATGTCTAAAATAGACTTTCTTGACCTAAATCAAGTTCTATTTCTGCATCTAGCCAGTTTAGTTTTGTTATCACCCTCTTAGCTCCTGCTTTTTGATTGTTCTGTAACTGACAAAACTTTGAGATTTCTCATAATTCTTAAACCAGTTTCTTTCGGATTCTATAGATTTTAAATTTCTAACTTTCCCTTCAGCAGTTTCTAACTTACTCTATTTTATTTAATTCATTGGGCCAAAAGTAACTGATGTGCTCTCCAGTAAAGATGTCAAACTTAATTATATGACCATCATCCTGCCTTAGCATTGTAACCTCTTTTAATGCCTCTGACGACACCAGTGTTTTACTCAAGATAGAGTCAAGAATAGTTCCTTGTCTTGTAAGTTTTAGTGTGAACTCTTCCCAGAACCCATTGTTTATGGCACTGTGGAATTAGTTCCACAAACTATGCCCCAGTGTAACATTCATCATATCTATTTTATTGCATCCCCTTTGGTTTTTCAACATTTTGAATTTGCTATCATTTCTCATTTGTTCATTTCCTTTTCCATGTGGATGGTGATTTAGTGGAATAATACACAACTGAGTTAGAATTCTAGCTCTGTCACTTACAGGATGTGTGACCTTCAAGATGTTATTTAACATTTATGAGACTCAGTTTTCTCATTTGCAAAACAAAAAAGGACAATTATGCCTGCATAATGGTGCTATTTTGAACATTGCATGAGATAACGTATGTAAAAATCCCTAACGCGTTTCCTGGAACATAAGAGGTGTTGAACGATTTTTCCCTTTCTTCTCCTCGGTTGAAGGGGCCTATAAAACCAAATTCATAGGTTCAATTTCTGTATGCCCTATGGCAGTACAAGAAAATTGGATATATCAATGGAACTGGATTGAGATATTCCAATATACTATATGGTTTAGAAGAGTTTTAAGAAATAATTTAGTGTAACCTCTTATCTTCAACTCTATGCAGGCACCTTTTTAATGAATTGTAGGGAACACAAAAATAGGTCTAGAGTTCTATATTCACAATGAGCTTATAATTTAGAATAGAGAATTGGACGTCAGCCAATAATTGAAAAAGAAAGTGCTTATTTCTGATTATTGGGAGGTAAGTAGGGCTTCTTGGAGTATCTTACATTGGAGCTGAACCTTCGAGAATTAGTAGGATTTTTGCAGGTAGGTCTGGAAAACATCTATGTTGATTTAAAGTTTAATACAAGTGGGCTTATTTGGATCTCAAGTTTTGTACTCCCATGTGATAGAAAAATCTTTAACATTTCTGCTATTCTTCACCAGAAACTCCATTATAGGATAGATGTAAAGATAAGAGATTTTTCATCCTTATTAAAATTCAACAATCAAGTTCTCAAAATTGATACTTTCATAATTCACCCAGATATGCCTATTTTCTGAAGAAGATTTTTTACCCAAGAAAGGAGCATATTTTCTCCTTCTTTGTTACAGCAGTACTTGATCATAGCTGTACACACTACATTGATGTATCTGTCACCCCACAGAGCTGTGATTTCATTTGTCAAGTATCTACTCTGTGCCAGGGATTCTTCTAGGGACAAAAAGACGTAGATCGCTGTCCTCATGAAGGATATGTTCTAATAGGGAGAGACAGGTGATAACCATAATGAATAATACTTATATGTGCATATATTTATAAAGGTATATAATTTGCCACAAGAGAACCTAGGGAATGAAACAAAAGGAGAAGAGGGTAATATAGTAGCCAGTATTGGAGGAGAAGAGGCAGTCTGTAATTTTCAATAAGAGAAACAGGACAGATGGATATTTGAGGAGGTGACATTTCATTAGACGTGAAAAGGTGAGAGATTCATACTTGCCAATATCAATGGAGAGAGATTTCTAGGCAAAGATCCTAAATTAAGACTGTGCTTGGTGTGTTTCTAAATAGCTTAAAGACCAGGCAGCCTAGAGGAAAAAAAAAGAGCAATAATAAAATAGTGAAAATGATAAAATATTATCTCAAAGCAGTAACACGTTGATGATGGTGGACAGATTGAATGGTGCCTTGCAGATGATTGTAAGGACTTGGGTTTTTGCAGTGAGTGAAATGTGGAACCAATGCATCATGTTGTACAATGAAGTGATACAATATGACTTGCATTTTAAAATAATTATTCTTGAATTGTAGCAAAATTAGATTGGTGTTGTGGGGAAGAGGAGGGAGAAAGGGTAGGCAAACATAGCAGGCTAGTGCTGTCATCCAGGTGAGAGATGACTGGGAAGCAGACCAAAATAATAGGTGGATTTTAAATATATTTTGATGATAGAGCCATTGGGATTTGTAATGTAGTTATGGAATGTGATGGTTTAAGAGAAAGAGAGAAACCAAGCATCAATCCAAGGAAAGAGATATCTAACTTAGATGGGAAAGCAGGTGGAAGTAGCAGATTTAGGGGAAAAGAGTAGTTCAGTTTTGGACACGTTGATTTGAAATGTCAATTCTACATCTATATGGACAGATTGACTAGGCAGATGGATACATGGTTCTGATGTCAGGAGAAAAATCTAAGATAAAAATATACATTTTGACATCTTCAGCATCAAGAGAGTACCAAGATTAATCCAAGTGTTTAAATGTGATCACCAGGAAAGGGGTGGCAATACAGAAGGAAAAGTCAAGGACTGAGCCCGCTATCAGGAAGAAGACATAGAACCACGAAAATAAGTTATGAAGTTGTAACCAGTGAAGCCAGAGAAAAATTAGCAGAGGGATAAAGGAAGCTGAGAGAAAATAATGTGAAAAAGCAGAAAAATAAACTGAGTCAAATACCTGTGAAAAACAGGTAGGTTGAGAACTGAGAATTGACCACTGGTTTTGGTAATATGGACGTTATTGGCGACCTTGACACAAAGAGTTTTAATCAAATGATGGAGGCAAAGACTACCCTAGCCTGAGTTTAAGAGGAAATGAGAGGAGAAGAATCTAAGATACATGTAAACAACTTTTACTGAGGATATCTTCTCCTACAAGAACAGAGAAATAGGGCATAAATTGGATGTTCTTCACGTTCACCACACTGAAATTTTATAGTAACTAGACCAATGTTGTCACTAACAAAATTGTTTTGATTAAATGGTGTAAGAAATTAAAGACTGCCTACTAAATTCAACTCATTTAACTCCAGGAGAAAAAGTATTTAGATAATGCCTCTTCCTCAGTACCCACACTCATTCAGGTGCCCCAGGCTGTAAACTGTATCTTTAAAATAAGCTATGTTAATTCTTGACACATCTCTTTTTAGATCTCATTGAATCTCAGGTACCTCCTACAATTACCACCTAACTGATCTCCCTGTGTCCATTGCCTTACTTCCCTAGTTTGATGTGTAAAAACTGTCTGATGAGTTGTCCTCAATCAGACTATTCTTCACTTTCAATGATTCTACATTGCGTGAAGAATAAACTTCAGACTTCACGCCTTTAGCCCATGTTCCAGACAAATGAAACAATGGTTTTCTCTGTGTTATGGAGATGCCCTTTGATTTCTCATCACATTTTAACTCTTTCTGTTTCCTCCACATGTAACTTCCTTTCTATGTTATATACAATCTAATTATTTTTAAAGCATTTGCTAAAGCCAGAAGCAGTGGCTCATGCCTGTTATCCCGGCACTTTGGGAAGCTGAGGCAGGTGGATTCTTTGAGCCTAGGAGTTCAAAACCAGCCTAAGAAACATGATGAAATTCTGTCTCTACAAAAAATACAAAACTTAGTGGTAGGTGGTAGTGTGTGCCTATAGACCCACATTCTGGGGAGTCTGAGGGAGAAGGATCAGCTGAGCTGAGGAGGTGGAGGCGGCAGTGAGGTGTGATCGCATGACTGCACTCCAGTCTTGGTGACAGAGTGAGATCCTGTCTCAAAAAAAACAAAAATAAAAACAAAAAAAAAAACGAAAAATGTCTTACAATGACCTTCCTCCTTTAAAGCCTTTCCTCATTCTATGAAATGTCAAAACCCCTAAACTATCATATAATTATTTCTGAATTTTTCCTGTGATCTTTTTTGTTGTTTTACAGCATGTATTATAGTTATTTGTATATTTTACTCATTCACCTTCCAATCCATGTCCAAATACATATAAAACATTATTATACTCCTTACATTTTCCTACTATGTTAAGGGAAGATTTATAACTAGATTAGTCTGTTTTGTGTTGCTGTAAGAGAATACCTGAGACTGGGTACCTTATAAGGAAAATATATTTATTTGGCTCATGGTTCTGCAGGCTGAGAAGTTCAAGAGCATGGACTTGGCTTCTGGTGAGGGCTTTTGTGCTGCATCACAACATGGTAGAGAAAGTCCAAGGGGAAATGGACACCTACAAAGAGGGGAAAACCTGAGGGGTGTTCTGGCTTTACAACAACCTACCCTCATGGGAATGAATTCATTCCTGCAAGGACTAACACAGTCTCTCAAGAGTGAGAACAGCACCAAGACATTCATGAGGGCTTTGTCCCCATAACCCAAACACCTCCTACTTAGCTCCACCTCCCAACAGTGCCATATTGAGGATTAAATTTCAACATGAGTTTTGGTGGGGACAAACTAATTATGTCCAAAGTATAGCAACAGCTTATAAAGGCCACAATCAAAGAACCCAGTTTCTCACTTTATTACTAATCTTTTTGGTCTTCTTTCTCTAACCTATCAAAAACTACACTCCAATTAATAACAAAAAATTAAAATTATGAATCTTTAGAATTGATATGTACTCTTCAAATATATAAATCTTCAGAATTATATGCTATGAAATATTAATAGTGATAGCAATAATTTACTATCGTAACAATTAACACTGGCAGAGCACTTACAATATGCTGGGTGCTTTTCTAAACACTACAGCCTCAAGATGGCCTCCAATGATCCTCACTTCTTAAGATTCATGCACTTTTCTACTCCCCTCTCACAATGAGTAGGGCTGACCTTATACCAAATAAAGTATTGCAGAAATGATGATGTGTAACATCTAAGAGTAGATCCTAAAATACATTAAGGTCTTCATCTTGATTTCTTTTGGGTCACTTACTCTGGGTGAAGCCATCTGCTCCCCATGTCAAGGGAACACCTAAGCAGCCTGTGGAGAGGACTACATGGGATGAAGCTGAGGCCTTCTGCTCATGGCCATTACCAACTTGCCAGCCAGACAAATGAAACTCCTTTGAAACAGACCCTCATTCCTAGTCAAAACTTCAGATGACTGCAGTTCCCGTTACGATCCTTTCTTTTTTTTTTGAGACAGAGTCTTGCTCTGTTGCCAGGCTGGAGTGCAGTGGTGCAATTTCGGCTCACTGCAAACTCTGCCTCCCGGGTTCAAGTGATTCTCCTTCCTCAGCCTCCCAAGTAGCTGGGATTATGGGCATGCACCACCATGCCCAGCTAATTTTTGTATTTTTAGTAGAGACGGGGTTTCACCATGTTGGCCAGGATGGTCTTAAACTCCTGACCCCAGGTGATCCGCCTGCCTCGGCCTCCCAAAGTGCTGGGATTACAGGCGTGAGCCACCGTGCCTGGCCCTCATCACCATCTTAATTGCAACCTCATGAGGGACTCTGAGACAGTATTTATCTAATTCTTTCAAAGATTTCTGATGCAAAGAAACTGTGACAGATATTAAAGGTGTACTGTTGTTTTACACCATTATGTTTAGAGTAATGTGTTATACAACAATAAATAAATAACCTGTTATCGGCTCACTCCATGATGTCGGGTAGGTGACATAACCTTAAACTTCTAAATTAATGAAATCATCAGAAGAGAACATAACAATGTATCCTTCCTAACTTGAACACTGTTATTGTACATGTCCTACCTTACTATCTTTCAGAAAAAAAAAAAAATTCAATCTTCCACAAGAACAGCCTCTATTGATGACCATTTATTTTCTCTGCAGTGGCCTTTTGCCATATCTAACTCATTGGTCTTTAATGCTGTGTTTGATATATTGCCCAATACATCCATAAACCCACCCCTAGAATGTTATATGAGGCTGGTGTAATGCTAACTCTTTTTAAACCACAAGGGAAGCAAATGCTTCTAATTTATGCTGCCTTTTTATTTCCTACATAATTTTGATTTTAATGCTTCATCTCAACCACATCAATATCCTTTTGCCACTAGCAATTGAAAACAAAAAGTAAATGTTTCATTTCTCCTCTTGGCCAACTAATGGGGAATATTCATGGCTCCGGGACTCGATGTGGATGGAAGGAGCTATGATTAACTTTGTAGAAGGGGTTTAATATATTGAGAAGCACTCAATTTGAAAGTCTAAAGATCTGAGTAATGGTTTCTACTCTGTCACTACCAACCTGCAAAATCTTTGACTAGTTTTTTTTTTGTTTATTTTTGGTTTTTTGACTTATCAACAAAAGATATTGAAATAGCTTGTCCTAGTCCATTACACCACAGAATAATTGAAAATATACTGGGTTCCAAGGTAATTTACAATGAAACAGAGGCCAGTGGTAGCAAGATCTTTATTAACGGGTAACTCAAAGTGTAAATCTGACTCAAAAAGAAAGAGAGACCACAAAAAATGGGTAGATACTGACATTACCATAGCTTTCTGTACTCCCTTTCAACCCAACACCAAGATTGTGCTTTTCTTGTGTCAGAAGGTAGAAGGATCAAAATACAGAGGAGATATTATTAGTATCAATATGATAAATAACATTTTAATATTTTAGTATTTTTTCTATAAGGAGCTTCTCCCACATTTTTCTTGTAATCTCTGAGTATATTACATCTACACCCATAGCCATGAATAAATATAAAGTGAATTGCAGAACTGTATCTACCAGCAATGGGTTAGTAGATTGTTTTTTTTTTAAAAAAATTAAATAGATTGTACATACTGTTACCAGGAAAAAAGAGTGGCTACTATGGGGTTTATCTTCAGTCACTAACATACAGTCTATAAATATAGAGAAAGCATGGGCTAAAAAATATAATATGGCTGAATACAAAATGACACAAAGCTGAAATACTGCTGAAAATTTGAGTAGTTATGATTTCAGACCTCAGACATGAAAGAAGTGAGTTAAAAGCACTCTCTCTTTGCCAGTGAAGCTTATTACCATAGGAGACTTTAAAGGATGTATGTATTAGTGTTTGGTCCTTGAATTGGATTCAAGAATCTTGATGCCTCTAAGTTTCTGGTTTATATTATGAGACTCATGCGAGCTTGTTGATATATCTGAACTATAGAAGATTATTCTGTGAATAGAATGGGTTTAGAATACATAATATGAAGTTCTTTCTAACTCTGACAGACTGTCTCTTTTAAATTTTGTACTGTTTTTATTTGAGCCAAAATGAACTGATATTATAATAAGAACACTAATGCTATATGTTATAGCAAAATCCAACTGGTTTAGACCAAAAATACTGAAAATATGTTTAACCATACACACCTCATGGCCTCACAGTGATCTGAGCAAATCTTTAAAATATAGATAAAAAATTAGTACAGGGCCAATGAAGGACAGTTGGATTAGAATGTTGGATATTAGTAGAATCAAAATAAACCTTAAAGTGCATGATAAGTAGCCAATTTCTGAATAGAATAAGCAGAATTACCTAAGAACAGATATTTGGATTAGGAATCTACAACAGCTCTGTCATCTTAGAGCATTACTGGTAAGTCATAATTGACATACTTATTCAGCAACTTCTTGGATTATTACAAGGACAAGAAAGACTGAGAAAGAAAAAACAAATGACCTGTTATAGTAGTGATGTCCGCCATGGCCACAGGAGTGGGCAGTGGTAGGATGTGTAATAAAAATATGCCAGATCCACAGAAGAGCCAAAGACATTTGGGGATAAAAAGGCTACCTGTGATCCAATGCTTTCATTTTATAGATAAAGTGATAGGGAACCAGAAAAGTTATCTGAATTTCCCAAAGTCATTCAACAATTTAGTCTCAAAGCTATTTCAGACCCCCTATTCTGTATGCTTTCTGCTCTGTGCTTCTGTTTCCAATTAAAAAAGGCAAGTGAGAAAATGATAGATACAGGATGGCATAACTTATATGCTGGCTCACTACTGGAAGATCTGGTTTTATCCTTACCTCATACTTTAACTGCAAAGCAGTCTGAATTGAGTTAAAGAGTTAAGGGAAAAATTGTAAAAGAAAGGATACATATGAATGTATTTTATATTAGGAAGAAGAAGCAATTTCTAAGCAGAAAGCAGGAAAAAAAGTTGGCAAAAAATGATCAATTTAACTGCAGATAAATTTTAATATGCCATTTATCAACAACTAAATAAATAAGTTTAAGGTGCAATCAGAAAAAAAATACACTAACCTTGATGGTTAAGATTTCATGTTCTTAATTAAAAAAACATAATTTATTCAAAAACAAAAAATAGAATAGAAAAAAGTAGTGAACTTGAATAAACCAAACCAAATGGCACAAAAACATGAAAATGCTCTGACCTCACAAGTAAAGCAATGCAATTAAGTAAAGTAGGTTACCATTTTCTCCTATCAAATATTCAAACATAAAAATTAAAAAAAAATCTCAGCATTTGTGAAACTGTGGGAAAATTAAACTTATTATGGTGTTAGTAGATATATTATTGATTTGAAATATTTGCTTCCCCCCTCTATTAGCTCCATTGTATAGGGCCTGTGGTTGGGCCCTTCCCTGAGGGAGGATTATGCTGCCCACCTTATTACATCAGGCTTGGCCATGTGATTTGCTTTAGCCAGTAGGATGTGAGCAGAATGACAGATGCCTCACCTGAACAGCAGCTTTAAGAGCAATCATGTCACAGTGCCATTAATCTTGTCCCTCTATCTTAAGAAGAACATGTCCCAGATAAAACTGCTGCTTTAGCCTGGATTCCAGAATGAAGGAAACAGATGAACAAGAGCTGCAAGTGACCCACAGTAAAGGGATACTGGGAGCAAGATATCAGATTTGTTTGTTGAACCCTCTGAAATGTTGATGTTGTTTTTATTGCAGCATAACCTAGCTAAAGCTGAAAAATATAGTAGGAGTATAAATTGTACCGTATTTCTTAAAAACACCTTGGCAATATATATCAGAGGTCTTACAAATTAGTGGATACTATTAAATTATAAATTCCCTTTATGACTCTATGTGCCAAGAGGTTCATTGCAATATAACCCTTAATGGTGACAACTGGAAGAAAGCCAAATGTCCAAAATGAGGAGAATGATTAAATAAATTATGATAAATCCATACTATGGAATGTCATAGAGCCATTAAAATTATGTTTACAAGGAATATTTAATAGCATAAGAAAATAGTCACTATGTAATATGAGGTGACAAAACAGTGCAAATTTGAAAATGCAGAATGATACCAAATTTGTAATATATACAAATTTGTATTGTATGTGTATTAACAAGGTTGAAAGGAAGTATATAAAAAATTTTATGAGTGCTTATTTCTTGATAAGTGAGAAAAAGGGCTATTTTTTAAAAATATGTCCATGTGCATTTAAAATTATGAAAAATAAAGATGTTTATTTTTATATTTAGAAAATAATATACTTAAATTGTCCTCATTTTACAAATTAGAGATAAGAATCTCAGAATAGTTTAGTAGACCCCAAAAGAGCCAAACTTAGAATCTGACTCTATCTGTGCTTTCAACCGTTACACATTTATTGTTTTAACAGTAGACTGCATTGACTGTATGTTTTAATATTCACTGTTCAAATGTCTTTATTATGCAGATGAAAATATAGTATAGTCTGTTATTCATCACAGCAACTTCTGTTGAAGTCCTCTTATTTCATCTTCAAGCCATCACTACAATAATCAGTGTAAGCTTTAATTTAAAATTTTCTAATAAGAATTATTTGTGTGCATGTTTATGCTGTTGGTTGATTTTAAATACCCAAAGTCACCTGGAAAAATTTAAGCACTTTTCTCTATAGATTATAGGACACTTAAGGGCAGACAGGAAACATATCCTGAGTTCTTCCATGTAATTTTCAATGGATTTATTCATTTTCCTTAACTCTTCTCCATTGAGACACTTTTATCATATTTCCATTTTTACTTTATAAATAATGCTTCAATGAACGAACATCTTTCTACACTGTGCACTGAAGCAGGTACTTCTATTGGATAGAACAGCAACTGATTATTTTATGCTTCACTTTTAAGAATGCCCTTCCCTAATGCATGCCTCATGAACTTGACTTCATTTTGGAGAGAATAACTTAGAACTCCTGCTCTCTGAAAATATTTTCCATTGATTTTCCTTGCTTAACATTCATACCTTAGTGCCCGCATTACTTGGCTATGGTTGCCATAA
Source organism: Homo sapiens (assembly GCF_000001405.40). Classification (NCBI taxonomy): domain Eukaryota; kingdom Metazoa; phylum Chordata; class Mammalia; order Primates; family Hominidae; genus Homo; species Homo sapiens. Next base: position 118,173,092 of record NC_000009.12, on the reverse strand, counting down.
CAAAATATCACAGACAATGTGGCTTAAACAACAGAAATGTATTTTCTTACATTTCTGGAAACTAGAAGTCCAAAAATGAGGTGTTGGTAGATTAGTTTTCCTCTGAGTCCTCTGTCCTTGGCTTATAGATGGCCTCATTTTCCTGTGTCTTCACATGGTCTTCCCTCTATGTCTATATCCTCATCTCCTTTTTTTATAAAGACACCATTGATATTGAATTGGAGCCCACTCCTGAGACCTCATTTTACCTCTTTAAAGTGCCTATCTCCAAATACAGTCACATTCTGAAGTACTGAGTGTTAGGACTTGAACATATGAACTTTAGGGGTACATAATTCAGCCCATAACAGTGTCATTGATTTGCAAATCTGCCTCCCTGTCCAGTGTGTGAACCTATCTGATGGCAGGTTAAATTCTCAAATGCCAGAATTTCAAACATTGTTAAGTACTCAATCAATGTTGGCAGAATCAGTCAGACTATGGATGTTTCAGAGCATAGAAACTGAAAGAGTACAGAGCAGAGGAGGACAAGTGGGAATGAGGATTTCAGGGAATGTTTCATGAGACATGGACTGAACTTTAAGCAAAGGAAAGACTTGTAGTCACAGAATCTAGGGTTCCCTCCAAAAATAGAAGACTGTATCCAAAATCTTGGAGGTTGACATGACTTGACAGATTAATGGAATGGTGAGAAAAATCAAAACTCACAAGACTAGTCAGGGTTTCAAAGTCATCTAATCCTTAGGGACATTTCCATCATTTCCACGCAAGGTCATTCAGTAGAGACTAGACTACTTGGACATCTTCAAAAATTAAAATATACTTGCTGCAGTTGCAGAATTGAATTATTTCAGTCATTGGCATAGTATTTACCAAAGCTTCCTCATTCAAATATTAGCTGATTGAGTTTGTTGTCATTTGCAAACCATCTCCTATTGTTTATTTGATAATATTTTATTTATTTGACCCCCATTGTTTAGACAGTGCATTTGAAATGGAACTTTATATTATTATTAGAACTACTTGAGAACCAGTACCCATTGGCCCAAATATAAGGTATAAGTATAAATAAATCCATAACTATAACTGTTATTATTGATATAACTACACACACACGCGCGCACACACACACACACCCCTGAAACATGCACTTACCACAAACGCTGGGTTCACCGAGCTTTTGGAGAAAGTTATTATCATAAACCCCTTTAAGTGAACCTTAAATTACTCCATTTCCATTTGTTTTATTAGGAAATGCAGCTGAGCGCGGCGACACACGCTTGTAGTCCCGGCTACTAAGGAGTCTGAGGCAGGAGGATCCCTTGAGCCCATGAGTTTGAGACTAGCCTCAGCAACACAGTGAGAACCTGTCTCAAAAGAAAGGAAGAAAGGAAGAGGAAGGAAGGAAGAAAGGAAGGAAGGAAGGAAGGAAGGAGGGAGGGAGGGAGGGAGGGAGGGAGGAAGGATGGAAGGAAGGAAGGAAAAGAAAAAAATGAAGCATGTTCAAGATATTACAAGGAAGAATTCTTGTTTTAGATGAAGGTAGTATAGGGTAAATGTTGAGGATGAATCACTGAAAGAGTCAAACAGTAGAACAATTTTCCCTGAAATTCTGCCTAAGTACAATGGGCATTAGAAAGAGCATTACTGTAGTGGTAACACTGAAAGGTCAGTCCCTTTACTTAGATACAGGTTCCTCGTAGTTCATGCTTTAATTTAAACTGAAAAAAAATAGAACTCTATTTTAAGTGATTACAGATTAAACAATTCTTCTACAATCTGATTTCATCTGTAAATTTGCTCAACAAATCCTTTCTCCATAAAGAGTAGAAAGAACATTTTCAAGCAGCCCCATTTGAATGAGGACATTAAAAGCTTTTGCTTAAAAGGCTCCTGAATTCCTACTCCTATCTAATTTCAATTTGCCTTGTGACCTTGAACAATCATTTAATTTCACTGAACCTCAGTTTCCAGACTTGTGAAACAATAGGATTGGAGTGGTTCTTGATGTGGTCCTTGGAGCAACAGCATCAGTATCAGCAGGAGACCTGCAAATTCTCAGGCTGTACTCCAGACCTACTGCACCAGAAACTCTGGGGTGAGGTCCAGCAATCTGTGTTGTAACAAATCTTCCAGGTGATCCTGATGCTAAAGTTTAAGAGCCATTGGACTGGAGGATATGCAAAGCTCCCTTGTCCCTGCCATCTGTGAAATGTTGTGATCTTGTGGTGGTTGAATGAGAGAGAGCAAAAGAGATCTCGTGTTACTAGTGAGAGGGAAAGCTGGCTTGGATGAGCTGCTTGAAGAATGGATTTGCTCTTTGGAGAAGAGTCACTTGGCCTAACTAATGACTACAGATCCCACAGGGAGAAAATCCTGGGAAGGGTTTCTCTGGCCACCTGGAAAGGAAACAGTGACAATATGGGAGAAGTCTCTCCTGGTGCTTAGGGATAGGAAGAGGCAGGCAGATAATATCTTCATTAGGAGCAGCTTGGCATGCATCATGCATCATGTATACAAACAGAAGTGCTGTATGATTTTGCCTCAGGACTAAGGCTCCCAGAGATGTGAAAACCCCCATACACCAATGTTCTCATTTTTTTTTCTTCTAAATTTTTGGAAGAGTCGAGTTTTGGGAGAGTGGGAAGCTTTGGGGAGGTAAATCAAAGCAAGGCCGAAGAAAGAGAAAGTTCCACAGTCTCCAAAACAAGGAGGCATTTTCTGTCCCAAAGATTCCTGAGGGAGTAACGTTTTCCCCAGCAAACAAATTCATCACCACCCCAGTGGAGCCTGCGCAGATGCAAAAGCAGAATGGGTGGGAATTGCAGGGATGGGGAGGAAGGAGAGCCAGAAAGGAATTCTGGCACCATCTAGTGGCCTGTGAGACAAGGCTATTGTCCTCATAGTCACAGCTCCGGATGGCTGACACTAAAGCAACTTGTTTAAAAGAAAGTCTTTAACATGGTTTAATTGCTATTCCCCAGGGAATTAAGTAAACTCTGAGCTCCCCACTATGGATGAGCACAAAGTGACATCTCTGATAGCAGTGGTGGAGATCAGTGGACAGGAGGCTGCTATTGGATCAAATAATCCTGAATGTATTAACAATTTCTTTCCATTGAAATAATGCTCACAATTTATATGGGAAATAGCTCATTCCATCCTCAAATTCACCCTGAATAGCAGTCTCTGATAAAAGGATCATGCCTAATTCTATGGATAAAAACAGTGAGGCCAAGGGAGATACATCCCAAGGTCACCTAGAGCAAACGGCAGGGACAAAACACCAATCCCAAGTGGCCCTGGTTATTAACACCAAGCACACTGTTCTCCAGAAACTCTATATAATGCTTTGACAAGTTCAGGGTGTAAAACCCAGGATTCCATTTCTTCACAGAGTGTCACCTGAATGTTCTAGAGATTTCATGGTTTTTAAATGCCAGAATTAAAATCAATAATTTCATCTTTTTGTTCTTTTTGTTAGAACTTCTTTTGCCTTCTATCCCGAAGAAGACAGTGATGAAAGTTATTCTTTCTTTCACAGTTAGTAAATTAATTAAGCAATCAGAACTCAGGCATACGGAGTAGTTAAATAGAGAGACAGTAGCATCATATAGAATGCACTACTGGGTCATTCGTTAGAAAGGACTGAAAATGCTTAAGTTCCTTAGGGACAGGAAAAGTAAGATTCTTTACTAAGCAGAAAACAAAACTTTCAATTGGGCAAATGGAGGATGAGAGCATCAGAGCTTGACCCCTTGCACTGTCCTTACTCTAATCTATTACATGATTCTTGGAGACCATCAGGGCAAAATCCTCACTTCTTTTACACTGATGCACCTCTCACACTTAAGATGTTTTCTGTACAACCATGCAAAGCGATTATAACATTTTTCTCTTAACACTCTCCAGGTTTTTCATTACAGCCTTAGGAGAAAACGGAAACCTCTTACTATGTGCCATGGACTAGGTAATCCCACAATTGACTCTCAATTCTTTTTTTTATGCCATCTTCAGCACCATTTCCACTATCTTGCCATCCTGGTTTCCTGACATTCCCACAGTAAGCCAGCCTGGGTGATACCTCAGCAAATGCACGGTTTATTTTTCTTATATTGGAAAAAGTATTTTCTTAAAGTGCTGGCACGTTCCTTTGGGTATCTGTTTAAATGGCACCTTTCAAGGAACCCTTCCTCCACCTCCTCCAATTCTCTACCACATCATCTTTTTTCTTCTCCTTTTACTTTTATTCCTTTAATTTCCCACTCATTATATGCTAAAATTATTTATTTGATGGTTTACTTATTTACTTATTTATTATCCGTGTCCCCAATTAGGATAGGGAATGACTAAAAGAGAAAAGATGACTTCTGGCATATTTCCAGTACAGGACTCAAGAGTATGTACTCAATAAATATTTTCTCTCTATAACTGGGATTCAGTACAGAAACAGATCAGAGTTAAGTGCTCAAATGATATTGGTTGAATATACATTGTCACTTCTTTTGAGGAAAAGGTGAAAAAGAAGTTTGGTAGGAAAAAGATAGTGTTTTAGTAAATGGTGCTGGGTGGGTCAATTTAAAGAATTTAAAGAATGTGATCTCTATATTGTACCATACAAAATTATTTTAAGCTGGATTGCATCTTCAATTGTGAAAAGTAGGACAATAATACTTCTAGAAGATATCATAGGAGAATATGTTTATGACTTTGTGTATTAAAATTCCTTAAACAGAACACAAAATGCTCTAAGTATAAAGTAAATATTATATAAGTAGATAGATATTTAAATTAAGAATTTTTGTTCATCAAAAGATACCATCATAAACAAGTTACAGAGTTCACAAAGATATTTGCAATAGTATACATATAACAAAAATTCAATTCCAGAATATAGAGAAAACTAGTACAAATCAGTTTAAAAAAACAGAAAACTCAATATAAAAATAAGCAAAAAATTGACAGACACTTTACAAAAAATAAAGCACACGCACATGCAAATGAAACCATGCTCAACATCATCACGTCAAGGAGATGCAAATTAAAACTGTGAGAAAAAATTCACATTCATACAACGGAAAGGAAAAGATAGATGGATTGATAGATGATGGAATCTAGATAGATAGATAGATGATAGGTAAAAGTAGATGCTGACAGATAGAAATATAGAATATAACAGATAGATATATTGATAAATAGATGATAGATAGATAGACCAATTATTCTCAAAGATCTGGAACATTCACAGCTCTCAATTACTGCAGTTTGATTGTAAAGTAATTGACCCTCACTATTTTGGTAAACTGTTGGCAGTATCTTCTACAAGTGAACATGCTTACCCTAGAACTCTGAAATTCTCTTCACGGTTATATAGCCAAAAGCAATGCAGGTATGTGTACCTACAGAGGAGTGCAAGAATACTCACAGCAGTGCTGTTAGCAATAGTTATTAGCACTATCACTAGTATTATTAGTTCTATTACTGGTACTTACAGCAATATCCCCAAATTGGAAACAAGCCAAATGTCCATAAATAGTAGAAGCAATAACTTTCGATATATCCCCAGAATGAAAAAGGAATGAAAAAGAACAAATGGAAAAGAGCAAATTATCGCTACACCAAATAATTTGAACAAATGTTATAAGCATAATATTTACCAAAATAAGTCACAGACTAAACAGTACATCAGTATCATTTTCTCTAGTACAAGTTCAAAAACAGGCAGAACTAATTTCTGATGATATGAATATGGATAATCGTCCGGTTTGTTGGATAGAATGATAACCTGTGGGTTAGTGTGGGATTTTAGTATGTTGATAATGCTCTCTTTCCTAATCTGTGTGGTGGTTACATGGGTATGTTATCTTAGTGAAAAATCATCAGGATTTGTGCCCAGAATCTCTGCATTTTTCTGCATGTAAGTATGCATCGTTAAAAAATGTTAAATAAGCAATTATTGTTTTAAAGAAGGAAGAGAGAAAGAAAGGAAAGAAGAGAGAGTGAGAAGGAAAGAAGAGGAGAAAAAGAAGAAACAAATGAAAGAAAGAAAATAGTGTGGTTACATTTCATTACCTCTCATCAAACTGCTGGAACTTCCACAAACTCACTGTGGAGACCTCATCGTCAACTATGTTCAATTCTGCATTGAGTTTTCACTTACTCTTTGTGGAAGTGTACGGCAGTGTGTGCCACGTGGGTCTCCTCTCTCAGGCTCTTCTGCCTTTAGCCATCCTTTCTGGTGGAGGTAACGGATGCATCAGACCAAGGCCAGGTGTTTAAAATTAGTTCCTTCTCATCTTCTCTAGAAAAGTCATGTCTGGGAAAGAATACATGCTTAATGTTAAACCTGTCACAGTCCTTAATAAACCAGCCTAATCTTAGAGGGGAATAATCAGGAGGAAGGGACATTAGAGTTAGACCACCTGAGGAATTGTTGTGCAAAGTAGGAAAATTTGGTCTTAAAAAAAATAATAACAAAATATACATGTGCTAGGAACCCTGGATATTTATCTCCTTTCCTATGCCTCTCACTGCCCCGTATGTGGAAACTCCTACAGCAGATGTCCTTGACAGTTGTAAACCAGAGTGTTGTATAATAATACTCTAAGTTACTTTGATGATATTTGATGAATTTGACATTCTAAATTAGTGGAACCTAAATCTTGCTGTTATCAGAATCACTGAGGGGACTTGTTTAAAATATATTCTTCAAAACTTATCCTAGACTTACTGATTCAGAAACTCTGGAGATCAATAATGTTTAACAATTTCCTAAGTCATTCAAGTAGCATAGCACAGAGGTTAAGACTACCTATTTAGAAAGATCAGACCTCTGTGGGAATCCCAGCTTTTTCATCATATTTTTGTTGTGTAGAATTGTGCAATTTATTTAGCTTTCTAAGTCCCACCTTCCTCATTAGTAACATGGAGATTATAACTGGATTTATCTTTTAGCACTGCTTTGAGTTTTAAATGAAGTGCTGAGCCCAGCACTGTGTTTGACACATACAAAGTGCTCAGAAATGTCATGCAATATGTCCAGGACTGATGCAAAATCAGTAAGCATTTGGAAACCACTCTTTGAAAAGACTTCATCTCCCTCATTTATGCAGGGGATGTCAGCACAGCAATTACCGACTTCCACTGTGCATATCAGCAAATTCACACATTCGTGGTGTGTGCTGGGTTCACTAACACTATCACACTTTAGGGGCATTTTTCTAATAGGTAATTATTTACCTATTTTACGATAAACCAAATCAGGTAAAGATTCATATCTATTTAGCCTACCATTATATCAGATATACTGTATTTCACTTTGCATCTAGCATAGTGCCTGACATGTAGCAGGCATGCAAAAATAATATTGCATGAATGAATACATGAATTAATTAATGATTGAAGCATGGCCAGTTATACAGCAGTACTGCTCAGATGTACATAGTCATGCTGGTTTAGAGCACAAGAAAGAAAACAGGAAGTGTTCAATCAGAATTTTCTCTGGGGATCTGAAGACTCTTAGTGTTGTCAGGTTTTGCAAATGAAAATATGGGATGCCCAGTTAAATTTGAATTTCAGATAAGCAACAGATAATTTTAAGTATAAATATGTCCCATGCAATATTTTGGATATACTTATACTGAAAAATATTCATTGTTTATCAGAAATTTAAATTCAGCTGTTGCCTCTGGGTTTTATGTGGTAACTCTAAAGACCAATCTGGTTCAGTGTTAGAAATCAGAAACTATCAAATATGGCAGGGGTTGGTAGTTAAAATTAAAAAAAAACCTCGGTATTGTATAAAGAACTGATTAACTCATGTGTGTATATATGTGTGTATGTGTGTGTGAGAGAGAGAGAGAGGGAGAGATGAAAATTTTTCAGTAAGAATTTGCTTCTGTTAAAGCCTTATATGGCAATATGTAAAAAGTTAGAATTTCAACCTTTGTGAATAGTTTCTTGACAGCTCTATATGACAGAAGAGTTCCAAATTCTTAGCCAATCCTTTGTTATGCTGGTGTCTCTAACTAAAACTGAGGTGCATGTTTCAGCTAACAAGCAATTAGCCTTCATAAGAAATGTGTCAACAAATCATTGACTCATGAACTTTCTAATTGTTCTCACCTATGTTTTGATCTAAGCTTATAATGCTGCTATAAAGGAGATTCAAATTCTGGCTAGGGGACTAAATATATTATCTTAAGGTCCTTTTTCTAGCCATGTATACATTCATATATGTTTATATGCATTCATGTATAATCACATATTTCACACAAATTCTTGAGAAATAGACTGTCCAGAGAATAGTGCTCAACAAGATGTTTAGATGGGAGGCTCCTGAGATTCAGAATGATATCTAGGCTACTCTGACCTACAATGACCATTTTATTTAATGTTACCTTGTGGCTTTCCTACTCCCTGCCCTTCTAATCCCACTTACCCTGCTCTACTTTATTCCTCTTCTTTATTTATTTTTATTTTTATTTATTTTTTTTTTTGAGACAGAGTCTTGCTCTGTCACCTAGGCTAGAGTGCAGTGGTGCCATCTTGGCTCAATGCAACCTCCACCTCCTGGGTTCAAGCGATTCTCCTGCCTCAGTCTCCCGAGTAGCTGGGATTACAGGCACATGCCACCACGCCCAGCTAATTTTTGTATTTTTAGTAAAGGCGGGGTCTCACCATGTTGGTCAGGCTGGTCTCAAACTCCTGACCTCGTGATCCACCCACCTTGGCCTCCCAAAGTACCGGGATTACAGGCGTGAGCTACCACGCCTGGACTCCCTTTTTTATTTTAATAATAGTACATGTGACCTTGTAGCCTATTAAAAAATTTACTAATTTATTACATGTATTTTTTTTATCTCCCCTAAGAAAATAAGCTTATCTTCAATAGATGGCCAGTTTAAGCAAAAGTCCTGTCTTGAGTGGAAAGCAAAATAGTTGATAACAATTAAGAATATTAAAGACCTCCCATTGCCTCATCCAATATCATCCCTATCGCCCATGTCAGAAGTACTGAAATTGACTTGGTCCTGCATTCCTCTGATGAAAAGTACCACCTCTGCATTTCTACTCCCTGCTCTCATGAATAATTCAGGAGGAGGTAACATCAGATATGGAATAAGTATGCATTTCAGTGACCTGTGTTTCAACTCTTGTTCTTGCACAAAACAGTTCTGCAGTCTCAAGCCAATCACAGCAGGGCTCATTTTCACATGTATGCAAAGAAGGGATCGAGCCAATTGAACTTGAAGATACCCTCTATCTCAAAAGGTACTCTGATTTAAAGTCCTTTAAACTCACATCAATGTTACAGTTACTAGAAGTGAAAGTCTGAAATAAAATGGTGGGAAGAAGCAGGGCAATTGAAATAGTGGCATAACACAGGACAAGGGAAAGTGGGACACATTGCAAAATCTCGTTGATTTTGCCGTTTGCAGGGGGCTCACTCTTCAGATAATTGAATCTAGAAGTAGAAAAAATAGAGAACTATATTCCCAAACAGGAGGAGAAGCAAATATCGATTTAATTTGTTATAATTACTTGAACACACAATTTTGTACAGTCAATTACTTCACATCTTATGATCTAACAGTGCCTTGTTTATAATAATGACAATAATAAATTTTAGCACTTATTGAAAACAAACTGTGTGCCAGACACTGGACTAATCACTATATAAGAAGTATGTAAGTTGAAACTCAGAATGGTTCCTGAGAGGGGTTAAGTGTGATCCCCATTTCACAGATGAAGAAACTGAGACTTGGGTAGTTAACTAATGTGCCCATTTTTATGTGGCTTACAAAACAAAGCTGTGGCCGGGAGCGGTGGCTCACACCTGTAATCCCAGCACTTTGGGAGCCCGAGGTGGGTGGATTACGAGGTCAGGAGATTGAGACCATCCTGGTTAACACAGTGAAACCCCGTCTCTACTAAAAATACAAAAAATTAGCCGGGTGTGGTGGCACACACCTGTAGTCCCAGCTACTTAGGAGGCTAAGGTTGGAGAATAGTTTGAACACAGGAGGCGGAGGTTGCAGTGAGCCAAGATTGTGCCACTCCAGCCTGGTGACAGAGTGAGACTCCATCTCAAAAAAAAAAAAAGAAAGGCTGGAAATTAAACCCAGGCGGGAGTTACCAGTGCATGCCTGCACACTTCACCTGCTCTGAAATGCTTTCTCTCAACTTTAGCATTAATCACTCTGTCTAATGTGTAACTATGTTGACTCTATTTCCATCACTACCTTCAACCTTGCCTACCCTTAGTCCAAAATATTGTCATGGTATATCCATGCTGAAGGCAGAGTGTGTCTGTTATGATAATCAGAGAACAAACGGTATATATTTTTATTTTTTTACCTGCATCTTGATAGTTGGCACAATTTGGAAAACAAAATATTATTTCGTTTCCCTAGTTGTGCCAAACAATGTTCAAATGACAACTAAGAATTTAGTAACGTGCATTACATTATTTAAGTGGCGAGGTTTCAAGTTCTTAAATGAGGGAGGAAGTTTGGTGATAATAAAAGTCTAAATGTTGGCATAGTCTACAGATACATGAGAAAAGGATTTAAATCATCATAAAAACATTTATTTAACATTAAAATTGATTTTAAAGACCACTAAGAGAAAAATTCTTCATTTAAAAAAATCCATTCATTCTGTAAATGGAGGCTAGATCCTGCAAGTTCAAATGTGAATGACAAAAATTTAGTATTTATCCAGAGGTCTCAATCCTTTCTTCTGCTGAAATGCATAATGTGTTTGTATGTGGAGGGGGTGAACATAAAATGAACACAGGTTTATAGCTCTGCATTAAAGCACAGATCTAAGACAACTTCAAGGCCTATGGACCCAAGAAGTAGAGCATTTATCCCAGAATTGTGAAGGGAGAAGACTGGTCAGGAAGGACATCCAACATGAAATAATAGATCTGAGTTAAGACCTGAGAAGAAAGTAATAGGAAGTATAAGGGATAAAGAATGGTAGGTTTTGCCTATCAAAAGGTATCCTCCCCGACCACCCCCATTTTTTTTTTCTCAGAGAGTTGGAGCCTATTTATGTTCAAAAAGATACAAGTGTAAGTCTACCAGGGGAAGGATGACAGTGTGAAAAAGGTGTTTTCCTACTTGCTTAGAGGAAGATACTTACAAAAATACCCTATCTTTTCTACATGGAAAAATGTTTCTTGGAGCTGCTGCAGCTATCTTGTGACCAAGAGACAAGGGCCACAAGAGTTATGAAGCCAAAATTCGCAGTACTTCTTGAGTTACTGCATCAGTGCTAACAAACATTCACTTTCAAACACATCTGTAAGTAAGAAAAATGAAGCTCCATTTGTTTAAGTCGCTGTTCAATGGGATTTCTGTTGCTTGTGGCTAACAAGTAACAAAATTGAATTTGATTGGAAAATATTTCCAATCAAAAGAGGGGTTAAAGGCTATAGAGCACTGTGGGTAAAAGGCTAGAGCTAAAAAAGACAGTAGTATATTTCTGGATGAAAAAGAATTTTCAGAGTAATTGGAATGATCATAGACAATTAAAAGAGAGTGACAAGAAAAGAGAGAGACCTCAGATTGCCTAGCTTTCATTGTCATTAATTCAGCAAGCATTAAAGGAGCAAGTGTTTTCTGTTGGGTACTGTTCTGTACACTGGGGAACAGCCGAAATAAAATAGATAACAATCCCTGTTTCCAGAGAGTTTGCATTCTAGGAGTTTAGGTAGTGTTGGGCTTGGTCTGTTTTTAAATAAAATGGTCAAGGAAGACCTCATTGAGAAGGTGTACATTGTGCAAAGACCTGAAGGTAATAGGAGAGCAGGCCATGTGAATATCTAGCAGAAGAGCCTTCTACACAGAGGGCACAGCAACAGCAGAAACCTCAGACAGCTTGTCCCTGGGACTTTTAAGAAATGATGAGAGCAGTGTGGCTGCAGAAGAGTAAGCCAGAGGGAGAGTCCTAAAAGACAAACTCAGAGAGGTAGTGGGTAGGGGGCATTGTATAGGGCCCTGTTAGCCATTGAAAGGCTTTGGCTTTTTACTTCAAATGAACTGCAAATATGTTGGAGGCTTTGCTCAGAGGAGCAGCACGATGTGTTATGTCTCACCAGATTACACCTGTTAAGAACAGACATAGAAGAATGGGGACAGAAGTAGAGAGACCAGTTGAGAAGCAATTGCAATTACGTAGGAAAGAGATCATAGTGGCTTGGACAAGGCTGAGCTTGGTGAATTTGGTAAGAAGTGTTTGAAATATCTCATTCTTGATGATTGAATTTCCAGGTTTACTTTGGATTGAAAGTGAACTATAAGAAAGAGAAGAGTCAAAACTAATTCTAAAGGACATGCGCTAAACAACTGAAAAGACAGATTTGTAAATTATTAAGATGAGAAACACTGTGGATAAGAAGAGTTTTGTTTTGGATCTATCTTATTGAGGTATAATTGATATACCAAAATTTACACATATTTAGTGTATAATATCTTGATAAGTATGGATATATACATATACCCTGATACCATCTTGAAATGTTTAGATATCTAAGTGTAAATGTCAAATACATGGGTAGATAAAACAGCCTGGTTAAGAGAGTCTGGGGCTGGAGGTAGAAATGTGAGTGATCTTCTAAGTATAAATGTTATTTAAATACATGGACTGGAATAAATCATTAGGAGAGTGAGTAATGTGGCTCGTTGCAGTACTAAGGGATCTCAGAGATGAAGGAAAGCAAGCAAAGGAGACTGAGAAGGAGCAACCTGGTGGAAAAGACAAGATTTATGGTAGACTGGATGTTGAGTGAAGAATTTCAGGAAGGAGAGGGTTAATAGTAAGTTCACATCACACCTTGAGTTAGTTAAGGCTAATATAATATCTCACATCAACTAATTCTAACTTCAAATATGAGAGAAATATTGAAGTATGATCACCAATGCCAGTTGCTTCAATCAGACTCAGTGAATCACTATTTTCTATTATTTGGCAGAATGGAGAGAAAGCATCTACATTCTGGAAGTGAGAAAGTGGCAGCACTGTCAGGGCTAGCGGATGTTCAGGTAATGGTAATTTTTTCCTTCTTTTCTTTTAAAGATATAACAGACATTCTGTAATGACAGAGGCTGCTTTTCCAGCCAGTTGACGAGCTAAGATTGCTCAGGAAGCATACCAGCAGGATAAAAAGATGCTAGCGAGTCTTTATCATATAACCTCTTATGTCAAGTGATGTGAGAAATTCCTCAGAACCAGGAGAGGAAAAAACGAGAGAAAGTTAAAAGTCTAAGCTTCGTGCATCGTTAATGAACAAGAAGGGAGAGAAACCCATCTCTCCCCGGTATGAAGAAATTATGGAGCAAGGAACTCTTATCTTACCACTCTCTGTGCTTCATAAAATATGGGTAACTTTTGGCAACCAGTCAAAATTAAAGAGAAAATATGCAAAACACACACGTAGTCTTGTGCACATGCAGAGTGAGATAGAAGAAACCAGAGCTTCAAGGTTGATTTGCTGAGGATGAGAAGGTAAGCTATTATACATACATACATATATATAAAATTCTGGATGTAGACAGCAAATGTCAAACACATTTTCTACACTGACTATCTTAGTTTGTACCTTTACTTGCTACTTTTTCCTTCTAAAGAATGAAATTACCTTTTCTCAACTGTTTTTGTATTCAATACCTGTGAATTTTGGCCCCAATAACATACAGAAAAGGACTGTGTACTAAACTTCCCTTAATTAAAAAAGTCCTTTTATTTTTAAAAATAGAGAAATCAATTGTGTAAATATTTAAACACTTCAAGATAATTTACAATTTTTAAATATTCCAAAGCACATTAAAAGCATCCAGGAATACATAAGGCTTGACAAAATAATTATGTGTGCTTACAGTGAATCATTAAAGTAGGTCTCTTAAGGACTTCTTTTTTTCTTTGAGACGGAGTTTTGCTTTTCTTGCCTAGGCTGGAGTGCAATGGCATGATCTTGGCTCACTGCAACCTCTGCCTCCCGGGTTCAAGTGGTTCTCCTGCCTCAGCCTCCCAAGTAGCTGGGATTAAAGGCATGCGCCACCACACCCAGCTAATTTTGTATTTGTAGTAGAGAAGGGGTTTCTCCATGTTGGTCAGGCTGGTCTCGAACTCCCAACCTCAGGTGATCCGCCCGCCTGGGCCTCCCAAAGTGCTGGGATTACAGGTCTGAGCCACAGCGCCAGGCCTAGGTCTCTTAAGGACTTCTATCCCAGCATACTTTCTTAGGCTATGTAAGCAAAGAGCCCATAGAAGGTTATATCTGGAAGGGGCTGTGATGACACAAATAATTTTGTTAAGCATAACATAAATAAAATAATTTTGCCTGCTAAAAATGATTTTACTTATGCTGTTTCTTGTCATTATTGCCATAATGGTCTTAATGACACAATCTTATTGTACTTTTCCAAATTCTGTGTAAATTAAAGAGATTTGGCCCAGGTTGTGAGTTCCTGTTAGGTGTGGAAGGAATGTGTTTCAGCTGTGATCTGTATTTCTACTGGGTTAATAACTACTCTCAAAAAAACACCAATTTTTATTGCTGGAATAAAACCTTAGAAATCATATCATCCAAACTTTTTTTTTTTAACTTAGGAGGAAACTACAGTTCAATGAGGTTAAATGACTTGCCTAAAGGCACACAGAATGTTTAGCAAAATCTAGAGTTTCACTTACTGAGAGTAAAAGCAATTTCTTCAGACAAGTCCTGCTTTGAGTGTGATTTCAGTCTAGCTGTGTCTTTACGGTTTGCCAAGAAGCCAGCCTGGTATCTTTTAACATCTTTTTCTCTAGCCATGATGCTAACCACTTAGGTTTGTCGAGAGCTTTATAGAATTTCCATTTGCAGAAACACTCTGTCATCTATTTTATAACATGATCTCCTACGTGAGTATGAACAGAAGAAATCAGCCAGATCACAGCTAGGTAAATTAAAGCTCAAGTTTTGAGTTTTGTCCTAAGCTTGTGAGCTAGGGAACCTGAAACTCAAGTTTAGAGTCTTGTTTTGTGTGGCCCAGCCAGTCTGAGATGGAGCTGGACTAAATCTAGACACATGGGTCTGAAAGAAGTAGGATTACCTGGGTCTGAAACCAGTCCCCAATTTGTTGTTGACAGTATTCAGATACCGTAGACAATATTACCCTCCCATACCCTGGGGTTTAAGGTCTTCTGAATCTACTCAATTCCTTGCCAAGGTTACTGAACGGAAAAAAAAAAAAAAAAAAAAAAAAGAGAAAACCCAGGTCTATGTTTATCTTTGTTATTTATTTGCATATGATGCCTGAGCTTCATCCAAATTATGCAAATAAAAGTTTATTTTTCCCCCTAAAGCTTCCTATCTTTAAAAGAGCTACTAAATAAGATGGTTTATTTCACATGATTGATTACAGGAATCCTGCTCATATATCCAAGAGCTGACATTTTAAATCACGTCTTCTTTTCAATTGAAGGGAATGAAATGATTTTCATATCTTGACATGATTGATTATTTGGAAGCTGAAGCCAAAAAAAATCTATAAGAGTTCAATCTATAGCTCCCACCAACTGATAGCATATTATCAAGCCTTATTAAAATCATGCATGACTTGCAACTGCAGCTTTATATCTGACAGTAAGCAAATATAATGGCCTTCTTCCTTCAGATTGCACTTTTGTATTAATGTGGTGGCTGATGTATCTATTTATGAAAAGATTATAGGTGATGTAAATTTTACCTTTACAGATAAATGGTGATTCTTTTGTATTTAATCTCCAAAAGAGACTGCGGAAATCTAAATTAGTGATGGAGCTGAATGTTTATCAGCAGTGGGTCTATAAAGAGTCTCAAATACAAAGCTGCGGGTCCCAATAGGATACCTCTTCCTAATTTTTTAAGGGTCTCTTCTTTTAATCCAAACTCTGAGCAGTATCTCAGCTATAAAGATGAGTCATCAGGGCCTACAAGCTAAAATTTATACACTCCGCTGTAAGTCGACTTATTGAAGAAGGTTTCATTCATCTAAAGTTAGCAGCAGAGTATAGAACATAGAGACCAGCCACTGTTCTGAAGGTTGGCACGTTTATGGGAAAATCAATGCTTAAGTTATCGTTTCCCCTGCTTTAATTATAAATCCAATTTTCTTTTTGGATAGTGCAGATCAAATAAAAATAGGTCATGTCTCTTCATTGTAAACACTGCCCCATAAATCTGGGCTCTGCCTTCGCTGGACTCTACCACAGGCATTTAACCCAGCTTAATTTTGTTTGTAGTGCTTGCAGCGTCAAATAACAAGTCTCCTGGTGACCTAGTAGTCATATGGACCCATCCATTAAGAGGACATCCAAACCACTGCAAAGGAAGCCAAAAATTCAAGCTAAGATTTTTTTAACGAACTGAATAAATAATGTCTCTCCCTTTTAAAAATGTTACTAACTAGACTGTAAACATCTTGAAGGAAGACTCTGTGACTTTCCTCTCTAAACTTCTTACACCTAATAGAGATGGGCTATAAATTGTTATCCCACAAGCATTGTTCCAGGTACTAAAGATATAATGGTAGACAAAAATGATGTGTATAACCTGGGTATTCAGAGAGTTTACTATCAAAGGGATAGACACAATAACTAAAAAGATGTAGAATTAAGAGTGATAAATGCTATATTAAAGAAAATAAAGATTAACCCAGAAACATAAGCAAGAATCCCTTTAAAGAATGTTTCATAAATGCAAGGCAGATGACAGTGTCCTGGCATATTAGGAAAAGGGCAGGGAGAAGTATTTCAGGAAGAAGCAGTATATGGAAGATGGCATGGTGAGCTGGTCCTACAACATGGCTGATTTGATAGACATGGACCAGATCAGAAATGGCCCTAGAAGTCATAATAAAAATGTTCCCTTTATCCTGAGGTTAATAAGAAGTGATAAAAGTGTTTTGAGCAGGAAAATTACAGGACTATTTTGTGTTTTAGAATGTAACATACATACAATAAATGATTCTGGAATGAACTAATGGAAGAATAAAATTATTACTCTATTGGTAGTAAGAAAGACTAACATTTTTCAGTACTTCTGATTTTCCAAGTTTTCCCCATCAAAAGTTTTATCTTATCCTCAAAGTGCTCTTAAGTACAAATGACTTAGATTGCATACATTTCAAAGATGAGGCTACTTAGACTCCTAGAAATTCAGTGCCTTTCTTAAATCACAAATCTAGTTAGTTATGACTCTGTGTTTGATATAAATTATCCTGTCCTCAGCTTCCCAAAATGATGTTGCATCTGAAAATACCAATAGTCTGATAAAATATCAAATTGAGGGAAACAACCGTAAAATTAAAATGCTTCAAAAATTTTAAATTTTGTTCAGTAATTATTTGATCACATTAAGGATGATTTTGTTGTTCAAAGCATCCACAGAATTACTTGGAAGCTTTAGTAAGAGATAAGTTAATATTACATAGATGCTGAGTGGTTTGTGCTAAAGTTTTGCTGTTGCCATCGTTGCCTGTTTTTTATTTTTTTATTTTTTATTTATTTATTTTGTTTTGCTTTGTTTTGTTTGAGGGTTTGTGGTGGAAGGGATAAAAGAAAAAGGTTGAGTAGGATGTCTGGGCAAATGACAGAGTCCAGTGAAAACAGCTTATGTGGAGGTACACCTACACCATGCCAGAAGTGACCAGGAGAAAATATGCTCTTGCGAATTTCTGGGAAACTTGGAGAGAATTGTAAACTTCTACAGAACATAAATTGGAGATTAAAGTCATCTTATGCACCTAGGTGGATAAAGTCTAAAGATTTTTGTTGTAATCTGGGCTAGAAATAGTCACATTGAAATCATACCCAATCTCTTTCTATTGGGATGTTTGCTGCTCTTCCCTTGCAATCTTCTCTACAGCCTTGGCTGAATCTATCCCTTCCCTGGCAACGACTCATGTATCTCTATTGCCAACATTGATTTCACTTCTGAGTACTTGGTTCAAATCTCCAAATGCCTGTTACACATTTCCACATGAATGCTTCCTGCTTTCCTATTCAATAGCACCAACATAAACTCTTTATTCTTTGTGCCTTTTAATTGATGACAAAATCAACACCACATTCTCCAACTGGAAATTTTTGAACTACTTTTGTCTACGCACCATCCAAACTACCACCACTGACATCTAAGGAATCAGTTAAGTCAACATTCTGATGGACTTTTCCCAAATCTTTCTCTTCTATCCTCCCACAACTGTCCTAAGTTTACACTCCATCCTTGAAAGGATTAGAGATGAACACATGAATTGTTTCTCTCATTCCTGAAGACCTACTTCTTCAAAAAGTTAAAGCCTTTTTTTCCTATTTTCTTTCTAAAGTAAGATTAAAATATGTCCACACAGAAACCTGTAAATAATTTTTTATTTCAGCTTTATTTGTAATAACTCTAAACTGAAGAAAACTCAAATGTATTTCTTTCAGTGGACTGATGGATAAACAATCTCTGGCACATCCACAAAATGGAACAGCACTCATCCCATCTAATACGTAGATCTCAGAGGCTTTATGCTAAGTGAAAAAAAAGCATCCTGAAATGTTACATATTGTATGAGTCTACTCGTATAACACTTTCAAAATGACAAAATTTTAGGGGTACAGAAGAGTTCAGTGGTTGCCAGGAGTTAGGGCTATGGGAGAGTGGAGAGTGTGACTATAAAGAAATAACAGCAGGAATTTTCTCTGTAGTGATGGAACAGTTATGTATCTTGATTGTGTTAGTGGTTAGAACAACTATACATGAAATAACATTGCATTATATTATACACCAAAAATAAATTGCATGTAAAAATCAGTGAAACTTTATTTCACTTAACATAAAGTCCAACAAGTTCATCCATGTTGTCACAAGTGACAGGCTTTATTATGTTAAATGACATACACCAGACACAGAAAGACATATACTGTGTGATCTCACCTATACATGGAATCTAAAAAGTTGAACTCAGAAGCAGAGAGTAGAATGATGCTTACAAGGGGCTGGGGTGGGAGTAGAGCAGGGTTGAAAAGATACTAGCCGAAGGACACACAATTTCAGTTAGATAGGAGGAATAAATTCAAGAGATCTACTGTACAACACAGTGACTATATTTAATAGCAATGTATTATATTTTGAAAATCATTAATACAGTAGATTTTAAGTGTTCTCACCACAAGAAATGTTAAGTGTGAAATAATACATATGTTCAATTTACTCAACTGAGCCATTCTACAATGCGTACATATTTCAAAGCATCACGTTGTACTTGATAAATATATATAATTTTAAGTTGTAAACTTAAAATTAAGTAATTAATTAAATGTTTAAAAAACCTAGTGAAACCTGAGTAAGATCTGTGGTTTAATAGTATCACATCAATGCTGATTTCTTCGATTTGGCATTGTACTATAGTTATGTAAGATGTAAGCTGCATGAAGGATGTTGAAAATATAAGTTTTGAAACTTCTTATCAAATATTAAATTGTTTTTATATAAAAAGTTTTTTAAAAGTTGATTATATTCTTTTTAATCTTTTCTCAACCTTTTATTGGCTTTTCTTTAACTTCAGGATGAAGTCCAAATGGGTGAGTTTGAGATTTAAGATCCTGGTTTCTCTCTCTGGCCTCACTTTTGCTTATAACTTCCCTATATTTTATACTCAAAATTTATTCCCTGAATAGGTCATGCACGTCCCCTAATTTGTGTATTTTTACCTGTGTTACCCCCAATTTGATGTGACATTTTACATTATATCTTCAAAATAACTCTCTAATAGGTCTCAGTTGCCTCATCTTTATAGTTGAAATCACTGAAACTCAAGAAAGTTAAGTCATAGAGCTAGCAGAAAAAGATATTCAAACCAGGCCAGTTTGACTCCTCTATACCATATTTGCTTATGTATACTGATGTTTAGATTTCATATATGCAAGACTGACATGACCCGTGCCTTATGCTTGTGACTTCTTGTATGGCTGTATTGCAAAAAGTACGTATTCAGTAAATGACTGTGGAATGCAAATGACCTGAACCCCATGATGTACTGTTTTAGATATATACAAATCATCATTTTGCAAATTGAGCTGAAAGGGCCCTGATAAATGTAAATAGAGATTTAAAATAAAAATGCTTACTTAATGGTAACAAACCAGTGATCTGAAATAAGTGGGCAAGGGCCTGAGTACTTGCAGAGCTTTTCCAGGACATCAGGAAGTTTTGTCACCCACTGAGATGTGAGCCACGCTGGAAATGATGGACTTTACACTGAAAACATGGAATGTCTTGTTCAGTGCTTCCCGTGAAGGAAGCTTCGATTTTTACAATCAATGGCAAGAGGCAGAAGAAAAGGCTCAGCAAGAAGCCCAAGTATGAAATCTGTTAAATGAGGAGGTCTAGGAAGCCCCATCATGTTTTTCTTTAAACAATTCATCAACCTTTTGATGTTAAGACCTACTATATGTGTAGAAATCAGATGAATTAATGGCATCTCAGTCTCAAATGTCCATTTACCTATTAATTGTTTGCAACAATGCTGTGGTATAGTGAACCTAAGCCACTCAAAAAAGAACACACACACAGACCTAGCACACACACATGCACACACACACTCACACTCACATACACAATGCGGCAAGTTTACAGGCTTCATGGATAATTTGAACCCTCACTAAGACTCCAAGTACAAGTACAGGATCCCTGGTACAGAAGTAAATGTCTTGTTTGAGGGTCAAAGAACTGTGCGATATAATCTAAAGCCAATCATTTTATTTTTTGACTCTACTTTTAGATTGACAAACCAGAACAAATATTAACCCCTCTACCTAAATTGAAGTGAAAAAAAAAAATCAGAAATTATAGGTATGTGAAAACTCCACATATAACTTATAGACATCAATTTACGTAACTATATATGAACTTACCCAGCTGTAAATTGTATGTGATATCAAATATAAATATAATAATTGTGCCTATTACACTCAGCAAATGTAATGGCCTTTGAAAATTAATGTACATTGAAAGAAATATGAGACCCAGAAGATAAAGATGATTTTCAGTTTCCCTGCTTTATCTAAATTCAATCTGGTCCTAATATATAAGAATTCAGATAACATGGTGTGGAGGTATTAGAGCTATTTCAAATATTCTGACATACCTTATGGGCACATAGCAGGAATTTAGACAGGGCCATATGGTTTGCATTGGCCAATGGGAGGTAAGAAAAATGATGTTTTTCACTCCCAGATGGAAGCTTTATAATTAAGAATATAATGTCCTGCGTTTTCTTCTTCTGCTCTGCTGATACTGAAAATGTTCAAAAGGTACAGTCTAATGAGATGAAACTTCATCTGTTTAAATCCCTGAGTGATTATAATAAGCAGATTCCCATTTCAACAATTTTGTACACAGAGTGTAAACAAAAAGTAAATTTATTGTGTTAAGACTGTGGTTTGGGGCTGGTATACTTTCACACATAATCTCACCCATCTTGACCTACACAAAAGCATATCAACCACCATGCTCTGCCCAGCTTCAATCCCTGCCCCCGTAAGTAGATTATTTTCATGAAAGCTTGTAAAGCTCTTACATATGATAATCTTACCAAGGAAAAGGATTGTATTTTATAAATTGCATATAACATATAAGACTCCAAGGATGGCCACTGTGCATTCCTTTTCTTCTTGTGCAAGCATGTTGTGCCTTGTGTCAAATTATCCACCCCTTAAGCCTGAGCTGGTCTTAACAACTTTCTTTACTAGTGGAATGCAGTGAAAAATACATCCTTGGGCTTTCAAGAGTAAGCCATAATAAGACCTAAAGCTTCTCCTTGTGTCTTGTGTAATCCTCTGTCAAGCACTCCAGCTATCATGATTGAAATGTCCAAGTCACCTAAACAAGCCACATGCAGGAGTTTTAGTTGACAACCCTGGTGATTTCCCAGCCCCAAACCAGCACTAATTGCCAGTCATGTTCATGAGCCATCTTGGATGCCAGCTGAGTCAAGCCTTCAATGATTGTAGTCCCAGCCAATATCTGACTGCCATAACATGAAAGAACCAGTTTAGAACTGCCCAGATGATACCAAGACAACTATAGAACCTTGAGAGATAATCATAAATTGTTTCAATTCACTAGGTTTTAGGTTTGTTTGTTATAAAGCAAAAGGTAATTTGAACACTGTGTGATATGTTTAATGTCTATATAAGAATGGAAATAAAAGTACATAACTTGCAACATTGTTGTACAGATTAAATTGTATAATGTAAGTAATATGCCTTGTATAGTGTCTGTAATATAACATATGCCCATCAAAATATTTCTGTTCATGAAAAGTAACTTTTAAAAAACCTTAAGCTTTAATGGATTAAAAGAGTAAGTATTTTGCCCTTATTCTACTTGTCTATCGAGGTTGACTCTGGCCATTTAGAGACTCAGGATGATAGGCAAGTGATCATCTTGACCTTTTCTGGTTCCTGCGCAAAATGATGAAGGGGGCTCTCAAGGATGCTACTCTGGCACTTGAATATGCTAGCCTAGAAGGAATACACATTACATCAGCAAACAATTCATTAGCCAGAATCACAAGGAGCAGCAAGTAAAATCCTACATACATGTTTTTAGAAAAAGGAATAAAAAAATAAAGTATATATGTTTTGGTGTCACACAAACCCAAGGTTTAATCATCACTGCCCGATTTCCTAGTTATGTGATTTTGGTTACTAAACCAAAAATATTAAACCAACCAGCACATCTTACACATCCCACATTCTTCATTTTCTCATGATGGCTTGAAAGAGTAAATCCTCATGTATTTGGAATTGCCACTTTCCCTCCCATTGCTCAGATTCTGTGTTCTCTTACAGGCCCTCCTGCTATCTCCTGCTACAGGGGAAAATACTCTAGCCCTATTTTCTCAGTGGTCCAACATTATTTCAGCAAATAATGTTAACTAGATACTGGTATCTTTTTCCTGGTAATTAGTACATCCTGCTTTCTTCCACCATGATCCCCATTTCTTAGCAATACCTGACAGTTGGATAAAGAAGAGGTTTCATATAGGACAATAGTCTCTGAAAAGCAGGAGCTGAGTGGAAGCAGGTTATTACAAATCAGAAAAGGGAGAGTATCAAATCGTCAGGCCATTCCTTTGTAACCAGTCCTCTAATATGTGAAATTGAAAGAATAAGGAATGTGTCGCCACTAATATGCCATGCCTTCCCCACACACAGAGCCACTTTTGGTTTACTCAGGAGTGGAAAAGATCACTGAGCTTCATACAGCAGACAGATTTAAAACACTGTAACCAAAAATAAAAAATGTATAAGTTTTCAGACAAGGGTAAAGTTTTTTATCTGGGAGGCAGGGAGGAGATGGTGTGCTAGAGGTTAACTTTGCTTTTCAGAAGGTAAGCAAAATTTGGAAACAGTTACAATGAATCTTTGATTTGATTAATCAGACTCCAGCAATATCACCCCTCAATTATCCTGGTTCTGTTTGTCACCAAGAATTTTAAGAGGCAGAGGCAATAAATGGTAGCTAAAATATGTGATTCCAAGGACATTTTTTTAACTCAAAAGCAAGGTGCTGATCTCACGATATTTCTAATGTACTTAATATTGGTTATCTTTTCCTGTTTTCTTCTTTTAGCCAAAAAATAAGAAAATACTTCAGGAATGACTGAATCCAGCTGTATAACTGAGGTCATCACAACTTAGTTTTGTTTGTTTTTTTTTTTCCCTGTCTTTTTTGGGGTGCATTCCCTGCTGTGGTTTCTTCTGTGTAGAGAAAAAGCAAGCAGGTTTTCTTCTTACGGTGACAAAGATAGCTTTTGGCAGCCTCAGGCCTACCTGGGCCTTAGTGCTCAGTGTCTCAGGGGGAGGAAGTGACTCTTTGTGGATGGTTTCAGGTTTCTGATTGACCTGACTTTGCCCATCCCTGAACCAGTCATTTTAACCAGAGTTTTTCAGTATTTTGATTGGTCAGGCCTGTGTCATGCTCTCACCTGGAAGGCCAGGTATTGATTTTGATCCACCTGAAACTCATGAACTAAAAATTGAGGACTTCCTATGCTGTACAAAGATATTTTCATTACATTATCTTATGTGATTATATGACAACCCTATGAGAAAATGTAGACAAAAGTTAGGAGTGGTAGCTTGGAAAACTAGAAAGTCTTAGAGGCTAACAGGCATCAGTATATTTATGACTCTTCTGAATCTTTTACTTCTGTGCCTTCTATTAAAGCTATGTAACTTATTATAACCTTAATTACGTATCTCTAAACTGAGCATGAAATGCATGATTGTCACAGGCACTAAGCAAGATATAAAAAAGAAAAAAAGGGCATTGTATATTGCTGTAATAATTCTGAGTAATAAACAAACTCAAATTTCTGTGGCTTACAACAAGTTTATTTCTTAACCCTATGGGTTGGCTGTGATTCTGCTCCAATAGAATGGGCTTGGCTCTTGGCTATACGTCTGTTCACATCTGCTCAACATATTTTCTCATTCTCTGGCGAATAAGCTACCCAGGGTATTATGGCAGATGGCAGAAGCAGAGGAGGATAAGGCAAACCACATTAACACACTTAGTGGCCCTACTCACATTATATCTACTGACATCCCATAGGCCAAATGAAGTCACATGACCAAGCCCATTTCTGGGTTAGGAAATGTGCTCTCTCTGCCTACTCTGGTGACAGACATGGAATTCCCTTGGAAAGGGTGTGAATGTATAATTTTACCAAAGAGAAGGGATAATGAATGCAGAACAATATCCCAAATTACCATAAAACCATAGTTGACTACACAATTATAAGCTTTATCATTTGGAAATCCACTTTAGGATTTAGGGTAGGGAATTTATAATTAGAGAAAGTGTCTGATATCTGGTGTAACCCTTTCATTGCCAACTGGACTCTCTCCCTGCTGTGATTACCAGGCTTCCAGCAGTATCTTGGCTACTGGCTTCTGATTCTTGACTCTACTAGTACCTTACTTCCAGTATTTATCTCCTGGCTGTATAGCACATATCTCCTGAACTTAGATCCTCTACTCTCTCTGTTTCTTTGGCTCTCAGTAAAGGCAGGTAATTGTCTCCATAATCACTTCTGCAGCCCAACACAATGTCTGTCACATAGGAGGTGGTCAATAAATAAGCATTGACTCAATAAATGGAGAATGGCTATTGTGGCAAAGACTACTTGTGACCTACCCTAAATCTCCTCTTCCATCCCTCATGATGAATAGTAAACAAACCAATTGAGGTGGAGGTGGGGGAGGGTTGGAGAAGAGCAATAAACAGTTAAAATTAAAATTACATTTTCTATCCTCCTATGTGCCTAAAAATGGTCAATGAAATGTAAGTGGATAGTTTTAGGAAGGGCTTCTAAATTGTTGTTTTTAAAGGGTCAGTCCCCCTTTGCTCTTTCTCTTCTTTCTTTCTGGAATACAGACTTGATAGTTGGAGTTCTAGCAGTCATTTTAAAGTTTGAACACGCCCTAAAGATGGTAGTCAAGAGCTGGAAAAAGCCTAAGTCTCTGATGACTTGTGATCCCGGGAGTGTTAACATCTGAACTTCTTTTGTGTGAGATGAAAATGAACTCTTGGGCCACCGTGTGGCTTGCGCCCATAATCCCAGAATTTTGGGAACCTGAGACAGGAGGATTGCTTAAGCCCAGGAGTTTTAGACCAGCCTGAACTACGTAGAGAGACCTCATTTCTAAAACAAAAGAAAACAAACCCAAAAAACTCTTAATTCATTTAACCTACTGTTTGTGAGACAATGTTTATCTTATAGCCAAAAACAGTAGTGTCATAGGTTCCTTGTAGATGTTAATTGGATCTCATTTTGAAAGTAAAGATATAACTGGATTCTCATTGTAGGGACAGCAGAAACAGAAATAGAGTCAAATTGAAGAAAGATAGCTTGCTTGTCCATAGAGAACAAGAAGTTTCGATACTCAAGATCACATCAGTACTTTAAAAAAAATTCTTTCTCTCCCATGATTTGTTGTGTGGTCCCCATAGGCAAGGTACTGGACCAAAAACTTTATAGACATTATCTCATTTAAATCTCAAAACTGTTCCTTCAGACACTCAGCATCATTTCTGTATTACTCAATACAATATTCACTACAAAACAAAGGACAACTAATTCATTTCCTCAAGGCCATTCAGCCGGATCCAAACATGACTTGTTTTATTGTTAAATCCCATTGATCATTTTAAACCCTACATGCTGTTATATATTTTAAAATAAATTAGTGTTGTTTGAAAAATGAATAAACTAAAAATAAGGTATTAATGAAAATGTATGGTTGGGAGCACTGCAATTTTTTTTTTCTTTTGACATTCTTATGCCTTGAATAGGTGTGATTGGCCACCAAGGAAAATGGGTATAGTTTAAGTCCCATGTACATGAGGCCTCAAGCCAAATTAGACATTGATCATATTCTATTTACTGTAAACATACAGAAAACAGGTTATATTGGTTTCTTGCTAATTCTTCACTTTTTCTTCACTTTTTAGAAGGACCTAATATATGATTAGTTATCTTTGTTTTGAGTCAATAGGAACTTGTCTAAGATTTAAGACCATTTGTGTGCAGAGCAGGACCCTGCTAATGTGTTTCTAGGAAAGAAGAAAGGAAGAAATGAAGGAAGGAGGGAAGGAAGGAAGGAAGGGAGGGAGGAAGGGAGGAAGGGAGGAAGGGAGGAAGGAGAAGGGAATGGAAGGGAAGGGAGAAAGAAAGAGAGAAAGAAAGAAGGAAAGAAAGAAAGAGAGAGAGGGAGGAAGGAAGGAAGGAAGGAAGGAAGGAAGGAAGGAAGGAAGGAAGGAAGGAAGGAAGGAAAGAGAAACACAAGGAGAGAGAGAAAGGAATGGATGGAGAGAGGAAGGGAGGAAGCCATATTCTCCTCATCTCCAAAGGTGCATTAGCAACATCTCTGACCCACTTTAAGACAGAGCATGAGCAACATGTATTGAGTGGTACATTGTCTTTGAATATATAATGCACACATTTCCAAGTAAACTGTGATGGGGTAGAAAGAACTGTCACCACCTCACAAAGTTCAGAAATGCATTATGTGATTAATCAATAAATGTTTGTTCACTTTCTTTTATGTGTAAATATTATGCTGGGCTGTGAAAGGCAGGGAAGATGAAGGTGTATAAGATACAGATGATTTCCTCAATGCTTGCACAGTCTACCAAGGAACAAAATACCTGGATACAAATAACCAAAATAACTACTGTTGTGAATCTCTTTACAGGAAATCAACTAGCAAATGTTTCTCGAAGGTTGACTATGTGCCAGGCACTGTCCTAAGTGCTTAGAATATGCCAGTGAACAAAAAAGGCAAAAAAAAAAATTATTGTCCTTGTGATGCTTGTATTTTAGAAAATGACATTGGACTATGAGTTTCTAAGAGGCAAGCATGTAGCAGAGTCATTCCATTTACTCCTCAAAATGCCCTCTCTCTTGCCATCAGTTACCAGCATGTGACTAGTCCAGGCCAAAAAATGTGAGCAAAAATAATATGTATCACTTCTTAGTTGAAGCAGTGAAGAATTAAGAAATGAATGTATAATTTTTCATTCTCCTTCTTGCTCAACAAAGCTAGAAAAGCACAGTTTAGGTACAAAGACACACAAATCAAATACAGCATGTTCTCACTTATAAGTGGGAGCTAAGTGATGAGAACACATGGGCACATAGAGGGGAACACCACACGCTGAGGCCTATTGGAGAGAGAAGGGTTGGGAGGAGGGAAAGGATCAGGAAAAATAACGACTGGATACTAGACTTAATACCTAATCTGTACAACAAACCCCCATGACACAAGTTTACCTATATAACAAACCCATACATGTACCCCTGAACATGTATACGTATGTAACTAACCTGCACATTGTGCACATGTACCCTAAAACTTAAAGTATAATAGTAATAAAATAAAAAAAAATAAAAGTTAAAAGATAACAGTAACACACACACACACACACACACACAAAATTACAAAAAGGAAAAGCACAGTTCAAGACTTAATCTGAGTCTCTATGGGACTATATGGAGCAGAGCCTGACATCATTCCACATGGAGTTGAATATGTAGCATGAGAAAGAAAAAACTTCTTTGTTATGATAAACCACTGAGAATTTTGGGCCTCTTTGTTACCACAGTATAACACAGCCTATGCTGATTAACAAAGAAATAGATTTCTTATCAGTTTTGTAGCTACCACTCTTAGAAGGTGGCTTGTCTAGAGAAAGCATTCACAAATAACTGAGATAAATATAACTGCCCAGTGCAAAGCTTTGTGAAGGTCCAAAGGACAGAAAAAAACACTTTTGATTTGCCATCTCAATAAGGACTTCATGGGAACAATGGAATTTAAGCAGGGGGAAAGTATGACATTATGAGTACTATAGTCTTTGGCCTTAAACATACCTGGGTTTGATTCCCAGATCTATTGCCTACCTTGGAAAAGTACTTAGTTTCTCTGAGCCTCAGCTTCTTCATCTTTATATTAGGAATAATGCCTACTACTTCAAAGTATGTAGTGAGGATTCATGAGAAAACACTAGCAAAGTGTTTATACAATGCTAAACATAGTAAGAAATACATATCCATTTCAAGGTTCTGTATGTGTAGACAGTGATGGTGGTAGATGTTTACACATAAGAGTAGGAAAGTGCCAGGCTTGGTATTGTATACCTGTAGACACAGCCACTTGGGAGGCTAGGGTGGGAAGATCTCTTGAGCCTGAGAGGTCAAAGGTACAGTGAGCTGTAACCATGCCACTGCACTCCAGCCTGGATGACAGAGGGAGATTCTGTCTCAAAAAAAGAAAGAAAAAAAAAAGGGTAGGAAAGCTTAGTGCTTACCTGGAAAACAGGTATACTCATTTTAACTACATCATGTAGCCTAAAACTCAACAATTACATTTAGCATTTATATAGCTTTATATAGTTCCAAAGCACATCAGCATGCATTCATCATCTCTTCAGACGAACTCTCTAGAGAATTCTTTATGACTGCTAGCATTTAACAGATGTACATACTGAGGTTGAGAAACATACAATAATCACCCAAGGAAATTAATAGCAGTGCTGAGACTCAACCCTCTATCTGCTGATAAAACAGTTGGTGCTTTTTTTTTTTCTTTCCTAAGTGCTTTACATGAGAAGCTCAGTATAAATTACAGAAACTTTTTGCCAGGCACTCCTACTGTTTCATTGGTCAAGCAATATTGCCCATCTCTGTTCTGCCTCTGAGAGGTTCTCTCAGCCAGTATGACCCTCAAATTTCAGAAAGCCTATTAAGAGAACCTGGCAGGAGAAACAAATGTCTGTGACCTTCTTCTCTTTCTTGCAATTACTTTTCTTTGTAATTCTTATATACAGTTTTCCAACTCAATCTGTGACCTGGAAGTAAGGGCAGCTCTTTAAGCAGGTTGCTTAGAAACCAGTGATGGCGAGGTGGACAACTTACTGCCATTGCGAGGTGGAATCCTAACCACAGCACTTCATCCCAGATCCCAGTGACTTGAAACTCCAAAATGCCAATAAGCACATAATTACAGTGACTCTTTCATAAGTCTGGGTTATGCTAACAGGTCACATATCAGTTTGTAAGCAACTGCACTTGTTGACTGTTCTTATACAAAAGAAACAACTTGTACCGATGTGAGCTGGAGGTTCAGAAGATCTCTTTGATTCTCTTAATGAGAGCAATTTCAGATTCACCTGCCAGGTTATTACAGTTTCACATTTGTGAGTGCTGAGAAGTCTTCCTGAGGTGGATGTTGTGGATAAACCAGGACCAAATAAATATGATTTTTGTGAATAAGATAAGTGTCAGAGATGACATCCAAAGAAGGCAGCAAATACTGAGTCTGAACTTGCATTGTTTTGTCTGGCTTTAGAATTGGAAGGTACTTCATTTCCATTTCTCTCTTCCTGCTCCTATGACACAATTTGCTTATTCAAAATTAATAACATTGCCACCTTTAGTAGGTCCTTTCTCTTTTCTGTGAATTCCTTCCACTTCCCATATGGCTGAATATCTGGCTCAAAGACATAATAGTCTGGCCAATGGCCTATCAGTCTATCTCTTCTAATAATTTCAAATAAGATACGAGAGACTAGGACACTGGGGAACCAAGTCATATTTGTAGTAAATCACCTATTTAAGGGATAGTGAATAATTATTTTTACACTGGAACTGCCTTATTCCTCAGATGTGGCTGTTGACCTTTTCCTTGGATTGTGAAACACTACTATCCTTCCAAATGTTTTCTTTCATTTGTATAAAAAAAGTTTGATAAAGCTCTTCCTTTTTTCAACCACATCATTTTTAAGCCACCGCCAACTCCAGCAATAGAGGATAAAAGCCTCTGTCCCTTCTTAGTGACCTTCCCTCCCCTTCTCAAATTGCCTATGCAACCAAATATAAAGCCTAATTATTTCACCTCTAAAATCCATTCTCCATTCCACACATTCCTATAGCTCAAATCTTTGTGTAAACTTTGGTTTCTCTTAACTAGAATTCTCATCTTGCCTTCTTTGATTTAATTCTCTGCCATGAAAGAGGAATCTTTTTTTTTTTTTTTTTTTTTTTTTTGAGACAGAGTTTTGCTCTTGTTGCCCAGGCTGGAGTGCAACGGCAGAATCTTAGCTCACCGCAACCTCCGCCTCCCAGGTTCAAGTGATTCTCCTGCCTCAGCCTCCCTAGTAGCTAGGATTACAGGCATGTGCCACCACACCCGGCTAATTTTTTATTTTTAGTAGAGACGGGGGTTCTCCATGTTGGTTAGGCTGGTCTCGAACTCCCGACCTCAGGTGATCCTCCCACCTTGGCCTCCCAAAGTGCTGGGATTACAGGCATGAGCCACCATGCCCAGCTGGAATAAATTTTATAGAAGGAAAACCTCAAGTGGAATAATCAAGCCTCCCATTTGGCCAGAACCTTTACATTCCCTACCTATTTAATCCATGCTAAGAATTACAGGCTGTTTTGTGTTTTTCTATATG
Source organism: Homo sapiens (assembly GCF_000001405.40). Lineage (NCBI taxonomy): Eukaryota > Metazoa > Chordata > Mammalia > Primates > Hominidae > Homo > Homo sapiens. The sequence continues at coordinate 118,142,044 of NC_000009.12, read as the reverse complement.
CCCATTTTTCGGGTGAAGAGAACTTAAGAGTCAGTGATATTAGGAAACCTTTTCATGATCACAAAGTTGGCAAATGATGAAGCCAAGCTTCAGAACCAGGCTGGCAGACTCAAGCGCGCATTCTTTCAATCATTATGCTAATTTATCCCCCAGTTAGATGTAAACTTAAGCATATTTCACCAGCTTACGCATCTAGAGAGGACAGATATAGGATATGAATCCAGGATATGGCCCATTCCCATTATATGACATTCTGTTACCCTCTTATAATTCCCCTGCTTAAAAATTCCTTTGGCAACATGTATCCTTTTACTGACCATGACCTTTTATGCACAATTTAGCTCTAACTAAACTTCTCAACTTCAAGTCCCATCATCTTCATCTTTCTGTCCAGTATTCATCCATCCCATCTAAACATTTTCTTTTGTGATTTCCCTCTTTCACGTTTCAAGCCAGTAAACTCCTATTCGTCACAGACCAGCTTGAATATTTGCAAATAGTATGCAAGTGATCCATTAAACTCAAATTATTTGCCTATTATTAGGCAAAACTTCTCATGGCTACTCCAAAAACACCTAGTACAAGGAGCTGTGTGACGGTGTGGGAGTTGTAAGGGAAGGATATGAACAATGTAAATTATTATTAACTCTCAGGCATTGAGAAGGAACTCACATAAATGAGGACCCTGAAGCTTAACTTTAGATTTTGTCTCTGACATTCATTCTTAAACCTCTCTAAGTGTGGAAATGGCTTCTATTCTTCTTAACTATATCTAAGTAACTGAAATTCCATTCATTATATAGTAAAACCTCATTAAATATTTTACTCTATAAACAATATTGGTGGATTTTTATTTTCATGTATTTGTTTGTTTTGATCAATACTGTACTCTAAGAATATCCATCTACCTCATTCTTCATCTGGGCTTAAGCTGGCTGAGTTTGGATAATCTTAATGACAATGATGGAGTACTGTAACACTTGAGACAGCTTCTTCCAAAATTAAGCCCTACCATTTATTAGAATTTCTCAGAAAAAAAAAATTGTGCTTTGGGATCAATAGTTGCTTCACATTGGTGGTTATATGTGATTTCCTAAGAAGGAAAAGTAAAATAATGAGTAGGGGAGAACAGAGAATAGGAATAAGAATGAGAATTGGGAAGAACAAAAAGAAGATAGAGGGAACAAAGGAGTGGGAAAAGAAAGGGAAAGATTTGAGAGTATGGAGCAAATACATTGCAGGAAGGAGGACTACATTTAATTAATCTTTACTATAAGCCAGACACTGTACATTGTTTCACATATATTTGGTCTGTTAATTCTTACAATGGCACTCTCAGGTAGGTGTTTTTATCCTCATTTTACATATGGGAAAATTGATGCTTGGGAATTTTGAGAAACATCCCGTAGTATACAGGTGCCATAGCTGGGGTTAACTCCAGTATTATTCTGTGTTCTTAATCACTCTGATACATCAATCACCTCTCTTTGGTGTTAGCCGTGCTTTTGGGTCACCCTGGACATTATAGTCTTCATCTTTCCCATGGCAAACCTACGGATACTTACAGGAAGTGGTCATATTTCTCTTGAGTTCTTTCTTCCTCAGTTTAATATCCTCTTTTTTCTCCAATAAGTTCTCAATTCTTACTTCTACTGACCTTTTATGTCAATCTCTTCCATCAATTTTTTCTCTCCCCACAGTTTTTATTGTAACTATGGAGACCCTCAATGTGCTACTCACAGCTTCTTCTATAAACACTGCCAAAGTTTTTTTTAATCTCAGAAAAGATAGAGTATAATGAACTATTTATTTCCCTCTTTTTCATTTACTTGAAAACAAGATGTAGCAAAAGACCATGGCCACAGGAATTCTATTTAGAGAGACAATATAGCTTAAATGACAGTGATTTGTGTTCTCAGCCTGTCTACGCCATTTACTACTTGTGTAATCTTGGTTAGGTTATTTAGCATTTCTAATACTTAGTTTGCCTTTCTATAAAGTCATATATTAATACCTATAAACAAGGTGTTGAGAAGATTAATCAAAATAGCACTTGTCAATCATAAGGCACACTGTAAGGTCAAAGCCAAGTGGTTTTCATTATCTTTATCAACCCGGTGTCCCCACATTCTCATTCAGACTGCATCAAACTATGCTCATTAGCAAAGCACAACCTTCTGTCTTCATTCCATGTCATGAGATGACTTGTGATATCCGCAGTTTATAGATCATGTAATGTATAAGCTAGATAGACTTGATGAATATTCCCTGTGACTTAACTTTACATGTGAATGAACAGTATCCAAGGACAAGAAAAGACTTTCCCCCAGGACAATGTAGGTTCCTAAAGGCAGAACTATAAGCAGAACTGATGATTTTTGAGATCCAATCCAATATAGTTACATATAAATCTTACTGATTAGCAAGATTCAAATTTAGATGACAGGATTATGATAACTAACGGGTTGCCAATCTATGTACTTTACCTAGTTTAATTTTTTTTTTTTTTTTTTTTTTTGAGATTGAGCTTTGCTCTTGTTGCCCAGGCTGGAGTGCAGAGGCCTGATCTCAGATCACTGCAAACTCTGCTTTCTGGTTTCAAGCGATTCTCCTGTCTCAGCCTCCTGAGTAGCTGGGATTATAGGCGCCCACCATCACACCCAGCTAATTTTTGTATTTTTAGTAGAGACGGGGTTTCACCATGTTAGCCAGGCTGGTCTCGAACTCCTGGCATCGTGATCCACCCGCCTTGGCCTCCCAAAGTACATACTAGGCATAAGAGAGGACAATGAGAAAATATATTTGGTTATAGGGGAATTTGAAGCACTCCTCACCAAATTCACTAAGATTACCTTCTTACCAGGTTTAGCCATGCTCATGACAGGCTCAGACCCTGGTGACAGAATCAAATGACTTGGATCCCAGGCTTGGTTCTACTATTTGTGAAGTGACCTCAAGAAAGCCATTTAACAACTTCTAGATTTTTTTTTTTTTATCAATGGCTTAGTGAGTAAATCAAAGTACTGTTCAGATAATCAACTGATACAGTTAATTTTTTAATTTAATTTTTCTTGTTATAGTTTTACTTTTTTTCACATGCTTATTGAAATAAATGTGTATGCAACTAAGTACCTAAATCTAAAGTATAAAGGTAAATGAAGCCAGATCAAGATATAGAATAGTTCCATAACCCCAAAAGGTTGTCCCAATAATGTTACAGATTTAGCAAATAAAAAATGAGACACCCACTTACAGTTGAATATCATATAAAAAACCATGTGTTAATATATGTTCCATGCAATATTTGTGACTCCCTGCCATGTCTTTTCTTAGCAAATTTCATGCCTGCTTCCTCTTAGTAACCACTATTCTTATTTCTATCAACCAGATTCCCTTTGCATAGTCTTGAACTTCATATAAAAGGAATTATACAGTATATACTTTTTATGTCCAGCTTCTTTTGCTCGACACAATGTTTTTGAAATTCATCCATGTTGCTATGTCATAGTTTGCTCTGGAATATACTACAGATTATTTATTCTCTTATTGATGGATTCATTTTATTCCCAGGTTAGGGATATTACAAATACTGCTGCTATAGCTATCCTTGTACATAGTGTGTGTGTGTGTGTGTGTGTGTGTGTGTGTGTGTGTGTGTGTGTGTGTCTGTTTATGACATTTGGGTAGGTTTGAGGGGTTATATACCTAGGAGTGAAATTGTTAGGTCACCAATCAAATCTAGTTTCAGAATGTACTGGCAAAGTGGATAAAACTATTTACACTTCCACTGGCAATACATGAGAGTTCCAGGGGTTCTACATTCTCACTAACAAATGATAATGTCAGTCTTTTCAATTGTCATTCTAGTGATTGTGCAGTGGCATCTCATTTAGGTTTAAATTTGCAGTTCCCTGGTGTATAACAAGTATGAAAGATAAATATCTATCAACCATTAAGATATCCTATTTTTTAAAGTGCCTATTCAAATACTTTGCCCATTTTTATTTGGGTTGTTTTCGTATTTTTTTCAGGTTTTGTTAGTGTTTATAATGGAAAGTAAGTCCAGTACCAGCTACCCCATCATGGCCAATTTAATTGTTTTGAAACAGATTTATGAATTGCAAAGTACTGTAAAATGTCATTTATATGATTATTATTAATAGTATTATCTTTAAATTTTTATTATAATATTATAGTCAGAGAAAGGACTTTTCTCATTTTTGCTGTCCTGCCCAAAGTGTCACTGTGCCTTGCGAAATTGTATGTCAATGAGATTTATTTATTTGTGTATACTGGCAGCCTTTGAAATAAGAGATTCCCAGTCTACATACATTTTATTTCTATCATAACAGTGTGTACTTCCTTTCTAATCAAACAATATGTGAAGAGCAATTTAAGTCATTCATGATATATTTATTTCACAAACTTTATAGCATAAAAGGCCAGCAGAGGTGCAAGTTCCAGGGGAGACTGTAAAACTGTAGCAATAGCATGAATGTTGGAGTCAAAAGATCCAGTATGAAGAATCAGCTCTGTCATTTTCTGATTATATAACCTTGCATCACTTATTCAGCAATGGCATTCCTTAACTTTTTTCTTTTCAAGTGGTATGGATAATATTCCACACACTCCCTACCTCAAAGAACAATGACGAGGTTCAACAGAATTTATCTGCAATATTAAGTTCTAAGGGAAAAATAACTCAACTATTTATTGCATGCTTTTTTTTTTTGAGACAGAGTTTTGCTCTTGTTGCCCAGGCTGGAGTGCAGTGGCGTGATCTCGGCTCACCGCAACCTCCACCTCCCAGGTTCAAGCAATTCTCCTGCCTCAGCCTCCCGAGTAGCTGGGATTACAGGCATGCACCACCATGCCTGGCTAATTTTTTTGTAGTTTTAGTAGAGATGGGGTTTCTCCATGTTGAGGCTGGTCTTGAACTCCTGACCTCAGGTGATCTGCCCGCCTCGGCCTCCCAAAGTGCTGGGATTACAGGCGTGAGCCACCGCGCCCTGCCTATTGCATGCTTACTAAATATTAGGTTGTGCTAAGGCACTGTTATTTCATAAGGCAACCTGTTTAATATTTATAATAATCTTGTGATATAGGTATTATTATTCCTATTTTACATATCAGGAGACAGTGATAAAAGGGGCCAGGTAGGCTGCCTAAAATCACCACACCTGGGTTGCAAACACAAGCCTATTTAAATCTGAAGGCAACCTGTGCAGGCATTATTACCGCATTTGCAGAACAATTGCTAAGTCACTGTATGAGTGCAGCCAAGTCTCATAATTGAATAGGGCAGACACAATAATTCAGTCCTTCCTAACATCCTAAAACGTGTGTGTGTGTGTGTGTGTGTGTGTGTGTGTGTGTCAAAGAGAAAAAAGTAGTTGTTATAACACTTGAACTTTAATTTTCAAACTCTATTCCCATTTCAGATATTTGTTATTAAGGATTCCTTATGCTTTTGGAGGAACGAAAGGAAAGAAGTGTGGAGGTGGAAGAACTCTTGTTCTACTCTGGAGGTACCCAAATGAAATTAAACATAAGAGATAGTCTTTTCTTCTGTGATCACCAATCATGTCCAAGGAATAGGCCTGTCCAAGAACCACTTGCATCCTTCATTTCAATAAATCAGACATTGGGATCAGTAGAGTATAGATTACAGGGTTATCCAGCAAGGTTATCAGTGATGCCTTCCTTGTCTTTATACAGTGTATCTGCTGTATTCCTAATTGATACATTCAGGATCCATAGGACTGTGCAGGGTAGTCATGCTGCGTTTTATCCTGACAGAGAAAACACTCTGGCTGAATCTAAAATGAGTTGTTTATAGCTCTTGTCTTCCTGGTGCTGGCATATACCTGAAAGAGGTAGAAATGGTAGAAATGAACAGTATTCTAGAACCCAAGAAATTATACCTTCTGGTTTGGCAGGAACTGTTGCTTATCCATAAAAATATAAGAAGCTTTGGGAATGGCAATGATGTTAGTTAATAAAAATTTCAACTTTAGGTAACTCTAAAATTTACAAAATGCATTCACACATAACATCTTAATTTTCTAAAGAACTCAGTGAGGTAGTTTTCATTGGTCCTCTTCTTTGGGTGAGGATAGTGTGGATCAAAGAGGTTACATGTGTCACACAGCTAGCTAATGAGAGGCAGAACTCAGGCTTCTTGGTTCCTGGGTCAGTTGATTTCCCATTGTGTTGAATTGTTTTTAGGGAACCAGGGACTAACATGTCCTGAATCAAAAACAGGAGTCTGGAAGAAGTGAAAAAATGATGGAATGAGGGGCAGGCTACTGGAACCCACCAGAGAATCAGAAGAATGTCTTAATTAAAGGTTTGAAGCAGAGAGTAAGACAAGAGCATTGTATTCCAGAACAACACAAATTGGAGTGAGAAATCAAATGGCATCGTGCAGGATGAAGCAACAGACTGGATCCAGGATATCCCTGCTCTGTTACAGACTCCACCACTTAATAGCTACATGATTATGAGTAAGTCACTCAATGCCATTGAACATCTCTTTCTTCATGTACAAACTGGGGGTTGTATTATTTGCCTTGATTTTCTTACAATTCTGCTGAGAGTTAAGACAAGAAGTAAAATTTTGTACAAAGTATAATGATCTATACAAATAAAAGACGTTTCTACAAGTGCTACCATTTCTGCTATTATAGCACTACTACTCTAGTTTTGAAATTATCGAAGAATGCACTAGCAAAATTACCGGACATAATAGTAAAATTTTGTTGCAGGTAAATTTAGCACAGAGTCTTTTCCAAAGTAAATACTCAATAAGCGGTTGTTTAAATTTAAATAATTAGTTCTGCTTTTTTTTTTTTCAGATTCTCTATTTCTAGACTTTTCCTGACTTACAGGTATCTCTTCTTCTCAGAATGAAGCATTATTTTTTTAATGTTTTTAGACTCTTCTTCAGTGGACTGGCCTCGTTGATTATTTTTGTTGTTTGATCTAACATCTACATTGCCAACTTTCCAACTAACAGCTATCATTTTAGGATTGTGCCTTGTACACTGGCTAAGATCCCCCAAAGTTCAGCAGGACCTGTTTCCCTGTTCACCTGCATCAGATGTTGGAATCTGACAGTCTGAGAACATTTGTCTCAGAGATAATGATATAGGGGTCCCATTCTTGCTTTGGCTCTTACCAACTGGAGCTAAGTATAAATCATGTCCTTTTAGGTGAAATGTGTACTGTCCATTCACCAAAGTACCCACTGGTCTCATTCTCTCACTTACATAGCCCTTTAGACATTTAAGTTTGAGGCTTCTTTCCTAGAATGTGATCAGACTCTGCCTTCCCCAACAAATAAAATAATATATGCAGGTCCGTTTCTCCATCTCCAGACCTACTGTAGGCAACACATCAAGTGCAAATTTCTGGCCGTTCTTACCTCATCTCTCAGCCCACCACATAAGGTGCTAAGGTTAGTTATCGGCAGTCTTTAAAATTAGGAACAATATCAGAAATTGCCAACCCTTGATATGAAAACCAAGAGAATGTATTTGACACAAAGTAGATTTTAATTCAATTCAATAGATATATTGAAGCCAATTGGCTGTTAAAAAGAAATTTCCTTAAAATGCATTTGATAATTGTGTTAGTGATATTGCCCATGGGTCTAGCCAAAACAACAGGTTTTCCAGGATTCAATATGGAAAACACAATATAACTGAACATGTCTATGAATCTAAGCACAGGAGTATAATTAGTGTAACTTTAAGGCCTATTTGTGAGTACCAATAATTCTAGAGTAACCAAAATATAAAGGTCAATCAATTCCACCATAACTTGCAGGTCTAAAATAATAAAATTGGCAATATATAATAACACAAGTGTTCTGCATAAATGACAAAAAAGGAACTTACAGGAAAAATGTGAGTGTGTTTTCAGCACTGCTCAGGTACAGTTAGTCATTTGGAAAAGGTTGGCCCCATGAACATGTTTTAAGATGTACAGTGTCCCAGTCTCTGAGTTAGATAGTAAAATAGCAAGAAATAAAGGCATATCTTTTTGTTCCAGAAAGTCGCATTTCAGAAGTGGACCCAAATTTGTATATACACACACATCCAAAAAACAAGTTATTTATTTATTTATTCATGCAGGTGATATTGGCTGGACCTCTTGGATGCAAGTACCAGGCAGAGGATGATGCACATAACAGACCAGACCCTGTCCTGTCAGGATTTACTGTCTAGAAGTAGAACTTGATAATGAACAGTGGACAGATACATTCCAAATAGTGAAACAGCACTTTTCATTTCCTATTCTAAATAAAGCAATATTAAGTAGGTGAGATATATGATCACGTTTGTGTTTTTGTAAAAGGGTTATTATGAGAATAAATTGGGCAGAAATTGAGGCAGGGAGATGAGTTAGAAACCTATTGGAAAGCAGAGATAACATAAACTTGGACTTGAATGTGACAGTGGGCATATAAAAAAATAGATTGATTTGAAATATACTTTGAAAATAGAAAAAGGACTTAGAGATGCATAGATATGATGTGAGAAGGAAATAAAAAATCAAGGACAATTCGTAGATTTCCAGCTTCAGCAATAGAGATGAGAAAGCTGGAGTAGAGAATTCATAACATTTGGTTTAAGTTTGAAATATCTGAGTGTCATTGAAGTGGAAATATTAAGTAGACAATTATTCATGTGAGTATGGAGTGCTGAGGCAAGATTTTGTTTTGGAACAAAAAGTTTAATATTAAACACAATGCAAAAAGTACTACCTGTTATGTGATAGAAATATGAGAGAAAAATTGAGATCCTTAAAAGGACAACCCTACCAAGAAGAGAAAAAGAAATATACTATTTGAGTTTTATAAAACTAACTATTTCTGTCACTGAATCCACTTTATTCCAATTTTATTTTCATACCATGATGTGTAGATAGTAATTTATAGTCTCATATGTATTTTTCCACTAGGTCAATAACTGGTCAATCAGCTGAAATTAAAATGGCCTGAAATTGGTATAGAGAACACTAGGTTAAACTTAGCAAACTATGGTTTCCTGATCTAGCCCAGATTCTTGTTAACTAGGGGAATTTAGACATATCTCTCTATGTCTCTAAGGTTCAATGTCAATCTTCAAAATGAGAAAAATAATGACTGTTTCTACTCAACTAAAATTTATACTAAGTATCTATTTCTGGCTGAAGTGAAATAATTTATGGCAGAACATACACACCAAGAATAATTATAAAAGGTAAATAAAATATTTTAAAAATAGTAAAAACATCTGAATGAAGGCATCAAAATATCAATAAAAAATTCAGAATTTGAATGGACAAAATTCAAGGGAAAAAGTAACCAGAAAGTTATGAACCAACATTCTAGAAGCCATATTTCCTCTCAAAGCATTTGGCAATTTGGAGATCATAGCAAAAGTTTGAAGATACTAACAGGAAGTCAAGGTTAAGAGGCAGGAAAACAATCAGATGTTTTGGCAATCTCAAAAGGATAGGGGGACAGAAAATGGAGTCTGAATTTGTCAAGGCAGCTGGGCTTGAGGATCCAAGTTCCTAACAAGAAGGAAACCCAGAAAATTAAGCCAGACCTGCTGGGTTTTTCCCCTCAAGACATTACCACATGCAAAAGTAAAAATGACAAGACTTTAAGAGATAAATAAGAAGTTAGAAAAAATAAAACTGAAAAAAGAAAACAAAATGAAAGTTAAAATATTAAAAGGAAAAAGAAATGAAACATACCTTCTGGTTTTAGCTCTGACATGCAAAACTTTGGAAGTCATTATTCCTGTTCTTACAATAAGAAACAGTTGAACAAACTAAAAATCAACAAGTTTTCCTGAACCTATTTGAAATCTGAGCTTTCAGGACAAATCAATATTTTGAAGTTTGCAGAGGCAAACACACTCAGAGTCCCACAGTTGAGATATGATTACCGAGAGCAGAAACTTCTGGAGCCTGGAAATAGTATAAACACTTAAATTGTAATATTGATGAATTGCAATAAGCTAAATGTAGAAAGAAGGAGAGTAGGAAATTTCTGGGTCCTCAATTTTAGGTGGCCTCAAATGCTTTCATGGCTTAATTCCAGGAACACTACCAAGCTCTCAGCAGTGAAGATCTCAGAAAGATCTCATGCTCTGGTATTTATATGCAAATGTAAGACTCTGCTAGGCTAAAAAGGAAAGGGTGGAGAAAGATATACAGTACAAACCAAATCAGAAATCCTAGAGTAACTGTATTACTTTCAAACAAAGGATTCTTTAGAACAAGAAAGCTCGTCCGAGATAAACAGAGGCATTACATAAAGAGTAAGTGGGTCAATTGGGTCAATTATCTAAGAAGAAATAACAATCTTAAACATAAGTGCACTTAACAACAAAGCATAAAATTTTATGTGACAAAAATGGGTACATCCACACAATGGAATATTATTCAGCAAGAAAAAATAGTGTGCTATTAAGCCACAAAAAGGCATTAAGGTACCTAAAAAATGCCTATTACCAGGTGAAAAGGCCAGTTTTAAAAGGCTGTATGATTCCAATGGTATGACATTCTGGAAAAGGCATAACTATAAAGACAGTAAAAGGATCAGTAGCTACAAAAGAGATGTGGTGGGTAGAATTAATAAATGAAGCACAGGGCATTTTTAGGATGGTACAACCACTCTGGAAAACCTCAGTATCTACTGAAGAAGAATAGCACTTACAACATGACCTAGGAATTCCTTTCCTAACTACATATCCACAGGAAATAGGTACACAAATACCTTGAAGATATTGTGGGTTTGATTCCAGACCTCTGCAATAAAGGGAATATTACAATAAAGTGAGTCTCATAAGTTTTTTGTTTCCAAATGCACATAAAATTTATTTTTACATTATGTTATAGTCTATTAAGTGTGTAATAGCATTATGTATAAAAATGTACATGCCTTAATTTAAGAACACTTTATTGCTAGAAAGTGCTAATGATCATCTGAGTCTTCAGTGAATCCTAATCAATAATTTTGCTGATGGAGGGTCTTGCCTTGATGTTGATGGCTGCTGACAAATTAGGGTGGTGGCTGCTGAAGGTTGAAGTGCCTGTGTCGATTACTTAAAATAGGACAACAATAAAGTTTTCCACATCTATTGTCTCTTCCCTTCACAAAAGATTTCTCTCTATCATGTAATGCTTTCCCATAGCATTTAACTCTGTATAATATCTTTCAAAATTGGAGTCAATCTTCTCAAACCCCACCACTGCTTTATCAAGTAAGTTTCTGTAAGTCCTTTCTTGATATTTCAACCATGTTCACATCTTCAACAGGAGTAGATTCCGTCTCAAAACACTGCTTTCTTTGCTCATCCATAAAGAGTAAAGACGTACTCCCTATCCGTTAAGGATTTATCATGATATTGCAGAAATTCAGTCACATTTTCAGGATCTACTTATAATTCTAGTTCTCTTGCTATTTTCACCACATCTGCAGTTACTTCCTCCGTTGATTCTTTAACCCCTCAAAGTAATTCATGAGGGTTGTAATCAGCTTATTCCAAACCCCTATTAATGTTGATATTTTAACTTCCTCTCATAAATCCAGAATGGTCTTAATGACATCTAAAATGCTGAGTCCTTTCCAGAAGATCTCCCACATATTTTGTCCAGATCCATCAGAGGAATCACTCTTCTATGGCAGCTATCACTTAAAAATGTTTTTTTTTTCTTAAATGTATTTTTTGTTTCAGTGTTTTTTTAAATTTATTTTTCCACCCTTAAGGGCCTCACTTTAATGTTTATAGTTTATTGTAGCCTAATTCAGCTCTTGGTGCTTTCATGGGTGAAGAGTTCCTTGGTTATAGAGGGTCTTTTTATGATAGCTTTCTCAGATGCTAGTAGTAGCAATGTGCTTGATGTATGAGCAAGTTCACTGTATCCCATGAGACTGCAATGGCAGAGATCTCTTGAAGCTTATCTCATTCCCCTGTGGTGTGCACTTATTTATTTATTTTTCCCCCAGTATTTTATTAACTGGATTGAATAGTTCAGTCTTTAGGATAGTAAGGGAAGTGTCCTTGGGTAGAAACTGTTTGTATTTAAAGTAGGTGGGTAAATGCAACACCCAATGGCGGGCAGAAGTCCCAGCCTTGAGCGAGGTGGCTGAAGGAGCTCTCAGTGAAACATACTGAGTTTTTATCAAGGGATAGTGTGGGAGCCACCTCAGCTCCCCTTCCAGGTCAGCAGGAAAGTGATTCACCTCCTTGTCACACTCCTGACCCAGTGCTTCAGCTATTCAGATTGGTCAGGCATGTCTTTTCTTCTGCAGAATTGTTAGTGTTCCAAGTAGAGACGAATTATGTAAGCCTGAACCTGGAAGGCACTCCTTCTGTGGGGATGCAGTCACCCTGAGTGTTCCAGAAAGGCTGTCTATAGGTGTACTCATGCTGAGCTCCCATGGGAAAATCCCAGCTGTGTCTGCAGTGGTGGATGAGAAGGAAAAGTCATCCCCTTCTCCAAGACCCTTCACATGCACCAGGGCTGCCTGACTGTCAGGTAGAGCTGTGGACTTTCCCTGCTGAGCCCAGCACTGCCCCTGTGCCTCTGCTGAAAGAAACTTTCTAGTAGAAGAAAGTTCTGGGACTCAGGGCTTGCCATCCAGATTGTTTTATCTCACAGGGTATTCCCTTGATATGGTACACTTTCCTTTGGAGCCCCTGAGAGCCATACTACTGTGAAACCTGCTGCTCCTCTGGGTCTAGCCACCTAGTGGGGTTGCCACGCTCCAGGCTGGTGATGGGGAATTTCTGCAAGGGATCAAATGGTGTGATTTGTCCTCAAGTCTCCCAGTAATGGGTACCAGCACCAGCTCTGATGGGGTTGGCAGTGGAGTGATGTAGACTCTGTAAGATTTCTTGGTTATACATGGCCTTAGCGTATTGCCTTTCTCAAATACTGGTTGTAGTAGTCATGAACTGGCACACGAACACACTCAGAACCTCCTGGTCAGCCAGGGTGCTGTGGGTAATGGTGATAGCTGAGGTCACATACAAGTTTTCTCCTTCCTGGGAACTGTGTTATTCTACCTGGAGGTGCTGTAATGGACTGTGTTGTTTGGCCTCCAGCCAGGAGGTGGTACTTACAAAAGAGTGCCAGCTGTGGTGGCAGTGGTGGATTTGTGCTTGTCCCTTACCCAGGGGAGGTATTCTGGATTCTCAGGCAATGGGTGGGGCCATAGAGCTCCAAAAACTTTCTGTTCATTGTGCTAAGCTACCAGGATGGGTAGAGGGGCAAAGCCAGGTTGGGGATGGGTCAGGCAGGTCTGCACTCTGGCTCTCCACATGTGGGTCAAGCAGCAGGCCCAGTAGGGGTGGGAGGTCAGTTATCTGGCCCCAGTATAATATTCCAGAGAGAAGCACAGCTGCCTGTTGCACAGAAGAGTTCACACAAGAAGTGGGGAGTAGCAGGCAGCACTAAGCCCCACCCAGCTCTCACATACTTGGCAAGGCAGGTCTCATACCTGCAGTGTTCCATTAGCAGCAGCTAGCTAAGATCCAGGCAGTCTGTGCTCAGAACTCAAAACTCCCGCAGGTGATAAACCTTCCCAGTGGAGATGGCAACTGAGGCTTTCAGTCCATGCCTCTTCCTGTCTGCCTGCAAAGCCAGGCACCCAGCTCCTGCACTGGTGGCTGCAGCACACTTCCCACTCATTCTCCAGTGCTGGCCAAGAGAGTTCGCCCTCACTAGAGATTATACTGTGTATTTCAATTGAGAGCATATCTCAACCTGTGACCACTGCCTAAGTTAGCTCAAAGATTTCTGCAAGGTCCCCTGGGAGGTAGGATAAAAAATGGCTTCCCTCCATCAGCACTGGAGACTGGGAATGCAAGCAAGGCTCTTTTCTTGGCTGCTCCTACTTTTATATTTCCCACGGCTCCCTAAAACAGTTCCAGTGCTAGGTAGGGTTAAGGCCTTCCACCACGGTCTGGATTGCAAGGCTCCCTAGTGGGAATATATATCCTGGAAGCAGTTTATCCCCCTCTCACACTCTGGGAACTTACAGTTTACTGCCTGTCTCATGGTGTAGGCTGCAGCCTGCCACTTCTTTCAAAGGATCTATGCTTTCTTCAGTTTTCCCATTAAGTTCCTGCATTGCTTCTTGGAAAAAATTTCCATGTGAATTTCTACACACTATATTGTCTTTCCCTGTGGGAGAGGCATGCTAACAATGGTTCCAGTCTGCCATCTTGGAAAACAAATGTATTTTTTAAATAGTAAGACTTGAGCATCAAAATTACTCTTTGATTCGTGGGCTGCGGAATGGACGTTGTGTTAGCAGGAATGAAAACAACATTAATCTTCTTGTACATGTCCATGAGGGATCTTGGGTGACTGGGTGCACTTTCAATAAGAAGTAATATTTTGAAAGGAATCTTTGTTTCTGAGCAGTAGGTCTCAAGTGTGGGCTTAACATAATCATGCTGTAAAACATGCTGTCATCCAGGCTTTGTTGTTCCATTTATAGAGCCCAAGCAAAATAGATCTAGCATAATTATTAAGGGACCTAAGAATTTTGGAATGGTAAATGAGCATTGGCTTCAATTTAAAGTCAGCAGCTGTGTTATCCCCAACAAGAGTGTCAGTCTGTCCTTTAAAGCTGTAAAGCCGGGCATTGACTTCTCCTCTCCAGTTATGAAAGTCCTAGATGGCATCTTAATATGTTATAATATGTTACTTTTAATACAAGACTGTTTCAACTGCATTGCAAATAGGTTGCTTAGGGTAGCCACCTTCATCAATGATCTTAGCTAGATCTTCTGGATAACTTGCTGTAGTTTCTACATTAGCACTTCCTGCTTCAACTTACATTTTTATGATATGGAGACAGGTCCCTTCCTTAAACTTTACGAATCAACTTATGTTTGCTTCCAACATGCATTTCTTCTGTAGCCTCTTCACCTTTCTCAGCCTTCATAAAATTGGAGAGAGTTCGGGCCTTGCCCTGGATTAGGCTTTGGTTTAAGGGAATGTTGTGGCTGGTTGATCTATCCAGATCACTAAAACTTTATTCATATCAGCAATAATGCTGTTTTTCTTTGTTGGCATTTGTGTGTCTTCTGGAGTAGCACATTAAATTTCCTTCAAGAACTTTTCCTTTGAATTCGCAACTTGGCTAACTCTTTGGTGTGAGAGACTAGAGCTTTGAGCCCATCTTGGCTTTCAACATGCCTTCCTCACTAAGGTTAATAATTTCTACCCTTTTGATTTAAAGTGAGAGACATGAGACTCTTTCTTACCCTTAAACATTTAGAGGCTATTGTAGGGTTATTAATTGGCCTAATATTACTACTGTTGTGTCTTGTGGAATAAGGAAACCTGAGGAGAGGGAGAGACATGGGGGAATGGCTGGTCCATGGAGCAGTCAGAGCACACAAAATATTTATCAAATAAGTTTACCATTGGTATTAATTAAGGTTCTGTAAAGGGACAGCATTAATAAGATAAATGTATACATGAAGGGGAATTTATTAGGAGAATTGACTCACACAATCACAAAGCGAAGTCCCACAGTAGCTCATCTGCAAGCTGAGAAGCAAGGAAGCCAGTTTGATCCCAAAACTTCAAAAGTGGGGAAGCCAACAGTGCAGCCTTCAGTCTGTGGCCAAAGGCCTAAGAGGCCCTGGCAAATCACTAGTGTAAGTCCAAGAGTTCAAAAGCTGAAGAACATGGAGTCTGAAACTCAAGGGCAGGAAGCATCCAGCACAGGAGAAAGATGAAGGCCAGAAGACTTAGCAAGTCAGCTCCTTCCAACTTGTTCTGACTGCTTTATTCTAGCCGTGCTAGTGGCTAATTAGATATTAACCACTCAGATTGAGGGTGGGTCTGCCTCTCCCAGTCCACTGTCTCAAATGTTAATCTCCTTCGGCAACACCCTCACAGACACACCCAGAAACAATAATTTGCATCCTTCAATGGAATCAAGTTGACACTCAGTACTAACCATCACATGAATACGGTTCATAGCATCCCAAAACAATTACAATAGTAACATTAAAGATCATTGATCACAGTTTACCAACAGATATAGTAAACATAAACAAATGTAAAATGTTGTAAAAATCACCAAAATGTGACGCAGAGACCGAGGTGAGCACATCATGTTGGAAAAATGACACCGATAGACTTGCTCCACACAGGGTTGCTACAAACCTTCAATTTGTAAAGAATACAGTGTCTTACCAACCAAAAAAAGTCCAGAACCAGATGGATTCACAGCCGAATTCTACCAGAGGTACAAAGAGGAGCTGGTACCATTCCTTCTGAAAGGATTCCAATCAATAGAAAAAGAGGGAATCCTCCCTAACTCATTTTATGAGGCCAGCATCATCCTGATACCAAAGCCTGGCAGAGACACAACCAAAAAAAGAGAATTTTAGACCAATATCCTTGATGAACATTGATGCAAAAATCCTCAATAAAATGCTGGCAAACTGAATCCAGCAGCACATCAAAAAGCTTATCCACCATGATCAAGTGGGCTTCATCCCTGGGATGCAAGGTTGGCTCAACATACGCAAATCAATAAATGTAATCCAGCATATAAACAGAACCAAAGACAAAAACCACATGATTATCTCAATAGATGCAGGAAAGGCCTTTGACAAAATTCAACAACACTTCATGCTAAAAACTCTCAATAAATTAGGTATTGATGGGACGTATCTCAAAATAATAAGAGCTATTTATGACAAACCCACAGCCAATATCATACTGAATGGGCAAAAACTGGAAGCATTCCCTTTAAAAACGGGCACAAGACAGGGATGCCCTCTCTCACCACTCCTATTCAACATAGTGTTGGAAGTTCTGGCCAGGGCAATCAGGCAGGAGAAGGAAATAAAGGGTATTCAATTAGGAAAAGAGGAAGTCAAATTGTCCCTGTTTGCAGATGACATGATTGTATATCTAGAAAACCCCATTGTCTCAGCCCAAAATCTCAAGCTGATAAGCAACTTCAGCAAAGTTGCAGGATACAAAATCAATGTGCAAAAATCACGAGCATTCTTATACACCAATAACAGACAAACAGAGAACCAAATCATGAGTGAACTCCCATTCACAATTGCTTCAAAGAGAATAAAATACCTAGGAATCCAACTTACAAGGGATGTGAAGGACCTCTTCAAGGAGAACTACAAACCACTGCTCAATGAAATAAAAGAGGATACAAACAAATGGAAGAACATTCCATGCTCATGGGTAGGAAGAATCAATATCATGAAAATGGCCATAGTGCCCAAGGTAATTTGTAGATTCAATGCCATCCCCATCGAGCTACCAATGACTTTCTTCACAGAGTTGGAAAAAACTACTTTAAAGTTCATATGGAACCAAAAAACGGCCCGCATTGCCAAGTCAATCTTAAGCCAAAAGAACAAAGCTGGAGGCATCATGCTACCTGACTTCAAACTGTACTACAAGGATATAGTAACCAAAACAGCATGGTACTCTGGTACCAAAACAGAGATATAGACCAATGGAACAGAACAGAGCCCTCAGAAATAATGCCGCATATCTACAACTATCTGATCTTTGATAAACCTGACAAAAACAAGAAATGGGGAAAGGATTCCCTATTTAAGAAATGGTGTTGGGAAAACTGGCTAGCCATATGTAGAAAGCTGAAACTGGATCACTTCCTTACACCTTATACAAAAATTAATTCAAGATGGATTAAAGGCTTAAATGTTAGACCTAAAACCATAAAAACCCTAGAAGAAAACCTAGTCATTACCATTCAGGACATAGGCATGGGCAAGGACTTCATGTCTAAAACACCAAAAGCAATGGCAACAAAAGCCAAAATTGACAAATGGGATCTAATTAAACTAAAGAGCTTCTGCACAGCAAAAGAAACTACCATCAGAGTGAACAGGCAACCTACAGAATGGGAGAAAATTTTTGCAACCTACTCATCTGACAAAGGGCTAATATCCAGAATCTACAATGAACTCCAACAAATTTACAAGAAAAAAACAAACAACCCCATCAATGAGTGGGCGACGGATATGAACAGACACTTCTCAAAAGAAGACATTTATGCAGCCAAAAGACACATGAAAAAATGCTCATCATCACTGGCCATCAGAGAAATGCAAATCAAAACTACAATGAGATACCATCTCACACCAGTTAGAACGGCGATCATTAAAAAGTCAGGAAACAACAGGTGCTGGAGAGGATGTAGAGAAATAGGAACACTTTTACACTGTTGGTGGGACTGTAAACTAGTTCAACCATTGTGGAAGTCAGTGTGGTGATTCCTCAGGGATCTAGAACTAGAAATACCATTTGACCCAGCCATCCCATTACTGGGTATATACCCAAAGGATTATAAATCATGCTGCTATAAAGACACATGCACACATATGTTTACTGCGGCACTATTCACAACAGCAAAGACTTGGAACCAACCTAAATGTCCAACAACAATAGACTGGATTAAGAAAACGTGGCACATATACACCATGGAATACTATGCAGCCATAAAAAATGATGAGTTCATGTCCTTTGTAGGGACATGGATGAAACTGGAAACCATCATTCTCAGCAAACTATCGCAAGGACAAAAAACCAAACATCGCATGTTCTCACTTACAGGTGGGAACTGAACAATGAGAACACATGGACACAGGAAGGGGAACATCACACACTGGGGACTGTTGTGGGGTGGGGGGAGGGGGGAGGGATAGCATTGGGAGATATACCTAATGCTAGATGATGAGTTAGTGGGTGCAGCACACCAGCATGGCACATGTATACATATGTAACAAACCTGCACGTTGTGCACATGTACCCTAAAACTTAAAGTACAATAATAATAAAATTAAAAAAAAAGAAAATTATATTTTGCATACCTGAAAAAAATACAATGTCTATGAAACACAAAAAAGCAAAGCATAATAAAATGAGGTATGCCCGTGTATGCTCAAAGAAAGAGAAGTATAAAGATATTCATGCAGTAATTTTCTTTACAGCTACAAGCTGAAAACAACTCAAATGTCCATCAAAAGTGGAATAGACAGACAGCTTGTGATATTTGCATGGAAAGAACTACTATTCAACCATAAGGAAAACCAAAACAAAACAACTATTGCTACATGCAACAACATAAGGTCACAAATATAATATCGAGTAGGAATACCCAGACATAACACAATACATTATATATGATAAAATGTGTTAACTTTTCAAAAAGATGAAATAATCTATAAAGTTACAAGTCAATAAAGCAGTTACTTTTGTGGTGTGGTTAAGTGACAGAGTAGGGGGCATCAGAGGGTTTTTGGAATGACGGAAATGTTCTATTTCATACTCTGGCTGGTAGTTTTATAGATAAGTGTACATTTGGTAAAAATTTATTGAGCTGTACAATTGCAATGTGCATTTTTCTCTGTGTATATTACCCAATAATAAAAATATAAATGTTGATTATAAAAATTAATGCTGTGATGGTTCAGTAAAATTGAACATTCTATGCTGCTTTGATTAATATAATGAGTGCCCTACAATATTTAAATGGTTCTATTATATTTTGTTTTGAGTTTAGGCTCTGACCAGTGAAAACACTAGAGAATCCTCAATACAGAATCAAATCAAAATGGTTCTCTACTTGTTATCTCTGATGTCTTCTCTCTTTTTTTTTTTTTTTTTTTGTATGTTTGTTTTAGGTTCGGGGGTACATATGTAGGTTTGTTACATGGGTAAATTTCATGTCACTTTGGCTTGGTGTACAAATGATCTTGTAAACAAGGTAGTGAGCATAGTGTCCAATAGGTAACCTTCCAGCCTTCCCATGCATCCTCCCTCCTGTCTTGTCTCTGACATCGTATATTCACCTATATGTCTTTTCAGTGTAGAACAATGGATAAAATAGTAGTAATAAACATTAATCATA
Organism: Homo sapiens; assembly: GCF_000001405.40. NCBI lineage: Eukaryota > Metazoa > Chordata > Mammalia > Primates > Hominidae > Homo > Homo sapiens. The sequence goes on along the minus strand of NC_000009.12, from coordinate 118,122,099 downwards.
GATAACAAATTATAAATTAAAACAGTAATAATAAAATTAAAGAAATGGGTCCTATAGACACCTATGCCATTAAAGAGCTATGTGATGCTTGACAAATCATGTTGTTTCCTCATCTCAATCACCTTTTTCCCATATGAAATAAGAGGTTGCATAAGTTAATGTCTCCTCCATATCTCTAGAATGTGTTCTCATACTCACTCACTAGGCACTGGAGAGAGCCTTCTGGAATAATAAGCCAAAGTAGTTCATGCCTAAATTGGTCACCGAAATCCAGGCTTGCTTGAGACTGATGGAGTAGGAGTGAAAGTTAGGGCTAACGTGGCTCCATGTGTCATGTAATAATATGAGCTTGTCCCATGGAGGGAGAAAGATCTGTCTTTCCTATGAGCTTCTTTCTATGACTAAGAAAACCTTTCTCAGCTCTTCCTCACATCTCATCACAGTTAACTGGCTAGAAGCGTTCACATGCCTGTTTCTACATGAATCACTTTCAGGGGCAGTGGGATGATTATAATTGGTTTCCAGTGGCATGCTAGGGCCCGGTTATGCTGGCTCATGAGAACACATTGCTAAGTTTTCAGGAATTTTGCTAACCAATTGATGTCACTTGCCTGAAAATGACCACCATGGAAGTATTTACACCACAAAAACTGGAAAGTGCTACAAATTAGGCTTTCATACCCTCTGAAAAGTTAGCTAAACATGTTTTAATACATTACTAATTTAGATTAACCAAGTTTGCTCTAGAGCTGAAAAAAATCTTCCTGAGGGTTGGAATTCTGAATAAAGCAGGATTCTAATAACAATAACAATTAAAACAAAGAAAAGGGGGAGCAGAAGGAATGCCACTTAGGTAGGAAATTAAAAGTATTTATCAAAAATAGCTTTTCTTTATATGATAAAAACTCCACACATCTTAGGAGAAAAGTACAACAAACTGAATTTTCAGGTCTCTGCCCGTCTCTCCAACTTTATTTCCAGCCATTCATTCCCCCATTCCTCCCTGTGATACAGTGGCTCTTTCTTCTGAGTGAGATCTGTGCACGCACTGTTTCCTCTGTCTGAAATAATTTTGCACCCACCCACCATATGCATAGAAACTTCTCATGTTTCAGGGCCAATTTGAATGTCTTCTATATACTCAGGAAAGCCTTTCTTGATTATATAAAATAAAATAGCCTCCACCTCTTCATTCTCTAACAGAGTATTTCTTTCTATCCTTTTAGCATATGCATCACTGTTCATCATTGTGTATTTATGTCTGCCTCTCCACTAGAACTAAAGTTGTATGTCCATTTCTTCAGAGCTTTGTATAGTGTCTAGCACATGATAGACTTTCAATTAACATGTGTTGAATGAATAATGGGGAAAGGAAGCAAGAACGTAAAAGAGGAAGAAAGGAACAGATAGAGTGAAGGAGAAGAGAGAAAAGGGAGAGAAGAAAGAAGTCAGGGAAAGAGGGAGGAAGCATGGAGGAAAATCATGAAGGAAGATAGGCTAAGTGTCAAGAAATGTTTAAATTCAAAAATAGAGTACATAAGTAGCACAGTAGTAGTAAGGTGAAAGAATATAGGACTTTGTTTATGAATGGAATAGAATGTTGGATGTTATTTAATAATTCATGAATTCATTCACTTATTCATATATTTCTGTATTAATGTTGCAGGAAAATCTGGGTTATTGTCACATGACCAGGAAAGATTAGGCTCATAGATGCTTTAAAGGGTGAGGGGAAATGGAATTTACTGGGCAAAAAAGAAAAAAGAGAAAAACTTTCAGCAGAGTGAGAGGGAAGCCTGTTAACCAGCTCCTGCCCCACCACACAGGAACTCAAGAGGCCAGGATCCTCCCCTCTGCAAATGACACAAACTCCTGTGGCTCTGCTCTTTTCTCCCAGAGCACAGGCTGGTCAGAGGTTCTCCAGGGACCCCTTAATACCTGGTGTCTTATTAAGTCATTCATTTATTCATTCAACAATAAATTACTGAGCATCAATTTGGTACTTTGACAGTAGAAACTGAAGACAAAGAGATAGATACAACATAGCTTCTACCTGCAATGAGCTCTCAGTACAGATGATGAAAAAGTAGACATATGAATTTAATATAATATGGGAGAAGTTCCTGGAGAAAGCATAAAAGATGTCCTCATTTAATTTTGCATTTGATGCATGGACAACAGGGTTTGGAAAGAGGTAGCACTTGAGTAGGTAACAGCCCAGAATGGACATTAAAGAAGAATCAAGGAGTATAGGGTAGAGGGGCCAGAAACTCATAAGGTCTTTTTAGTCTGGGAGAATGAAGAAATGAACATAGGGTAAAGGTGAGAGAAAAGTAAAGAAAATTTGATCATGCTGGAATTTAGAAAATGAGGGGAACAAAGATGAAGCCAAACCAGAACATGTTAGCAGGAGGCGGATTGTGAGCTGGATCAGAACTCACGGATCCTGAGCACAGCTCAGGAAGCATCTGTCCTCAGATCTTCAGCTTCTCTCTGATTCCCTCAGATGACTACAGTGATGTCTCTTAAGCAAAATATCTTCACTTTCAAAAGGCAATCTATTAGTAATTTTAATTTAAGCAGTGGTGTGATCAGAGTTACATTTTTAAAAGACCACTTTGACTTCATTAAAGAAATAATTAAGGAGAGGTGAATCTGGATGATGGTAACATAAATCGGGAGTCTCTTTGCAGTGATCCAAAGAATTGATGTTGACCTAAACTTAAGTTGTAGCCACGAGAATGGGCTCCAGACTTCTTGTGGGTGGGTGTGCAGGCCTGAATCAGAGGCAGCTCAGGATGCATCTGTCTTCAGATCTTCAGCTTCTCTCTGATTCCCTCAGATGACTACAGTGATGTCCCTTAAGCAAAATATCTTCATTTTCAATGAAATTCTGCATTTTTCCCTGTTTACCACTCTACCCTGGAAGACACTCATTCAAATCATTCTGGGGTAAAAAGATCTTTAGGAAAAAGCAACTGAATATATCCCCCTCAGCAGATGCCAGCTCTCTGAATGGCAGTGATAAAAAAAAATTCTCTCATCCCCCACTTCTCTGACTCACTTGACCCATCTCCACCCAATTTCAATGAAACAAAAGATGTCTCAAGGACTCCTTTGGAAAAATAACCACTCAATGTGATGTGACTAGGCTGTTTCCATGGCAATTCAAGCTTTTTTACATTGTGATAATTCCTGAAAATGGAAATTTCCTTTTGTCTCCTAATGTTACTTTCCTTTGTTGTATAGGTATTCATACTCACACAGAAGCAGTTTGGGTCAAAAAAAATAAAGATAAAGTGAAATAAAAGACTTAAGTCTCTTGGTTATTTTCCTACTTCCTACAGCTTACTAGCCTGGGGAGACTGTTAAGCCTTTTAAGGGATGCATCAAACAGAGTGTCAATGTGGGGGTTGGATAAAGGATTATCCTAGTATTTAGAAATTTTTTTTAATACAGGCATTTCAGGAAAACAGAACACTCCGCATAATACCCAACAATCCCAAACTCTCTGGAGCACACATCAGGCCCTCAAACAGCAGTTTCTTCCCAATTAAAAAACTGTTACGAAGCCAGAGATGGGTCACTTTAGCCAGCCAGAGAAATCCAACCAAGAGGAAACAATGCAACCTGATCAGACCTTCTCAGCTGCATCTGCATATATAAATCAAAGATTTCAGGATTGAGATGAAAGCTTGTTTTTATGTTATTGTTTAAAGCTGGAACTCGCCTTGCAGCAGTAATTCTCAACCAGGGGCAATTTTGGCCCTCATGAGACATTTGGGTTGACCCCCATGGACATTTTGGGTTGGCACAACTGGAGAGAGATAGGGATGCTGCATAACTGACTCTCAGCAGATAGAGCTGGGATGCTACTAAATATTTTGCAGAATTCATGACAAGCTTTCCATGACAGAGACTTATTTGGCCCAAAATGTTACTAGTGACTAGTTTTAGAAATCATGACTTAGAAGTTGAAAATGCTACTAACTTGGGGACAGTGGCTCAATCTTTAGAAAACAGATTTTTCTGTTTAAGTTTAGAAAGTGCATCTAAGTGGGTCAGTAGAATAGCAGTAAAGAAGCCCAAAGACTCATTCCAAATTCTGAAATGTCATGTATTAAGTATCCAATGAGGCATATAAGACAAGACATCCAAGAATCCACAAGTCAAGTGAGTTCGTTTATTCCTTCAGTCTCACATTCATTGAATATGTTTTTCAACAAATGACAGGCAATTGCCTGGGTACTAAAAATTTAATAATAAACCAGACAGGGCTCTGCTGTCATTGATTTTCTGGTCTAGCAGGAAATACAGATAATAAACAAATGCACAATTAAATATGTAATAACAGTTGTAGTAAGCACTATGTAGGCGAAGTTGCAGGGAGACCCCCTGAAATTATTGCTACGGAATAAAAGATGAAATGCTCCTGATTATTGTAAATACAAAATTGCATGCAGGACTGTATAAAGACAATGCCAGGTTGGACTGCCAGAATGAGCCAACAGCACGTGATGTGCTTCCCCCTGCAGAGAGCCTATGAATGGACGTGCAGTCAGGGAGGTTTCACATCACCAAGATTCCTATCCCAGAAAAGCAGATGTTCATAGCTCTGGAAATGGAATGCAACCCTTGTGGAGAGCCTATAAATGGACTCATGAGGGGCGCCTGTTCATATGGATAAGATAGGGCTATAAACGCCCTCAACTTGCCACGGCTCTTCTGGGCCTCTTTAAAGTTAAGGCATACTCCCTTCTGAGAATTTCTGGTCTAACCAGTTGTCTAGCTTCACGTCCTGTTTCTATGGATTGTTTGTAACCAGCTTTCGCTGCAACTGTTACTGCTGATTAATATCTTGCTAATCATAGGTTATGGATAGACGGTGTTTCTGTTTTAAGGCTCTGTTAGAAATTACTTATGCACACACTATATTGTAAATTCTTATCTCTGCATACTGTACTTCTGCATACAGGTGTTATGTTAAAGAATTACTTCATCCCCGTGTGACCATCTCACCTCATAGTCAAATGACCCTAAATCCCTCACTAACCTACCCCAACCCTCACTAAACTTAATAATAAATGCTGGTATATCCAGTGCATTGGCGGCATTGCAGGACCAGAAGGCAGTGACCCCCCCGGACCCAGCTTTCACTATCTTGTGTGTGTCTATTATTTCTCAACCTGCTGATCCACCTGGGAAAAAAGAGTGAGCCCCATTGCGTTGTGGGCTGCTGGCCAGATCCCGCAATAGAAGTAAGCTTTCTTTTTTTTTTTTTTAAGTGTAAATTAGAAGACTTAATCTAGGGGAAAAAATTTCCCAGAGGAAAAAAAATGACTTTAAGTTGAAACCTGATAGATGAGTAAAAATCTGGGCACGGTAGATCTTGGAGATATGTCTATATGCCCCGGAACCTGAACTGGTATGTGAATTGTGGAGTGAAGTCCAGATTACAAAGGAGATATCCACTGAGAGCCCACATTTAGAATGTTTCAATCTCAATCACTTTTGCTTTTTTTTTTTTTTTTTTGGCCCTGATGTCTTAACAATCAATAGATGAAGAATCAGGGAAAGCAGCAGGCAAATTAAGAATTGAGACAAAGCTGGAACAACTTGGAAAAATATATTGATACTGTACACTGTCTAATCTATGCATTAACTAGAACCTGAGCTTATGAATCAACCATAGTTCCAATAAATATTAATTAAATTTATCCTTTGGGCTAAGCAAATGGTATTAGGTGTACATAATAATTTTTAAAAATTTAGATAAGTTAAGACATGGAGTGAGATAAGATTCAATAGGAACCCAAGGGCCCCCTGAGTTATAGGATCCCAGATCAAAACATTGACTGGTTATCTTTAATTTTTTCACCTCTATGGAAATGGAGGTAAAAGATATGGGAAAATGGCTGACACATTTGTCTAGCTAGTAACAGATTATTGCTTCTCTCAATCATGCTTTCTGTTGGCTGTCTATAAACATTTTGCACATTATTGCATAGATGTTTTAAGCAAATATTTGTATTGATATAAGCAGACATATAAAAAATATACAAGTCATGGATAAAAAGCTCAATAAATTTTCACAATTGCAGTTCAATAACTGCCAATTAGACCAAGACGTAGAATATTTCCAACATCTCAGAAACCCCTTTGTGGTTCTTCCCAGCCAACATCCACCACCAAGATGCATACTGCCTCTACTTCTGTTACCACAGATTAGTTTTGCCTATTTTTGAAATACTGTTTAATGGAATTATATAGTATTTTATCATCTGTGTCTGGGTTTTCTTACCCCAAGTTATATGGTGATATCTACCCACTTTGTTGCATAAAATTGTTCATTATCTTTGTTGTATAGAATTCCTTCACATAAATATATCACGATTTGTCTATTCCACTATGGGCCTTTGGGTTGTTTCCAGTTTGGGGTTTTTATAAACAATGTTGCTGAAAACATTCATGTACATGTCTGTGAGTAAATGTTTTTACCCATTTTTGTTAATAATATATTCAAGAATAGAATGGTATTGCATACATTATGCATAGATTTGGCTTTATTGATCTGCCAAACATGTATTTCTAATAGCAATGTATAAGAATTCCATTTGCTCCACATCCTCTCCAACATTTAGCATTGTGTCTTTATCATTTAACAAACTTGGTGGATGCAGATTTTATTTGTGTTTCCTAAGGACTAAGGAGATTCAGCACATTTGTGTATGCTTACCATGCATTTAGATATCCTGCCTGGCAAAATGTATCTCCAAGTCCCTTGACCACTTTGTTACTTGGTTTTCTTCCTTTAACTTTTTAAAATTTTATGTTGGTTAAAAGTTTTTTTTTTGTTTGTTTGTTTTGTTTTGTTTTGTTTTCAAATAGATGCACTACAAAGTCTTCTACCACTTAGTGGTTGTGTTTTCATTCTTGTAATGGTACCTTTTGATGAAAACATGTTTTTAATTTTAATATAGTATAATTTACCTTTTAAATTTGTGGTGCCTTTTGTGTCCAATGAAAATATCTTTCCTTATTCCAAGTTTATGAAGATATGTTTTTATTTCATGTTGTAGAAATTCCTTTTGCTCTATTTTTTATATTTATATCTATAATCCACCTGAAAGTGATTACTTTTTAACATTTTGAAGTCAGAGTGAAGGTTTCTTCTCTTTTCTCCACCAAGAAGATCCAACTGACTCAGCTAAATATATTGAAAAGAACACTTTTCACCATTGCACTGATGGAATTAATTGGTCTTAAATAATTATGTGTGGGTCTGATTCTGGAGTCACTCTTTTTTTGTTTCCTATTGCTCTATTTTTGTTCAAATACCATATAATAGTGAATATAATATTTAATGACATGCTAGGATTGACATACGGTAGGTAGCCCATGTTCTTCAATTTTGTTCATTTTCCTTCAAGACTTATGCAGATATTTTTTAACTTTTGTGTTTTCATATAAATTTTAAAATCTACTTATCCATTTGTTAAAAAAAAAGTTCCTGTTGTTTTGATGAGAAGGGCATTAAACGTGTAATTTGACTTGTAGAGAACAAATATTTTTCCAATTTTTCTTTTCTTTCCTCTCTCTTTTTTTTTTCTTTTTTTTTCTTTTGAGATGGAGTCTGTCTCTGTCATCCAGGCTGGAGTTCAATGGCGCAATCTTGGCTTACTGCAACCTCTGACTCCCGGGTTCAAGTGATTCTCCTGCCTCAGCCTCCTGAGTAGCTGAGATTACAGACACTTGCCACCACGCCCGGTTAATTTTTGTATTTTTAGTAGAGACGGGGTTTCACCATGTTGGCCAGGCTGGTCTTCAACTCATGACCTCAATCAATCCACCCTCCTCGGCCTCCCAAAGTGCTGGTATTACAAGCGTGAGCCACCACGCCCGGCCTCTTTCATTTATTTATTTATTTATTTATTTAGAGACAGGTTCTCACTCTTTCGTCCAGGCTGGAGTGCAGTGGTACAATCAACAGTCACTGTAGCCTGTAACTCCCGGCTCCCAGGGAGCCTGCTACCTCCACTCCCTGAGTAGATGGGACAACAGGCATACACCACCACATCTGGCTAATTTTGTTTTTGTTTTTGTTTTTGGTAGAGATGCAGGTCTCCCTGTGTTGCTCAGACTGGTCTCAAGATCCTGGGCTCAAGTGATCTTCCCGCCTTGGCCTCTCAAAATGTAGGGATTAAAAGCATGAACAGCAAAACCCAGCCAGTATTTATTTATTTCAATACGTGGACACATATCCTACCATGTGGGTGGGAAATAGATTTGTCGAATTTAATTTCTGTTAGAAGTTTTCCCTGACTTTAAGTTTTTAATAAGTACACTGCTTAATTTCCAAACCTTTAGGCATTTTTAGTTACCTTTTTTATTATTAATTTGTAAGTTAATTCCACTGTGGGCAAAAAAAGAAATACACTCTGTATGACTTTAATTCTTTGAAACTTTTTGAGATTTGCTTTATTGTCTCACATATGATTAATTTTGATAGATGTTTCTTGTACTCTTGACAAGAATATACATTCTGTAATTGTTCAGTCCTACATTCTTCTTTATGAACTTGATATCATTTGCTAATTTAGTTCTTCCTATCTTCTGAATCCTCACTAGTTTTTACGCTGTGTGCTGATTCTATTATTTATCAAGAGAGATATGTTAAAATTGTTCACTAAGAATATAAATTTGTCTATTCTAATTTTAATCTGCTCTTTAGGTGTTAGAATAGTTACATAGCCTTATTTAATTAGTATTTGTATCATATATATATGTATATATAGTATCCCATTATTTTCAAGTTTTGTGTCCAATTTCTTATTTTCTCTTATAAGCAGCATGTATATTTTTAGTTGATTCTAACAGTTTTTTTCTTGTATTTATAGTATTATTACACTTACATTTAATATAATTACTAAAATACTGTGCTTATATCTATCATCTTCCTATTTGTGTTCTATTGTTTCATTGGCTTTATGACCATTTTTGTCTCTTTCATTTTTAGATTTACTTCTCTGCATTTCCTTACTCTCTGGAATTTTATCCCCTCAAGGTCAAGCTTTTTGGTAGCACTTAACAAAGACTTTTGTTTTCCCAGCTGTGTAGGAGTACCACAATTTGGGACTCATTTTTTTTCTGTCTATTAGTAGCCACTAACTGCACAGTTTCCCCAATTCTGGCAATATTGTGTTAATCAGAAAATGACATGATGGACAAAGCAGCTAAGAATATTTTTCAATGTGTTTCCCTTCTTCCTAAGCTTTTGTTCCATAAATTCTAGTTTTCATGATACCTACCCAATGCCTTAAAAATAGATATTTTTGTTATTGTTATTATTTTATTATTAGTTTCACATTTTAAAATTATTATTGGAAGAAGGATTAATCTGCCACAAACTAGTCTCTTATACCCAAGAACGTAGCTCACACATTTCACACCACCCAAAACGATCTATTCTACCTCTAAAAGAAAACCTTCTTCACTCTCCCCCCAAACTACAACTTTCATTCTACCTGGGCTATTTTATATATCTAAAATTATACTTCCCACCCTTCCATCTCTCTCCTGTCCTTGTTCCTCAGCCAATGAAATAATTATTAAGAACAAATGACTATGGAGTCAGAATGTTAGTATTCATATTCTGGCTGTGATAAAAAATATAAACATGATTTTTCACATTCTGATAAATGAACTCCTTGTTTTGAACCTGCTATAGTTTGAATGCTTGTGTCCCACATAAAATTTATATGCTGAAATCTTAATTCCAAGATGATAGTATTAGAAAGTGGGGTTTTGGGGGAGTGATTAGGTAATGGGGGAAGAGCCTTTATAAATTATATTAGTGTTCTTTAAGAAGAGGCCTAAGAGACCCTTTGCCTTTCTGCTATTGTGAGGGCACAGCAAGGAGGGTCTGTTTATGAACCAGGAAATGGGACCTGCTGGGGCCTTAAACTTGGAATTTCCAGCCTTCAGAATTGTACGGAATTAAATTCTGTGGTTTATAAGCCACAGAATTTAAGCCACTCAGTTTATGCTATTTTTGTTACATCAGTATGAACAGACTAAGATAGAATGCTTGCGCTAGAATCTCCTAAGAATTACAAGATAACTTTGAAAAAGTCAAAACAAAGTGGATTGCATTAACTGAATAGTATTGTTTTCCTGAAATCAATTTTCTCCACAGAAGATAGTGATTTTACTTCTCAAGCACATCTCAAAGGTGCAAATTTTTGACCCAGGTTCATGTAAATCAGAGTCCTTTTTCTTTCCAGAGTTAACAGGAAGAGAGTTTTTTTACTATTTTTTTTTTCCTGGCATATTATGTACTTTATAACAGCCAAAAGAAGCTATGACTTAGGACTCTTTTTTTTTTTTTCACAATTTTAGACTTCCTTGAGACAAAAATTGAAAATCCTAAGTCTCAGAGGGAAGTCTGGTCTCTAACATGAACATAACGGGCACAAAATATATGAAAGTTTAGCGGCTCATCCGAAAACAATTAGCTGGACCAACTGGAAGAACAAGAGGAAAGGCAGTTACAGAGGCAACTTAAGCTGTTCTGTCTCATGATGCCTGCCAGCATCTTAAAAATGAATAGAGGTGAGGATGAGAGAGAATTGTAAAGTATTTCTGTTTGTGAAGTTTTACTCAAATATGATTAACAACTAAGCCTCAACAGCTTGAATACGTGTCAATAGATTCTTTTCAGTGTTTTTTCTATAAAATTATTTAATAGCATACACATATAATCTTTTTAGTTTCATATGAATTTTCACATGAATTATCACATTAAATCTTCAACACTACACTTTTGGGGTAGGAATCACCAGCTCCAAATTACAGATAAAACAGTTGATTCCAAAATTTGATATCTTGATTACAGTCACTAAATCAAAGTCTGATCATTTTTCCTAAACACTACTGCCTTGGCATTTAAAACATCTTTATTCAAAAAGCTTACTCACGTTTCTTGAACTATGCGAATTGCATCTTTTTATTTAGGGGATTGCTCACATAATATTAAAATAACAATGTGAATGACCAGACAACAGCAGTAACAATAACTTCATCACATACAGTGATCACATAGGATAAACAGTGAAAGCAAAATGCATATCCAGATAGATTGGCTTCCGAGCGTTTCTTAGCCTCTGCTATGAAATCTTCCCTTGGCTTTGCCCTTGCCCTTTGAGGGGGCCAATGCCCTTCTCGACATTCTTGCATTCTCCAGGCCATTACCATTAATCAATACCAAGTTCTCCTTCATCTCAGATCATAAATCACCAAGCTCTCCCAGTGTTGCCAGGTAATGGCTCTGATGAGCTAATTCACACCAAGGTGTGAATGAATAATGATGGTTTCATAAGTTTTCCACTTGGGAGTCTGTTTGGGTTTTAAGATGGGCTATAAACACTTCTCCAATGAAGTGTGAAATGTGGAGATTTTTAAGACTATTTCCAGCTAGATTAAGGGAGAAGTATTGTTTGGTCAAGAGAAATGTAAGCAACTTTCAAACTGTTTGATGTGCCAAAAAAAAAAAAAATGGAGAAAATAGAGAGAATTAGTATATGGAGGCTAGCAAGAGGGAGTCAGGGTAAGCCAACTCTTTGTCACAGATTATGATGAGTCATACTTGGCCCCATAAAGGGACTTCCTTGTTACCTTCACTCCAGGAAAGATTGCTGCACCTGCTAAGATGCTCCTGTAAAGCAGGTGTTTGTCCCATTTTCAGATCATTAACACAGCAGGGCAAGTTTCCTAACATCCAGGATCCAGCTACCTCCCTTGTTCTTGCAGCTCCTTTGCAGAAATTTTAGAGTCTTAATTCATCCCTTCATGAGATGGCTCATCTCCTTCTATAAAGATTAGACACTTAAACCAATTGGAGTTTACAAAGAAACAAGCAAACAAAAAGGTTTGAAAAGATTTTCATTCTTTCAAACCACTCCAGCTTGAAGGTTGCAAGCATATAAAATGTTCCTGTTTCTTCATAGGAACCCTAGTCTCTTCCTTGAAGCTGCCTGAAGGGGACCCTGTGATGCAACGTTAAACACTATTGATAAATTCGTTGGACATATAGACAACGTAATAATGCCTTTTCTTAATACGCACTTTTAAAGTTATTAGTGGAGATTTCACATCATTATGATGAAAGGAACCCCTCTCAGTGGGATTCTGATCTGAGAAATATATGTAAGAAACAAAGCAGAATGATAATGAAAATGCCTTGTTAGTGGCTGAATAAGTAATCTCTACTTCTATTGAAGAGTCCCAAAGATACTTGGAAAATGCAACCCAGGCCCAAGGCTCAGGTGAGGCTTTTTGCATTCTCTTCATTGAATTCTAACTTCCTGACCCCGTTACAGTCACAGCAAGAGTAGGCCTGCCCAGGGTGAGTCCAAAAAGGAAGTTTCTGCTCAGGGCTGAGAAAACAAAAAGTCGAAAAACATTTGACTTGAATAGGTTCAGGATAACCCTCCATTATTAACTATAGGTTACTAAAATTCTCCGATATTTTAGTAAAATTAGTAACACTTCTTTTCTTCAGTAAAGCTAGGAAAGGATCATAGGATGAAGGTTCCAAACATATTTTCTTAATTGAAAAGTTAAATGAAAGCACATTAGCATTTTGTTTCTTATTTTATATTTTAATATTACTTATAAATTTAGAAATATTCTTCATTAGAAAAGAGAGGAAATCATAATTAGCACAGTTAAGTATAAAAGCTAAGTTTTTCTCCTAGCTTAATAGATTTACAGGGCTTCTCTAAGACTTGTTTTTCCTTTCCTTCACTTAATGTCTCAAAATGTTTATCTGTTAAATGAGGACTTATGTTTGTTTCATAAGGTGATTCAGAGTGTTAATCTAGCAATGCATGTAAAGTACTCAACACAGTGTCTAGCACATAGTTTGTGGTTAAGACTTAGTGGCTTTGGAATCAGGTAGATACAAGTAAAATTCCTCATCTACCAAGTATAAACCACATGACTCTGGGTGAGTTAGTTTTTCTGTTAGACTTCTCATGTGCGCCATGTAGACAAATAATAGGTAATACATAGTGAGGATTAAATGAGATATAATTATTACAGATATAATTACTACACACTAGGAACTCAATTAATAGGAGCTATTATTATTAAAATCACTTGAAATCCATTTCACAGCATGTAAGTTCCTTATAATTTCACCTATATTTCCTTGTTGGCAGAGGTGGGTTTAGAACAGGGAAGACTGTATGTGAAAGTTACACATAAATTTTAATTCCTTTAATCGAATTACATTTGTCTTTTGGAATATGCTGATGCAATAATGTTAAATCCTTGCTTGTTACAGCAGAGCATAGTAACATAAGGTCTGGAGTCATGAAGTCTGCTTTCAAAGCCAACTCTAGAATTTACAGTCTATGTGAACTTGAACAAGATATATAATTTCTGTGTTTCACATTCCTCATCTATAATATACAAATAATTTTATCCACCACATAAGGTTGTTGTAAGGATCAAATGAGTTATATATTTAACTACTTAGAAAAATGGTAGGGACATAGTAAGTTACTCCCAAATGTTAAGTACTCGAATTTCTTTTCATAATTATTTCCCTTTGTAGATAATATTTAATGAGTATAATATTTAAGATTATATTTTTATTTTAATCAACTACTTTAATTTTAAAATTGATCTGTGTTGTTCCATATGATCCACATTAAATGCTATTTCTAGTTTGTCAGATATTTCTAATCAGTGATGTAAATATAACACTTATTGTAAGATCCAAATGGAATCAGAGCATCTTTGATTTCTAGTTGGTTTCATTTGTGTGTGGACTAATTGACCAAAAAGTCAGTGATGCATATTCACATAAGGGCAAGTTGTTATCATGATGCTTGCACAGAAGTAATGCTGCATGAGTTATATGTAAGTTTTAATTGATTTTAATATCTGATTATGTCTACCTCAACAAATACTGCAGATGCCTTAATGCATTCTCTTAAAATCTGGCTGAAAATCCAAGTACATGTACCTTGAGTAGTTCGTACAAACCACACTTGTGTGAAAGAAAACAACACATAAACAACCAAAGATCAAAATTCTGAAATCTTCTGTCAGTCCAAGAGCTGTTCACCATCTTCCAGAAAGGATCTCCCAACAAATCCTTGGCTTTGCCCAACAACCCAAGATTAGTGCTCCTTCTGGCAGATATAGGTGTTAATACACCTATTTACAACTTCTTTGATCCTTCCAAGAATTACATTTCCCTTCCCACTTTTAGTTTCCTCCACTCAATCCCATATACTTTCAGTTGGAAATCCTAGTCTTCTGAGGCTTCTCTCTCATTTTGTTGTTTCTGAGTTACTCTGAACTTCCTTTTAAAGGACATAAATGTTACACCACTATATCTCCCTCCTGTACGCTTCCCATTTGTTTAGTAAAGGCTGCTCTGTTTGCTTAAATCGTACAGCCTTGATTCTTAAAGGAGCTATGTACTTATTCACTTAGAATCAATCTAAGAAAACAATAGAATTTCTTTTGTTTTGTTTTGTTTTTTGTTTTTGTTTTTGTTTTTTTACAAGCTTTTAAAAAGACTCTCTTACTGAGGTAGATGAAGAAGTCTTGGTTTAGAGTAGAGATTGTGAATGCTTTCCATAAAAAAACAGGGTTTATTTTCTGCCTATTGTCCATTCGCTGTTTTATCGTTTGTTTCAGTGCATGTAGCAGAGTTCTCACACTGCATGCCCCAACTGCCTCTGCTTGCATAAAACATGATACTCTACCTCGAACAATGCTAGAATACATTACATAAATTTCCCTTTGATATCCAGCATGTTTTCTACTCTAACAGAATCTGAGCAGAATCATATCTCCTTTTCCCCTAGTGTTCCCGACGTGCATCATAACTCTCTCTTCTCTGAATCCAATAACCATCTCCAAGCCATTAGAAGGGATACGTTTCACTGAAGGGTGGAAGTAGCTCAGTAGGGCAGAGCTGAAGATGATCTGGCAAGTAGTTACATGATAGCATAAGAGGACACAGTCTTAAGGATCAGGAAGATATACAATCAAACTTTATTTCACTCAGAATTCTTGCAGCATAGAGCATTCTGGTTATAATGTGGAGTGAAGGCCCAAAACTTTCATATCTCAAGCCCGATTCTAACTATTCCTAAATGGTCAGTGTTCCTTTCTGTGGAAGCCACTGCAGTTTCATTTACCTCACATCCACTCTCAAACCTCATGTCAACTTTCAGTCTCCAGTAGAAGCAAATACAGCCTCCCTTACAGCTAGCATGGTCATATGCACAGTTAAAGTCAACAAGATGGAGGTAGACACCTGTTAGGAGAATGTCTTGGAAAACTTTTGGTTTCCTAATTAAAAGGAAAGGATAGATAGGAGGGCACCATCTTTTACCCTTGAATGTTTCTGTGATACCAGAAACTACAATGCCCATCAATGACCATGAGAGAAAGACCAGGGTGATCACACAGATAACAGCCCTGATATTGTTGAGATGGTGAATCAATGTCAACAACTTCCTACCTCTAGATGTTTATTATGTAATATAAAATAAAATAATCAGAGTACCAATTTGCTTAAGCCAAGGTGTATCATTTGTTTCATTTGTTCTATTAATAATAGTGACAAGTATTTCTGTTACAAATACCTTGCCTTCCTAAGTTGAACAAACCTGAAAATATCTTGCTTCAGATCTAAGGATCATCAGGGCTTTGTAGTCATCATTCTAAATACCTTGGCTTGATACAGGTCTGGAAAGTCTCAACATAAGAACCCATTCCCTGGAAATGAAACAGCATTAGACCAGGCTAGTCTCCACTTTCCTCACGTTCAGTGTGAACTTAGAAAAGCCAATTCAGAAAATGAGCTCTCAGCTATTTGAAGCAAAGTTTGGAGTTAGGTTACATAACCTCCTAGGCCTGAAGTTTGACAATTCCTTCTCAGCACCTGGAGTACACTACAAGATTGTAATTCCTAGATGTTCTCCATGGCAAGGTAATATGTGAAATAGCCCACTGGTAATGTGGAAATCTGTGTTGTTGTATTGGCTATGCCATTTATTCATGTTATTCATTGTTCTGAATCTCATTTTTTCTCACCAGTATGAGATCATGGGTAAATAAGAGATCATATTCTGGTGGTTCTTAGACTAAATTCAGTCATCAATTTCATTTCCTTTACAGAGATTTTATTTTGCATATTTTTAAAGAAAAGGAATTAGTCACATAATATTCACATATCTAGGTTCTATATTGAGAAATCAGTCTAAATAGCAATGCTCGACCTACATTCTTCCTTGAAATTGTCCCCTGGAATAGGGGAGTTCCTTCCTCATTTGGAGCGAGTCTGTGTCCTCCACTCCCAACACTTTCTATCAGACTCACTTCCCTTACTTTGGTCCCATATTTGGCAACCATAGTTATTTGAATTTCTAAGCCTTGGAATAGAAAATTGCCAAGATTCTTTCTAACTCTAAAATTGACTCTAAAAACATCTACTTTGTAAGCTGAATATATTAAGCCATCAGAATTTTTTCATAGGCTGTAGGAGATGATGTCTTAAGCCCCTTCAAGCTCTAATATTCCAGTATTCTATGACAAGCTAAGTTGTTTCTGAGACTTTGATGGATTAGTTTACACCTCATTGGGCAAGCCGGCCTTGAGCTGGTCTTAGAAGTCACTAAAGGGAGCAACACTTCACTTGTCACCATTGATCCAGGACAAAAAAATTGATAGGTTAAAATCAGGGGTTGCAGGTATGCCCTTCCTGGCAGTTCTAAATAAACACAATCAGTCTACTCAGGGCTAAGCAACTGTTTCTTAAGGCGTGTTTGTAAATGTGTTTATAAAGCAAGAGCTTCCAATCTATCAGCTCTCAAAGAGCTAATCAATATATTCCGATCTGATCTCAGAGAAATTTTGCCGTTGGGAAGTTTAATTCATTTCAACTCATGGCCATGAAAAAATGAGCAGCCAAGGCATTCTGACAAAATAGAAAAAGTGGATGATGTTGTATCCAGCACCAGTTCCATTTCAATTTTCCATTTTATCTGTACAAATCACCTCACTGAATGGAATGACCATGAAAACCAATCAGGCATGGGGTTAGTCTGTGGGCCAAGGTAGGAAGAAAGTGTATATAGATGGCAGCTGCAAAAGGCATTGTTACTCACAGACCACACTCCCTGTTAAAACGTTTCTTCTGGAGAAGGAATAAGAAGCCTGGAAAATGGTTTTGATATGTAATCTACCGGATAAGTTTCTTTTTAACAACATTTGTATTTGGATATAATCACTTCCCATAGCCTGAGTGTTTGCCCCTGAAAAATAAATTCCCCTGATGTCTGTAAGGGATGGATATCAAATGCCATTTCCCTTTTAGAATTTGGCACTGTAATGACATAAACAAATCCCAGGAGAGTATTTCTGATTTTTATGCACCCAAAATAGAATTCAGGTCTATCATATACTGAAAGACAGCATAGCTTTCCAGCTAGCCCCAAGGGAAATATGCAGAGTGGCAGAAATGGAAATATGTTATCCTTGAAACCCTGCTATATTACAGGCAGCACCAGTGGCATATGTTTGCATAAGTGATATATCAATCCCTACTCCTCTTATGCAGATTCAATAAACAACAGTGTCCATTGTCTTGAAAATGCAAAGAGATAAGACCTGGAAGACAAACCATAAGGTAAGGGGAAGACTAAAGAAGGTTATTGGGAAGTAGGGACTTTTTTTTAAGCAGGGCTACTTTAAACTAGTTTATCCAAAAAAGGAAAACTGGACTGAGAGAAGGACTCCAGAAAGCATAATTGTACTGTATGTAAGCACCTTGAGAGACAGACCTTATTTTCTAGTGGTACAAAGATGGTGCTGAGGTGGAGAAAGGATAAAATGTCCTGACTTCCTCCTGGGTCCTGATAAGACCACTGTTGGGTTAGAGAAAGCAAGATATTAAACTGTATATTGTAACTGGAACAATGAACAGCATTCATTTTATTTTTGATACCTCCCTGGATTCACTGTTATAACAATATGGGGAGACTTCCTAAGGATTACAAGAGCAATAGGGCATGAAAGAAGAAATATTAAACCTATGACTGTAAAGCATTAATTCTAGCTGCTGCTTTGCCACTAATTTCCAATGTGACTTAACTTCTTTGCAATTGTGTTTCCTCATCTCCTAAACAGTCATTGTTTTGATAGTTTTCCAAGGTTCTATCTAACTCTAAAATGTTGTGATCCTCTTCAGTGATCTTCCACACAACTCTACATGTGTATTTCTCTATGTTTAAAGTAGTGTACATTGAATATATAAATTAATTTCTTTTGACTTTTATTTTAAGTTCAGGGGTACAAGTGCAGGTTTGTTACATAGGTAAACTTGTGTCATGGGGGTTTGTTGTACTGATTATCTTATTACCCAGGCATTTGGGTTTGCTGTACTGATTATCTTATTACCCAGGTATTAAGCCTAGTACCCATTAGTTATTTTTCTTGATTCTCTCTCTCCCACCCACCCACCGAAAGGCCCAGTGTGTGTCGTTCCCCTCTATGTGTTCATGTGTCCATCATTTAGCTTCCGCTTACAAGTAAGAACATGTAGTGTTTGGTTTTCTCTTCCTGTGTTCATTTGCTAAGGATAATGGTCTCCAGATCCACCCATGCCCTGCAAAGGACACGATGTTGACCTAAACACCCATCAGTGATAGACTGGATAAAGAAAATGTGGTACATATACACCATAAAATACCATGCAGGCATAAATTAATTTTAGGATGACAGTTGGGTAGAGTAATTCCCATTCTATAAAGTTAAACCTCTGCAATTCTCTTTCACAAGTTGGAACCATCTATTTTGGAAGTTATAATGTACAATTGGTATAGGGTTGATTCATGACATTTATATTCTCCAAAGATATCCAACCTCATTCATAAGTTTCCAAAGGTTAGAGCAGCATAACCAGAATAGATCTCTCTAAGAATGACCTGTTTTAAAACACTCTTTGTCAAAAAGGATAACCTATCTGTGGCACTCTGTGTGGGCTCTTAAATAAGAATCTATTCACTGTTATCATCTGCAGAAGTAGGCATGGTTCACTACTTATTCAGAGAGGACTCTAGTGATTGAAGGCTCTTTGATGTGTCTACCATTTTCTAAAGAAATTACTACAGAACTTACATTATGTTACAATGCAATGTTCTTTTGGTAAAATTGTTTAAAATTACATAAAATAAATGTCATTCAAGCATAAGAAAATGACCTTTGCCTTTTACTTTAGTTCTGTCAGATTGTTATTAAATAATGTCTGTTTTTTTTTATCACTGAATTCTTAGAAGGATGGGGACTAACTGGAGGTCAAGGGAACAGTGTGTGTGACCTGTAAGATAGGAAGAAAGTCATGTTAAAAAAAAAAAAAAAACTAATGAAATTTGAGATTTCTACCAGTGAGAGATACTCAAGAGTGATTCGTCTCCAGCATTCATGCATAATAAAATACATAGGAGGAAATAGATATGAATGGAATGGGAGTAAACTTTAGCTCTTTGGGTAGTGAACAAGAGGACTACAAACCAATTTACGGAACATATATAAGCAGGGTACTAAGTTTGGTGCTATGGTTCACAGAGAGTTGATTTTAAAAAGTATAAGACACCAAACTTGCAGTTACTCTTTTTTTTTTTTTTTTTTTTTAAGATGGAGTCTCGCTCTGTTGCCCAGGCTGAAGTGCAGTGGCGCGATCTTGGCTCACTGCAGCCTCTGCCTCCTAGGTCCAAGCAATTCTCCTGCCTCCGCCTCCTGAATAGCTGGGATTACAGGCACGCACTGCCACACCCGGCTAATTTTTGTATTTTTAGTAGAGACGGGGTTTCACCATGTTGGCCAGGATGGTCTTGATCTCCTGACCTTGTGATCCGCCAGCCTTAGCCTCTCAAAGTTCTGGGATTATAGGCTTGATCCACCACGCCCGGCCCCAGTCACTCATTTTTTAGGGAAAGAAATAAGCTCATAAATTATGCTAGATAGGTCTTTAAGCTCCAAAGAAGGGACAGGCCTAAGAGATCTTTGTTTATGAAGTTATAAAGTTTTATTTTAAAAATACAAACAAAACAAAAGGGAATAAATACCCTAGATATTGTCCCTTGACAATACATTCACTCTAGGCCCAAGAATCTGGGTTGGACTGTAGTAAATATTTTTGGGAAGTAGAAGAATAACTCATTGTTAGGGACAGAATCTGGGCTTAAATTACCATCACCTCCCTCCACTTTAAAAATACAATTAGTATCTATGCCATCTGCAGCGACAGTCTCATTAGATCAGTGGCCACATTTAACTGATAGTGCTACCATTGGGAACGGTTTCATAGCAAGTCACCCCAGATGTATCTGTCCTTTTTTATGTGCAGCTTGAATCGGCTATATTGATCCCTTGGAAAATTAACTTGTGAGCAGAACAACAAAGTTAATTTCATCCAACAGAAACTGCACAGGCTTCTTCAACGTAATTCAGAGAGAATCACCTGGTCCCATCGTCAAGAAGTGAAATATTTTGCCTACTCTTCCTGTCAAGCCCAGATCCTCCCACCCCCTGCTTAAGTCTCTCTTAAGGGAAGAGGTGTTGCTTTTTCTGCTTAGTATAAGCTCAGGGTATACATTGGTCTTTGCCTTAGAAGACAGGTTTATTTTTCCTTAAATGAAGCATCCCAGTTTTCTATGATTGCATTGCTTTTTCGGCCTTTGGTATAGTCTGCCCTGGGGGAAGATTGCTCACCTCACATCTTTTCCTTTCAAGTCAAGGAATTGGTTGTGTAAGTAGATTAAGAGGTTGTTTTCTTCCCATGGGCATGAGCTAAGCATGGCATTTCTAAAATTGAGGGGGTTCTTATTTGATGTTAGGCATAACTAGTTAAGAATTACTGGGCGTCTGCTAAGCTATTAATGAAGCAATTTTTATTTACACTTGTATTGTCCTTTCTGTCTGTAGCATCTTCCAGAACTCTTTGGGGAGTGGTGACTAATAGGGTGTGGCTTGAGATTTCACAATACCTAATCATAATAGGGTCATGATAGAATCTTACCCATGCATTTTTCCTCAGAGAACAAAGTTGAAACATTGTGATAAGTTTTATAAGAGTACAAAAAGTTTTGTAGGAAAATGCAGGTGATACATTAATTTAAGTTGGAAAGATCTAGATTGAAATGGTTTATAGGCATGTCAGAGTAAGTTTGCCTATTAAAGAGGCTGTTGGGGCCTAGAAAACCATACCCCAAAATGAAGACCTGTGAAGCAGCCTCAGAAGCAAAAGTTTCTATCTGACCTTCTTCTGACCCCTTGTCTCTGGCCTCTGTGAATCCCCTGAGGCTGGCCATAGAAACTAGAATCCCTCTTCTCCAGGGAGGGTTATAGAAACAGAACCCGTTTTCCCTCAAGACAGCTATAAAACCCCAAAGTATGACTGTAGCTCTCCCCTGCCTTTTTGCATAAAATCTGGCCATATACAAATTATCTGACCTATTTTGTTTGATTATAGGTCATAAGACCTTTATTCCAGAGAAGGGCCTATCCCAAACCCAGAAGGAAGCAGTGCTGCACAGACAGGCCAAGAGGAATCTAAACAGACAGGGCTTGCTGGGTTTCTCCACTTAGGCTATCAGCATTGGATCTCTACTCTTATCTAATCATATTTCTGCATGGGCTGTCCATGCTTCATTGATCCAAAGCATAAAGATGGAGTTTCCCCTGTACCTTTGAGTCTTCAAGCATAAAGATGGAAAGTCTCCCCTGTACCTTTGAGTCTTCACTCCAAAGGTCCCTGTGTCATATAACACTATAATCAAAGAAATTTGTATATCTTTTACATTATCAATCTGCTTTTTGTCAGTTGATTTTCAGCAAACCTTCAAAGGATGAATGGAAAGTTTCCCCTTGGACCCTACAAGGTCTTCTTACTTGGTGGAATAAATCCTAAAAGGGTTTTCTAAATCCCTTAATATAATATTTACTGCTATCCTCCTGCCTTTACTGTAACACTACCTTTAATAATATGATGAATACTAATATTTTTACTAGCTACAAATGTTCAAAACTATTGGTAGGCATCATTCTAAGATTATCTCAATTAATATTTAAAATAACTCATCAAGTAGGTATGATTATAATGTGAATTTGAAACATAGGAAAAGTGCCCATGGTCATACAGACGCTGGATTAGTTATTTCTGCTGGATAGTTTATCATCCCAAATTTGGTAGCATAGAACAAGAACATTTATTATCTCTCATGATATTGGCAGTTGACTGGGCTCAGGTAGGTGGTTTTTCCCTGGGTTTGGCATGCAGTTTAAGTCAGCCAAAGATTGGCTAAGGCTGTGATCATTTCTAAGGCTTCTCCACTGACTTACCAGGCCCCTGGGCTGAGAAGACACAATCAGCTGAAGACTGAAACAGATGGGTCTCCCAGGGTATCTCTCTGTAGTTTTAAGTGCTCTCTCCAGCATGGTAGCTTCCGGGTCTTCAAACTTCTTGCATGGGGCTTGAGACTCCAGTGGTGCATGCTCTCAGAGAGAGTTGGGTGAAAACTGTATCACCTTATGTGACCCAGCCTCAGAAGTCATACAGTGTCAAATTTATCATATTCCATAGATTACTAGTGAGTCATTAAGGTTGGGACCTCTTCAAGGGAAAAAAATTTGACTTAACCTTTTGATGAAAGAAAAGTCAAATAATAAGTGTTAAAATCTTTATTTGAAGTAAGGTTTTCCTAACTCAACATCTGTTCTTAGTTCTGCTGGCTACACTTCTACAAGTTACACTGAAGATTGTCTAAAGGACACTTGGCCACTTAACCTATAAGGTCATAAACTTAACTGAAGTTAGAAGTCAAGTCAAAATAATATATTAAGGTCTCTCTATCTCTTACAATAATGTACAATGTATGTTTTTAAATGTTAGAATCTTTAAAAATTGCTATTTTAATTAATTAATTAATTTTTTTGGAGACAGGGTCTGGTTCTGTTCCCGGGCTGGAATGCAGTGACACAATCACAGCTCACCATATCCTCGACTACCTGGGCTCAAACCATCCTCCCATCTCAGATCCCTGAGCAGCTAGGACTACAGCCACATGCCGCCATGCCCAGTTATTTTTTATTCATATTTTTTGTAGAGACAGTGTCTCACTATGTTGCCCAGACTGGTCTTGAACTCCTGGCCTCAAGTGATCCTTCCACCTTAGTCTCCCAAAGTGCTGGAATTATAGGCATGAGCTACTGCACCTAGCCAGAAATTGTACTTTTGATGACAGCTGTAAGAAGCCTTCAGCAGCAGAACACACTGACTGAAAAGTCCCCTAGTTCCTTAATACATTCCTGGTTTTGATTAATATTAATATTAATTTTATACTTCTCTGTCTGTCTCTCTTATAACATATATAATTTGTGGCACATCAGTGTGATTTTTACCTTCTTGACAAGGCTTATCTTCAACCTAACTGAAATTAATTTTTCATGTAAAATTCCCCAATGGACATGATTTCTTAAAATTCAAGATACATTGCATCAACACCGTTTCTTCTGACAACTAATCTCCTAATTCTATCAAAAAAGTAATCAAGTTTTCCTTGAATGATTTATTCTCTATAGAGCCAGAGTGCTTATGGCTTATGGCTCTGTGATCATCAAGGCACTAAAAGCTTTCCTGACTCTTTATATTTGTTATGGCGCTTTGCTAAACCATGAATTTCTATGAAAGATTGAGAAGATGATTGAATTCCTTTCCCATTTGGAACTTCCCAGCTGTCCTAGTGTCTGGCTTTGCATACATTTTTAGAGGTCTCTGCAAATTGCCATCCAACCAAAAATGTATGAAAATAAAATAGAACAATAAAACCACTAATTAAATATGTCAATTCACACTCCCTCTTTTTGCATAAGAATTAACAAGCTGGATAAATCTCACATAACTACCTTTACTAACAACCACAAATGCCCTTGACTTCTATTGCTGTCTACACATTGAAATCTTGTTGAGGTCTCAAGACCCTGCTGCAATCTTACCCTGACTTCTCATGTAGCTTTTGCAACTTGGTCCATGATGCCTATACATCAGGTGTTGGAGCTTCATCCTGGAAACAGGAGCTCTGTCTCTGGGCAAATGCTTACAAGCTGCTTGATCTTTCCAAACATTAATTGCTACATCAGTGAAATAGGGAAAATAATTTCTGAAAGCCTAATTTGCAGGGCTATTTTGCATGAATAAATAAAATGTTTTTTTACCCTTTGTTAAACCAGTTCTGATTGGTTGAACATAAGATTCTCAAACATTCTGTCAATGTAATTTTAAGATTTGAAATACCTTAAATATCGTGACGTAAAAGATGATTTGTGTGTGTGTATTTGTGTGTGTGTGTATGTATTTACTCTTCCTCCAACTTCTCTTGGAAGTCACAGAACTAAAGGTTCCAAAAGTGTCTTGTAAAATGAGAAGACATATACAAATACAAACTTTCAAATATATAATGTTGGCCAGGAGCGGTGGCTCACACCTGTAATCTCAGCACTTTGGGGGGCCAAGGTGGGCGGATTACTTGAGGTCAGGAGTTTGGGACCAGCCTGGCCAACATGGAGAAATCCTGTCTCTACTAAAAATACAAAAATTAGCCTGGCGTGGTGGTGGACACCTGTAGTCTCAGCTACTCCGGAGCCTGAGGCAGGAGAATCCCTTGAACCTGAGAGGCAGAGGTTGCAGTGAGCTGAGTTCGCTCCACTGCACTATGCAGCCTGGGAGACAGAGTGAACCTCTGTCTAATAAATAAATAAATAAATAAATAAATAAATAACCAAATATATAATCTTATATATTTGAAAGTTTGTATTTCACAAACAATTTTGTGAGAGTTTACTGGTAGCATTGTTGAAGTTAGGAAATTCAGGGGTACATAGTAATAAACAGCAGAGCTTGTTGAGCAAAACACACTTCTGACCACGGATTTATAACTGTTCCTAGCCCTGCCCAGAATATCTAGCATTGTCTGCACTTACCACATAAAACCTCAAGCCAGAATAAGAATTCTTGTTTTGCTTTGTTTTTCCTGAAAGGTCAGACTCCTCTCCCTTATTGATGGTAAACTTCTTGAAAGGAGAACCCATCTCTATTTTGATCACTTCTAGTGCCAGCTAGGTACTGAATAAGAATTCATTCAACAACCTGTTCTAGTTATTTTTTTTTAAGTATACATTGGGCATAGCTTCCTTTCTTATACTTTCTGATATTCAGCCTCACCTGCATGAGTTACTTATCCTATCAGATGTGCAGCTAGACATCTGTCTCTCTGTAAAGACCAGTTTTCACAGTATGGACAGGATGGATAATCAGTCTATGTCTGGAGCCCACTCAGACCACACTGATACTGAATTAGTGGGAGAGGTATTTCCAGCCATGCCTGTTTAGCTTTAAACCCTATTCTCTTGGTGCATGAAGGAGAACCAGTGCTTTCAATGTATCTAGCAGATGGGAACTTCACAGGCATTGGTAGCTTTAAGGAAAAAAAGAAAAACAACAAGAAAAAAAACAAGAGTTCCATAGAAACATAATGCAATTGTTAGTTCTCATGGCCTCTATCTCTCTTTCAAAGATTAAAGAAGTATTTAGTCATCCATTTTCATATGCTACCTCACATAGTAAAGCTTATTACGTGTCTTTCATGTGTCCCTATTTCTTTGAGAGAGATAAGAATAACAACTACTTTGCTGCATCCTTTCAGTGTCATCCCAACAGATTACAAAAGGAAATGTCTCTCCATTGATAAGATACAGATGGTTTTTAATTAGTTATCAAATTAACTTTGAAACAAGTACAATTTGATAATTATAACAGTTTTTCCATTCATAAAATGTTATTCAGTGTATACTGCCCTTTCAAATGATTTGTTTTGCTTTGCTTTTCATAACCACACAAATCCCGGAAGGTCAACAGAGACCCATAAGATGGCTAAGAAAGCCAAGCAATAAATAAGAAATACATGAGCCAGGCACGTGGCTCACAGTTGTAATCCCAGCACTTTGGGAGGCCGAGACAGGTGGATCATCTGAGGTCAGGAGTTCAAGACCAGCCTGGCCGACCATGGCTAACATGGCGAAACCCCGTCTCTACTAAAAATACCAAAATTAGCTGGGTGTGGTGGCGGGCACCTGTAATCCCAGCTACTTGGGAGGCTGTGGGAAGAGAATCGCTTGAACCCAGGTGGCGGAGGTCGCAGTAAGCCAAGATTGCACCACTACTCTCTAGCCTGGGTGACAGCGAGACTCTGTCTCAAAAAAAAAAAAAAAAAAAAAGAAAAAAAGAAAGAAAGAAATACATGGATTAACACAACTTTTAAAGTTAGAAGTGAAAGAGCTGGGGCAGACATTTCATCAGTGTAGAAGCTAAGTAATATTTGATGAGTACATATTTCATGCCAAATAACTGGAGATACAGGCTAGTATATGCTATTTTATTTGAACCTTGTAATTTAGACTCACATTGGCATCTCTCCACCTAATCTGTTCTGGAGCCTTTACGTCAATGCCCACCAAACTTTAGATACTACAATTATTCCCGGCCATGGATTATTAACTGCGAAATAAAGTTGCAAACATTTGAAAAAATTAGATGTTTTCCTCTATATAAATAAAAGGATCACCTCAAATGTGGGACTTGTGGTTGCTTTGTAATTTGTCAAGTTATCCAGGCTGAATTACTTTCCCAGAATCCCCTTCCCTCTATGTTTTAGGTTAGGATTTTCCGCAAAAGACATAATCGTTTGAAATTTGGAGAGCAGAAGAGAAGCAGTGACCATTTGGGGTTTTATGCTCCAACAACAGTCTGGGCAAGTACTTTAGTAGCTTACGCATGTTCTCAGTCATCTGTCAGTTTACCTTCTTGGTGTAAGGTAGCAACCAAGGCTGCAACTATTCTACCTTTTCCTGCATCCTCCTTCAACTTCTCCCACTTTTTGTTCTGGTATGTGTTTAGCTCTGAGATAAAGGTCACCAGCTTCTCCTGCAGAACACTATTAGTTGGAGGCGATGAGAACCAACCTGGATTTCAGATCATTCTCATGGATTTCATCTCGTGCTCAAAGATTTCAGCTTGTCCTTGCTCTTCTCAATTTACATTTATTTTATCATGAGACAATGGCCTTATAGAAACTGTTTAACCAGTCCTATAATGGGGCAGAGTCAAATCCCTATAACAAATACGTCCTTGTAGTTCTGCTTCTGTGATTGAACCCTACCTGATATATAATTTGTCACCAAGAGAGATTCTAGAGAAATAATATCTTAAGGATAGGGTTTCTGGACTGGTTTGGGGTTATCTGGCTTGTTCTGATCTGATTAGATTGAAAGGTTCTAATCACTGCCCTTTCCAGTGGTTAAAGAGACACTAGTAATTTATGTCATTCAGTTGTGAAAGTGTTATGCAAATTATGCAAATTATCACCTGCAGATATGTGTAATCAAATGCCTATAGAAAGCAAGGCGCTGAGTGACTAAGTATGTGATGCCAGAGAATATTTTAGTCAAATTAGGCATACGATGGGGTTGATTGGTTTCTTCTAACTATACAGGAAATATGTGTGTCGCAGGGAGGATAAACACAAAATGATAATATCCCAGCTAAGGTCCACGTAACAGACCTGAAGTTGTCTATGTCTACCTTAAAAAAACAATACAAAAATCCTTATCTTCTGTGACCACGGGGTTGGGACTTCCAAAAGCTAAGCCCAAAGTCTAATCTTGCAGGGGACTGAATTACAACGTAAATTGAATCCCCAACTCCCAGGAGGTCTCTATTATTAAAATTTGGGCATTAACTGGGAAAGAATAAGACTTTGAAATTTGCAGTGGGGCAGATGGGCATATTTCAATAAAGCTGGGGATTTTGAACCCCTAAATTCTGTGGAGGCTTCTTTACAGTAGAAGCAACTCCCTTTCTGCAGAAATTGTAATGGTCTGCAAAAGACTGCTGATTCTACCTAGGAACTACCCTCACTACCTCTCCTTGCTTCTAAATGTATAAATATACAAGTCCCAGGAGCCTCAAAGAATGAGAAACAAAATATGACACATGAGCAGGTAAAATGCACAAAAAATCCTTGATTTTGCCAACGAAGATGTCATTCAGCTAGAAGTTAAAAATGTCACCTGGCTGCTCTGGGTTTATTGTGCCAGTTAATCAACAAGCAAAGAATAGAGTAACTGTATTGGCTGGAGTGATTGTTTCTGACTCTCTAGGAGAAATTGAGTTGTTATACAACGTGTGTAAGAAGGAATATGCTTGGAATGCAGGAGAACCCCTCAGCAATTCTTAGTATTCCCATGTCCGTGACTAAAGTCAAAAAAAGTTGCAAGAACCCAGTTCAGGGAGAACTGCTAGTGGTCCAGATCTTTCAGGAATCAAGGTTTGGATCACCCAACTACCCAGGAAATCACAAGAAATTGAGGTGATTTCTCCAGTTGGAATTTGGAATGGGTAGTGAAAGACGGTAGTTATAAATACCAGATCTGACCACATAAACAGTCACAAAGATGAGGACTATAATAGTTATAAATATTCTTTATTTTGATATGAATATGTATGTATATGTGTGTATGCACGATATTTTTGTTTTCTTTCCTTTTTCCATTACCCTTCCATGAAACAGAAGATAGAGCTCATTGTTTAAGTTATAGGATACCAAAGGGAGAATGAAAATCAGCTATAAGAAATGAACATCACCCCCAAACTATATGAGAGATGTTATATCCTCTTTGGGGGAAATTTACTGAATATTAATTAATATTCAAATTTACTAATATTAAAATATTAATTAATATTAATACCATAATTATTTTGACTCTTAGTACCTAATTCTGTAGCATAGAGATAATTTTATCTATTTAAGAACTCAATGTGAAAAAGTAAATCATAAACATAAAATTTACTGCACATAGTAAGTGCTCAATAGAGGTAGCTATCACTAATACAAATATGGCCAGGCACGGTGGCTCAAGCCTGTAATTCCAGCACTTTGGAAGGCCAAGACAGAAAGATCACCTGAGCTCAGGAGTTTGAGACCAGCCTGGTCAACATGGTGAAACTCTGTCTTTACTAAAAATACAAAAATTAGCCAGGCTTGGTGGTGTGCGTCTATAGTCCCAGCTACTCAGGAGGCTGAGCCAGGAGAATCACTTGAACCCAGGAGGCGGAGGGTGCAGTGAGCCGAGATTGTGCCACTGCGGTCCAGCCTGGGTGACAAGAGTGAAACTATGTCTCAAAAAAAAAAAAAACAAAAACAAATAATAAACGTTAGCATTTGTTTAATAATTAATATTAATGAAAGGTTTTTAACCATGCATTTACTTTTTAACATCCATGAAAACTCTATGGCATAAGTAAGCATTGTTATTAACATTATTATTGCTGTTGTTATTGTTTCCATTTTACAGTCACATAAAAACGTATTCAAGTGCTTACATGATATGTGGCCAAGGGTAGTTTGATTTTCAAAGAAGGAGGCAGAACTTTTTAATTCAAACTCATGTGGAATATTCTGCCTACATTAAATGCAAATTCCTTGTTTATTCTGATGCCAGAAAATGTTGAAAGCAGAAACAAATGTGTTGATTCTCTCTCCTCCAACTGCCTTGCATTCTAACGCTTTCTGCTTTGATGCGTTGTTCCCGATCATATTTGATATAGCTGCGCAACATCTTTTTTATGTCAAGGCTTTGCTTCAAACACTCCATTGCCAGTTTGACTTGTCAGTAGTTGGAAGGAACACGTTTTAAGCATTCAGCAAGCATTCTTCTGAAAAGAAAACCACTATTTCTAATGAGCATTTGAGAGCGCAGTGGATTGCAGAAACTGTTTTCTAAGATCTGTCACGAATGATTCAGTTTTATTAGTTTTAATGGCCCTCAGCTATAGGCATGGAATATAAGTGAAAATTAAGATTTTTTTATGAGATGAAAATAGATTTCAATCAGAGAGTGTGTTTTCCTCCCCATCTCTTCCTATTTACTTATTTATTTAACTACATTAATTAATTAATTTTTTGGCAGTTGATTCTTTTTAAAAGAAAACCACTGTGAGAGATGAGAACACAGGGGTTTTCTTTCACAAGAACAAAGGTTTCCTTGTGTTGGGAGCCTTTCTGTTAATTGTATATAAACTGGTTGATTTGCCAAGCTCACAGGCAGGATGGCAGAGAAAGGGGCTAATGTGTTAAATTGGAATTTTTTCCTGGGTAGGGAATGAATATTTTTGTTCATAACTAAAGATCTGTCTTCCGTGCTAGTAAACACAGAAATGACCATGAAACCCCTATATTTAATGCCACTGCTTGTTGCTTCTGTTTTTCTGCACTGTAGCTTTTCTTGGATAATTTTATTTCTTCCTTTCTTTTCTATCACTCATCAGTCGCTGAAAAGTACGGTAATCTAAACAGGTGTATATATTTTATTTTTCATAAACAATATGAGTGTATTTCTTAAATGTGGAGTGGTTTTGGCTGCTCATTCTCATTGCTCATGTGTGTGTATGCCTGGTGGTGTATGGCAGTGGATGATGAATGTGAGATTTTCTGTTGTAATAGCTCTACTCTAGCATTTCTCCATCCTCTAGGCCAAGGTAACTATGTGGTTTGAAAGAGAGCCAACAAAAGTCTGCATCAGGAATCCTGGAGTTTGTGCTGTCTCTGCCATTCATTCACTGCCCTTACAACCTTGGGTAAGCCATATACATTTCTTGTGTCAAACTTTCCTCGTTTGCAAAGTATAGGTCACTGGAAAGGGCAAGTTTACACATCTGAGATAAACAAACAAAAAGGACAAAATCCTTGTCTTCATGGAGATTATAATCAAGGTGGAAGAATAACAATAAGCCAGAAAGTAACTGAAAATTAAATTGTATTGTATGTTAGTAGGTAATAGTTATTATATTACTAGGTTGGTGCAAAAGTATTTGCTATTAAAAGCACTGGCAAAAACCGCAATTACTTTTGTACCAACCTAATAGTTTCCCAGGGCTGCTGCTACAAAGTACCACAGAGTGAGTGGTTTAAACAACAGAAATTTATGTTCTTACAATGTTAAAAGCTAGAATTCTGAAATCAAAGTGTCAGCAGGGTTCTCGAGTTTCTTCCGAGGCCTCTCTCCTTGGCTTGTACACCATTCACCTTCTCCTGGTGTCCTCTAGCATCTTCCCTCTGCACCTCACTGGGCCCTAATCTCTTCTTCACATAAGGACACTGGTCATATTGGATTAAGGCCTACTCTAATGACCTAATTTTAACCTAATTACTTCTTTAAAGCATCTGTCTCCAAATACAATCACATTCTGAGGTACTATGGATTAGGACTTTAACATGTGAATTTTGGGGAGCACAATTCACTCTATAATAATAATTATTCAGAAGTCTGTAATTAGATTTGGGAGTGCAGGGACATGATTCAGTATTAATGGGATATTGAGGATAGGCTTGACTGAGATGGTGACATCTGCACAAGTAGTGAAGGAGCACCGGGAGTGGACATTGCAGATATCCTGGAAGAGTGTGATTCACTAGAAGGAATAGTCAATCCAAAGGCCCTGAAGTTGGAATGACCAGAGATGCCCAAGGGTCAGTGTCTGTAAGAGAGAATGGTGATATGGCCGGGGTCATAACAGGGGCATTGCATTTTTGAGGGCCTGATGGGTGATGAAAAAGATTGGGCTTTTACCCTGAGAGAATTGGAGAGCCACTACAAGAACTGAGCAGACATAAGATTTGATCAGAACCACCCTTTCACATGCTCACTCAGCCCTGCTGCATTGGGAATAGATGGTAGGCCAGTGTTTCTCAACCTGGATGACATTGACATCTGGGGCCAGAAAATTCTTTGTTGAAGGAGCCTGTCTTGTGCATTGTAGGCTGTTAAACAGCGTCCCTGCTATCTACCCCTTAGATGCCTACAGCTTCTTGCCTGCCAGTTGTAACAACCAAAAGTGTCTGAAAACATTGCCAAGTGTCCCCTGAGGAAGGATAAATGACCCCAAGTTGAGAACCACTGTTGTAGGTGTAGTAGAAGAAAAGCTAAAAGACCATCGTGGAAGTCCTTGTAATAATCTTGGCTAGAAATAATAGCTTGAATCATCATGGCAGCATTCTAAATATTTTGAAGGCAGAGTCAACCAATTTTAGAGGTTGTCAATGAACTGGATGAGTGGTATGAAAAAAGATTCAAAATGACCTGCGTTTTACGTTCTGTGCAACAAGAAGAATGTATTTACCTCTTACTCAAACAGGGAAGACTTTGAGTGGAGCAGGCTTAGAATAAACACAGACTCTTCATACAAGGTAACAGGAGGTAAGGTTAAACACATCTATACATATATTAATGTGTATAGAAGTGTGTGAGTTTGTGAAAATGTCTTCTAATTTCTATTTTTTCCTGAGAATTAGTGAGCAGAATCATTATCATCTGAGAGTAAATATAGAACAGAATGTGTTAGATAATAAAAGCAAAGGTACAGAATAGAATTATAGAGTGTAGGTTCTTATATGATGTATTATCAATGTAACTCTGAAGACATTGATTGCAACGCCTCCCTAATTAGTATTGAGTGTTACTTTTAATGATGTCTCTTTATGAATCCAATGAATATTTTTCCAACAAAGTCAGAGTCAGTATGCTTTTGGATCTGTCTATTTTCTATTGTTCTGAGCCAAACAGACAATTTTTGCAATGGCCAAAACAATCTCCATTCCTCCAGAAATACATTATTTACTTTCTTATGAGGAACTGATAGTAAAATTAAGGCAAAAAGCAGTGCTTTAAGCTATTGCCTTAATTTCATGCATGTTCATAATTAGGAAACATCTCTAAAAAATAAGTTATCGACTTTGAAGAATTATGTTGGTTTCCAAAGATCTATCTCGCATTAGAGACAGGACTAACTGCACTTGAGTCCAATATCTGTCAGTGCTCACTTCAACCCCTCGTGAAACTCCCATTACTGTTGATCAGAAAATATTATTTACTCCATACGACGCTTCTGAAAATGCTCCCTGATTCTAATGTGCCTCTACCATTGGAATATGATCCCTTAAGCACAGAAAATCACACGAATTTACTGAAGCTTGGGCTGAAGTCAGTCCTCTGGTCTGAGAGATCTCACCTGATGACCATGCTCTTTTTTGTTAGCAATTCCACCCCACACTAGTTTTTTCCTGCTCTGCAGGTACACCAAGCTCTTTCCCACCTTAGTGCTTCTGAAGAGTATGATGATTTTAAACATTCACTTTTTCAAAAACTCTTACACAGCCATTTCTTTGACAATGCCAGAAACTGTCAAATGTGCATTACAAATATTAAATTGATTAATCTTCATAACAAAGTTATATGGTAGGTATTTTTATTATCCCCATTGTATAGATGAGGAAACTGGGACATCTCAAAATTAAGTAACTTGCCCAATGTGACACAATACAGCAAACATTATTGATATACACCGATATTCCCTCTGGTGTCCCAAATTCCAGCTATCAGCACTGGAATCTCTTTTTCTTAGAGTTTTCCCTGGTTATAGGAGCTTCACCCAAGCCCAGAGCAGACCATAATGTCTGAGAATAAAGCTTTCTACTATCTAACCACACTCAACAATGCTGCATTGGGTCATTGCCCGGATTCCTTGCTCTTTAGGTGGCGTAACTTTGAGGTGGGCATTCTATACTTGTTGCTAGAGTTTCCCAGTAGAATCAAGCCTTTGCTTCCTCACATTGGTAACTCATTTAAGAACCTAGCAATTATTGACTGTCTTCACTTCACTGTCTCACTTCCCTATTTCTTTACTTGTCTTTCTGGTGATACTTTCCAAATAAATTACTTACACTCAGGTCCTTATTTCAGTGTCTACTTAACTGGGAACTCAAACTAAGACACAGCCATGGAGTTGCAGAGTCAGGATTTTATTAAGTGGATATAGCTAAAGGGCCTGTATTTGTCTGTTCTCACACTGCTAATTAAGACATACCCAAGACTGGGTAATTTTTAAAGGAAAGCGGTTTCATTGACTCACAGTTCCACATGGCCGGGGAGGCTTCACAATCATGGCAGAAGGTGAATGAGGGGCAAAGTCACGTCTTACATGGCACAGCCAAGAGAACTTGTGCAAGTGAACTCCCATTTATAAAACCATCAGATCTCCCGAGACTTATTCATTACCACGAGAACAGAATGGGAGAAACTGCTCCCATGATTCAATTGTCTCCACCTGGCCCTGCCCTTGACAGGTGGGGATTATTACAATTCAAGGTGCGTTTTGAGTGGAGACACAGCCAAACCATATCAGGGTTTATGCTCTTAATCAATACACCGTGCTGCCGCTTCTCTAGAAGAAAATGAATGAGTACCCTACTCTGTTTTTCAGGAAATTATATCTTTGTAAAAACTGCAATTCTGGCTTTGAAAGGCTACAACTTTAATCTTTTGAGTCCCCAACATTTTATGAACAATATCTGGCTATGAAATGAACAGACACTTCCCAAAAGAAGATGTACATGAAGCCAAGAAACATATAAAAAAAAGCTCAACGTCATTGATCATCACAGAAATGCAAATCAAAACTACAATGAGATATCATCTCACACCAATCAGAATGGCTATTATTAAAAAGTCAAAAAATAACATGCTGACAAGGTTGTGGAGAAAAAAAAAGGAATGCCTTTACACTGTTGGTGAGAGTGTAAATTAATTCAGTCATTATGGAATACAGTGTGTCAATTCCTCAAAGACCTAAAGACAGAAATACCATTCGACCCAGCAATCTCATTACTGGGGATATACCCAAAGGAATATAAATCAATCTATTTTAAGGACACACGCACAGATATGTTCATTGCTGCACTATTCACAACAGTAGAGACATGGAATCAACCTAAATGCCCATCAATGATAGACTGGATAAAGAAAATGTGGGACATATACACCATGGAATATCATGTCATTTGTAGGGACATGGATGGAGCTGGAGGCCATTATCCTTAGGAAACTAACCCCAGAAAAGATAAGCAAATATTGGATTTTCTCACTTATAAGAAGGAGCTAAGTGATGAGAATGCATGGACACATGGTGGGGAAACAACACACACTGGGACCTGTCAGAGGGCAGGGGTTGGGAGGTGGAAGAGGATTAGGAAGAATGGCTACTGGATGCTGTGCTTAATACCTCGGTGATAAAATGATCTGTGCAGCAAACCACCATGGCACAGGTTTACCTATGTAAAAAACCTGCACATCCTGCACATGTACCTTGAACTTAAAATATAGAAATAAAATAAATTAAAAAAAGGAAAGCTGCACACCTTCCTAGGAAAATACACCTTTCCAAATATTCACTCAGTATGGACATGGAGCGCAACGTGCAAAAGACTCACCCCCACACCCCTTGGTGGAGCTGGAGCAATAGGAACGACAGACAAAAATAGATACTCCCAAGATAACAGAACCAGAATCGAGTGAAGTAATTCCACCCTTTGACTGATCAGAATCTCTTCAGAATATCTGACCGGCAGGATTTTATTATTGCTATGGCTGACTACTGTGTGTTCTCTATTCCTCTTTCTTGAAGGTGATTTTTATCATGGCCTTTCTGTCCTTGTTTCACAATTATATGTCCATTATATATGTGTGTGTGTGGTGGTGGTGAGGAGGGACAGATTACCTGCCATTTACTTCATGGGTTCCTAGTCATTAAGAGTCATATATATATATATATATATTTTTTTTTTTTTTCTTCTTTTTTGAGATGGAGTCTTGCTCTGTCACCCAGTCTGGAGTGCAGTGGCACGATCTCAGCTCACTGCAACCTCCACCTCCCAGGTTCAAGCGATTCTCATGCCTCAGCTTCCCAAGTAGCTGGGGCTACAGGCATGCACCACCGTGCCTAGCTAATTTTTGTATTTTTACTAGAGACGGGGTTTTGTCATGTTGGTCAGGCTGGTCTCAAACTCCTGACCTCAGGTAATCTGCCTGCCTCAGCCTCCCAAAGTGCTAGGATTACAGGCATGAGCCACTGCGCCCAGCTTCAAGAGTCATATCTTGATCAGACAGAAAGGAATGCATGTCATCAGGGTACCTTTGCTTATTTTGAGACAGAGTGTTGCTCAGGTTGGAGTGCAGTGGCACAATCATGGCTCACTGCAGGCTCAAACTCCTGGGCCCAAGTGATTCTCCCACCTCAGCCTCCTGAGTAGCTGGGACTACAGGTGGGTTCTACTACGAATAAGTAGTTTTCTTTTTTCTCTTTTTTTGTAGAGACAGAATCTAGGCTGATCTCAAACTCCTGGCCTCCAGTGATCCTCCCGTGTCAGCCTCCCGAAGCTCTGGGATTACAGGTGTGAAAGATTACACCCAGCCACATCAGAATATCTTTGAGTTTAGCATGAATGTAACAAGGGAGAGCCATGCAGGTATTTGTTGGCTAAAAGAGTAGACTCTCACAAAACAGCTTACTGTCTATCCAAATTCCATGCTTTCTTTTCATTGCATGGAATTCCAATAAGATGTGGCTATCCAATTAGAGACTATGTTATCCAGTTCCCAATGCATCCAGGTTAGCCAAATGATGAGTTATTGCCAATAAAATGTGAACAGAAGTGATACGTGTAGTTTTGATGAAGGAATTTAAGAAGCAAATGTGCCTTTTAATTGCTTCAATTTTTTGACATTAGAAAATTCTGAGGCCTAAAGGGCTGGTTTAGCCAAAAAATAGAAGGAGCCTGGATTCCTTAATCAACACATGGAAGAAAGGTAAGCAAGAAAAACTATTGAACATGAGACAGAAATGCATTTCTGGGCAGGCGTGGTGGCTCATGCCTGTAATCCTAGCACTTTAGGAGGCCAAGGTAGGCAGATCACGAGGTCAAGAGATCGAGACCATCTGGCCAACATGGTGAAACTTCCACTAAAAATACAAAAATTAGCTGGGCATGGTGGTGCATGCCTGTAGTCCCAGCTACTCAGGAGTCTGAGGCAGGAGAATTGCTTGAACCCAGGAGGCGAAGGCTGCAGTGAGCCGAGATCGCGCCACTGCACCCCAGCCTGGCAATAGAGCAAGACTCCACCTAAAAAAAAAAAAAAAAAAAGGAAAAGAAAGAAAAAGAAATGCGTTTCTATATTACTAAGTGTGATGATTAATACTGAGTGTCAATTTGATTGGATTGAAGGATGCAAAGTATTGATCCTGGGTGTGTCTGTGAAGGTGGTGGCAAAGGAGATTAATCTTGAGTCAGTGGGCTGGGAAAGGCAGAACCACCCTTAATCTGGGTGGGTACCATCTAAATCAGCTGTCAGAGAATATAAAGCAGGCAGAAAACCGTGAAAAGGTAGACTGGCTAGGCCTCCCAGCCTACATCTTTCTCCCGTGCTGGATGCTTCCTGCCCTCGAACATCAGAGTTCAAGTTCTTCAGCTTTGGGACTCGGACTGGCTTCCTTGCTTCCCAGCTTGCAGACGGCCTATTGAGGAACCTTGTGATCATGTGAGTTTAATACTCCTTAATAAACTATGCTCTCTCTCTCTCTCTCTCTATATATATATATGTGTGTATATATACACACATATATATGTATGTATATAGGTGTATATATATATATACACACACACATATATATCTGTCCTATTAGTTCTGTCCCTCTAGAGAGCCCTAATACACTAAACCACTAATATTTTAGCATTTGTTCATTACAGCCCCTAGGATTACTCTAATACAAAAATTATCACATAGTTGACTATTTTGTAAAGGTCTGTGCCTAAATGTCACCTCCTTATAGATGACCTCACCAAAACACTCAACCTATTTTACATCTTCTGTCTCACTCTAACTCAGTACCTCTTTTATTAGTAACTCAGAACTTTCTATTACCTGCTTTTTAAATTAGTTTTTATGTATATCTATATATAGCCTCTCTCTACCATCACTAGCATATAAGCTCTGTGTTGGTTGGAACTTTTTCCAATGGACTTACTGTTGTAGTACCCAGTACCTAGAATAGTTTATGAAACATAGGATGTGTTCAATAAATATTGATTGAGAGAATTACTTATAATCCTTTGTCTCTATATTCCAGATATAGTCCCAAAGAAAATTGAATTAGGTACTATTTGTGTTAGAAAATATTATTTCTGCTTTCCTCTCCATGCCTGCATTGTCCATTTGCTTTCTTATTTTCTATCCAAGCCCTGTTCACTCAACATCTTCATTATGCAGGTATTGGTGAAAATTAACTTTGATATTCACTAGCAGTACTCCATTACTCATAGGAAATCTGAGAATCACTGAAGTGAAGATTTACTGTATCATGTCTACAAATCACTGAGCACTTTATATGCACTATTTTATTTCATTACGTCCTACTGTGTATGTGGAATGTAGGTATAAATATCACCACTTACAAATAAGAAAAAATGAGGTTCAGAGTTTATGTACCATGCATAAGTTCACAGAGATATGAAACATTAGAGTGGGGTTCAAGCCAAGTTCTGGATGCAAACCCGCTGCTCTAAAAGCTCATCATGCTTTTCCACCTGCTCCCCCGTCCCCCTGAGCGCCACCCTGGCTGCACCACACTCGCTTGGAGCTTCTGGCTGCTGCTAAGCTAGTGCTGCCGTAGTCTCCCTTCAGCCGCCATCATGATTATCTACCAGGACCTCATCAGTCACAATGAGATGTTCTCCGACATCTAGAAGATCTGGGAGATTGTGGACGGGCTGTGCTGGGAGGTGGTGGGGAAAATGGTCAGTAGGACAGAAGGTAACATTGATGACTCGCTCATTGGTGGAAATGTCTCCGCTGAAGGCCCCGAGGGTGAAGGTACCGAAAGCACAGTAATCACTGCTGTCGATGTTGTCATGAACCATCACCTGCAGGAAACAAGTTTCACAAAAGAAGCCCACAAGAAGTACATCAAAGATTACATGAAATCAATCAAAGGCAAACTTGAAGAACTGAGACCAGAAAGAGTAAAACCTTTTATGACAGGGGCTGCAGAACAAATCAAGCACATCCTTGCTAATTTCAAAAACTACCATTTCTTTATTGGTGAAAACATGAATCCAGATGGCATGGTTGCTCTACTGGACTACGGTGAGGATGGTGTGACCCCATATATGATTTTCTTTAGGGATGGTTTAGAAACGGAAAAATGTTAACAAATTTGGCAATTAGTTTGGATCTATTACCTGTCATCATAACTCGCTTCTAATTGTCATCCACACAACACCAGGACCTAAGACAAATGGGACTAATATCATCTTGAGCTCTTCATTTATTTTTACCATAATTTATTCGGAGTGGAGGCATTGTTTTTAAGAAAAACATGTTGGCTGGGGGGCAGTGGCTCACACCTGTAATCCCAGCACTTTGGGAGGCAAAGGCGGGTGGATCACAAGCTCAAGAGTTGGAGATCGTGCTGGCCAACACCGTGAAACCCCATCTCTACTAAAAATACAAAAATTAGCTGGGCATGGTGGCGCAAGCCTATAGTCCCAGCTGCTCAGGAGGCTGAGGCAGGAGAATCACTTGAACCCAGGAGGCAGAGGTTGCAGTGAGCCAAGATTGCACTCCAGCCTGGCGACAGAGTGAGACTCCGTCTAAAAAAAAAGAAAAAGAAAGAAAAGCATGTCATGTAGGTTGTCTAAAAATAAAATGCATTTTAACTCATTTGAGAGAATACCTTTTCGTTTAATGCATATTTAAACTAAATTCATCCTGTTGTGTTCCTGGAGAAGCTACAGCCTGGTCATAAGCTACTACTAGAAAGAGTAAGACTCATCAAT
Source organism: Homo sapiens (assembly GCF_000001405.40). Classification (NCBI taxonomy): domain Eukaryota; kingdom Metazoa; phylum Chordata; class Mammalia; order Primates; family Hominidae; genus Homo; species Homo sapiens. The sequence goes on along the minus strand of NC_000009.12, from coordinate 118,082,236 downwards.
TAACTTCTACAGTGGAAACTACTTCTGGGACTGGAATATACAAAAAAAATCAAAGGTTTTGATTGTGTGTTGCAATAAAGGGAAAGACCATGTTCATAGCAGTGCCAACATCTGAAGTGGAGCTTTACGCATTTCATCACCTACAATGGAATTAGTTAACTGGAAGAGATTACCAAGAGAATAAAAAGAGACGAATTCAGCTGGAAAAAAAAAAGCACATCATATATTGCCTAAAATAATGTTTGTATTCTGGCTCCCAGTCTTATCTTCTAGCATATACTGTCTTGTATTATCTATTTTTGTGCTGCAAAATATTTTTTGCTTTTTAACTGAAGTAGTTTCAATGTAATTTAGATATAATTTTTCCATAGAGAAATGCACAAATCATAAATGTTATACTAGCATAATCCACACTCTTATCAAAGTGTAGAACATTCCCATCACTCCATAAATTTCCTTCATGTCATTTCCCATTAATTATGCCTCCCACTATTGCTGAGGCAACCAAAGCTCTGATTGCCTATTCTAGTGCTTCATATAAATAAAAGCATACAAAAGATATTCTTATGTGACTGGCTTTATTTTCATGCAACATATGTTTAGAGGTTTCTTTGTGTTGTTGCATGTGTTTGTAATGAGGATTTTTTGTTTGTTTGTTTGTTTGTGGGTTTTTTAATATACTGATTTGTATTCCATCATATAAATATACCACAATTTATGTATCCATTCTGTTGTCAAGGAACCTATAGATGGCTCACAATTTTTGGCTGTTATGAATAAAACCATTATGAACATTAGTGTTCAAGTCTGTTTGTGGATATATATTTTCCTTTCTCTTGGGTAAATACCTAGGAGTACATATTAGTTTTCTAGGGTTGCTATAACAAATTACCACACACTTCATAGTTTAAAACAATGGAAATTTATTCTTTCACATTGGCCAAAAGTCTGAGATCACGGTGTTGGCAGAGCCACGTTCCTCTGAAGGTTCTAGGGAAGAACACTTCCTTGCCTTTTCATAGCTTCTGGGACCTCCCATCAATCCTTGATATTTCTTAGATTGTGCTGTACCACTCCAATGTTGGCTTCCATCTTCACGTGGACTTCTTTTTGATTTCTTTATTTCCTAATCTTCCCTTTCCTTTCCCTCATAAAGACACCAATCAATGAACTTAGAGCCCACTCTAAATCCAGGATGCTTTTATTTCAAGATCTTTAACTAAAAACATGTGCAAATATTCTCTTTCTAAATTAGGTAACAGTCTGAGGTTCCAGATGAACATAAATTTGGGGGGCAACACTGCTCACTATACTAGAATTGGTATATCACATCACCCAGGCTGGAGTGCAGTGGCACAATCTTGGCTCACTGTAACCTCCACCTCTTAAATTCAAGCAATTCTTGTGCCTCAGCCTCCCAAGTAGCTGGAATTACAGGTGTGCCATCACGCCCAGCTAATTTTTGTATTATTAGTAGAGACAGGGTTTTACCATGTTGGCTAGGCTGGTCTTGAACTCCAGACCTCAAGTGTTCCTCCTGCTTTGGCCTCCCAAAATGCTGGAATTACAGGTGTGAGCCACCATGCCCAGCCTAAACCATTTTCTAATGTATTTGTAATGTATGATTTTATTCCCAAAAGCAATATATGAGAGTCAAGTTATTCCACCCTTTGTATTTGATATTGTCTTTTAAGTTTTAAAATAATACCAGTGAATGGCAGTGGTATCTCATTGTAGTTTCAATTCTTGGCAGTTTGTGGTCTGTCTGTTCATTTTCTTAGTGGTTTCTTGAGAATTTTTAAATTTCAATGAAGTCTATACTTTTATTTTCTTTTATAGCTTGTGTGTTCTGTGTCCTGCCTAAAATTGTTCATTCCAAGTGTATTAGTTGTCTATTACTATGTGACTGCACCAAAGCTTATCATCTTAAAAAAGCCATATTTATTATCCCACAGTTTACATTTATTAAAATGAATTTATTATAACTGAAAGGAAGTATTTATTATACAGATTTTCTTAGGGTCAAACACCCTTAGCACAGCTCAATTCTTGTTGTTGCTGTTATTGTTGTTTTACAAGGATGCTTTCCAGGGGTCTGATGGGGCTGCCATCATTTCAAGGGTCAGCTAAGGAAGGATTTACATCCAAGCTCAGGCATGTGGATATTAGCAGGACTCAGCTACTCATGGTCTGCTAGATTGAGGGCCTCAGTTTGTGGCCTCTCTATATAACACCTCAGAACATAGCTGCTTGTTTCAGCAGACGTCACAAGGAAGACAAGCAAAACAGAATGTTATACTCCTTTGTAATCTAATCTTGGATGTGGTAGTATTCTATTTATTCAAAGTCAGTCACTTGATTCAATCCACTCTCAAGAAGAGGTAACCTAAGGTTGTGAATACCAGAAGATGGGAATTACTGGGAGCCATTTTAGAAGATGGCTTTCACATAAAATTTTTAAAGATGATCTCCTATTTTGTTTTCTGCTGCTTCCTACATAGTTTTATATTTTACATGTACGTCCATGATGCCACAAAGTATTGTTTGTATATTATGTGAGGTAGCTATCAAAATTCATCTTACCCATACGCATGTACAGTTACTCTCGTGCGGTACACTTGTTAAAATTTGTTAAAAATATTGTTTTTCCCATTGAATTGTTTGGTAACTTAGTCAAAGTTCTTGGTCTACAAATATAAATGTAGATATATTTCTGGAATATATTGCTTTCCAATATCAAGCTGCATTGATTAATGGAGTTTTATAGTAAGACACAAAAACAGTTTGAGTCTCCCAAAATAGCTCTTTTTCAAAATTGTCTTGGATAGCCTAGGTGATTTGAATTTCCAGATATTTTTAAATTAAGCTATTAATGTCGACAAAAACATGTATCAGTATTTTTATTAAAGTTGTCCTAAATCTATAGATAATTCCAAGTGAACTCCTACATTTAAAATATTGGGTCTTCCAGTAGTACACACAGTAAATCTCTTCATTTATGTGGTCTTACTTGATTTCTGTCATCATTATTTTTAAAATTTTAGTGTAAAGCATTTTTAATTACATTTATTTCAATTTTTATGGTTTTTAATGCTATTGTAAATGGTATTTTTAATATTTTCCAGTTGTTCATTGAGCTGCATCTCATTGTATAATGTTTGAGTGGTTGTTCTAAGAGTGATGATATGCATCTTTAATTTAACCCAATATATTTAGAGTTAATAATGAATTATTTCAGATAAAATAGAGGACTGTAAACAATATGCTCCATGCCTAACCCCAATGCTTATAACTATTATCATATATTAAATTTTAAAATTTCATAAAAACAAAAAAGTTATATTTTGCTTTAAATAGGCATTTTTCTTCCATAAATTTATAAAATAACTCTATGTATATTTGTATGTGTTTATATCTATTCACATATTTACTATTTCTAGTGCTTTTCATTTCCTCCTGTACATCTGAGTTGCTCTCTGTTAACATTTCCCTTCAGACATAAGATTTTTCTTTAATTTAAGGTAGGGAATATCTGCTGACAGCTGGTCATGTCAGTTTTGTTTATTTGAAAATATTTTACCTTGCTTTTTAAAGGATAGTTTTTATGTATGTAAAATTTTTGACTGTTTATTTCATTGCTTTAAATGTGTTATTCCAATGTTCTCTGATCTTCATAATTATTAATATTGGCTATTAATCATAGTGTTGTTCCTTAAAGCAATATATATTTTTTTCAGAGTATTCCAGGTTTTTTCTTTATCTTCAGACTTTAGTGTTTTGGTTTTGACTTGATGCAAAAGTATTTTCTTAGAGTTTATCCTACTTGATGTTTGTTGAGCTTCTTTAACTTGCATGTTAATGTTTTTCAAACACAATTGGAATATATTTAGCTATTATTTCTGCTAAGATTCTTCTTTAATATTTTCTCCATTTGACCCCGCAATCCTATTACTGGGCATATGCCCAAAGGAATATAAATCTCTCTATTATAAAGACACATGCAAACGTATGTTTAGTGCAGCACTATTCACAATAGCAAAGATTTAATTCACAAAAAATTAAATCTTTGGCCATCAGTGATAGACTGGCCATCTATCAATGGCCACCAGCGATAGACTGGATAAAGAAAACGTAATACAGATACACCATGGAATACTATGCAGCCCTAATAAAAAATGAGATCATGTCCTTTACAGGGCTATAGATGGAGCTGGAGGCCATTATCCTTAGCAAACTAACACAGAAACAGAACACTAAATACACACATGTTCTCACTCCTAAGTGGGAGCTAAATGATGAGAACATATGGATATATCGAGGGGAGCAACAGACACTGGGGCCTTTCGGAGGCTGAAGGGTGAGAGCAGGGAGAGGATCAGGAAAAATAACTAATGGGTACTAGGCTTAATACCTGAGTGATGAAATAATCTGTACAACAAACCCCCATGACACAAGTTTCCCTATGTAACAAACCTGCACTTGTACTCTTGAACTTAAAATAAAGTTTGAAAAAAATATATATTTTCCCTATTATTCCAATAATGAAAATGTTACTAGTTTTTATTCAAGTTCACTAGTCCTTTTCTTCTGATAGACACAATGTGTTAACAAACGCATTCAGTAAATAATTAATTTTGGCTACTTAGTTTTTAGCTGTAAAATGTTTATTAAGTTAGCTTTAATTGTTAGAATACTTACATGTTTACACACTGATACAAAACCATATTTTTCTTCACATATTTTTAGTAATTTTTGTAGTTATTTGTTGCTTCAATCTGATCTCTGATCTCAATGACACTCATTTTTTTTTATTGACTGAATTCTTTTTTTCCTGGAAATGTGTCACACTGTTCAGAATCTTTTTGTGTCTAATACTTTGGGTTGAAAATTAAACTGGACATTACATAAAATAAATCATGGTGCCTCTGAATTCTGTTAGCTTCTTCTGAAGATTCTTGTTGCTTTTGTTTTAATAGAGTTAATGTTACAAAACTTAAACTGCAAATTTTGTCTCCCCCATTATTGCACTTGATGATGTCTCTGTTCTGTTCATGTAGCTTCCAACTGCTCCTTATTTTCCTGCCAATCTCTAAGATCCTCACGTGGACCTGAATTATTTGACGATTGGCCAAGAATTTGATTTTTAAAATACCTATTCAGAGTTGCTCCCCTTCTCTGTGGTTCCCATGCTTCTAGAGAATCCAGGTTATCTCAAACTGTGTCCTCTGATACTTTAAGCCCATAAAGCTTCAGCTTTCTATCTTGACTATTTAAGTTTTATATATATATATATATATAAAATTAGCACTCAGCAACTTAATCATTATGTCCATTGTTATGATTTTATTTGTGTTTCTCCTCCTTCAGATCTGTTGGTCTACGTGGATACATGGCTTCATATATTTTTAGAAATTTTAAGCCATTTTGAATGCTTCTTTTCCATTTTCTTCCATTTCCTTCTGCTACTCCAATTACACTTTTGTTACAATTCTCGATGTTGCCCCAGAGTTTACTGAGGGTCTGTTCATTTATTTCAGTCATTTTTCTCTTTGCATTTTATTTGGTTTCAACTGAAATATCTTTATTTTTTTCCTATAATATCCAATTTTTTTAAGCTTACCTTGTGATTTTTCATTTTACATATATTTATCAACTTTAGATATTTCCCCCTTGGTCTTTAAATTTTTTTGTTTTTACTTTTCATTGTATTTATGTTTCCTTTAAGTCCTTGCACATATTTATAATGTGTGCTTTAAGGCCTCATCTACTAATCTTATCATCTCTAATATTTCTTGCTTTGTTGCTACTGACTGATTCGTGCTGGATATTGTTGTATTTCTTTAACCAATGTGGATTTTTTAAGAAAGCAGGTAATTTACTGGTTTTAAGTTTTGCTAGCATGTCTACGTGTTTCACGGGGTCTTATGTCTCCAAATATCATAGACAAGTAAAATAAACTTATATTTCTCTAAAATTGTTTTCATCTTATATATCTATGGTGTTTGATATTAAGCCAATATTTTCCCACCAAACAACTTTACTTCAGGGTAGTTTATTTCTACTCTAAGGTTTTGGGCTTTCTGGGTTCTTTAAAGAATGCTCCAGGTATTCACAATGGTTCTTCCTTTTTGTGTAATCAGAACTTGGGTGCTTCCCAAATGTTTGTGAACTCTGGGAGTTGTTCGACTCATAAGTATTGTTCTATCACCAATGATTTTTCCTTGCACAGTCTCCTACATTCTAATCCTGCACATTTAGAGACTGATATTTAGCAATAATAGACTGAGGGAGACTCTATGTAGGTTCTTGAGTACTCTTCACTTTGATAATTTGCCCTACATATGTCAACCACTTTAGCCTCTCCAAATTCATTCCTTTGTGTCATCTCAATAAGACTACTAAACTGTGCCTCTTTTATGCTACAGCTGGGGAAATGACTTTTGGTAGAAAACTGGAGCAATCATTTAACTCACTTGAGCTTCTCTTTTACTCAGAGATCAGAATTCTGTCCAATGTCTGAAGACACTTATTTCATACATTTTGTCCAGTTCTCTATTTTTGCTTTAAGAGACTCAGTCCAGTAGCAGTTACTCTATCTTGACTAAAGGTAGAATCATCAACGCATTTTTTTTTTTTTTAGACAGAGTTTTCCTTTTGTTGCCCAGGCTGGATTGCAATGGTGTGATCTTGGCTCACTGAAACCTCTGCATCCCGAGTTCAAGTGATTTTCCTGCCTCAGCCTCCCAAGTACTGGGATTACAGGCACCTGCCACCACGCACAGCTAATTTTTTTGTATTTTTAGTAAAGACAGGGTTTCACCGTGTTGGCCAAACTGGTCTCGAACTCCTGACCTCAGGTGATCCTCCTGCCTCCGCCTCCTAAAGTGCTAGGATTACAGGCATGAGCCACCGCAGCTGGCACATTTTTTTAAAAGGTTGTGTATTCCTGATTACTGCAGAGTTTAAACAATTGGCACAGGGACCATATTCCTTTTACTCTAGATATTCTGTAGAATTCAAGAGTTCTTAGCAAAACAGAAAATGATCAAAAACTAAGATCCTCTGCCTCTCACTTATACTTCCAGAAAACAGCTAGGTAAGCACAACTGGTTAGTTTTTTTAATGGTAGGCAGTCAGTTTACATCAATATTCAGAAATTAAGAAAAAAAGTCAATGTTAACATTTGTTTTTGTAACCAAGTAGTCCATTTATTTAATCAATGTCTTTAGATTTTCAGTTTATTACTTATAAACTTATAAAAGATTAAAATGTTCAAGTAATTTTCTTTCAAATGCAATCACTAGAGGTGATATTTTAAGTGTCCATCAGATTGGATAGAGTGATAGATACTTAAAAAGGATGTTTTTATTGTCTCTTGGAGAAATGTAATTTATCCATGTTTTTCTTTTATTTAAGGGTCATTCAACTTGACACTTACTATTAGTAACAAATAAGACAATTTGTTAAAAATTTTATTTCATAAGATCTTACATCTTCAGATATTATATGCAAGTAAAATAAACTTATCTTTCCCTAAAATTGTTGTTTTTTCTTATATCTCCATGGTGTTTGATATTAAGCCAAGATTTTCCAATCAAACAAGGGGAGCTATCTTGCAAACTAAAGTGTTCTGTAATAATATACACTTGGATAGATGTCACTGAAAATATATATATATTCTAACATTCTGAGAAAGGTTCAAGTTTTGACTTTGCACTTGAATTGTTGTATGATATCAGGTTAATCACTTAATCTTTATAGGGTCACCTTTTCCATTTTTGAAATAAACACCTCACAAGATGAATTGAAGATAAAGTAATATAATAAAGAAAACCGTAAAGTGATATATAATAGGAGGAATCATCATCTGTCTTATTTTGAGTTTCCCAAAAGAAGACCCTGAGATAACTATGTCCTCATGACTTTCCAGAACAATCTAGTAAGGTAATAGGAGATTAGGACAGAGCAGAAGAGGATGCGAAGCAATTGAGCGATTTCAAGGAAGAATGCTTGAGGGAAGCCCCTGGGGAAAGCTCTTGTGTAGCTTATTATTGGAATTTGTGTACTTGTGGCCAAGGAGCTAGGCGTTGAAACTCCTACAATAGAGAGTCATTGGCTAAGAACAGTCACAGGCAGATAAAGACTGTCTAATACTTTTGAGTATCTGCACCTTCCAAGCAAGTGCTGTGATAATGCAACAGTCATCCTCAAAGTTAGTCACAGGTGCTCACTGTTAGAAACGAATCACACAGAAGACAGAGCAGAGCACGCAGGGCCTGCATGAAGGATCCAAGGAGAGCTTGGTAGAGTATTGATGATATCTGTTACATCACATTTTGTCCTTTGTCTTATTCAATATCAACTTCATTGTCTTTTTGATGTCATCATGTAGTCAAAATCTTTGTAGCATCTTTGGCTTTTAAATTCCATTTACATTTGTTTTGTGTTTTGATAATACAGAATAAAGTTTTGAGTCTTATTTGTGGATATGTGGAATATGAGAATCAGAAGGCTAACTGCTTACATTAAATAAACATAAGTTTGTGGATATTCCAAACATTCAAGCATGTCTCTTAACAATCAGCCCATGGCATTCAGTCTTTTTCCTAATTCAGTCATTTTTATCTATTTAGTTATTTTTATATCTCCTAAATAAGAATAGGATCTTCTCATTTGCTTCCAAACTAGACATCATAGCTCTTTCTTAAAACATTCTACTGTCCATAAGCTTGGTGTATATGTGTATGTGTGCTTATTTTTCAGTTCTCCAAGAGATTTTCCTAGACATATATAAAGAATATTATTTCCATATATATGTGCATGTGCATTTATATATATACATGTATGCATTGTATGTACGTATGTTTATATATACACATGTATACATTGTATATACATATAAATATAATCTTAGTCCATCCAGGCTGATATAACAAAATACTTTAGACTGGGTAATTTATAAATTATAGAAATTTATTTCTCACAGTTTTGGAGTCTGGGAAGTTCACTGTCAAGTTATGAGTAGATTAGCTGTCTGGTGAAGGCTCATACTATGCTTCATAGATGGTGACTCTTACTGTGTTCTCACGTGGGAAAAGGGGCAAACAGCTCTCTTGCATCTCTTTTATAAGTTGACTAATCCCAATCATGAAGGCTGTGCTCTCATAACTTAATCACCCTCCAATGGCCCCACTGCTTAATACTATCATGTTGACAATTAAGACACCTGTAATCCCAGATACTGAGGGGTCTGAGGTGGGAGGATTGCTTGAGCCCAGGAGTTCAAGGCTGCAGTGAGCTACATTGGCACCATGGCACTCCAGCCTAGAGACAGTGAGACGGTGTCTCTAAAACATTAATTAATTAGATATTTCTAGAAATAGAATTAAGTAAAATTTCAGAGTTCTTGATTACATTTCATGTAACATATATTTGATATATGATGAGCTGATCACATTTGGATTGACTGTTCTACCATATCCAAAATGAAATAACTAAGGTTTGTATTTGATTATTTAATAAAGGTTATTGATAGTTTGTGAATTCTGTAAATTCTATTTGGGAATGTCATTTTTTTCATTAATTTTTCTTTTTCATATCCAACCTTGAAAGTCTATAGAAAGGAAAATATATTTGTTTTTCAATTATTCATTAAGTCTCTAGTTTATCAAGTATTGTTTATATGATGTGTCATATTCTAAGAAAGGGATTCAGCCATATTTAATAAAGAGAACGGTCACTGATTATTTAAATGTCATTTACAAGAGGCTAGTCTTTCTTCCCTCATGTGTCCATCAAGATATGTAAAATGCCACAAGGTCTCCCGTAAAAGTCCTATATTATTTTTCTTAAGCTGGCTGGTACGCATTCATGCACTGTCTTAGTCTATTCAGGCTGCTGTAACAAAATACCATAAACTGGGTGACTTATAAACAATGGTAATATATTGCCCACAGTTCCGGGGGCTGCAAAGTCCACGATCAAGTTTTCAGCAGATTCAGTGTCTGGTGAAGGTCCACTTTCTAGTGCCTTCTTGCCATGTCCTCACATGGTAGAACAGTCAATACGCTTTTAGGGTCTCTTCTATGAGAAAACAAATCCCATTCCTGAAGGCTCTACTTTAGTGACCTAATCACCTCTCAAAGGTTGTACCTCCTAAAACCATCACCTTGAGGGGTAGAACTTTCAACATGTGAACTTTGAGGTGGATACAAACATTCAGTTCATAAGATGTACTTTTTTGTCTTTGATGAAATTTCAGAAGTGCATGTTTGGGTTTTAACTTAAGAGAAGGGAGAGTCCCTCAAGTCTGGTGCATTTCAAATTTTAGCATTTAAGTTAAAGTATCTGCCACTCCACAGATTGTTGTAATCATTTTCATTGGCATTTGAGGTAAGAGTTTGGCAAGTAATTAAAAGTAGTTTGTATTTCATTTGCCATTATCTTTTATGTGTTTATCATTTGGGGAATCCTTTAAACAAACAGAGAATAAATAAAATTAGGATGCAACTATTTCTTTGTCCTATAACCATAATATCATTCATTAGCAACACAGGCCTACCCTAAGTATTATTAGTGAAGTTAGAATGATTTACTCAAAACCGAGCTAATTATACTCCGAATTTTTTGCCAGCCCATTCGAGGTTGCAAAACTTATCAAGATCAGGACATAATTGAATTACCCATAAAATACTCCATTTGTTAATTCTGATGTAGTTTCACTGTGTTTTTTAAACTGAAAGAGCAAATTATGACATATTTTAAAAGTTAATAGCTTTGACATCTAAATACTTAGTTTCAACCATTCTCTAGTGATATAACTTTGGCCAGTTTTCTTAATATAACAGGGCTGTAAGATGTAGATAGATACAATTGCTAACAGGATTTTTGGGAGAGTGAAATGAAGTAACAAAGAAGTTTCTCTATAATCTAATGTGCATAGTAAGAATGTAATATAGTATTTGTATACAACAAAGTACTTCCATCTGGGCAGTGGGTCTCATATTGGCAGTACTAGAACTAAAAATTGGAAACAATGTTATCATTTTCCTCTTGCATTCATTTATATAATATTGAGTCTAGCAATTCTAACGCAAACTAGATTAGATTTTTTTAAAAAAGAAAAAATCTCCATTGCTTTTATAAGGAAATAAAGAAAAAGCTCATGGTGCATGTGGTGTGTGTGTGTGTGTGTGTGTGTATGTTTGTGTGTGTGTGTTTGAGAGAAAGAGAGAACAGTTGTCAATTAGGTCATTGAATTTCATATGATTTTATTTTTCATCCTAAGTCTGGCTGTTATTTCTACACTTCTGATAGAATAATAACTGAATTATCTCAAGAAATGTTGTTATTATATTTTTAAAACAGATGGAAATTGAATTAAGTAGAATGCTCAAGAGGCAATTTGTTCCAATAAGACTGAAGGTCAAGGTTCACACACTGAAAGATCAGGATAAGGTTTGTGCAAGCTTCTGGCCTTCTTAGAAACATGCATGCTCAAATCAGTTAAATATGTGTTTCATCAATCACTTACTTGTCACTTAGTTTAAAGAAAAACAATAATCTTAAATCTCATGATTTTAAATTGCTGTAGCCTGTTTATAGAAAACAAAAAAAGGAGTTGCAACTTTATATAAGTTGATGCGTCTTGTTGAACCAAATAATAATAGAAAGATTATTGAAGTAGAAAGCATAAAAAATTTTAAAAGACCAAAATCTACTGCTTACCAACTTTATGAACCTTGGATTTCTAGCACTCAGTTTCCCCATCTGTAAGATAAAATAAGTGGCCTCAGTTGTACTTAAATTACTTTCTAAATTTAATTTTCTACAAAGCAACAAGTCTAAAGCTATTTACATCTAATTGAAGTTTATTTATGTGATATTTAAGAGCAAAAAAAATACTCTCTGTTATTGTTCCTCATTGTCTGTCTTCAGCATTGCATCTCACAGGTTAAATCATCTTTCTATGCACTTTAATTTACATGAAATCAATGATTGCTATAAGAGATTAAAGCTAATTTGTAATCATTGTCATAATCAAAAGAGTATATCTTGAAACAATGAACATGGGAGAAGGGAGGACATTATATTTTGGAAGTATAAGCTTCCAGTTGGGAAGTATTCTGGCACATTTCAAAACTCACGTGGCTGCTTTAGGTCTTGATGGAGTAAATGATACTAAACTTGTCCTCTTGCCCAAAACAACTACAAAGCTAAAGAAAATAAATGCAATGAGAGTTTTCATATGTTGCTTAATATGATGGACAAGCTTATGATTTATGAGAAAATGGTCCTCATGATAGCCCCAACTTTGGTATGGAAGGAAATTTCTAGATTGTAGTACAACAGGTAAAGCACAAGCAGATTGTTACAGACCTAATGATGTGAGATGGAATGAACAGGGTGTAAGACTGCTGAGGTAGATGGAATTTGTAGGAAGGGGTAGCACCAAAAAGGGAGCTGCATAGAGAAGAAGTCCCAGAATGTGTAGTGGGCACCATAAATTCGAAACCATGAATGCAGAGGGTCAGACTCTACAAGACCTATCAGAGAACAAGTACCGGGAAGCTTTGAGATGACCAGAGGTTCAGAGGTCACACAATGTTAGAAAACAGGCATTCTGATCAACCGGAGTGGATGAATCTCATCTAATATTTTAGGTTTTTAAGTAATACACCAAAAGGGCCACAATTGAGGAAGGAGAATAATTTAACCCGGGAATAAGAACTTCTCTAGACCCACCTAAAAAAATGACTATAATCTATCTTCAGAGGTTAAAGCTCAGACATGAGGAAACAAATTGCCTGCCAGAAGAAAATTTTGCACTCTCTAAACGAAAACCACAAAATCCAGAATCTCAAAGATGATGGATTTTTATGTTCTTCTTGTCAAAAAATAAGTAGATATGTGAAGAAGTAGAAAACAATGGCGAAATGAGGAAAAATACACTCAGTAAGAACAAAACACGAGATGTTAGAGATGTTGAAATTAGAGTCAAGAACTTGGACATAGCTATTATACAGCCAATATAGAGATGCTTAAGGATTTGAAGGAAAAATGTATTTAATGAGCAAAGAGATGAGGAATATTGCTGAAAAAATTAAAACTTTCAAAAAAACTAGATGGGAATACTAGAATGGAAAAATATAAGATCTGAAATGAAAATGTAAAAGGATAGGTTTAATGGAATATTTCAGTTCAAAGAAGAAAAGGTCAATGAAATTGACTATATGTCAATCCAAACATAAGCTCAGAGAAAAAAAAAGTTTGAAAATAAGAAAATAAGACATAAGAGGCCAATATTTATATCTATATCACAAATACTATTGTTTACTACTTTATCATTATTATGAGGTAGATATTTGTGTAGTTCAAGCAGTTTTATACTTAAATCCTAGAAGGAGGATGTTTTCATAAAATATTTGAAAAAGCAAAATATTAAATAGTGCATCTTTGATTAAAAAATAATATCTAGAACAAAGAGGCATAATATAACACGAGCAAGAAACACACACACACACACACACACACACACAGAAACTAGAAAGACATATAATAATCAATTTTCTAAATTAATAATAAAAAGAAAATCTTAAACTATCACAGAGAATAAGAACATATTATATAAAGAGGAAAATGTAAAAGTAACAATAGAAGTATAATTAGAGACAATGCAAGGGCATAGGTAATGAATCAATATTTTTTAAATGTTGAAGGAAAAAGAATACCTTTTAAAATATACCTTACAAATATTGCCTTTAAGAAGATTGCTCAAAATATCGCTTTCCAAAACTGAAGGTTAAATGGAGATGTTTGCAGATAAACAAAAGCTGAGAGTTCTTTTTTTCCCCTCAATAGAACTGCAATATAAAATAAAGTAAAAGAATATTCTTTTCCAGGTAAGCAACAAGGAGGCAAGATGGGAAAATCTTTTAACATCAGAAGGGCATCAAAATAATATATATCTTATTCAATATAAAATGATTTTCTTTTTTACTTTTTGACATCTTTAAACAGATAATTAGTTGCATAAAGCATAGACTAATAATAAGGTATTGTGGGATTCATCACAAGTTCATGTATAAAGATAATAGCACAAAGGACACAAAGGGAGAAATGGAAGTATACTAATTTAAGATTCTAATATATTAATTGGTATAAATTTTTTAAAGTAGATTGTGATAATGTAAATACACACAATTATAAACCTACAGCAACCAGTGAAAATAATTAAACAAAGAGTTTATGTCAAGTTATGTATTTATTTATATTAAATAAACTAATAAAGTAAGTTAAAATTAAAGAAAACAATGTAATAGAAGGTAAGAAAATGAAGGAAAGAAAGAACAAATAGAAAAATGAGAAAAATGGCAAGATGGTAAACTTAAACCCAATAGTATCAATAATTACATTAAAAGTTAATGAATTAAAACACAAATTAAAAGGCAGACAATATCAGACATGATGATAAATATTCAACTACATGCATTCTACAAGAAGACACAAACTATAAATTCACAGGTAATTTAAAAGTAAAATGATACAAAACATGTATCATGCAAACATTAACTGTAAAAAATCTGGGATGGATATACTAATATCAGACAAAAGGGATTGCAGATCAAGGAATATTATCATAGATAAAGAAGGGTGTCTTATAACCTTATAAAAGCCAATTTATAAAGATGATATAAGAACACCTCAAACAAAGGATCTTCTATAAACATCAAACAACAATGGATAAAACTAAAGGGAGAAATAAACAATTGCACAATTGTATTCTCAGATTTTAAGACACCTTTAGCAATTGAGTGAATAGTAGGTTTAGAAATCATTAAACATAGGCCGGACACGGTGGCTCATGCCTATAATCCCAGCACTTTGGGAAGCCAAGGCGGGCAGATCACGAGGTCAAGAGATCGAAACCATCCTGGCCAAAATGATGAAAACCCGTGTCTACTAAAAATACAGAAATTAGCCGGACATGGTGGTGCACACCTGCAGTCCCAGCTGCTCCGGAGGCTGAGGCTGGAGAATGGCTTGAACCTGGGAGGTAGAGGTTGCATTGAGCCAAGATTGCACCACTGCATTCCAGCCTTGCAACAGAGTGAGACTCTGTCTCAAAAAAAAAAAAATACATATATATATATATATATAATAAAGAATATTTAAATAATACCAAAAAACATGTTTATCTACTTGATAATGAATGTTACCTAATAATTACAGAATACACATTTTTTAATATATTATTTATTTCAATAGGTTTTTAGGGAGCAGGTGGTGTTCAGTTACATGAATAAGTTCTTTAGCGGTGATTTCTAAGCTTTTGGTGCACCAGTCACCCAAGCAGTGTACACTGTACCCAATGTGTAGTCTTTTATCCCTCACCTCCCTCTCACACTTTCCCCCGAGTCCCCAAAGTTTACAACAGTGTTCTCATGCCTTTGCATCCTCATAGCTTACCGCTCACTTATGAGTGAGAACATATAACGTTTGATTTTCCATTCCTGAGTTACTTAACTCAAAATAATGGTCTGCAATTTCATCCAGGTTGTTGTGAAGGTCATTATTTTGTTCCTTTTTATGGCTGAGTAGTTTTCCATGGTGTGTGTGTGTGTGTGTGTGTGTGTGTGTGTGTGTGTGTATAGATAGATAGATAGATGATAGATAGATAGATAGATAGATAGATAGATAGATAGATAGATATCACAATTTCTTTATTCAATTGTTGATTGATGGGCATTTGGGCTGGTTTCATATTTTTGCAATTGCAAATTGTGCTGCTGTAAGCATGCATGTGCAAGTATCATTTTTGTATAATGACTTATTTTTCTCTGGGTAGATACCCAGTAGTGGAATTGCTGGATCGTTTTCTATTTTAGTTCTTAAGGAATCTCCACACTGTTTTCCATAGTACTAATTTACATTCCCATCAGCAGTGTAAAAGTGTTCTCTTTTCACCGCATCCACACCGACGTCTTTGTATTATTATTTTTTTTTATTATGGCCATTCCTTTAAAAGTAAGATGGTATCACCCTGTGCTTTCCATTTGCATTTCCCTGATCATTAGTGATACTGAGCATTTGTTCATATGTTTGTTGGTCATTTCTATGTCTGTTCTTGAGAATCGTCTATTCATGTCCTTAGCCTACTTTTTTAAGGGATTTTTTTTTTCTCGTTGATTTGTTTGAGTTCTTTGTAGATTCTTAATATTAGTCCTTGGTCAGCTGTATAGGTTTTGAAGATTTTCTCCCACTCTGCGGGTTGTCTGTTAACTCTGCTGATTATTTCTTTTGCTGTGCAGAAACTTTTTTGTTTAATTAAGTCCCATATATTCACCATTTCTATTCAACATAGCACTGGAAGTCCTAGCCAGAGCAACCAGACAAGAGAAAGAAATAAAGGGCATCCAAATCACTAGAGAGGAAGTCAAATTTTCGCTGTTTGCTGGTGATATGATTGTATACCTAGAAAACCCTAAAGACCCACCTAAAAAGCTCCTAAAACTGGTAAATGAATTCAGCAAACTTTCAGGATAGAAAATTAATGTACATAAATCAGTGACTCTACTGTACACCAACAGTGACCAAGCTGAGAATCAAATCAAGAACTCAACCCCTTTTACAGTAGCTACCAAAAAAAATACTTATAAATATACCTAACCAAGGAGGTGACCTCTACAAGGAAAGCTGCAAAACACTTCTAAAAGAAATCATAGACAACACAAACAAATGGAAACATATCCCATACTCATGGATGGGTAGAATCAGTATTGTGAAAATGACTATATTGCCAAAGGCAATCTACAAATTCAATGCAATTCGCATCAAAATACCACAATCATTCTCCACAGAACTAGAAAATACAATCCTAAAATTCATATGGAACCAAAAAACAGCCTGCATAGCCAAAGAAAGACTAAGTAAAAAAGACCAAATCTGGAGACATCATATTACCCAATTTCAAACTATCCTAAAAGGCCATCATCACCGAAACAGCATGGTGCTGATATAAAAATAGGCATATAGATCAATGGAACAGAATAGAGAACCCAGAAACAAAGCCAAATACGTACAGCCAACTGATCTTTGGCAAAGCAAACAAAAACATGAAGGGGGGAAAGGACACCCTATTCAACGAACGGTGCTGGGATAATTGGCAAGCCACATGTAGAAGAATGAAACTGGATCTTCATCTCTCACCTTATTCCGAAATCAATTCAAGATGAATGAAAGACTTAAATCTAAGACCTGAAGCCATAAAATTTCTAGAAGATAACATCGGAAAAACTCTTTTAGATATTGGCTTAGGCAAAGACTTCATGACCAAGAACCCAGAAGCAAATGCCACAAAAACAAAGTTAAACAGATAAGGCTTAGTTAAACAATTACTTCTTTATATCCATGTGAAACACTTAAGTAAAGAAACCATTTGCTGACTCATTAAACATCTCAATATATTTTAAATGGCTGAAATTGTTCAAAGCATGCTCGGTGATAACAATGGAATTAATGAGAAATCAATAACAAAAATGTACCTAGAGAATCCTACAGAGATGGCAATCAAACACACAGTTATAGATAACTCTTGGTCAAAAAAGAAAGCACATAGGAATTTGAAAAATATTTTAAACTGAATGGGAATAAAAAGACAACATACAAAATTTTGAGGTGCAGATAGTGCAGAGCTTAGAATAAAAGTTGTAGCTTTAAATTCTAGTCATAGAAAAGAAGAAATATTTCAAATTATCTAAGCATCCAATATAAGAAACTAGAGGAAAAAACCCAGCAAATTTATACAAAAGTAAATAGAATACAAGAAATTAAAAGACATAAAAGTGAATATTAATTAAGCACAGAGATATAAAAAATGAAAAAAATGAATAAAATGTAAACTGCTTTTCGAATAGTTCGATAAAACAAGAAAAAAAGGCTAATTACACTGATCAAGAACAAAACAGAAAACACACACATTTTCAAATATTCAACAGAAATCAGAATAGTTCCCACACATTTTAAAAGTAAAATAAGGAAATACTATGAATAACGTTATGCCAAAAAATCTGGCAACTTACCTGAAATGGACACACTACTTAGGGGAGATACCCTAAGTTAGGGTATCTAAGTTACCAAAGTTGACACACACACAAAAATGAAAATTTTAATTTCATAATTTAAAATTATCTTAAAAAATTACATGACCCTCATGACTTTGTGGGTAAACTCTCTCAAATATTTAAGGAAAAAATATTATTCTTACATACATTCTTTGAGCAAATGAAGGAAGAAATTACCTTTTCCATCTCTCATGTGAGTCCAGCATAATGATCATACCAAAAGCACACAGGACATTCTAAAAACAAAAACAGAACTATAAGTCAATGTCACCCAAAGCAAAGATGCAAAAATACTCAACAAAATACCAGCAAACCAAACTTAGCAATATATAAAAGCAATGTTACAGCATGACAAAATATGGTTTACCTAGAAACTCAAGGTTTGGATTAACATTTGGAAATTGATTACTATAATTTACCATATTAATAGAACATAGAAAATCACATAATTTTCCCAAAAGATGCAGAATATGGTTTGATAAAAATCAATGTTCATTCGTGAGAAAAACTCTGAGCAAATTAAACACAGAAAAAAATTATTTTAAATTAATAAAGAATATTTACAAAAATACTGAGACTAAAACAATTAGTGAGAAAAAATTACTTTTTCCCTAAAACTAGAATAATGCAAACTTTTCCATTATTATTTCTTCAATTCAATTTTGTACTAGAGCTCCTAGCCTGGGAAAAAGGTAAGAAAAATAAATAATTATATTGCAACTTCTCTTTTGATTTAAGATAATGTAACAAGTACTGGATTTACCCTCCTGACTAAAAGAACAAAAACAAACAAATGAACCAAAAATACTAGAAACAGTGTTTTTTTAGACATGAGGCAAAAAAAAAAAAAAAAAGAGTAATTTCCAAGATATGGGAAATAAAGTAGTTGAGCCCTAGAGTTGAAACATTTCATTGGCTTGGGAATTTCCAGGACATGACACAAAAAGAGGGAAAACAAGTGGAGCCTAGTGGACTCAGAACTGAGAAGAGCTGGAAGAGTTCAAGTAGAACGCAATACTTGACACATTAGCACAGAGGAAACAGCTGTATTGAAATGGAGTTCTGAAAATTTGCAGAGAGTTGCTCTGGAGTATTTAGAAGAGTGCTATCAGAGCTCTTACCTAAGGAAACTACCTGCAGCCACAGAAGCAAGCATAACACCTGCTCCCAGCCGCCAGATTGGAAAACCTGAAGATCACAGAACTTTAGGTGAATGACTTGAAACGATACATCAAAGAAGAGATATAGATAGGAAGTAAACACAAGAAAAGATTCTTAATGTCATAAGTTGTTAAGAAATTACAAATTAAAATCATAATGTGATAGCACTACACCTTACAAAGACTGGCCATACCAGTGGTAGTAAAAATGTGAAATTCTTGTATACTGTTGGATATCACATAAAATGGTGCAACTGCCTTAGAAAATGGTTTGGCAGTTTCTTAAAAAATGTTAGACATATGCCAACCATGTGATCCAGGTGTTTTACTCCTAATTGTTTACCCAAAAGAACACAAAGCATTTGTCCATCAAAGACTTGACTACACATGTCTCCAGCAGCTTTATTTGTAACAGGCAACCTGAATGTTCATCAAAAGGTGAATGGATAAACAAAATGTGATTTATTTATACAATGGGATACTATCCAACAATAAAATAAGTGAGTAAAACACTCATCAAAAATACTATTGATACACACAACAACATAAGTGAATCTCAAGGTTACACTGAGTAAAATAAATCAGACAAAAAATATTTACCACTTAATTCAATTTTTGTCAATTTTAATAAAATGCAAACTAATCCATAGTGATAGCATGTAGATCATTAGTTGTCTCTGGACAAGTAGGTAGGCCTCCAGAGGGGCAGAAGCAAGAGAATAGAATACAGTATGAGGAAATGTTGGGGGACAATGAGCATTTCACTGTTTTGGCTGTGGTGATATTTCATGGGTATAAACACACATAAAAACAGGGTATAATAAAAGAGAAAATCTTTGCAATTTTGATATAGGCAGACCTTTCTTAGAACACACAGTAATGTAGTAAAGAACTAATAGTAAATAGTAATAATATTAAATTGGACTTCATCTAAAGATACTGTTAATTTTTTTAAATTAACAGTATTTTTAAAAAGTAAATTAAAAAAGTTTAACAGTAAATTTTTCTAATTTTTTTTAAAACCTAGATACTTGGGGAAATATTGTAATTATATATATTTGACAATGGAATTTTATGGAGAAGGTAATAGAAACATTTTTACCACTCAGTAATAAGAATAAACAACCTCACATATGTGGGAAAATGATATAGTCATAAACTTTACAAAAGAAAATAATATAATGATGGATAAGCACATGAACAATTTTTTGTCATTCATTATTAGGGAAATTAATTTTAAAATTACAGCAAAGTACCATCACATCCCTAGAACAACTAAAGTTTAAAAGTCTGTCAATTCCAAGTGTTGATTATGATGTGCAACGTTTAGACATGTTATATAAAGTTAATATGATTAAAAATGATACTATGAATAACATTTCACTAATTTCTCATATTTACCATATGACTCAACCATTGCAGACCTAGGTATTTACCCACAACAAATATAAATATATGTCCACACACAAAAATTGCAAAATATTTATAACCACTTTATTCAAAATAGCCACAAAGTGGAAATAACACAGTGTCTATCACTCATGAATGTATAATCAAATTATAGTATATTCATGCAATGATACACAACTAACCTATAAAACAAATTACCCAAAATTACAACAACATGAATTTGTCATCCAAATATGCCAGGCATAAAAGTGTACATTCTCTATTATTCCATTTTTATAGAATTATGAAAATGTCAAAATTAATTGTGATAGAAATAATAGCACAGTTTACCTGGAGTTAATCATGGGACAAGTTGACTGAAAAGGAATGAAGGAATATTTTGGCTGTAATTAAAGCATCTTATTGGCTTGGCAGGGTGGTCTTACAGGGTAAAATTTAATCAGACTCTTCAGAATGTACTTTTAAAATAGACACTTTTATTACATGTAAATTTTATATTTATGTCTCTATGAAGTTGATGTAAAATCACATATATATAGATGTGCATATGTGTGTATGTGTGTATATATATTATATATACATAGATTATATATATATAGAGAGAGAGAGAGAGAGAGAGAGAGAGAAAATTCATGTATTAATGCCAAGTGACATGAAAAGGTATCTCATTCTGCAATTTTGAAAAGCTTGCAATTTTGAAAAGCATACGTATATTTGAAACTTTCTATACATGACTTTGTAAATGTTTACAGGGGTTCGTTACCACCCACAGAACCCCAACTTCTTACCACCACTGCTACATTTAATCCTTCCCAGTAGAGTCAAATAGCAGAGATATGGAGAGCAATATAACAAACTATATAACACACTGTGTAATTGAAATGGACCATAATCACTAATATTAAAGACAGTGAATCATTCTAATAGAGCTGTGTTCAGCAAACAATGAAAAATTATGTGCCAGAAAAGCTAATGCTGGTTTTAAAATGAACAGAAATGAAGCGAAATGGAACGTCACTTGTTATTCATGAAGGTCAATTTAACGTGATTATTTTTTCCCAGCATCACAGCTTTGTGATTACTGTTATATACCTGAGTGCTATTTTACAACCTAATAAGAGTATAAAATAACCAGCTGGTGATGATCTTCTTTAGATCTGACGCTAAATGCTCCCCTAACCAGCACCAAGTGAAACATGCTACTGGTTGCAATGCAAACAAGTTCCAATGTATCAAGAAAAAGGGAGCATGAGGTATTCAACAATTAGATTTTATTTTAACAATTTCAAAAGATGAAAGTAGATAAGCATAGATTACTCTTAGGTGAAATATTACACCTTAAAACCAACAATCAATCACTTAAAATTACCTCTTATATAATATTTGCCTTTGATACAAATCTACTTTGCAGTCTCAAAGAGAGTATCCTGAAATTAGAGCCTTATTTGGCATACAACGAATGCTGACATTGCAACTTGCTGATTATTTCCAAAATGCTGTAAGATTTCACGTAGAGAAACCTATATAAAAGTTAATTAAAATATGTCTAAGCAATTTTATTACCAACACTAAGGAAACTCGTGTTTGAATGGCAAACATCTGGTTAAATAAAAATTTCTCTTAAATTTGGCTTTATCGGGGTCTCAGTAGACTCTATCAACAAATTTACTAGTTTTCCTATAAAATTTATCCTATTTTTTGCTTATCTCATTTTTAATGTTTGCTAAAATCCCAAAGAGACAAATTAGTAAGGTGGCAGAGCCTGGCTGAGTGCCTTCATTAGCTCAGCGCTAATAACTTCTTTCAGCACCACGGATAGCGCCTGACATCGCAACTCAAGCTTATCCAAAAGCTAATTATTTTCCCTGTTATAAAACAAAGGTTCTATATCAAAGGCCCATAATGCGACACAGTATACTCTCTAGATGCGCTGATTTGCAAAATAAATCAACTGTGTCAGGGAGGAATTTAAGCAGAAATTACAACAAATTGCAATTATACTTGCAATGGTGCACTATTTAAATGCATTGTCAGTTGTTCATGGTGAGATGGCATCCGTGCCATTCTGAGGATTGAGGGAAAAAGCTGAATTCTCATCTGTCACAGTAATAAAAATGTATTCCATTCTGTTGCTACAAGTTATAGATTCTATTATAGCTTATCTCATAAATATTTAAATGATATCATTGAGAAAAAAAGACCTGAGGACATCTGATAGATTATATTTAAAAATATTTTAATTATACACAGATGCACAAACACACATGAATATATTACATACATACATATTGGTTTTATGAAGTTATGCCTTTGTATATTTTTCCTTTGAATATATAAGTATTCTTAAATAATACATACATGTATATTTCAGCTCACTTACCAAATATGAGCAGTTCATTCCCAGAGGCCACAGAGTCTATCTTTCAGACTACACAACATCCTCAGAGATTCAGGAGAGAGTTTAAAAATAGACCAAAGTTTACTGAACTGAAAATTACACTCAGAGGTTAACTAGAACACAGAATTTCCCAATGGGCCCATGTCTACAATGTTTCAAACGGAAAGTAGACTTGAGGAAAAAAAGAATATTTCCACTTCTTCCTTTCTCAATGAAGAAACTGCTAATTTGGAGCAATCGTTTTGTACTTTAGTTCCTTGGGGTAAGCTATTTAGAAGTCTCTACAACTTCAACTCATAGTGAAAGGATGGGTGGAGGAGAAACAAGATGCCTATAAGGCCCCTCAAATAAACATGCAACCTAGGAAGTTCTGAGCCTGTATAGGTAACTAAAAAATCCCCCATACCTGACTAAACATGTTTCAGTTATTTAAAATATTTAATTTCCCTTTCTTCTGTTTTAGCTTTATCACATAATTCTCTTGCATATCCTCCTCTTGCACCATCTCACATACACACCTATCATTTTTGCTCCAGGATTTAAACAGAAAATAAATAAAGTTAATAAACTCTCATCTGTAATTATGTCCTGTTTCTTCTTTGAACTTAGCCCATGGAACTTCTTCCATATAAATATCAGCTGTTTGTTTTACTCACCACACACTCTCTCCCTTTCATTTCCCTTTGTTTGTTTCCTAGGTTTTTATCTCCAAATCTTTTGCTATGTTCCAAGCAGAAGTCTGACCCTTGAGTTTATTTACTATTCCAGGCTCATACACCTTATTGGGTTATTTTCTTTGCAGCAATCAGTCGTTAAATACAATCCAGTAAAGATACAGCAATGATTTTTGACAACCTGACCTTTCTCGGCTTTCTTACACTTGTTTAATTAGGTAATACAGGCAGCTGTGACTTGATCTTTACAGTTTTCCTCTGGAAAAAATAGAGGTATGTTGTTTAAAGAAGGTCAGATTTGGCAGGTTTTCTAGTTACTTCAGGAACTGACAATGGAGACTCAGAAGCCTGAGGGATTTAGAAATTCTATGCTAGTTTTCTTAAACATAATTTTAAAAATATGATTTGGAAAGACCACTTGACTCATGAACAAGTTAGGAGATGAAGAGCTTTTTTCCACCCTGCCAGGGTTGTGTTGTGACCCATCTCTCTGTTTATATGCCTATTGTTTTCTTTTCTGGTTAAGGAATATATTTTGAAATCATTTTTAAAGTTCCACTCTACTTCGTGTTTTAGAAAGACATGTTTGCTCCAAGTAGAA
The DNA here is from genome assembly GCF_000001405.40 of Homo sapiens. Taxonomy (NCBI): domain Eukaryota; kingdom Metazoa; phylum Chordata; class Mammalia; order Primates; family Hominidae; genus Homo; species Homo sapiens. The sequence continues at coordinate 118,057,871 of NC_000009.12, read as the reverse complement.
TAATTCTATATCATGCCTCAAACAATATTGATGATCCAGGAAAATTAACCCAATTTGATTTAGTTCAATTCAGTAAGTATTTTTATTACATGTTTATCTTGTAATCAATCCAATGATAGAGTTATGAGTGATACAAAAAGTGATGGCTTCTGCTTTCCAGGAATGTAGTATTTTATTGTAATAATATGATACTGACATATGCCACATCTCAATAAAACTATAGGATAGTTCCTGATTATATTCCAAGAGAAGTAATCCTGTGATGCAATTTCAAAGAAGAAAGAATGCAACAGTAGATGAATTGTTCATGGAACAATAAATGAAAAAGCAGAAGTGCACTGTGTGAACTGAATGATGAATGTAATACGGCTAGATAGATGGGTGAGAGAAAGTAATTTCTGCCTGTATTAAAGACCTTGAAGGGGGACTTTACAGAGAGCTCACATGGCATAGCAGGAAAACATCCTTCCCTGGAAAGGAAGGTACATTTGAAAAGGTAGGGGGAAGAGAAGATCCAGTGAGTTTTGGAACAATTCACAACAGCTTTATCAAAAATTGGTTAACGCTGGGCACAGTGGCTCACATCTATAATCCCAGCTATTTGGGAGGCCGTGGCAGGAGGATCACTTAAGCCCAGGAGTTTGAAACCAGCCTGGGTGACATAGTGACACTCTATATCTACAAAAAATAAAAAAATTATACAGGAGTGGTGGCACATACCTGTAGTTCCAGCTACTCAGGAGATGGAGGCTGGAGGATTGCTTGAGCCCAGGAGGTTGAGGCTGCTGTGAGCTATGATTGCACCACTGAATTCCAGTCTAGGTGACAGAGTGACATCCTGTCTAAAAAGAATTAAAATTAAAAAAAAATGAGTTAAACTGTTGAAATATAAAAATGTCATGTAGATGTATCTTTTATTGCATCTTATTTTATTTTTCTTGCAATTACAAGAAAATGAAAACAACCCACGAATCCTTCAGTAATAATCTGCTTAAATACACCATGACCTTTCTATAATGGAATACTACAAAAAATGTACAAAAAGAATAAATAAAATCTCTTCATAGAAACTACAGAATATCTCCAACATATATTGTTAAGTAAGTGAGTAGAAGGGAGGTCCTGGTTAGTATTTCAAGTGAGCTACCTTCTATATGTTTAAGAGGGAAACACATAAATGTGTGCACATGTGCACAGGCACAGGTAAGCAAACACACACAGGGAGAGAAATAATAAAGGATAAAGCAAATCTAATAAAGATGCTTAAGCATAGGGTCAGGGAGGAAACAAAGTGGAGGAATGGACAAGGAATGAAATACTTTCTAAATAATAAAATACTTTTCTCAATTTGTAATCATGTAAATATTTTATGAATTCTCCTTTTCCTCAAAGACCTTAAGATGGAAAAAGATACAATAAACCAAGGGAAAAGGCAACCTACAGAATGAGAAAGAATATTTGTAAACCATGTATCTGATAAGCGGTTAATATCCAAAATGAATAACAAATATATATAAATCAACAGCAAAATAAATAAATAAATAATTTGAGTGAAAATGAACAAAGGACCTCACTGAACATTTCTCAGAAGATATAGACATAGTTAAGAGATAAAAGAAAAAATGCTCAACCTCACTAATAATCAGAGGAATACAGATCCAAACCACTTTGAAATACCGCCTCTTACCTTTTAGAATAGCTATTATTAAAAAGATAAGATAACAATTGTTAGAAAGGGTCTGGAGAAAAAGAAACCCTTGTACACTGTTGGTAGGAAGGAAAATTGGTACAGCCATTATGGAAACAGTATGGCGATTTCTAAAAAAATTAAAAATAAAACTGCTATATGATCCAGCAATCCGACTACTGAGTATATATCCAAAGGAACTGAAATCAGTACGTCAAAGAGATTTCTGCACTCCCATGTTTATTGCAGTATTATTCACTATAGTCAAGATATAGAATCAACCTATTGATCCCTCAAAAGATGAATAAAGACAATTTGATACACTACTTGAAAATATAACTATAATGTGACTATATATATAATTTGAAAATGTATATACTTAAATATATACACAATTTAAAATTGTATATATATATATATATATATATATATTTCAACCTTAAAAAAAGAAGGAAATCCTACTATTCATGGGAACATAAGTGAACCTGAAAAACATTATGCTAAGTGAAATAAGCCAGATAACATGGAGAACGACAAATATACTGCAGGGCCTCACTCATAAGTGGAATATAAAATAATCAAATTCACAGAAGCGCATTCTGGAATGGTGGTTGCTGGGGCAGGGACGGGGGAAGATGAGAAGATGCTAGTTAAAAGGTTAGGCAAGATGAGTGAATTCTGGATATACTGTTCAGCATGATGACTACAGTAAATTATACTCCACTGTGTACTTGAAATTTGCTAAAGGATACATCTTAATTGTTCACACACACAAAAAAATAAAATAGTTACTATGTGAGATGATTAAATATTAATTAGCTTGGTTGCAGTGATCATTTTACAATGTATAAATATATCAAAACATCCAGTTGTACATGTTAAAAATGTAAAATTCATATTTGTCAATTATACCTCAAAACAGAATGGAAAATCAAAGAAAATTTAATTTAAACAGGAAATAAATGAAAACATTTTTAACAAATGAATCAGACTGCTTATCAAGTTGGTGGCATTGCAACAGAGTAGCACCGAATTTTGACGTATTTGATCTCTGATGATATATATATAACTAATGACAATAAAAATTAATTAATCTTTAAACTACATTTGTTAGTCTTATTAGCAGTAATATTGATGATGCTTTCTTGAGGTGATTATATATCCATTATATATAGTATGTGTATGTATACCTATATACATATACACAGATATACATGCATATACATCTATATGCATGTATATGTAAATAATTAATATTGTATTTTTAATATTAGAAATCTAGAGAGCAAACATAATAGATACATGACAGGGGTTTAAAATCAAACAATTATGTTAAATGCTCAATTCTTAATTTTAATTGGAAATATATCAATTCATCATACTTTTTCTTAAAAAAATTTCTAGGTCTGTCTACTTATAACCCTAGGAACAATGGCAACAGAATAGAAAGAACCAACATAAGAAGAGAAAATAGATAGAGGAAGAAGTAAGGCAAATTTGGAAGGTGAAATATTAACCAAGACAAATAATCAATGGATGTTATTTTAAAAATAGAAACTTTTATCATAGAGTAAAAGAAATTTAAAAGACATAACAAATGGAATATGTAGAACTTATTTGTATTCTGAATCAAGCATGCCAACAATAAAACATATTTGCGCTTGTGTTGGGTATTAGATAATAAGAAATGATATTAAGAAGATACTTTGTCACTGTTAGTCCTTGTTATAATAGATAAACACAGCAAAGAATTTATAAGAGAAATTACTTGTTGTCTATGATTGGTTTAAAATGCTTTAGAAAAAAGTTGAGAATTTAGATGACACAAGATTAGCAAAATATTTATAATTATTGAAGGTGAATTATGAGTACCTTAAGTTTCATTATACTACTGTCTCTATTTTGTGTATATTTGAAAATTTCCACAATGAAAATAGAAAAGAGAAAAAAAAGGTAGTTAACTCTTGCCCTCAGTAGGGTCAATTTCAGATGACATGGGGAACATTTTATGAAGAGTGACAGTGTCCTTCAAAATATTTACTCAGGCCTTTAAAGTCATCGTCATGTATCAGATAACTCAATAAACTAATTTATTGTAAATTAAGTTATTAAGGCAGTTAATAATTCATTGGACAAATTTATTAAGAGTCTTCTGTGTAAGGTACTAATTATATATTGCTGAACAACACACTTTATTTGTGCTCATGGAACTTGCATCTAGTGGGAGTGAAAAAGACAGTAGAAACAAGCAAACAAATAAAATGATTATGAATTTTGATAATTACTGTGAATAAAACAAGTAAGGATCCAAGATAAACAGTATTGGAAAAGGAGAGTGGGATTTTAGGATTGTGAAGGAAGAGCCTCCATATTGAGTGATATTGAAGTTCTGAATTAAGGATATCAAGGAAATGTGAAAAAGAAAAAAAAATTTCTAAGCAAAGGGTTAACAGATACTGTGGTAGTCAGAAATCGAATAGTCTCCCAAGAATCCGGACCTCTGATACACATACACCTTCTCCTAGTTATTCAGTCAAATACCACTATAGGTACTATAGTGATGGGATTTTTCAGGTGTAATTAAGGTCCTAAATCAGTTGACCTTAAAATAGTGAGATTATCTAGATGGACCTGACATGGCTGGTGGCAGAAAAAGAAGTCAGTGATTCTGAGGCATAAGAATAATGTCATGCACTGTTGCTAGCTTAAAGATGGAGGTGGCTATGTGGCAAGACATGCAAGTGGCATCTGAAAGTTGAGAGCACACTTGGTTGGCGTCCAAGTACACTGGGACCTCAGTTCTACAAATACAAGGAACTGAACTCTGTGAACAACCAGAATGAGATTGGAAGAGAGTCTTTCTATCAGTGTGTGTGTGTGTGTGTGTGTGTTTCTATACAGATGTTACAGAATAAAACTCAGTTTGGAGAAACTTGATGTTAGCCTTGTGATATCCTAGGCAGAGAACTTAGCCACAATGTTTCAGATCATGGTGCATTGTATCTGATTTAAGTGAACATTCAGTGGAAAATGGAATGTTCTCACCTTTATAAAAGCTGGCTCATAAGAATGTGAATAGCACATTTGCAAAAGGAGATGTTTGACTCAGGAGAATATTTTAGGTTCCATTTCAGTGATCAAAATAATCTTAGGCTCATAAGTCAAGGAAAAGAGAGTTCGAATGCAACAGTTAATCTGCATGTAGATTTAATATTGCCTAGGTACTGGTTAGATGTCAGGGCAGGGATGCATAAAAATCAAGAGTGAAGGGTGTGGCATCTCTAATGTCATTGATCAGAAAGTTGATGATGTAGAAAATGACAAATTAGAAGAGGCAGAGTTGTGAGGGAGAACAAAAATTCCAGTAACATGCAAATTTAAATTAAAGTGTATAGCTAATAGTGGGTAAAAATGCTCCACAGAAACTCAAGAGAAGTTCTGGACTGAAGAAAGATAGATGGTAGTCATTTAAATAAAGCTAATAACTATGTAAAGGAATGGATTCATGAAGCAAGGGGAAAAATGAGAAATCTAAGGACTGAACGTAGATGATTGCAATGATGTACTAAACCTGGCTTGCCCAGGCTTACCTGAGTGAATTTTACACAGTTCTTCTTAACTCTATTTTTACTAACGAATGACACTGGTAGCTTGAACTAGGTCATGGTGGGAGTATTTAAATCATGAACATCAGCAAACACCACAAATCAGCCTTCTCTTCTCACCACCCCAGACAGCCAGTTGTTAAACCTTTGCTAGCACACTACTGAATATAGGAACAGGGATTTTAAAAAGACCAGCACCAAAGTAGTTTTTTTTTGTTTATTTTTTTTGTATCTAACGTAGTTGGTTGTCACAGAAGAAACTATCTTGAAAAATGTGGGCATCCACTGTGTAAATTGTTCAAGATGTTCAAAAAGTATAAATGACTTTGGTAACTATGGCATTAACGTAAGAGAGCCCTTTCAATAAAGTGAGGCCAAATGGCAAGAAATAGAGTAAAGATTATATGCTGAGAAAATAGATCATAAATAGAATGCTATTATTTACCCAAATGACAGGGTTTAGTAAATTGTTTGCTGGGATAAGAATGAGAAGATCTGAGTTTCTCATGTCATCACTATCACTTATCTCCGTGGGCCTCAGTTTCTCACTTGTAAAATCAGGGGTTTAGAGTAAGTTTTCTGAAAGGTCTGTTCCAGCTAGATTAATTGATAGTAGATGTTCCAAGATTTCCAAGGAATTAGTTAAAACAACAACAACAAAATAAAACTTCAGCATTCTCACACGCACCTGAGTCTCCTTAGACCACACTTATAATTGCATACTTTCTCCATGAACTTCCTATCTGGAGTCATCTCTTCTAGATATGAAACACATGCATCATCTCACATTTTGGTACAGGTGTTATTTAACAGAGAAAGGAGACAGTCAACGGAGACTGATTAATGTGCTGTCTCAAGGGTGGGGGGAAGAGGACTGTATTAAGTGAAGCTACTTATCCCCCCTCATCTCTTCAGGTCAAATTATTCACTTAGTGCTGTCAAGACAACTGAAGTGACTTTTTGTGGCTGAAACTTTTTAAATTCTTTTTCACGTTAAATTTTTAAATGTCTCTAAAATTATTTTAATCAAATATTCATTCAGAGAAAGGTTAACTTATTCTCCCCCGACCCCCAAAGGAACTTCATGGTAACATGTGAATATGAAATCTCCCGGGAATTTACAGATTAGACAGGTTTTGTTTGAGGGTCTGGCATTTAACACCTTGCTCTGCCACTAGCTTTTGGGCCTGAGAGCTGCCTCAGAGATCTGGAGAAGAGCATTCTAATACCTGCGACTGAAACTGCAGAGGGAATTGGAAGACAAAACAAGGTTTTGGCATTTGCCAAGGAAGAAAATGGGCCACAAGAAAATCTGGGTCCCCAAGCTGGAGCAAACAAACTCGATGGCTGATTCTAAAGAAGTTAGGCAGAGAAAGAGGATTTATTATTCCTAGATAACTCCTGGTCTTCTGACTCCGATGTCTGATGACACTAATACCAGAGTGAGAAGCACATGGGGACATAAGGTTAGTAGACCAGAGAGTGAGAAAGAATGCTATAGAAGGAGATGTAAAAGGGAAGACAATGAGGCATATCCTGAAAATATTGGCTTTGTGGTGACAATGATACATAACCAGCCACTGTCATGATACTTTTGAAGAGCTTGTTTATGTTGATTTCAAGCTCAACAAGGTGATATTGAGAAGCAGCATAGGTGAAAGGATGGTCAGATTTGTAGCTAATGTGACCCCAAGAGTAGATGAATTGGCCAAGAACATGTAGATTGAACAAATGAGAGAAATAATGAAAAATTCATGGGGGACATCATTAATTAATGGGAAAGAATGATCTGGAAAGTCAAAAGAAATGTTTGATAAGTGTAGTGGTCAAACAGGCCAGAAACGCACCAGATGAGCATGGCATTAAGAAGACAAAGGTAAGGCACTGTAATATCAAGTGTCACCAAAAGGTCAAGAGAACTGTTCAATGGATTTGAAATTAGAAAACATTAGTGGACTTAGAAAAATAATTTTTAATCAATTCTGTGTTTGGATGGGATAAGGGATAAAAACCTTAAAAAGTAGAGTAGTTTAAAAAAAAAAACCATTTTAGAGGATAATAGTCCAAAGAAAAGCATTAAAAATGACTGCTTGAGTGGAGTACAGAATGAAGAAGGATTATCTGTTTATTTACTTTTATAATGGAGAATTTCACATGCTAGTAGGCTATGGACAAAGTAGATTAAATACATAGATGAGGAATAGTTTATTGATGAAGTGAGATATTGGGGGATATTTGTGACTAAAAGGAAATAGATGTCAGAAGTTTCTGGGAGAAAGTTACTATGGGTGATAAATTCAGTGTTAATCCTAATATTGAATTGGACCAATGGGGGATGATGAATGCTATTACTATGAAATGGTATTGAAATAACTAAAGGAGCTTTTTTTCTAAAAATAATAGATTTCAGGAATGAAATGTTCTGTCTTATAAAGCATGACTCCTTCTTTATTAGAGATGTTCAATGGGAGTGTGAACAATGTGCCGCCTCCTGGCTGAAGGCCAACCAACACAAGACCAGCACACTTAACAAAATACAACCAAGGGCTCTCACATAATCCACTTCACTCCCCTACTACCTTCACCAGAGTAGGTGCTGGTATTCATGGCTGAGAGACCTGAAGATGGATCACATTGCAGGACTCTTTGCAGACACTCCCCAGTATCAGTCCAGCACCTGCTAGCTCTGCTGGGTGGCTAGATCCAGAAGAGAAATAGGAGTCACTGCAGTTCAGCTCTCAGGGGCTCCATCCCTAGGAGAAAGAGGAGAGCACCACATCAAGGGAGCACCCTGTAGGACAAAAGAATCTGAACAGCAGTCCTTGAGTCCCAGATCTTCCCTCTGACACAGTCTACCCAAATGAGAAGGAACCAGAAAAACAATTCTGGTAATATGACAAAACAAGGTTTCTTACTACCCCCTGAAAGATCACACTAGCTCACCAGCAATGGATCCAAACAAACCAAGACAAAATCTCTGAATTGCTAGAAAAAGAATTCAGAAGGTCAATTATTAAACCAATTAAGAAGGCACTAGAGAAAGGTGAAGTTCAACTTAAAGGAATTAAAAAAAGATACAGAATATTAATAGAAAAATCTCCAGTGACATCATAGATAAGATAAAGAAAAACCAATCACAACTTCTGGAAATCAAGGACTCATTTAGAGAAATGCAAAATGCATGGGAAAGTCTCAGCAATAGAATTGAAGAAGTAGAAGAAAGAACTTCAGAGCTCAAAGACAAGGCTTTTAAATTAATCCAATCTAACAAAGACAAAGAAAAAATAATTTTAAAAATGAGCAAACTTCCAAGAATTTTGGGATTATGTTAAATGACCAAACCTGAGAATAATTAGTGTTCCCAAGGAAGAAGAGAAATCTAAAAGTTTGGAAAATATATTTCAGGGAATAATCAATTAAAACTTTCTTGGTCTTGTTAGAGAGCTAGATGTACAAATATAAGAAGCTGAAAAAAAGGGAATCGAGCAATTATGTTTATGGATGCAAATGGTGGGGGCCAGATTACTCATTGCTAAGGTAAAATGTTACAGATAACCAAGGGAAGAGGCTAGAATGATTTGTATAGTCATGGATCAGAGGTGAAGACTGCAGTATGAATTCATATTTAGCTTAATAGTATCAAAATGCAGATTATATAGAAAAATTACAAACGTGTATATATGGAGATTAGTATATATTATACTTTCATTTTATTTCTCTGTCAGCTGAGAGGGCCTAGAAGCAATGACATCTCAGTAGCCATGAATGCACCTATCACTCAAACTTTGGTTTCTAATACCATTTTCTAAAAAAAGAAACCAGGACTCTTTGAAGGAATGGCTGATTCTAGGGCAAAGGCAGGGATTATATCAGATGAGCAAAACACACTTCAGTAGCAAGGAGCACATCTAGTAGGGCAGAACATATACAAGATGAGCCTGCAGAATTCTGAAGTGTTAGAAAGTAAGAAAGTTCTAAAACACACTTCAACACACATACACACACATACACGCACACACACGATGTTGGGATTATGTCAAAGGGATAGAGTAACCAACTGAAAGAGTTGTCAATAATCAAAGTTGGAACATTTGGTCAAAAAGTAAGGTAGTATTGGATTATAATCCAAAATATAAAATAAGTATGCATGAGTCCATACTGTTATAAATAATTGAATATATAAATATATGAGGGATATGCAACAAAACTTCCTTGCAGAAGAATTACAGATAGTTTGTGTAATAGTTTGCCTTTAATTACAAATATCTATCCTTTAATGTAGTAGCATGTAGCTCCATGTCTTAAGTGGGAAAAGAAAGGGACAAAAAAGAATCACTTTATAGTGGTGAAACCTGACAATCATTACCTCAAGCCAAGTGATCAAGGTGATAAGACATACTGATAGTATGTACTCTTGATATGATGTGATGCGTATGACACTTTACCTTTGTAGACTTTCTCTCAAAAATATGTTGTTTCAGTCTAATAATGAGAAAAACTATCACATCAATCCCAATTGAGACACATTCTACAAAAAATACTTGGCAGTACTCCATGAAACTGTCAGGTTCATCAAAAAAAAAGAGGAAAATCTGAGACACTGTCACAACTAGGAGGAACCTAAAGAGATATCACTATTAGCCATAATATGGTATCCTGGATGGAATTCTAAAACAAACAAACAAACAATAGAGGACATTAAGGGAAAACTGAGGGAATATTAATAAAACATAAACTTTAATAATAATATTTCACTATTGGTTTATTAATTTTCCCAAATATGCTGTACCAGTGTAAGATAATAATAAGGGAAGCAGGGTTTGTGGTATACAGGACATCTCTGTATTACCTTCACAATAATTCTGTAAGTCTAAAATTAAAAGTTTAGTTTTAAAAAATGGATAAGTAAAATTCTAAAAAGCAAGGTATTGAGGTTTCTAAACAAAAGTGTATGCCAATATTGGTTCAGCATCTGTAAATGAGTTTTTCATGGAACAGTAGTCCTGCAAGATGCCCTAGAAAAAAACAAATCATTTATTTGGTCAAATAATTTTTGAGATAAGCTGCATATTGAAAGAGCCTTTGGAGATTCACAAAGTACATTAGAATATTAAAAATTCTAAGAAATCTTTTAAAAAGATATAAATTTAATGTTGTTTACCTCAACATTAAGTTTACCTCAACTTCCCAACTTAACAATAATTTTTAAATATTACGGTCATATCTTCTAACATCTGTGGAATATATATCCCTAGAATATACTTTGGGAAATGTTTGTGGTACTATGTGTATGCTATTGAAAAAAAAAATGAGTCACATAGAGGAAAACAACACACACTGGGACCTTTTGAGGGGTGGAGGGTGGGAGGAGGGAGAGGATCAGAAAGAATAACTACTGGGTACTAGGCTTAATATCTGGGTGATGAAATAATCTGGACAACAAACTTTCATGACACAAGTTTACCTGTTTAACAAACCTGCACTCATACTCCTGAACTTAAAATACAAGTTAAAAAAAAAAGAGTCACTTATGAAGGGAATATGTGATCCTCTTGAGTTTGAAGCTATGTAGTATAACATGTAATGAAATAAACTTGAAACGGCTAGCCTGCCAAAGAGAAGGCTTTGGCAAAACACGGTATCTCCAATTCAAAGAAATGTCATGTTGAAGACAGTTTGTGTGGCTGAAGACAGTAGACTTAATTCAAATGATGAGGGGTCACGCACACACATGCATACACAAACACGCAGTGACTTTAATATAAAGGAAACTCTTCCAGCAATCACGGCTATCCAGGAATACATCTGGTAGGCATTGAGCTCTCAGTCACTAGAGGTACTCAATCTGAAGTTTGATTACCTTCCATAAGGTAAGGTGTAAAGGGAAAATGTAGAGAAAAAATGCACTAGGTAGGAGAAGAGGATCTTGAAGATCTGTCTTAGTTTTATAATTTCACTTATTTACTCATCCATTCAACAAAATGGTTAGTGCTTATTATGTGATCAGAATTATGCTGGGTTTTTGGTATAAAACATTGGCTGCCATGGTTTCTCCCCTGCTGATTAGAGTTTAATGGGTAATTGGAATAAAATGATCATTAGGAAAAAAGAAAGTTATCCTTTTCATTTCATTTTCTAGGGAGTAGAAAAATTTCCAGGGAAATGATGTCTAATAATAACTGCAAACACTTACGTAGCTGTGTGCCAAGCACCAACTACATTTATATATTAAGTAATTTAATTCTCATAATTTTATGAGGAATCTTTTATTGTTATTACCGAATTTTGAGCATGAAGAGACTGTGTGACCCAGGGGTTAAGTGACTTTCCCAAGTGACTCAGCCATTCGTGCCAAGTGATCTGTCTCTGAAGTTTGAACTCTTAACCACTATGCGCTATTGTCCAAACTAAGACTTGAAGGGTGAGTGTTCAGAAATGTGTATGTGTATAGCAGAGAAAGGGAAAGGAACAGGAGGATAAAGAAGAAAATAAATATTTGAAAAGCAGAAAGAATAATCATGTTTAATCTTTGAGAAGTGTCAGCAACTGGAGAGAATTTGAAAAATTTAAAGTAGTTTATTTTCCAGACTAAAATCATTGACGTTACATAGAAAAGAGCAGTTTTTATTTCCCTTATCCTCACCAAAACACCCACCTCCCCTACACACTTACATGCACACAGGTATAAATACACATGCCACAAGGAATTTAATTTGGAAAACTAAAAATTGCTGCTAACACCCTTTTAAATCATATCCCCACAAAGTTGAGGTTACTTCTTTCTCCCTTCTATGTATGTAGAAAAACGAATTTGGCAAAACAAAATTTTAAAAAGGTAAAAACTCCAACCATCTTCTTATTTATTTTAGATACCTGTAGCACTTGGAGACTTGAGATATGGCTCGCCTAGGAGGCAGCCCTGATGGTGATGGGGGCATACTTGCTGGAGTCGGCACAGTCCCCAAGGTCTCTGGCTACTGAAACCACATATTTGAAAATGATTGAGTTACTCTAACAATTATGAAATTGGACACCACTCAAGCCTGCAAGACTCTTTATTAGACACAGTGATTCAGAGTTTATAAGATCATAAATCCTATCTGTAAAAGGAAAACTCTGGACCCAGGCAGTCTATCACTTTTGGAAATGGAGTAAACGTCCAAAGGTTGCCCGGGGTCGAGGTCATGGAAGGTCGGGGTGGGAAAAGTGCCTTTTGACCCATACAGCTCAGGTGCTTCATACTTTGTAAAACTTTCTTTTGTCTATTTTTCACTTGAGAGAGTCAGAGAGGGTTTCTAAAATCATCATTTGATTAAGAAAACTGAGTCTGAGAGATGAAATGACCGCCCCAGATCAAACAACTTCTAAGCCATAGATCCATAGCTGGGGAACATGCTTATGCTTTTTTAATCATAACCCTGGGAGACATAACAGGAATTTGCAAATCCTGTTCCCCAAGGTGGGTGAATCAGTTATGGACATGCTAATACTGTGTAACAAATAGTTACATAATAGCAATAGCATACATGGATAAGCCTTTTATTTAGTTCATGTGTGTAAGTGGGCTGAGGTCTCGTGATGTAGACTGAGGGGTACAAGGAGGAGGCAGTGTTCCTTGTGCTTTTATCTTCCTCCTGGGACCAGCAGACTAGCCTGGGCATGTTCATCTTGGTCTCCTTAAGCACAGAAGCACAAAGAGAAACAGGCAAGCCATCTTAGGCTGAGCCTCAGAAATGTAATAATCAATTTCACCATATTTTATTGGCCAAAGGAAGTTATATGGCCAAATCCACAGTCAGGAGTAGGAAAGTACATCTCACCTACAGTGGAAGGACATCACAGATTTACACGGCAAAGAGTATAGATATTGGGAAAAATGAATTTGGGACAATAATGCAATCTATCAGAGTGGATGAAACAATTGTGGAGCAGGGGGAGAAATGGTTCAAAATGGATATCTCTTACCCGACATGGTAAGTTTGAAACACACTGAGGGAGGCTCATAGATAGTTGGCAGGAATTTTATTATGTAAAACGCTGTATATATTAATAAGATATGAAGGTTTGTTTCCAAATATACTAACGATATCCTGGCACAGTGGGACAGGAGTGTAGTTTCTGCTACTCAGCTACTTGGCAGGCTGAGGTGGTGGGAGGGTCCCTTGAATCTAGGAGTTCAAGGCCAGCCTGGGCAACACAGTGAAACTCTGCCTCTAAAATAAATAAAATTACATAAATAAATAAATACAGTACAACTCATTAGAAGATTTGAAATAGAAAAGTGACACAATCATATTTACATGTCAACAGGAGACTCTGGTTTTGAGTAGAAAATGGGTTATGGAGGTTCAAGATTAGCAGAAGAAAGAAACCGGTTGGGATGTATAATCAATAGGAAGGAGATTATGGATTAGGTAAATGGAGGTAGAGATGTGGGAATAAAATCTCATACTTCTTGAAACACCAAAAGATATTTGGAGCTGCAGTGGGAAGGACTTAGAAATTGACTGAAAATGGTGGAAGTGAGGGTTGAGGAAAATAGTGATGCATAGAATGAATGAATTAATCTCAAACTTCTGGCTTGAGTAGTTGGGGGTATAGGAGTAGAGAGGGCTGGAAACGAGGGACAGCTTTGCACTTTGTTCCATTTGCCCTAACTCCATTGCACTGTCCAGGACCCCAGATTCAAGCTGACTTTATTCTCCTTCCAGGCCGTATAAGAAGTATTTTTAAGTATGTCATTGTGGAAAATGTTAAATACATACAAAAGTAGAGAGAAAAGTATAGCAACCCCCACACATCAATCCTCGTTTCCACAATTACTCTCTCTCTCGATATATATATATATATATATATATATATATATCTCCACACAACTATATTCCCATTTTTAAAGGCCAGGTGTGATATAATTTCTTCTATAAATATTTCAATAGGTGGCTCAAAACAGTAAGAACTGTTTTTAAATATAAACAAAACATTACTTTACAACTGAAATAAATTAGCAAAAATTCCCTGATAACATAAATCAAAGTCCAAAGTTTCCTGAGTGTCTCATATTTTTATAGTGTGTCTAAATTAGGATCTAAATAATGTTCATACATTGTAATTGGTAGGTGTGTCTTCAAAAACCTCTTTTAGTATAAGAATTTCTTTTCATAATTTTTATTCTATTTATTTATATAAAAACATGATTTTTGTTCTATAACATTTTCCACAGTCTACATATTTACTAATTATGTGTTGTGATTTTGTATAGAATTCTCCTGTATGTTTCATATACAGCATAAATTGGTTTTACGACATAGACTAATCAAGTTCAGGTTTAATTTTTTTGGCAAAAATACAAAGCAGTATTTTGATAGCAGGGATAATATAAAAACAGCACTGTAGGTAGAAGAAGGATCTGTATATTAAAGCCAGTTTTTTGTTTTTTTTACTTTAAGTTCTTGGATACATGTGCAGAACGTGCAGGTTTGTTACATAGATACAAGTGCCATGGTGATTTGCTGCACCTATCAACCTGTCATCTAGCTTTTAAGCCCTACAGGCATTAGTTATTTGTCCTAATGCTGTCTCTTCTCTTGCCCCCACCCACTGACATGCCCCACTGCGTGATGTTCCCCTCCCTGTGATTATGTGCTCTCATTGTTCAACTCCCACTTACGAGTGAGAACATGTGGTGTTGGGTTTTCTGTTTCTGTGTTAGCTTGCTGAGAATGATGGCTTCCAGCTTCATCCGTATACCTGCAAAGGATATGAACTCATCCTTTTTTATGGCTGCATAGTATTCCATGGTGTATATATGCCACATTTTCTTTACCCAGTCTACCATTGATGGGCATTTGGGTTGGTTCCAAGTCTTTGCTATTGTAAATAGTACTGCAATAGACATACGTGTGCATGTGCCTTTACAGTAGAATGATTTATAATCCTTTGGGTATATACCCAGTAATGGGATTGCTGGATCGAATGATATTTCTGGTTCTAGATCCTTGAGAAATCATCACACTGTCTTCCACAATGGTTGAACTAATCTACACTCCCACGCACCGTGTAAAAGTGTTCCTATTTCTCCACGGCCTCACCAGCATCTGTTGTTTCCTGACTTTTTAATAATCACCTTTCTGACTGGCATGAGGTGGTATCTCATTGTGGTTTTGATCTGCATTTCCCTAATGACCAGTGATGATTAGCTTTTTTTCATATGTTTGTTGGTTGCATAAATGTCTTCTTTTGAAAAGTGTCTGTTTATATCTTTGCCCACTTTTTGATGGGGTTATTTGTTTTTTTTTTTTTTCTTTTAAATTTGTTTAAGTTCCTTGTAGATTCTGGATATTAGCCCTTTGTCAGATGGGTAGATTGCAAAAATTATTTCCCATTCTGTAGGTTGCCTGTTCACTCTGATGATAGTTTCTTTTGCTGTGCAGAAGCTGTTTAGTTTAATTAAATCCTATTTGTCAATTTTAGCTTTTGTTGCAATTGCTTTTGCTGTTTCAGTCATGAAGTCTTTGCCCATGCCTATGTCCTGAATGATATTGCCAAGGTTTTCTTCTAGGGTTTTATGGTTTGGGGTTTTACATTTAAGTCTTTAATCGATCTTGAGTTAATTTTTATATAAGGTGTAAGAAAGGGGTCCAGTTTCTGTTTTCTGCATATGGCTAGCCAGTTTTTCCAGCACCATTTATTAAATAGGGAATCCATTCCCCTTTGTTAAAGCCAGATTGTAGTCATTTTTTTTTCCTAGCCTGTCATGCTGGAAAGTTCATTAAGCCACCTCACATTTTAGTTATCATGGCAAAAAATGGGAATATTAATGTTAGATACTAACATGGGATGAATTATCTAATGTTTCTTATTTCGGGTTGTACAGCAAAATCATCTGAGGTTTTGCTTGTTTTAAGGTTGAAATACCTAAGCCCTATATTAACTCAAATCAGAATTTCTGAGATGGAACACAGAAGTCCATATTTTTTTTCTTTTCTTTTTTTTTATTATACTTTAAGTTTTAGGGTACATGTGCACATTGTGCAGGTTAGTTACATATGTATACATGTGCCATGCTGGTGCGCTGCCATATTTAAAAAAAAAATTCTAATATACATATTTGGTTGAGACTCATAAAGTAGCCAATAAGCACTTCAGAGGCAGGGCTTCTATATTTCTCATCAGGCTCAGGCTTATAGCTAATACTCAGTACATACTTTGGTGTGATAGCATGAATGAATAGAGTGATGGATGTATAGAGAGGATGGATAGCTGGAAAGATGGATCAATCACAAAGGGTTTAATGATGCTCTGAGTTAGTAATAGAATGATGCTAACTTCAGGATAAAAAGTTATATATATTTTTACCTAAGAAACTATTACAATGTTCATGATGTGGGTTGACATGACCAGCGCTCTAGGTATGAGTGCATTAAAGGAATATTGGATATAAGTTGAAGATATTCAAGAGAAATGTTTTTAATGAAATACAACTTGGGAGTTGGTATAAGTGAATGCCAAAATATCTGAGAAGTAATCTGGGAGATGAGTGGAATGCTGAAGGTCACTGAAACTGCATTCTCATCAGCAAAATTATTTGTATGAACGATAATCAGAGAATTGAGCCAAATTCTATTTTTCTGAATATGTTGAAAATTCAGGACTATAGCCTAATGGAAAAATCTCACTACACACACATAAACATATTCCTAAAATGTTAAAAATTTTGAATTCAGGAAAAAATACTTTAAAAATGTTTCCATAACTTACCTGTGCACAAATAGTTGCCACATTCCCTAAAAGTCAGCACAGATAACAAGCTAATCACCTCTTTTAACCATAAGGACTGTTAATCTAAAAGAACCACCTCTAAAATCTAAGTTACTGAAGTGAGTGGGTGTGTGTGTGTATGCAGGATTCTAACAGCTCATAAATCTTTGTATGATTCTACTGTGTCTGCCAGTATTTATCTTAAGGTCCCCCTTCTTGTGTTCTCACATTGCAAATGTTTCCCTTTGATATTGGTTTTATTTGATTTGATTTTGACATTTAATTGCTAAAAATTGCAAGCATTGATTTTTCTTCCTCTCATCTTGCTTGCTCTGTTTACCTAAGAAGGTTTTTTCTGAAAATCAAATGTAAAGCAACATGTGAAAGCATGTTATAGTTTATAAAACTTCAAAAATGGGAGGAATTATTTATATAACCATTAATCAAAATAATCATCGTCTTCATTATCATTATGACAGCATTGTAATTGGGGAATGTAATTCGAGATCTAAAGCAGCTCTTTTTTTGTTGGAAGGACAAGTTGTAGTTATGCCCCATTGGGCAATTATCCTCCTTACATATGGGGAGAAAGTAAGTTTTTTTTTTTTTTTATCCTAATAAAAGTAATGGTGACTGCAGTGGAAAGGCAATATAATTTCCCAGGTGAGAAATAAAGGTTAGAAAGAACCATAATCTACATATCTACAGTTGACTAGCTAAGAAGAGAAGCATGCTTTCTTGTAATCTCTCTAATCTGAAGCTCTCTCTCCCTCTCTCTCCACCTCTCCTAGATGCCAACAAAGAGAATATGAGACAGGCCACAATAAAATTATAAGAATTGTTCACTCATCTTCAACAGTGTAGAATTACTTTGCAAGTCCAGGCATTTGTTCCCCAACTGTACTTGGTAATTAGCAAGATATAAGCAAACTAAACACTCTGTGGAACTTTTCACTGCTTCTTTTTGCTGAAGTACTAGGAGCTTAATTTTTCTTTCCCTGTGGATTTTTTTCAATTATTTTTTATTATAATAAATATCTCTAGCTGCCTGAGATACTATTTTTTAATGCTTCTAATTACTAGATGTGTGATCTTTGGCAACTCACTTAACTTCTGTGAACATTTGTTTTCTCCTTTCTAATATAGACACAATTTTTGTCCTGCCTCATAAGGATCTTAGAGGCTCTAATTAGAAAATATATTTGAACACAATTTATAAGTTGAAAAAGGCAAACAAATAATGAGATATAATTATTGTAACTTAGTATCTGACCCAGTTCTTTATCAAGTTTTATGATTTTCTAGTATACATGGTAAAACCTTTAAATGTGATTATTAATTTGCCTGTGTCTAGAATTGCAGACAAATTTTTCTTGTACACCATCCCTAAATAGTTGGTTTTGGCTGCTTGCAGTGCCTTTTGGAATTAATTCTAAGTTCATTTTGGGACATTGTGGAAAAAGATTCTATGATCAATCAGCAGCATCTTCCGTGGGCACAGGGGAGGGAAGTAGTATCAAGAAAAGTGTATATTTGCTAACTCTGCACAATGTTCTAAAGCAATAATATACAGTGGCAATACATGGATGAAATTCAGTCCCAGACATGTTTTACATTGTTTGCACAAACACTTAAAAATTCAAAGATTTAATACATACATGTATACATATTCATATATACATGGATTTTTATATTCTCTTGAAAAACTGGAAGGTCTAGTAAAACTATGCCTGTCCTTACCCTATGTATTAGTCTGTTCTCACACTGCTATAAAATATATACCTAAAACCGGGTAAATTATAAAGGAAAGAGGCTTAATAGATTCACAATTCTGCATGGCTGGGGAGGCCTCAGGAAACGTACAATCATGGTGAAGACAAAGAGAAAGCAAAGACCTTCTTCACATTGTGGCAGGAAAGAGAAGTGCAAGCAGGGGAAATGCCAGATGCTTATAAAACCATTAGCTCTTGTGAGACTCACTCACTGTCATAAGAACAGCATGGGGGAACCATACCCATGATCCAATCACCTTCTACAAGGTCTCTTCCTCAACACCTGGGGATTACAATTCAAGATGAGATTTGGGTGGGGATAGAAAGCCTAACCATATCACCCCATTACAACAATGATCAAGAACTAAGTACTGTTTCATTACCCCTTTTAAGTGAAGCACATTCCCTTTAATTTTACATAGTTCCACCACTCCCTATTACCTTACTGCATTCTCCTTCACATTTGTTCTATTTTCTAAGATTCTGTAGGCATTAGGATTTCTGATTTCTGGTTTAGAGTTTTGCAGTGTGTTGGATTCATCTGCAAAATTCAGACTATGATAAAATTATCTGAGCACTGCATATTAAGATAGTTGAGTTCTGAAGACCAAAAAATTTAGATACTCAAAAATGCGGTATGGTACAGAATTTTTCATTTCAAATCCAGAATTTTAAATCTTGAAAATATCAATGCTGTTATGCATTGATCAAGCCTTTTAGCAAAAGCTTCATTAAATGAATCATGGCCAACATAGTGTAGCCAACTCCAAAGTTGGAAAAGAGTCTGTGCCCCTTTCCTTCGCCCTATAATCTCTCAGCACTTTCAGGATCTAGCCAAAAGCAAAGAAAGAGCAACATAAAATGAAGTGAGTAATTCACCATTTGTTGAGGGAACATAAATTAGCAACATTTTATGATGTCGCTTTTTTAACTAAAAATCTCCACAGATATGCTTAATGTGGAGAAGTGCATTTGTTTTCCCCTAATAAGACATACATATATCCCCCCATCCTCCTGCATCCTCTTTCAGATCCCTTCAAATTGAACAAAGTGGACTTAATTTGAATTAAACTGTCAAAAATCTCCCACTTAAATTGATGTATCTACTTCCTCAACTAAAATGGATTAATTTCTGGGCAATGTATAAGAAGTGTTGATGGATTGCATTTTGTGAACTAGAAATATTTTGCATGCATCTTCATGTCATGTAATTTAGGTATGGAGAGAAAATGAAATAGTGGAAGTAGAACAGGACAGCGTAGGGAGTAGAAAATACAAGGGGTGGGTGAGAGGCAAGGGCTAGAGGAGATGGCAGCGTTTACACTAAAACAAGGAAATAGTAACCCTCTTTAGATATTTTGAGTCAGATAAACTTTTCAAATAAAATATGCAGACTGTCTTTTAAGTCTGATGTAGTTGACCTTCAAAACCCCCTACCTGAGGCATTTTATTGATGCCTTTAATTTACCAGGATATGATTTTATATGTGCAAATGGCCATTTAAATTCAAAAAAGGAAAAGCTGAATTATCAGGAAATTTTTGAATTTAATATTGAATTTTTGTTATATTATCAAGAATGCTTTGTGTACTTTATAGTGGGGGCTACAAAAAAAAGTATTCAAATATAATGACTAGTTTCATCTTCAAAGATGTTATAATTTAATTAGGAAGCATAAAACAATTACTATCATATTTAAGGCAGAAAATAATTTGGCACTTAAGCCTGTAGTTATGGGCTAGAAATGATGAAAAAATGAAGGAAATCAATGTAAATTTGTATAAATCAGGAAGCTTCATCAATGAGGTTCACTGGCAGAAGATGGAAAATATTGTTTTATGCTTGTTGAGAAAATTGTCGTACTATTCACTAGTCTGCCTTCTGGCAGATTTGACCAATGTCATAGCTATTAAAAGAAAACTAACTAAATGGAAAGCAAAATGCCTATTTATAAATTACTTAGTGAGTGTCTGGGTCTTTTTTTGTAGGGCTGTGGCAAGTGGAGGAGTGACATAGTATGATTTAAACTTGAAGTTAAACCAGGCCTCCAATCTCTCTCTTATTTTAACTCTCTGTATTGAAACCCATACATGCAGATATGCAAAAGAGAGTGAGCCAAGGGAGTTCCAAAGAGTAGGTGCCTACTTCATGACCTAGCCCGCATGAGTGAGGCACACAAAGGTGTGCCTTGCTGATCCATTCAAAGGCAAGCACAGAGAAAATAACATGACATCTTGCAAGCCCTAGCTGAGTTGCTCACTGTATGGAGAAAGAAAAGGCAAGAGAGTCTTAGAAAATTTCCATTTACAAACACTAATTGTTATCACTGTCTCTGACCACTTGTAAAATGTAGTTCATTAGATTCACATCTCGTCCTTTTCATGGGGAAAAACGTACATGGTTGGAAGAGTCAAAGCAAAACAGAAATTCCCTACTTTATGGACTGAGGCCAAAGTATGAGATGAGCAGAAAAAGTATTTCCCACAATTAAGGAAATGAACTGTGCCATCCACCTGTAATGGTTCTAAGGGAATCTAGAAACATTTGATTGTGTCTTTGACCTTCAATTTTCCCTTGGTGTTACACAATAATTTGAAGAATCTCTTTCAACAAAATGTCTCATCTGTTGACTATCAGAAATATATGTTTTAACATTTTCATGACACATGATAAAAATATAAATCCTTTGAGTATTCTGCATAAAATTCATAGCTCATTTAAAGAGAAATGAGGAGGATAGGAAGGTACTCAAATGATCTTAGGGTATGAGAAAAGATTGAAAAACATATGTGGATATTAATGCTGGTGGGATAGAGGAGGAATGTGATCACTGTCTTCAAATAGCTATAGCAATGTCATGGGAAAAAAACAATTACCCTAATTCTTTATGACCCAAATAAGTGAAAATAAATGCAATCAAACTGTGTCACAAGGTAATAAGCTTCCAATCATAGGAAATATGTAAACACTAACTTTTTGGTAACTTTCCGGAGATGTGGTAGAGAGTTATTTTTCAAAGGGGTAAGATTCTCAAAAGTGTTAAAAGCAACCATCTAACTGTGAAATTATATGATTCTATAAGTCTAATTCTTAAACTGTTAAACCATTTGTGATATTGTGAAATATATATTAGGTTTTGGTCCCTGTTTCCTGTCATACAAGTCCTAACATCTTTAGAATCTCCAAAGTAATGTCTTTTTGTGTGCTATCGAGTTGACTGGTGGCTGGCTGACCCGGTAGCTTCAGCATGGGATCTGGTCACTGTAAACACCAAGACGTGATTACAGGGTTTGGTGTTTTACCTCCATTCCCCAACCTCCAGGGCTGAAGGTTAAATTAGTCACCAATGGCCAATTGTTTAATCAATCATGCCTACACAATGAAGGCTTCATAAAAACCCAAAAGGACAGGGCTAAGAGAACTCCCCCAAATAGCTGAATATCTGGACAGTGTTGGAGGGTGGTATGTTCAAGGAGGCCATAGAAGCTTCATGATTCTTCCCCGGTACCTCACCCTATACAATTCTTTATCTGTATTTTTGTAATATCATTTTTAATAAACCAGTAAATGTAAGCATGTTTCCCTGAGTTCTGCAAGCTGCTCTAGAAAATTAATGAAACCCAGAGAAGGGGCTATTGAAACCCCAGCTTGGAGCTGGTGGATCAGAAGTTGTAGAGTCCCAGACTTTTGGCTGGTATCTGAAGAGGCATACAGTCTTGTGGGACTGAGCCCTCAACCTGTGGGATCTGACTCTATCTCCAGGTAGACAGTGTCGAAATTGAATTGGAGGACACCCAGCTGGTGTCTCTTGCAGAATTGATTGTTTGCTTATTGATGGGGAGAAATCTCCACACATTTGATGACAGAAGTTTTCTGTGTAGATTGTTAAGTGAGAGAAAAAAAAGTTTGTTTACCTTTTATTACTTGTTTTTTTGTTTTTTACTTTTTTGTTTACTTGTTTATTTATAATCATTATTCATTATTACTAAACTTTAGTTACAGAAATCTTACCTTCAAATCTTAACTTCTTCCAGTATGTTTCTTTGAATATATAAGTCTAGAATGAATATTATCCTTTGTTACAAGAGTCATGTGAGTCCACTTTTGGAAGTTAAACACCTGTTGTTCTTGGTTAAGACTGGTCTGTGTTCAAATGGAAAGAGGATACTACTTCCTAAGAAGCTGAGTCATCCAATCTTACGGCTTTAAATGCCATCTTTATGCATAAGAAACCCAAATTCATCTCCAGCCCAGAGCTTACATTTGAACTACATATTAATAATGGGAACTGCTAACTAGAAATTTTCTTTTTGATGTGATGGGCATCACAAACAGTATTTCCAGAAAGAAAAAAAGGCAAAAGTGAGGTGCATATATCCACTACACCCTCTCCATTTAAAAGACCTTGTCTCCCCCAGTATTTTCAATCTGAGTAAATGGCATTCATATCTATTTTAGTAGCTCACATCAAACACTTGGAAGTCAATTTTGATCTTTTTCTCATTCTCTACCACCAAAAGCTCTTCTGGTTCTTTTAGTTCTTCTTCAAAAATATATGTCACATTTATCTTCTTTTCAATTGCTTGCTCCCACTCTAGTCAAGGCTGCCATCATAAATCCCCTAGCTATTGTCTCTAACAGTATTGTCTCTGATTGATCCCCCTGCTTCCACTTTTAAGTCTCTCCAATCCATTCTTCACATCACAGTCAGAAGAGGGAAGAAACGGCAAGGACAATGACATGCTTGAGACCATTGCATTTGAAAAACAAACATAAACAAACAACAACAACAACAAAACTCTTTCAATTGTAAAAATGTTGTTATCTTTATTTCCGCATTGCACTGACCTAGCTAGTGCTGAATATGGTGGGAGCCATTTAACAAATTTAATCTACTTGTACTCAAAAAACAATTCTTATCTCCAGGATTTGAGTTGAGGAGGGGAAGGATGAAATTTGTCATTGATTGACCCAATAAAAATTGACTCTTACTTTATCCCAAAGAAAACATCCTTCACTCTTTTCTCTCTGTGTTTGTCAAAAAAAAAACTTAGATTTAGAAGACTACAAGGACAAAAAAAAAATCATCCACTAATTTATTCATCCATGTCATTCATTTGTTCGTGGTACTGTTAAAGAAAAAATTATTCATGACACTTGTTAAAGAAAGTAAGAAATATTGTTTTCAAGAGAGACTACTGTAATATGGGTTTTGCAATAGAAGACAAAAGTTAAGTTCAACTCTAAATACAATAAGAACAAGTTGAGATTTATAGCTAAGGAGTAGGATGAGGATTCAGTGGATAGAAAATTACTAAAAGAAAACATCAAGGCTAGAGATATCCTTACTGAAGGCAGGTCAGAGTGATACAATATCCAGGACTGGGGATAAGGCATTTGATCAGATACCAAGGATGGGGGACTTTCTCTAATCTGACAGAGCAGGACTATTGCTAATATAGGACTAAGCAGGACAAAGACAGCACCTGAGGTTGGACTTAGTCAAATGGAAGACTCAGCAGGTCCTGATTCAAGTTTGCTCAAGGATAGTGTCTTTGTCACTATCCATGCTTTCTGAACATATATTCCAGGCTCTGAGCTAGGGAACAGTGATACAAATAATGACAAGTCAGACATAGTCCCTACCTCATGTGCCTAACAAGCTAATAGGAAATAAAATTACTTTAAAAAAAGTTTACTCATTTAACTTCTTCAAGCCGTAGAAAGAGCCAGAATGAAAAAAAAAATTACTGAGGTCAGTAAGGGAATACTTAGAGACAATTGCCAGGTGAGTTTTCTGTTCGTTTGCCTTGTTTTTTAATACCCTCAGTTACCAATGAAATTAACCCGATCAATGCCCTAGCAATTTATTATCCACCTCTCCTAACCTTAGAAGTAAACAAAATAAGTGGTACAGTCACGAAATAGAAGTGGAGGAATGATGCTGAAAGGAGAAAGGAAGTAGGAAAATATTTTTAAAGTACCTAATATGTGATTGAGAGCCTTGATTTATCTTCGAGTTTTACCCTTGCGTCTTCAATGTGAGGCAGAAATAATTATCCCACACTATTTCACAGAAAATGAAAGCATCTCAGAGATGGCAAGAAACTTGCTCATGATCTAATAGATATACAAAGTAGCAAAACTCAAATTTAAACCCCAATTCATCTCCTCACTCCCAACACAGGCATTGATTATATCCTACAACATTTGTATCTTCCATCAGGCCCAGTTCCTTGGATCCATACAGAAGAGATTATTGAGACCTTAGAAATAAGCTGAAGACTGAGAGGAGTTCCTGATGCTCTCTGATCACGGTTCTTTCCAGATACTTGCCAGTTGAGCTGTCTTGCAAAACTTTTTATTTCAAAGTCCAATGGGAATTTCTATAATTATGCCCTGCCTTTTTCCAGCTTCTGCCTTTCACTTTCCTGCCCTCCTGGCCTCTCTCAAATGGAAATTAATCCAGCCTCTAACAAGCTGTCAGTAAGTAAAGATTTTACTGTGATTATTGCTTAGGAAAAAGATATTGCCTTTCTCCCCCTGCCTCCAAATGCCTTATTTGCAGACTAGAAATCATGGGGCATGTGTCCAATTGATACATTTCTCTTCAAATAGAAGATCCAATGCTAAAGTGGGATGCAAATTTAATTATTCCACATGTACAGAACAGAAACAGAATCTCATTGTTAAATTTGTTCTCCTATGTTGGAAAGATTAAAAACAAAATATGTTGAAGTGGTTTGTGTGAGCGGAATATATTTCAGCTCATAAAAATGTGAGGCAGTGAAATAAGGGCACCAGAGGACTTACTTCTACCACACAGAATTGTCATTATTTAAAAATGTTTC
This sequence comes from Homo sapiens, assembly GCF_000001405.40. NCBI lineage: Eukaryota > Metazoa > Chordata > Mammalia > Primates > Hominidae > Homo > Homo sapiens. The sequence continues at coordinate 118,032,200 of NC_000009.12, read as the reverse complement.
TTCTCAGAAATCTTTTTTTTCCTCACCTGTGTACTTCCAACATTTCTATAATCTTCTCTGTGATGATTTCTCTAAATAATCCCCTTCAAACACTTTGTCTTCCAGCCATGCCCATATAATATAATATGGAATAAAATGGTGATAAAATTAATTAATTGCAACATAAATATGAGTCCAGCAGTCAAGAGCCTGACCTTAACCTCTACCTAAACTCAAACGTTGGCTTCATTGCTTCACAGTTATACAAACTCAGGCAAGTTACTTGACTTCTCTCTGCTTCTGTTTCTTGCTCTATAAAAGGGCACAATAATGGTACCCACTTCCTAAAGTTTTTATGGAGTAATGAGTTAATACAAGTATTGTGTCTAGAACAGTGCCTAGTACTTAATAAACACTCAATAGAATGTTATTATCCCGTACCTGCCTCCTTTCCTCTTTATCACCTCCTTCAAGGTTCAACTGAAATAATTTCTATGCTATAAAACCATTTCACCAGCCAATAGTTAACTTTTCATCCCTAAGTTCCTTAAAACATTGTCTCTGCCTCATATATCACAATTTATCATGTTCTTTCTTGGGTTATATCTATATATATATATACAAGTTACTCCATTGCTCCTAAGAGTGAAGAGAAGAGATCATCTTACTGCTTTTACAGAGCAGGGAGAAAGTAAGTGCTTGCTGATCGATGGAATGAATAAAAGGACAAGGAGTGTTTTAATTAGAACCCTTGAGGGCTTACTATATATACCCAGGCCCTGTGCCAAGAATACATTATCTTATTTAATCTTTGCAACAGTTTTGGAGATAGGTTTTATTATTTGCAGTATATAGATAAGGGTTTGGGAGGTCAGAGAACTTTAATGACCTTGACCAAGGACACATGGGAAATAAGAGGCAGCATAGGCATTTGAGGTTACATAGCTCTGTCTGGCTAACACCTGTTAAATTGAGATTAGCTTACAGCTGCCTCCTTACACATCTTAAGCTCAGCCTAAAAGTTATGCCATACCTAATGAACCATAGCCTAACTGGATGTGTAAACAGACTAACCTACTCTTGTAACAAGTAGCTGAGTCTCAGCCAATCACAGCTTGGTTGATGTTGGCCAATCACAGGTGACCAACTGTTCAAACCGTGTTCAAATAATGCAAAGCCAAGCTATAGCCCTCTAGCTGTTTCTGCACCTCACTTCCATTTTCTATGCATCAGTTTCCTTTTTTCTGTCCATATGTTATCTGATCACTTGGAAGCCCTGGAGTCCTTCTGAACTGGGGGCTGCTCAGTTCCTTCTTTGCTCAGTTAAACTGTTGAATTCAATTTGTCTGAAGTATTTCTTTTAACACTCTAAAGATCATATTTGTACCTACTAAGCAAAATTGTCCTAGGAGTCCCCACATAGGCATGGGGAAGAGCAAATTATGAAATAGTGCTGTGTGAGATTGGAGTTTGAAATTCACTGAATTTCTTACAGATGCATTTCTTCTGTTAGCAGGAAATACTTCAAACCAGAAATTTTGTTAATGAGCACATTTCATAAATCCTAGCTTGAGATGGAGGGAGAGGGAGAAGAGAGTAGCATTCTCCCCTACTCATCTGATATGGTTTGGCTGTGTCCCCACCCAAATGTCATCTTGAATTGTATCTCCCATAATTCCCACGTGTTGTGGGAGGGAACCCGTGAGAGATAATGGAATCATGGCAGCAGTTTAACACAAGCTGTTCTCGTGGTAGTGAATAAGTCTCATGAAATCTGATGGTTTTATAAGAGGAAACTCCTTTCACTTGGCTTTCACTCTTCTCTTGTCTGCCTCCATGTGAGACCGTGCCTTTCACCTTCTGCCATGATTGTGAGGCAGCGTCCCCAGCCATGTGGAACTGTGGGTCCATTAAACCTCTCTCTTTTGTAAATTGCCCAGTCTCAGGTATGTCTTCATCAGTAGCATGAAAATGGACTAATACGCCATCTCAAGTATATCTGTCTCTGGGGAAGTGACTGCTTTCTTGATTACTTTTATCTCCTCCTTCCAAACTCTGGTTGTCTCTTAGGTCTCAGATCAAGCCACTCCCACTCCCACCCCTTCCTCTCTGCTCCAGCCAATAGATCTATTTAAAATTATTTGCATTGGTACCCTTCTTTTTCTTCAAGCTTCTTTGACCACCATCTCTTCTGTTTTCACTTTGACTCCCAAATGCTTTCCCAACCACTCTGGAAAGTTTTCTCAATCATTCCACTAAATTCACTGCATTGAATTTGCTTATTTATTCTTCATTTTCTCCTCACCAGTCTACATCCTCCCAGAAAATAGGTATATCTTCTACCTTATTCACAGTTAAATCTCCAAACTGAGTGTACCCTTTCTTGGCCAAGAGGACCCAGATAAACCTTAAAATTGAATTCCTGGTCATGACAGGATGGGAAGTGAGACATGCCTCAGGATGCCCCTCCATTATTAACCTTTAGCCAGAATTCTCTCCTAAGGAGTAAGCAGAAAACAGCCCTAGAAGACAAGAAACAGATGATTCATACCTTTATCAACTTTGGCCAGTCACTGGAGACTGCAACCAGACTCCCCCTCCTGCTTTGCAGGTTAACTTGACAACTCACCAGTTTCATAGCTCATTCCTTTCTTATAAGAGACCATGGATCACTGAGTGGTTCTGGCCAGTCTACAGAGGCTGTGCAGTGAGGGTTTCTGGGTCCCATGCTTTACCTTTTGATGTCAATGGGCCAAAAATCCCACCCTCAAATTACACTAATGCCACCATTTTTTTGAACGTGCAACTCATGGAGAGGCATTAAGCTCAATTGTGCATGTGCATGTTTCTCCTTTTATAAACATTTTGACTTTTCCTATAGCTTGATAAATATGTATATTTGGTCTCCCCATTTAGCATAAATTTCTATCTTCTGCTTTCCTCCCTGGAAGTTCTTGCTCTTGGCTTCTGGCTGGAGGCTATGCTTCCCAGAATGTGGGATGCCCAGCCTGCAGGCTGAAATGCTTTATGAAAAATAAGTCTTTCCCTTCCAAATTTATAAGCCCCCTGATATTTAGTTGACAAACCTTGTAGAGGTTTAAATACCTCAAAAACTTTAGAAAACTGTAATTACCACTTTTCCTGCTCATACCACCCTGCCTCCACTCTCTCTAACAGCATATAAAAGGGAAAAAAAATTAAGGCTGATGTTACCTGGGAAAAAAAGCCCAGGAAGACCTTTTAGGAAGGAGAAGAGATTTTCCCCTAGTAATACAGAAACAGACGTCAACTCCTTTCCTTCCTACCTTACAGCTACAGTAACAATAATGTGCCCTAACATTTTAGTCTAGGCACACTGTTTCTCTTAAGTACACATAAAAATCACCTAGAGAGTTTGTTAAAACAAATTCCTAGCTTCTGATATGCAGAGATTGGGCCATGTGAATCTCAGTGACCTGAATCCCTCATACTTCTTTATGGCTCCTCTGCCCCAGAAAAAAAAAAAAAAAGAAAAAAAAAGTTAAAATTCATGTATCAATTATAAATAATTGTGTCTCCATTAAGCACAAGCAAGTGATTCCTCATTGTCTCTGTCAAATAAAACCACCCCTTAACTCAAGCGGTTTTCTTCAGAAAACACAGCTCCACTTCCTCCCACCCTGAACTCAGTTAGATTAACATTAATGATTCTTCCTTTCAGATGGGCCCCAGAGCATTGGACCCTGCCAAGGCATTTGCCACTTAGAATGATGCTTGTTATGGCCTCTTGCTTGCAACATGGCTCTATCTCAATTTGGAAGTAGCAGCTGTTTAACAGATGCTCGCCCACTTAGACTTAGCCCTAAAGGTATGGAGAGAGGGTCTGGTAGGCCAAGAAAAGAGAGGAGAGCATTGCAGATATATTATGATAAATTCTAGAAGCTGGGAGCATAGATCCTGGAAAGAAAAACCACCATTGAGCTTTATAGTTGACTTTGAGTGATGAAGACTGAGCAGTTATTTTGCCTTTCCAAGGAATGTGTGTCAATATTTTAAATAATTTTAACTACTCCTTTTTTTAATTTATAAATAAAACACACACAAAAACAAGAATTAAATGTCTACATGTTCTAACTTCCTTTCTCCATTTTAGAGTTCATCCTTGTTTATAATGTCTTATGTATCCTAGAATTTGTACAAATATCAGAGCGTTTAATATAAACATTTTCTGTTTTAAAATCACAAATGACATTATATATAATATTCTCTACATTGATTAAACATTTTTGTCACAGAATCATGTGCTTCCAAAAAACAACGTGTATATTTAAGTGTATAATTCATTGACTTTTTATAAACTGAACTCTCAGATGTAACTAGCTGCACAAAGACCATAAAACAGAACAAAACAGAATTTTAGGAGTTCTCTTGTGCACCTTGCTTTTTCATTTAATGAAACAGCTCGGCAATCTCTTCATTCAGCCTATATGAATCTACTATTTTTTTAATAGCTATAGAGTGCTTGGCCATATGGCATTGCTATAAAGAAATACCTGAAACAGTGTAATTTATAAAGAAAAGAGTTTTAATTGGCTTGTGGTTCTGCAGCTGCACAGGAAGCAGGGCAGCATCTGCTCAGATTCTGGGGAGGCCTCAGGAAACTTACACTCATGGCAGAAGATGAAGGGGAAGCAGGAACATCTTACATGTCCAGGGCAGAAGGAAGGGGCGGGGGCAGGTGCCACACACTTTTAAACAATAGGAGGAAATCTGCCCCCATGATGCAATCACCTCCCAGCATGCCCCACCTCCAACACTGGGGATTATAATTCAACATGAAATTTAGGCAGGGACAAGATCCAATCCATATCAAAGAGCCATATATTTTTTAATGACTGGGCTATTGATGGACATTTAGGCAATTTCCAGTTTTGCTTTGTAAATATCTCCATGAAAATTCTTGCACGTGGATCTTTGTACACTTCTGAGATTTCTTTAAAATGTACTCTTGAAGAAGAATTGCGATAACAAAAAAGTGTCTGTATTTTAATTGTTACGAATATTTTAAAATTGTCCTGCAAGAAGTTAAGGAATCTACACTAATCCACACTCCCACAATGGTACCAGCTTCAGAAAAATATAGTTTAAAAAATGCATGCTAAATATATACTACTTAGAATATGCTGATAAACAAACAAACAAAAAACTAAACATTACCAGCAGTCTTATCTCTTTGAGGTAACTCGTTATTTATTTTTGTGAACTTTTGGAATTTTTTTCTTAGGTTCAAATGAGGAGAAAGTTTGGTTGATTTGAAAAGGCATCGTGAAGAGACAGTCAGCCTGAGGATACAAGCTCAGTTGATGTTCTGGAAGAGAAAGCTGATCTCTTTCAGTTTAGCACCGAAACCTTTTCACTGCATCATTTTGGCAGCTCCTAAGGCTGTTTCTCCTCTCCCTTTAGACTAACAAACTCATGGCCTGCAAGGAAAGAGGGAGTCATAGACTTATCCAGGAAAGGAGGCATATGGACTCAGCGGCATGCCCAAAGGCCCAGGTACCCACTAACTGAGCTGTGGGGCTTGTTATGCTGCCTGTGCAGGTGACCTACAGGCATCATGGGATCCATTCATTAGAGCCCAGATGCTCTGATAAAGGGAATAGTGCCTTATGCACTGTCACAGAGAGAAAAACTCCTTTCTTTAACTTTCCATGCATTTTTCACTGCTGACGATCATTGAATAATATCTCTACTTCATATATCTGGGAGTAAAATGTTCACAAAAACAGTCTGTGTGAGAGATGAGCTGTCACAAAACAGAGCAGCAGATAAAGTCTGATAAAGTTCCTGCTGTATCCATCTCCCTTTCTCACTTGCAGTTGGTACTGGTTGTACCTGTGACACCATATATCTAAGCAAACAACATGAAAAGTTCTCTCAGAAGTATTTCTTCTCTACCATCTACCTTCTGCCATGGAATTCCTGGCAGAAGAACTCAGAATGGCAGAGATTTTCAGAGGTGAATGAGATCACAGAGACCATGCGGTGTGGGACTTCTCCAAAACTTTCAAATTGTATGTAGACTGTGCTTAAACATTGCTTCTAAAGGCCCAGCATTGGCAGAGGTTATGAATAAAATCTGGAATGGGGTCCAGGAATATACATTTTTTACTAAGGTGATGCTGATACAGCAAGACCTCTAGTTTGCATTTAGAAAACATCATTTGAGTTCAAACCTCCAAGTGAGTAAGTGAAGAAACTGAAGTCAAGTCCAGTGAGTATTCTATTACATTATACCAAAGAAATGCTTTGTTATTCACCCTTCCAAAGTCAGAACTCTGTTCACATAAGCTCAGAGTATTTCCTCACAAGATACTTACTAATTTATGAAGGACATACAGTCACTTGACAGCAGACAAAACTGGCAGACCCTTTCCTAACCAAGTGATCAAAGTTAATATCATCAGTTATGAACAAATCAGTAAATGGTACAGATGAGACAGGGAAAAGATGCAATAAGAACACAGCATCATTTTTATGGCATCCTTGCCAAAAAGGTGTAATCTAAATTTTTCATCATAGGAAATATTTGCCCAACCCAAACTGAGGTATATTTGACAAAATAACTGGCTAATATTCTCCAAAAAATGTCAAGGTCCTAAAAGACAAACAAAGAAGCTAATGAACTGTCACAGATTAAAGGACACTTAAAGGACACATGAGGACGAAATATATCATTCAGGATTGGGTTGTGAAACAGAAGATGACATCAGTGGAACAAGTAGGGGAATTTAATAAAGTCTTTAGATACTCATATGTTATCAATGTTAATTTCTTATTTTAATAATTGTACTATGGTTATACATTAACATTTCTGGAATCTGGGTAAAGGGCATACTGGAATTCTTTTCACCAGTTTTGCAATGTTTTTATAAGTCTGAACGTTTTTCAAAAATACAAAGCTTAAAAAACAGAAAAATTAAAAGGTAAGAACTCTACTGTACTCTCAGACTCCATAAAATTTAAGAGATAAAGAAATGGTAAAGACATTGACTTATAAAACTGATTTTTGCCTCTGAAACTTGAAGAATAGAGACAAAGGCTGAGGCATAAGACAAGTTTTACAACTTTATTTGGTGTCCTTGGATAAATCATTAACTTCCTTTGGCTTCAATTTATTACATAAAACCATTATTAAATATAGTCAACTATCACATTATTTAACATTCAATAAAATTACTTGATTGTGTCCTTCCCTTAATAAGTAGAATAGGTTGCAGATGGAGAGGAAATGTATACTAGGCACTAGAATACCTCCCTACAATACTAAAACACTTTTACTTCATCCTAGATGACAATTTAAATCTTAGACTGTATTTCTCCTCTAGAATAGAATCTATATGTAAGTTTATCTTGTTTGTAGCCAAAATCGCAGCACCTAGGGTAGTTTGCTGTCACAAAATATTTATCCTTTAAATATCTCCTGAATAAATTAATGAACGAACAAATCTATCTTTACCTCTTTGCTGGACCATACCAAAATTTATTCCTTCTACAAATTCCCAAATGTTATGAATTGGCAAAATCTACCCTATTTTATTGTTCTTTCTTAATTGTTTGATACTTGGCCATTGTTCTTTTTTTTTTTTTTGAGACGGTGTCTCGCTCTGTTGCCCAGGCTGGAATGCAGTGGCGCGATCTCCGCTCACTGCAAGCTCCGCCTCCCGGGTTCACGCCATTCTCCTGCCTCAGCCTTCGAGTAGCTGGGACTACAGGCGCCCGCCACCACGCCCGGCTAATTTTTTGTATTTTTAGTAGAAACGGGGTTTCACCATGTTAACCAGGATGGTCTCTATCTCCTGACCTCGTGATCCGCCCGCCTCCGCCTCCCAAAGTGCTGGGATCGCAGGCGTGAGCCGCCGCGCCCGGCCTTGGCCATTGTTCTTTCAGGCAGTATTTTAGCTGTCCTTCGGCGCAGTTGAAGATTCTGTAACTGGGCGTTTGCCATTCAAAATAGGTAGAGTTGCACATTCAAGAGGGAAACAGTCCTGAGGCATTCTCACAGATAAAGGTAAGTCAAATGTTTAGGAAGCACTTTAACTTGAGCTTCTGGAAGGTAATCTCTAAGAATGCCATGCCTAAAAAGAGTTTCTTTCTTTGCATGGTGGCTGTGGGTTACACTAAATGGTCTAACAATACGATTTAGGGTGAGGCCTGGCCAGAATTTAGGGCTGGGGCTAGTCATGCCAGGAAAACCAATAATGTTACCTGAGGTGAGGGCTTTGGATCATGCACTATCAGTCAACCTGTAGACTGAGATCAACCACATGGGCAATCAATCAGTCAATCCTATCTACATCATGCAGTCCCAGTCAAAATTCTGAACAAGGAGCCTTAGTGAGCTTCCGTTTTTGGCAGTCCTCCAAGCATATTGTCATACAACATTGGCAGGAAGGTAACACATCCTGACTTCTCAGGGAAAGAGTAACAGAAGTTCCACCAGGGAAATAAAGTGGAGTCAGATTTATAGAAGATGTTAAGGTATGAATAAAGAAGTATGTCAGTTTTGTGCGTTCTGTGATAACCTAAAACACAGAGGAAGAAATTTCAGTGAAGGAGTTCAAATCAGAATGCAAAACAGTAACTAAAAGTTCTGAAACATTGAGCAACTTGGGGGAGTGTCACACAATACAAAAATTAAGCTCTAATAATCTGCAAGAGTCCTTTAATTCTGTTGTTATAAAGATGATACTGTATAGGACTTGTAAGGAATTCCATGTTCTCATCTCTGGCTACTACTCTACTTCTCTCAAAGTTTTTATCATAGTATCATATACTACAACTTGAATGATTTGGTCTTATTTTGTACTTTCTTAAATATGCCATAGTCTGTGTTTATGTTGTTCCTTGTGCTTTGAATGCTTTTCCACACTCTCTTTGTCTGACTAACTCATGGTTATAACTTAGGAAACACTGCCTCCAGAAAACCTTAATTGTCTCCATGTTTGGCTGAGATATTCCTTTCTGTGGTCCACAAACTTGATATTCTTGCTCTTTCATAACACTTATGCCCTGGTATTGTATGTGTCTGCATAAACTCTCTACCTGGCTAGATTAAATGCTGACTAATTAATGGCAGGAAATGTGCTCACTTTAGTCATCACTGAATTCTGCACATCCAGAACACTTCTTTTATATATGTAATGAATAAATGTGCACTATTTGTTAAATAGCTGAATAAATACATTTTATAAATACTGCTTTTGGCTTATTCATTTTTATTTTATTTTTTTAGGAACAGGGTCTTGCGTTGTTGCCCAGGATGGCCTTGAACTCCTGGGCTCAAGCAATCCTTGAGTAGCTGGGATTACAGGTCTGCACCGCTGTGCCCTATTTATTTTTAACAAGGGGCATTATATGCCACTTAACTATCTGATATTTCCATCATAAATTATGATTGACATTTCTCTGTTTATTTTAAGCTGGGAATAAGCTTAACTCTCAAGAAAGATTCTCTGGAGATTATGGCTCTTTTATTGTATGGACTGATCTTAAATCAGTACCTTAGTGTGGTATAGCAAAAGAAGTTCTGGACTGAAAGGGAGGTGACTGGATTTCATAAGAAATCTAGCAACAAATTCTGTAACTTAATGACTATAGTATAAGACTGCTTTTTCTACCAAGTGGACATCAAGTAGACTGTAAATATTAGCAATCTCTCCAGCAATCCCTGAGATCAGAGAATCTCTATCTCAGAAGAGTAGAAAAGCTTATTTGCTAGCCAAATGAAGAGTAGTCTCCTGTCTTATCTATTACCAATGTTGCCTGGACTGAATTTGTTACAGTGACTTTTTTTTTTTTCAGTTTCTTTTTCCCTTTCTCAATGAGGAAGACATTTGTGGATTCTTTCTTTTTTCTCTCTCTCTCATTTTGCCTTTCTCTCTTCCTTCCTGCATGCCCCAACTCTCAGGATCTCTAGTGCATTATTAACTGGGACTTGTTCAATTAAAGGGGACGTGGACCTTCATATTTCGTGGTTCCTCAACAACGATCAGGCTGGCAGGCCCAGGAGGAACTGCAGTCCCTGAGACACTGGCTGCATGAGCTAACAGGAAAAGATGAGCAATAAAAAGAGATTATGAGAGAAATCAATAGGTTCATACTGGCCCCATATGTCCACAAACATCTTTTTGCTGCTGGAGAATCACTTCTGAGATTGTAGCCATCATTACTGCAGTATTTATTTCTCTCTCTCTGACCCATCAAATACCTGCCTAGAATCAGGAGTCTATTTGGTTCTGGCGTTTTAAGCTCTCTTAGTTCTCTATAGGTCAGGTTTTTGGTCTTTTCTCTTATTTCCTAACTACAAGCCAGAGACTACAGTTTGTTTAACTGGCTGACCACAGGCCTGAAATATTGTGCAAGAAACTGTGGAATTCACAGGGAACTAGGGATTGGTCGTAGTGACTTTATTCTAATTCTGAGCTTCAAAGATTCTGTGGCTAAATGAACATTTTATCTAAGATGAAAAACTTGCTGTTGGTTTCATAAAAACATATTTATTCAACAAATATTTATTGGGCATGGTGTGTCTGGTATTAATTTATGTTTTTGGCTTCATTGATTACATCTAACTATTTTGTAAATTTTAGAAAGGTTCTGCCTGGTGATTTAGAAAGGTTCTGCCTGGTACCACACTCCTGATAGCAGACATAGTCTCTGAGCCTCCACATTCTGTAGTCATTTATCGTGATGTTTCCCAAGGTGTGGTGCAAAACCATCTGTCTCAGACAAGCTGCTAGAGTGTAGTAGTTATGAATATGACTCTAGAGCTGAATTGCACCTCAGCCACTTACCATCTATGAGACATTGGGCAAAGCACTTAATCATTTAAAATCATGTCTTGTGGAGTAAGTCCTGAATGATGAGCAACTATCAGAATTATCCAGCAATTCTATCAAAATGCATATCTAGAGATGTTTTAGTGGTGGACTGACTGTCTGCAGCAAGATGATCTTTATTTATTGAAACTTGCGGAAGCACTGAATTTTATACTTTCCCCTTAAATTTTCTCATTTTTTCTTCCCCCCACTTCTATCAATGACTGGGTTCAAATCTGATCCTTTCATTTTTCATGATGTATAATTTAGGCAAGTTTCTTGAACTCTCTGATACTCAATTTTTTTCACATGTAAAAAGAAAGACAATATTTTCAATGTTTCTGGTGATGATGAATGAGGCGAGGATTAAATACCCAATAGAATGGAAGAATACCCAATAAAATGAAATACCCAATAAAATGAGAATACCCAATAAAATGAAAGTCATCATTTGTTACCATGTAACAAGCATTGCCTTATGGTGTTTAGCTATCTCAGCCACTTTGTAAGGTAGGTAGGTATCATCATGCCCATTTTACAGATGAGGAAACAGGTTCAAAATGGCTAAACCATTTGCACACAGTCTCAGTCTCACAGATAGTAAATGGCAGATCCAGGATTTGAAAGCACAACTATTTTCGAATGTGGATATTTTATCAATAAAGTGTCTTCTACTTTTCTTATCGTTTTGTAAAGTTTCACCTCCACTTGAGAACCATGCAGGTAATGTCTTCTCAGGAGAGGATTTTCTGAAATCAGGCAGCAGATAGAGAATTATCAATATTTATACTCTTCATCAGTGTGTTATATATTAATGACAAATGTTTTTACAACAGTACAGGCAATTTTAGCAAAAAATAAAAAATACTAAACCCCTAACAATAAAAGTTGCTGGAGTAGAAAGCACTGTATATCCGTATAGCTCATTATATATCTTTGCTAACCGAGTGTTTCAGGTCACCTTATGGGGTTAAGGAAGCCCCACTGTCCTTGCATTAATTAATTAATTTTTTTCTCAATCTTATTTCTTACACTCTATTTTGTTGCTATTCAAGAGGTATCTATAAACTAGTTGTAAGTAGTGAAGAAGACAGTAAAGTTCCCTGACATACGGCACTTAATTTTAATGGGGGAACATAGATAAAAATTACTATATAATGAGCTATATGGGTACATAGTACTTTCTACTCCAGCAACTTTTGTTGTTAGGGGTTTAGTCTGATATTTTTGCTAAAATTGCCTGCAATATATATATAAATATATATATATATATATTTATATATATATTTTATTATACCTTAAGTTCTAGGGTACCTATGCACAACGTGCAGGTTTGTTACATATGTATACATGTGCCATGTTGGTGTGCTGCACCCAGTAACTCATCATTTACATTAGGTATATCTTCTAATACTATCCCTCCCCACTCCCACCACCCCACAACAGGCCCCGGTGTGTGATGTTCCCTTTCCTGCGTCCAAGTGTTCTCATTGTTCAATTCCCACCTTTGAGTGAGAACATGCGGTGTTTGGTTTTTTGTCCTTGCGATAGTTTGCTCAGAATGATGGTTTCCAGCTTCATCCATGTCCCTACAAAGGACAAGAACTCATCATTTTCTTATGGCTGCATAGTATTCCATGGTGTATATGTGCCACATTTTCTTAATCCAGTATATCATTGTTGGACATTTGGGTTGGTTCCAAGTCTTTGCTATTGTGAGTAGTGCCACAATAAACATGCGTGTGCATGTGTCTTTATAGCAGCATGATTTATAATCCTTTGGGTATATACCCAGTAATGGGATGGCTGGGTCAAATGGTATTTCTAGTTCTAGATCATTGAGGAATAGCCACACTGTCTTCCACAATGGTTGAACTAGTTTACAGTTCCACCAACAGTGTAAAATCATGAGTGAACTCCCATTCACAATTGCTACAAAGATAATAAAATACCTGGGAATCCAACTTACAAGGGATGTGAAGGACCTCTTCAAGGAGAACTACAAACCACTGCTCAGTGAAATAAAAGAGGATACAAACAAATGGAAGAACATTCCATGCTCATGGATAGGAAGAATCAATATCGTGAAAATGGCCATACTGCCCAAGGTAATTTATAGATTCAATGCCATCCCCATCAAGCTACCAATGACTTTCTTCACAGAATTGGAAAAAACTACTTTAAAGTTCATATGGAAACAAAAAAGAGCCTGCATTGTGAAGACAATCCTAAGCCAAAAGAACAAAGCTGGAGGCATCACGCTATCTGACTTCAAACTATACTACAAGGCTGCAGTAACCACAACAGCATGGTACTGGTACCAAAACAGAGATATAGACCAATGGAACAGAACAGAGCCCTCAGAAAAGTATCACACATTTACAACTATCTGATCTTTGACAAACCTGACAAAAACAAGAAATTGGGAAAGGATTCCCTATTTAATAAATGGTGCTGGGAAAACTGGCTAGCCAAATGTAGAAAGCTGAAACTGGATCCCTTCCTCATACCTTGTACAAAAATTAATTCAAGATGGATTAAAGACTTAAATGTTAGACCTAAAACCATAAAAACCCTAGAAGAAAACCTAGGCAATACCATTCAGGACATAGGCATGGGCAAGGACTTCATGTCTAAAACACCAAAAGCAATGGCAACAAAAGCCAAAATTGACAAATGGGATCTAATTAAACTAAAGAGCTTCTGCACAGCAAAAGAAACTACCATCAGAGTGAACAGGCAACCTACAGAATGGGAGAAAATTTTTGCAATCTACTCATCTGACAAAGGGCTAATATCCAGAATCTACAAAGAACTCAAACAAATTTACAAGAAAAAAACAATCCCATCAACACGTGGGCAAAGGATATGAACAGACACTCCTCAAAAGAAGACATTTATGCAGCCAAAAGACACATGAAAAAAATGCCTGCAATATTTTAAAACCATTGGTCATAAATATAAAACATACTGATGAAGAGCAATATGATGGAATAGGACTTTCCACTGTTCCCTCTTCAGAAACATCAATTTGAACAACAATCAACACACAAAAGTACCTTCACAAGAGCAAAGGAAACCAGGTGAGTGATTTTAGCACCTGGGCATAGCACAGAAATCAGAAAAGGTGCATTAAAGAGAGTAGGACGGGCAGTTTTATATCAACTGAGTCACCCCTTTGAAAATTCCAGGCAGTACATCGTGTAAAGAGACACTCTTCAACTTGGGGAAGGAGAAGAAAGTGAGCTTTGGACTTTTCCTTTGGCCCCAACATTGGATCTGCACCAATAAAACCCAACACTGAGCAGGCTACCACAACCACAAAATTCAAGGTAGTACCTATGGACTGAGTATCCAGGCCTGCCCTGGCACCAGTCTGGACCCTACTGCTCCAGGTTCCAGGCCTGCTCATTGGATTCAGTCTCCAGGCCTGCCTCACCATCAGGCCAACCCCAGCGGCCCTGGGCTCTGGACCAGCTACAGCACAGGGCTAGTCCCATCACAAGGTAAGCCCTGCCAGATTCAGGCTCTAGGCCTGCCCCACAGACTCGGTCTCTGGGCTGGCCCCAGCAACCCTGGGCTCAGGCCTGCCCCAGCACCATGCTAGTTTCTGCATCCCTAGTCATCATGCTAGCACTCACAGATCCACTCATCAGGATGGACCCTGTGCATGCAGAATTCAGGTTTGCCCAGTAGCTGGTCAGCCTCTATGACCCCAGGCTCCAGACCTGCCCCAGGTTTCAGAAAAGCCCAGAGCTAGGCACACACACAGCCCCAGGCTCAGGCCCACCCTGGCACTAAGTTAGCAATCCTTGCCTCAGGCACTAGGATAGAACCCACTGGCTCAGGCTTTAGGCCTGCCAAATACAAGGTTGGTTCCTGGCTCCATTCTCCAGGCCAGATACCGGAGCCACATGCTCCAGCAGACCTAGAGTTCAGACCTGCCCAGGGTCCAGGCTTATCTCAATAGATCCTAGCACCAGGTGAGACTCCTGAACCTTGGCTCCAGGACTGACCCTCAGCACCCAGCATCTAGGCCAGCCCCCAAAACCCCAGGACCCAGGCCAGCCCTCATGTTCCTAGCCTTCTGGTCAGCATCATCACACCCAGCTTCCAGGCAAGCCCCCATAGCCCTTGGCTCCAGGCAAGTTTCTGTGGCTCCAAGCATAATGTCAGCACCTGCCATCCCAGGCTACAGTCTAGCCCCTGTGGGTGCAGGCTTCATGTCTTCCCTAGCACCAGGCCATCCCCAGGTTGCCGTCAGGTCCCAGTGGCCCAAAGTTCCAGTGGACCCAGGGGCCAGGCCTGATCCAAAAAATACAGGGCCTAGGCTTACCTCAGGCGACCTTAGTGACTGGCCAACCCCTGTGGACTAAGACTCTAAGAACAACCCTGCAGACTTAGGCTCCAGGCCCATCCCAGTAGACCTAGGCTCTAGGCTTATCACAGCACCCGGCTAGCTCCTTCAGACTCAGGCTCAAGGGATATTCCAGTATCAGGTTAGCCTCTGTGGATTCATGCTTCAGTAGAGACCCCATGGATCTAATCAAAAGGTCTAGCACTACTTATCCAGCTTTCAGGTCCAACTCTGCAAATCCCAGGCACCAGGCCCACTCATCTGCTGACCCTGACACCAGACCAGCTTGCCTAGAAACTTCAGAAGCAAACCCATTCATGAACCGTGCCAGATGGACTGTTAGAATCTCTCTGGACAGGCTCACTGTTGAAAGTTTTTCTGAAACAAAGCCAGTCTGCAATGTTTGGAATAAGTCCATACTTCTTTAAATACACAGAAACCAACACATGGCCACAAGAATCAAGAATGATCAGGAAAACATGACACCAACAAAGGAATAATGCACCAGTAACCAACCATAAATAAGTGGAGATTTACAAATTGCCTGACAAAAAATTAAAATAATTGTTTTAAGGAAGCTCAGTAAACTTCAAGAAAACATAGAGAAAAAAATTCAATGAAATCAGAAAAACAATAAATGACCAAAACAAAAAATAAATACCAGAGATATTGAAATTATTTTTAAAAAATCAAACAGAAATTCTGGAGCTAAATATACCATGAAGAAAATTTAAAATGCAATAGAGAGCATCAACAGCAGAATTGATTGAGCAGAAAAAATAATTTGAGAACTTGAAGACAGGTTATTTGAATATGTACAATCGGAGGAGAAAAGATCTAAATGAATAAAAAAGAATGGATAAATATTATGGGACTTTTGGGAAAGCATGAGAAGGGCAAGGCTTTTTGATTTATAGAAATTAATGAAGGAGAAGAGAGAAACAGTGATATTTAAAGAAAGAATAGAAGAAAACTTTCTAAATTGGGAGAAAGATATAAATATTCAGGTATGTAAAGGTTAAAGATATCTAATTAGATCCAATCCAAACAGGACTACACCAAGTCATGTGATAATCAAACTGTGAAAATTAATGATAAAGATGGAATTCTGAAAGCCACAAAGGAAAAGAAGAATATCACATATATGAGAATTACAGAACCACTAGAAACAAACCTCTCAGCAGAAATCTTACAGGCCAGGAGAGATTGGGTTGATATATGCAAAGTGCTGGAGAAAAAAACAAATCATCAATCAAGATTATTTTACCCACAGAATTTGTCCTTCAGAGAAGGAGAGATATAGACTTTCCAACACAAACAAAAGTGAGGGAGTTCATCACCACCAGAAAGACCTGTCTCACAAGAAATACTAAAGGCAGTCCTTAAAGATGAAGGAAACATATGCTAGGTAGCAACAGAGAAACGAAAAGTATAAAATTCATTGATGAAAGTATGTACACAGTCAAATTCAGAATGCTTTAATATTGAAATAGTGGTATATAAATCACTTAAATCTTTATTATGAAGGTTAAAAGAAAAAACTGCTAAAAATAATAATAGTTACAATAATTTCTTAAGGAATATGCTATTCAAAGAGATGTAAGTCATGGCATCAAAAACACAAAATGTGAGGAGATGTTGAGTTTTTTTTAATGAGATCAAAGTTAGTTGTTATCAGCTCAGAATATCCTATTATGACCATAAGATGTCTTATGTAACTCATAAAGAAAAAAATAGTAGATACCAAAATAATAAAAAGAACCAAGTATACATTAGAAAAAAATCACCTAATTACCAAGAAAGGCAGAAAGAGAAGAAGAAAGGAATATATAATCTACAAAACTACCAGAAAGCAATTAACAAAATGGCAGTAGTCATTACCTAACAATAATTACCTTAAGTATAAATGATTTTTTTTTAATCAAAAGATACAGAATGACTAAAAGTATAAAAACGAGACCTGCCTATATGCTGCTTACAAAAGCCTCACTTTACCTGTAAGGACACACATAGACTGAAAGTGAAGGAATGGAAAAAATATTCCATGCAGATGGAAATCAAAAGAGAGCAATGACAGCTACGTTTACATCAGATAAAATAGACTTGGGTGAAGAGTAAGACAGACTGAAATATAATAATACCAGGGACTTCAGTACTCCACTTTGGGCATGGACAGGTTATCCAGACAGAAATCAATAATGAAACTTTGGATTTAAACTACACTAAACCAAATGGACCTAACAGACACATACAGAATATTCCACACAAAAAAGCAGAATATACATTCTTCTCAAGAGCACACAGAACTTCTCTAGGATAGATTATATGTTAGGCCACAGAAAAGTTTTAACAAATTTAAGAAGATTGAAATCATGTCAAGTGTCTTTTCTGACCACAATGGTATAAAGCTAGAAATCAGTGACAGAAGAAATCTTGGAAGACTCACAAATATGTGGGAATTGAGACAAACAAAAATGGACAAACAACATAACAAAATTTAAGGGATGCAACAAAAGGAGTTCTAAGAGGAACATTTATAACATAAATGCGTACATCAAAATAGAGAAAAGATTTTAAGTAAGCAACCTAATATTATACTTTAAGAGAGTAGAGAAAGAAGAACAAACTAACCCCAACATTAGTAGAAGAAAGAAAATAATTAGTATCAGAGTAGATGTAGGCAAAATAGAGACTAGAAAAAAAAATAAAAATGATCAACAAAACTAAGAGTTTTATTTAAGATTAACAAAATTTACAAACCTTTCACTAGACTAAGAAAATAAAGAGAAGATGAAAATAAATAAAATCAGAAAGAAAGAGGAGACATTACAACTGATACCACAGCAATAAAAGGCATCAGAAGACATTACTATGAGCAATTATATATCAATGAGTTGGATAACCTCGAAGAAAAGAATAAATTCCTAGATACATGCAGTCTGTCAAGACAGAATTATGAAGAAATAGAAAATCTGAACAGACCAATAACAAGGAAGAAGAAAAAGTCAATAGTAAAGTCTTTCATCAAAAATAAAAAGGCTCAGGAAATGACAGCTTCACTGCTGAATTTTACCAAACACTCAAAAAACAACTAACAACAATTATTCTCACAGTCTGAAAAAAATGAAGAAAAGGAAATACTTCCAAACTCATTTTATGAGGCCAGCATTTCACTGATACTAAAGCCAGACAAAAACACTGCCAGAAAAGAAAATTACAGGCCAATATTCCTGATAAGCATAGATGCAAAAATTTGCAATAAAATATTAGCAAACCAAATTCAACAACACATTAAAAGGATCTTTCTAATAGAATACTTTATATGCCTTTGGGAATACTCTGCAGCCATAAACAAGAATGAGATCATGTCCTTTGCAGGGACATGGATGGAGCTGGAGGCTATTATCCTTACCAAACTAATGCAGGAACAGAAAACCAAATACCACATGTTCTCAGTTATAAATAGGAGCTAAATGATGAGAACACATGGATACATAGAGGGAAACAACACACACTGGGGCTTCCAGAGGGTGGAGAGTGGGAGGAGGGAAAGAATCAGGAAAAATAACTAATGTGTACTAGGTTTAGTATCTGGGTGACTAAATAATCTGTACAATGAACCCCAACAACACAAGGTTGCCTATGCAACAAACCTGCACTTGTACCCCTAAACTTAAAATAAAAGTTAAAAGATAAATAAAATGATGCTTCACCATGATAAAGTGGGATTTATCCCAGAAATGCAAGATGGCTCAACATACACAAATCTGTAAATGTAATATACCACATTAATAGAATGAAGGACAAAAAACATACAATCATCCTAATAGATGCAGAAAAAGCATTTGACAAAATTCAACATCATTTCATAATAAAAACTCTCAATAAACTAGGTGTAGAGGGAATGTACATGAAATAATGCTTAACGTCACTAATCCTAAGCGAAATGCAAACCAAAACCATAATGTGCTACTATCTCACACTTGTTTGAAAAACTTTTTTCAAAAACTCAAAAGATAACAAGGGTTGGCAAGGAAGTGGAGAAAAGGGAAGACTTGTACACTATTAGTATAGCCATTATGGAAAACAGTATAAAAATTCCTCAGAAACTAAAAAATAGAACCACCACATGATCCAGTAATCCCTCTCTTGAGTATAAATTCAAAGGATATGAAATCAGTTTGTCTAAGAAATATATCTGCACTTCCATGGTTATTGTACCATTATTTGCAATAGCCAAGATGTGGGATCAATCTAAGTGTCCATCAATGGATGAATGGATAAAGAACATGTGTCATATGTACTTAAAGGGATTCCTTTTTGCCTTTTTTTAAAAAAAAAAAAAAGAAAGAAAACCTGCTATTTGCAACAACATGGATAAACCTGGAGGACCTTAAGTTAAGTGAAATAAGCCAGGCACAAATAGAGAAGTGTCACAGCATCTCACTTACATATGGAATCTAAAATAGTTGGACCCACAGAAGCAAAGAGTAGAATAGTGAATACCAGGAGCTGGGGAGATGTTGGTCAAAAATTACAAAATTTTGGTTAGATAGGAAGAATCTACAGATCTCTCTATTCAAGAGCTCTGTTGTACAACATGGTGACTATAGTTAATAGGAATGTACTATATTCTTGAAAATTACTAAGAGTAGATTTTACATGTTCTCACCGCAAAAGAAAAAAAAATGATATGTGAGCCAGTTCATATGCTAGGTAACTTGATTTGGCCATTCTGCAGTGTATACATACTTCAAAATATGATGTTGTACAAAAAAAAGTGTACATAATTTTTGTTAATTAAAAAATAAATTTTTAAAAATTACTAAGATAACTCAAAATTATAATTGATTTTTATAAATGTCATACATGATACAAATAAGATATTATCTAAGGGTAAAGAATATATTTGAAAGAATAAGAGAAGAAACTAAAAAACATTTCACTTGAAAACAAAAAGATTGTGTTCAGAGATAGTGCATCCACTTGTAACTGCTAAGCTGTTCATGGTGGCACACGTAATACTCTAAGTAATTTTACTGTCTTTATGGGCTCTTGATGTGTACTCATGTTCTTAGACTTCATATTAAGAATATTTCATCTCAAGCAATATTGGCATCTTTGAAAACATAATGCTTTCCAATACCAATGTCCAGGATGGTCAAAGTAGGTAATTTTCTCTGATGTAAACGTTTACTATGATGTTGACATCTTTATTGTTTTCTTACAAAAAGTTATAAAAATTTTCTGTCCATAATATTTGTCATAGAAATAACCTTAGAATACTCTTTTTGAGAAGATTCCATACTGTTCTCATCCCTGCTACACTTAATTGATCAGAGTCGGGCACCTGTTCCCCAAGACAGCCCAGGCACAATCTGGTCAGCAACCCATGAAATGATCTTGTATAAACCATAAGCTGGACCAGTTAGATCTCTTTCTCTAACATATTTGGATCAGCTAACATTAGAGAATTATGTTGATAGCTTTGGGGAAGAAAAAATGGAAGTGTTCATAGAGACTATGAGGTAGAGTGAGGAGGGCTTTGAAAAACAATCTGAGAAAGTCATGTGATGAGATTTTAATGCAATAAATAAGCAAATGTTATGAGAAAAGAGAGAAATGACAATGAAGCTAGTCTTTAGTGAGCTAACTAACAAAAAGGAAAGAGAAGTGGAGACCCAGAGAGTACCTGAATGACCTTAATTTTGAAAAATTCCAGTAGATACCTACCAGTGTCTGCTGCCAGAGACTTTAGAACTTTGCATTGGTTTTCATTTTCAAGAGGCTGAATGAGCATTTGAGTGGCATGTCATAAGAGAATTAAAAAATGGAGTTGAGACTAGACTATATAAACTCATAGGTGTTTCTTAATTATGAGAGTCTAAATTTAAGATCCCAAATCATCGACACCCACACAATTTACTGTCTACATTAAACATCACTTTAGTAATCCATTGCTTTCATCTGCATGACTTTACAATTCTAAGAAACTGTTGCCTAGGAAAATAAATTTTGAAAATGATTTTCTTGTTCATTCCAGGATCTTCACAAGAAGATCACTTAAATAAACACCAACTAGTTAAATGCCTCTATAGCATCAAATGATAGCTTGCCCCAAAAGATTCTTCCAACTAAAGTATTCACCAATTCTAAACAATTATATCTGAATTCTTACCCAGTCCTAATCAAACCACTTCATTGAAAGACCCCTAAATTTTGTAAATATTCTAATTTTATCTTTCTCCAAAAATTTACTGAGTCTGCCCAGATGATATATTCCCTTACTATAAGAATCTATTCAGCTTTTCCTTATCAGCAGGTTGTTTTTTCTTTTAATATCATATGGTAGTTTATGTAAGACCAACTTGAGAAAAAAAAAAATCCCCTAGTAGCTTCCAGAATCCGAAAGCCTTATGCTTTTGTGCGTTTACATCATACACTTTAAGACTTTGTCAAATGACCTGCCTTAATCAGGATTTTTAATCCTTCCTCCCACCCAATCGCATTTATTCTCTTGCCACAGTTCTTAGGCATGGCATTCCTCTCACTCATCTTTTAAAATGGAGAGTTTTTTGCTCCCATTTCGTGTGCTATAGTCTCTGAATTGTCCTGGGCTACGTAGTCTCTTTTTTATCTCTGTAAATCTATCTCTATTTTATTTTCTCACCAAAGTGCGAATACTTGAATCTGTAATAGATCAAGCCTTTGTTGAAATCCCTTTCAAATTATATTAACATTAGGCTGAGGTACATAGAAAAGATGATGTGATTTTTCTATCTCTGTATGCGTGTGTGATTGCGTATGTGTATGTATGCAATTTCAAAAGAGAAAAACAGATAAACACACAAAATGTCTAAGAACATCAACCCTTTCATCAAATAGCAACCAAATTAAAAAGGAAACCAAAGATAAATTCAGGTCCATATTTCAGAAGTGAATGAGGACCTCTTTATTTCCAATGCAATAGAAATGCAAAGCGGAAGAAATCAATGCAAACCAGTATGTCTTGGATCAGCACATTTTAAAACAAAATGTACCTTTGTATCTAAAAATCTGAGAGCCATGAATATTTAACACAGAGAGAAAAGAATGATTTTGTCAGCCTGTAAAGCAAGTCCCAGGGAAGCTTAAATTCTGCTGCCTTCTATTAGCTTCTCAGCTCAGTAAACAAAATGAGTCATTCAGGGAGAAGGAGAGGAAGGAGGTAAGGACCAGGGGAGGCTGAGTGAGAGGGTACTTCTGAGGCTTGGGAAGTAGTGAACTCAGGAATGGTAGTGGAGGGGAGAGAATGATGAGGTTTAATGCCAGCTAGTGGTCATGAGCTCTCTGGCTGGGTATAGAGCAGCTGGAGATAGTCTGTGGAAAGAATTATTAAAAATCCTACCAGTTTTTGGAACCAAAGGAAGCAGGGAGTGGCTATTGTAGTAAAGGGATCTAAGGGACTGATTTGGCTATTCCAGGATGCATGTCTTGTCCAACTAATCTCTCCAAGGCTCTCTCTCCTAATCTCTTAAAGGGTAGTAATACCAGCTCTTTGCTTTAGAAGAATATCTTAGGGATAAATGAAGCGCATTAGCCAAAATCCATGCTAAATATTTGATGGTTGTATCTGAAGCCACACAAGGGAATATTTGATCAGCTTGCTATCTTCATGGGGGACAATTCTTAATGTGGCATAATTCAAAACTTTTATTACAGCCCAACCCCTATCATTATGACTCAGATAATGTTCCCAGGAGTTTGCCTAATACTCAGAAAACAACATCCTGCAGGCTAATGATGTATTGATTCTTTGGCTATGAGGTCTGCATGAAAGGAAAACGGTGATGAGTGGGCTGGGATGGTATACATGGGTGTGTAGTTGCATTAAACAATACTAATCAACAAGTTTGGCTGCTCCTTCAGTCTTTCCTCCCCCTGCCCCCCCAATATTCTGTTAGGCTTCAAACTGGCATTTTATCCCCTTGTTTTTTAACAAATGACTTTTGCAAGAGGCAGCATAGTGTTGTGTGAAATGGACTCTGGACTGTGAATCAAAAACCTTCATTCTCATCCTAACTCTGCAATAAACACCACTCATGAATTTGAGCAAGCCACTTCCAATTCTTTATTTTTAGAGTGTCAGTTTCCCGATCTGTAGGAAAAACAAATACATTCTACAGTTTTTTGTTTGATAGACGGAGAAGGGAGGAGACTTTCATTCTAGATAACACACATTACTCCCTGTTTATGTTTCTGCCCCAGCCACTCTCTGCTTAGAGCCTATGTTTCAGGGCTATAAGCCTTAAATATAAGCTATAAGCCTTGCTGGAGGCTGTCACAGCCTGAACTAACCATTAACTAATTAAGGGGAGCAAATCAAGTTGTCAAAAATCTGTAAAACTAATAAGTCTTTGTAAATCGTTTTTTTTTTTAATTTAAGTGGGTACACCGCAATCCCATCACTTCAAGGCCAGCGTGCTTAGCGCAAGGTATCAGCAGACAACCCTTGAAAAGAAGATTTCTCATTAAATACACTAGCCCTGAGGCCATCACTTCACTCAAAGCTTGTCCTTGGTACCTTAATTTTGGAGAAAAATGCAGATTTTCAGAGGATGTAAGAAAAAGGCATCCAGCCTGTCTCCTAGGAGTCTCTTGAGCCCTCAGGCAATCAGTCTAGAAGCAAAAGTGTTTTTATACAAAGGGACACTTGACACCTATCAATTATCTTCCTAAGCTGACTAATTCTTCTTTATGGCTTCTTGGTGCTCAAATCAGAGCAGAGGTGCCATCTCTATGAAGGTTGACTTTGTATCAGCTGAAATATGGGAGCCACCATGGAATCATAGAATAATGGATGTTCAGGGCTTGTCGTATTAGAGATGGAGACGATTGGCACAGGAGCATCTAACTGGGATCATTTCTTCAAGTAAGGCATTCTTAGCCTAGGGATGTGAATAGAATCATTCTGCAAATAGGTACAGGGTTTCTGTGCTGAGCTCACGCTTGCATTTGAGGACAGAGGACAAAGAATTGAAAAGAAAGGGTCTCTTCCACTCTAATACCTGAGCACCTAAGTGGAGATATAAAGATGCACGCAATGTTTTACCATCACTGGTTCATAAAACTGAAATTGTATTTACGTCTCTCGTTATGTGAGGTAATGCAGGAAAACATTACAAAAGATGTGATATCTGAGCTGAGGCTTGTAGGGTGAGTAGGGTAAGGGTAAGCAAGCAGAGAGAAGGCCATGCCAGGCAGGGGGAACATTATACATAATGGCAAGAAGATCTGTAAAATAATTGTTTGTTTGTTTATTTGTTTGAAAGCAGTTTGGTGTGAAGAGGTGTTCCTGAGATACTTGTCTTCCCAACACATACATGCAAGATTTGATGCTACAGTTGAAGGGAGACATTATCAAATATTGAGCAGGTGCACAGATTGATTGGATACAAATAGTAGAATTGCCATTCTGGAGGTTGTAGGGAGACTATCGAAACACATGCCAGGTCATGGGAGACACTGTCCATAGGAGATGAATGAGGACATCATTTTGACAGTGTAGGGGAACAGGTGAGACCCTGAAGCAGGATAGCAGCAGTTGGAATAAGTGTCATGTAAGAGTTATTTAGATGGTGGAATTAGAACAGAAGTTTGCAATCGATGTGGTGGCATGGATAAGGAAGAAAAATAAGGCATTTTATTTGTGTTTAGGTTGTTATTAAAACTTCCTCACTCAAAGTAATTTTCCCATTTTTTAACAAGTAAATTTGATTCCAATATATGTTTTAACCCAGTTAGTACGACCACAGTGCACTGTATTTTCAAGTTAGCAAAAATTGACAGCAGAAAGCTTTTTTCTTAGTTTTACTAATCAATATCCATTGAATTTCACTGGACATTCTAAACACAGTATATGTATTTGGGAAGAAAATGGTAAAAAGCCCAGGACTCTCACCCTTCCAAACCTATGTGTGGAAACTGTTAGCCTGTATGACCCAATTCGCCTGTGAGATGACTCCATTAACATGGAAATGCCAGCTTTGGAAATTGTGTTTTCAGAGTTCACAATATAGCTCAGAAAGTGGCCAAAATGGATGTTGTAGTGTCCATTTTGACTGGGTAGAGCTCTCATGGGTTTCTTTGCATTTTTTTAATGTGCACTAAAGAGCCAAAGTTGCTGAGCAGATAATGCAAAGATACAAACATGTTCTTGTGCAGAGGATAAAGAAAAGATCTGGAAGTCAAAATGTATCATATATAGTGAGATAACATTATTAATGAATTATTTGTCCATTCCTTAATTAGATAAATATTTGTGGAGTTTCAAACATTGTAAACTGTACAGTGGGTATAATGATAGAATCAACAGATTTTAGATGTGAGTTTCAATATTCAATGATGAGTCTTGTAATTGGAGTTAAGAAGTGTCATGGGAGTGGATATCAGATGTTCCTAACCATGAATTAAGTTCTGTATTGAGCTCAGGCAGGAAATAAATAACAACAGTTCATTTTTCAATCAACATTGTGTACTTATCTGTGCTTCAAATATTGAGCTGGGTTTGTGGTGAATTTAAAATAAATCAGACACTTATCTTCTTCTCTAGGTATTTGTACAACAGCCGTGGTAAGGTATGGAAACAAGTAACTTTGAAATTATTAAATCCATGATAAGCACCTTTGACAAAGGAAGTGTCACAGGACTTAGGCAGAAAGAGAAGTTGATTCCAATTAGGTGATCTATCAAGAAAAGCTTAAATATCCAGGTAAACATCTATAAAAACAAAATACATTTGGAAACATAGTAATAAAGAAATTAGACTTATCGGGACTTGCTCTAAGAAGGTTAGCCAGTTGGTATCCAAGTTGAAGGAAGATATATTACAAAGGAGGTAATATCTGAGCTGAAGCTTGAAGGATGAGTAGGATTTATTAGGATAAACAAGCAGAGGGAAGGCCATGCCAGGCAGGGGAAACATCGTATGCAATGGCAAGAAGATCTGTAAAATAATGGTTTGCTTGTTTTTTTGTTTAAAAGCAGTTCAGTGTGAAAAGGCACTGCTGAGATATTGCTATTACTGACACTGAGACTGAGGCACTTCTATTCATTCAGACTCAAAGCATGTGACCTCAACTCTGTTCCTACAACCACGATCTTACGTCAGGCCCTTCTCATCCCCTCTTGGACAGCAAACTACTTTCCTTGCCATCTCCTCTCTAGAACCCAGTCCTGCTCACTGAGAAGTCAACTAGCTCTTTAGGAAACAGGCTTCCATGTTCATTTCCTGGCTTAGTATCTCTAACAATTTCCTCAACTAAAGAAAGTGCAATAATCCGTTTTCACTTATTTCCTCTATCAGCATTCCATTTTGCTCTTACAACCATGGTGCAACTATCCAAAATTGTTTCTTTATTTTTCTCAGAATTATTCTTTTATAACAACAATTTATATTTTGTATATGTTGACCCCTCTGCCTGGAATTGGTTCCTCTCTCTGTGGACTGAAAAAAATCCTATCTACCTTTGGCAAGACTTGGCTTAATTGTCCCCCTTTTCTGCAATGGAGTCTCTGAGTCCCAGGTTCCCCTAGATTCCTGTCTCTATTACAATACTTATTTTATTGTTTTGGAATTTTCTCATTATAAACCCCTGTTGAACTATATGTGTTGGAAAGGGAAGCCATAATGGTATTTTGTATAAATTTTAAATAATCTTTTAATCTGAGTTATTTAATTTTTGATATTCTAATATTCTGTCTATTATTTATAAAATGATATATAAATTTTCAGTGTCTCCAGTGGTAACCTTGCTATAATGGGCACTTGACAAATGAAGACTCAATTACTCAAGAGAGGAAGGTGTCGTGGTAGGCTGGAACCAGCATCATTGCCCAGTTCCATTATATATTCTCTGTAACTTTGCACAACTTTCTTGACTTGTTCAAGGTTTAAGTTTATTATCTGTAAAATCAGGATAATAATACTTAGCTCATTGTGAGAATTAAGTAAAATAATGATTGTAGAGCATTTGGCTCAATTCCTAGCATATAGTAAGCTCATAATAAATTATTTATATTAAAACTATTGCTATTAATGAATGTTTTAACCTGAGCAAAGATCAACCTCTAAAACTTTATTTTCTACCGTCTTGCCCTCCATAGAAGACTTTAGTGATTATCAAAGAAAATATTACAGGTTAGAGTACTTTAAAAATTACAACAAATCATATAATTGTTAATAGTGATTTTTAAGCTTCTCGGAACCTTAGGTCACTTGGAAAGGATGAGGATGTGGCTTGTAAATTCTCTGTGACTAAAATGGAAACTGTTTATAAGAACAGAGAATG
Source organism: Homo sapiens (assembly GCF_000001405.40). NCBI lineage: Eukaryota > Metazoa > Chordata > Mammalia > Primates > Hominidae > Homo > Homo sapiens. The sequence goes on along the minus strand of NC_000009.12, from coordinate 118,004,676 downwards.
TTGTTATAGTTGATTCTGAGTTACCCAAGGTTAAGAATTGGAAGTGAGATTAATAGAGTCAAAAGCTTTCTCTTAATCATGGATCACATAATAAGTCAGTTATTACATCTTTTTTCATGTCCCAGAAACTGCCTAACATAGGTAGAATTATTAGCCACAATTCTCCATCAAAGTACACGTTTGTACCATCATAATTAGTCTGGCCTGAAGTGATAGGACGATTAAGGAGTGTTTCTGTCAAGATATTGTCATTTAAGATTTAAAAGCAACCAGTTCTTAATATCTTGCCTGGGTCATTTTAAATTGTCAATTATACTGAGTAGACAGTGAAGCACTTATTTTTCTTTATCAATAATTATCTGGGACTCTCAAATGTTTAGTCATAATACTAATTGTTAAAGTATGAAACCATAAATATCAACTCAAAAGCTAGATGTTGGTATTTTGTGTAAATTTTGTGTAAATGCCAATATCTAGCTTTTGAGATCCCAAGAGACCCATATCAGTTGGGGAAATAATGGGCACTTTTTCCACGAATGTTTTTCTGACCACTGTGGTATATATCATTTCTCTCTATTTCTATTAAACCTACAGTACATTCCACTCGGTTTCTCTTTTAATTGAATGCCTTGCAATACAATTGAAACTGCTCTAGGTGTATTCAACTGGATAATTTGCTAGCCAAAACAACCTAAAAATTACAAGCCCTAGAATCTGTGAAATGAGAATAATAATAATGCCTTGGCTATTCCCCCAAAAGCTTATGTTGTTCAAATGATATATTGGGTGTGAAAATAGTTTCCAAAATGAAAATAATTATTTAGTTATTACCTAATGGTTTGTATTTCACATTCTAAAACATCTTTAACCTCTCTTATTCTCTAGATTCTCTCTAAACATTTTCTCTCTTTCAACAGCCTTAATTTCCATTTAGGGGTGACAGGTTTGAGATCCATACTTGTGTCTCATCTCTCTTCATGAGCTGGACACCCATACATCATGCTGGATAATCTAAAATTTATCAAATTTAACATTTCCAGATGTTAACTCATCACCTTCTCTCCTTTCCTGTCTTATTTTCTTTTTCCCTACCTCAGTGAGTGGTACTCCCAACCACTTGTTACTGTAGCCATGAACCGGGTGTTCTTGATTTTTCCTTCATTGTTACGTCACACTTCAACCACTCACTAAATGTGGTCAAACACCCCACAAACTGACTTCCCCTTCAGTCCTGGATCAGTATTACAGCCTCCTAATCCGCTTCTCTAACTCCTGACATGGCCTGCTCTAGCATGCTATCCACACTGCCACAGATAAACCTTTATAAATGAAACAGGAACCTCCACCTGCTTAAATCCTGAAACATAATAGCCATTGTTCCCAGGACAATCTGTAAACTCAAGCATGGTTTACAAACTCTTGAGAGCAGTTCCTGCCAAATGTAATGTGCATGCACATCACTTGGGCATCTTGTTAAAATATAGCTTCTGATTCATTGGGCCTGGGGTGCAGGCCCAGGACTAGGGTAAGCTAAGTGAGACATCCCCAGATGAAAAATTTAAAGAGATACTCACTGTCAGGGCAGTACTAGTGCCAATCCTATGCTTGCATGAATCTAAGAGGGCGTGTCTCCTTAAATGATGTGCCTTAAGTTTCTCACTTGCTGACCTTCCAGGTGATGCTGATGCTGCTTGTTCTAGGACCACATTTGAATATCAAATCTGGAAGGGTCAAAACTTATCTGCCTATCTTTATATCTTAGGATTTCTCACCTCAAACTCTACCCTCTACCTATACTAAATAATATATATTATTATTTTTTTCATTTCTGGGCACATGCTGTTTTTTCTTACTGAAATGATTGGCACCCCTAACTTTCATTGCCTCTGTGACATCTATGTGTCCTTAAACACCACTTTCTCCAGGCTGCCTTTTTTGACTTAGAGAGCCAATGGATTCAAAGGTACCTATCTATTCTCTATTTCTGTAGCTCTACTTACCTATTTTTCTTCATCATTTGTCTGTTGATAGCATACTATCCTCTTTAGTTGTATATGTCTGCAGGCTACATTTGTGGATTTAAAAACATGAGTTTATTATTTCAGATCAAGCAACAAGTACATTTCCTCACATAGAGTAGATATTGAATATATATTTGAGAAATAAATGAAAGAATATTTGAACATTAAATTTTCATTTGTGCTACCTTCTTAAATCTACTTTAAAATCCTTTAGCAATGCCTTCTACTTTTCCAGTAATGCTCACTTTACCTTACAGTGCAGTGTTTGTACTCAATAAATATGATTTCATATCAATAAACACAGACAATAATTTGTCTTTATTGAAGTCATTTACTGAATAATTGTTAATCATGAACCTGCGAGGTGCTATGAATTCAGTGGTGAACTACAGTAAAGTCCCTGCTTTCAAATTTAGGGTGAAGGCATTTTTAAGCATTAAACAAATATGTGTATGTGTTTGTGTGTGTGTGTGTGTGTGTGTGTGTGTGAGAGAGAGAGAGATATTGCTACACAAGTAGCAAGACAAACATATATATACATACATTATATACATACATGTATATAACATGTGTTTATACACAAAAGTATGTATATATGTGTTTATCTTGCTACTTGTGTGACGATTAGTAAACTACTTTATCTCAAGTCTCTTACTCTCATTCTGCAAAGTGATCATAGCATTGCCTAACTCTTCAAGCCACTGTGTGAATAAATGAACTTAACTCTTAACTCACTTGGGTCACAGCTCTTACTGCTGGTTGGATCTAAGAGTGCTGCAGAAGGCAGTTCTATATGCTTTTTTCTACTCTCTAGGACATACCCCCTCCATATGACTAAGGCATTTTGCCACTTTAGCATGGATGAGTGCCTTTGGATTCAATGCTCTGGAGACAGCTCAGGAAAGAAGGGAGCCATGTAAGAGACTAAGAGGAGCAGACACAAATTCATGAGCAGCACCAGGTCATGGGAAAGGTGGGCACCCCTTCACAGTCTAATGCATATGGACAGGGGTGTGATGCAGGGGCAATTGGGATCTGTCTTCAGTGTTAATTAACCTTTCTCACCCTTACATGGCACCAGACAGTAGCAGTTCTCTTACTCCCAAGAAAGGGACATAATTAGAACAGATGGAGAAAATACAGATGAAAAGAAATGGAGCAGGTGTTCAACTCCAGGAATAGCTCGTGTCCATTGATTGCATTCGGTAGAGGTAGGTTGTGTTTTTGGTTTTGGTTTTATTTTCCTTTTAATCTAGCTGTTTCTCTCATGCCACTGAATGAAGCCAGATGTTAAGGAGAGGTAGAAAAGAAAAATGGAGAGGCTATCTATAATGAAAACTGCTCTTAGTTATCTGTATTTCCAGCCTCACAGCTTTTGGAATATAGAGAATATTTTAAATATGTGTACACATAACTTTTCCCTGCAAGACTATAAAGTCCAGAAACCAAACAGGGACATCAAGAGGCCATAGATTCCTTCAATGATGAACAAGAAGAGGCTTTAGACTCATCCAAAATATTCTATAAATTGAACTCTTAATTTTGGAGAGATTAAAAAAATAGCCTCAACCGCATAACTGGTCAATTAAAAAGCTAGAGCTAGAACCCAACTGTACATTTATTTATTACACCACCATGATTTAGTTACTCCCATCAGAACTATACTTCAATTGTGATTAAGGAAGGGTCAATGGTGGGGGCCTATAGCAAGTGTCAATAATGTTGGCAATTTAACTCAAATCACATTGACTACATATTGAAGAAAAAGCTGTATCAAATTCAGTCTTCATGTTGGCCAGCCTAGCCGAGGATTTTGGGTAGCCAAAGCACTCTGAGGAATGACTCATCCAGAGAGATGGTTAGGCAGAAGTCCTCTGGGTGCAATTAAACACTTAAATAATCTTTTCTCAGGGAGAGTTCCTGATGATGCGTATGACCACAGTCTCTGCAACTATCTTCACAGTTACGAAAGTCCAAAGGCTTCTATTTTTTTTGAAAATTTCTTTTCTAAAAAGCAACCCCCACAAAAAATTAAATACCTTATCTGCCTTGCTATGCTTACTTCTAGTATACATTGGGTTTCTATGTAAGAGACCCTATGAGTCTATGGATATTTTGATGGACATCTATAGTGTTATTTTCTAAGGAATCTATTCTAGTAGAATGTGTCTCTATTCTACAGAACAAGAGAAGAGGGTGCCATGTTCTGCTTTTTCTACTCCACTGGTCAAAGTTATTGGTAGTCAAGAGTGGGCACTTGACCCATGTCAGGCCAAAGTTCTTCTCAAGGTTGTTTTTAACTCAGAGATTGAGTCTTTCTTCTATGATAGAAACTGTAAGATACAGTCTGGATATCTGTGTCCTTATTTTCTGTTACGTAGAGAGCATTATCCTAAAATGCAGAAAGAATCAGGAATTAGAGGTGAAGATATTCCTGGTGGAATTTACATCACTGGCCCTATTGCATTTGATGCTCATTTGTATCTTTTCCCTTTTAACAGTTTTATTACTTAAACTCTCTAGGATTCTGGAAGGTATTTTTTTTTTTAAGTTAGTTGGTATGTTTCTTCTCTTCTTTATCCAAAGGAAGCCTGCACAAGCTAGAAATCAGAATTAAAAAAATACTTTCAGTGGGCCGGGTGCTGTGGCTCACGCCTGTAATCCCAGCACTTTGGGAGGCCGAGGCGGGCAGATCACGAGGTCAGGAGATCGAGACCATCCTGGCTAACACGGTGAAACCCCGTCTCTACTAAAAATACGAAAAATTATCCGGGTGTGGTGGGGGGCGCCTGTAGTCCCAGCTACTCAGGAGGCTGAAGCAGGAGAATGGCGTGAACCCGGGAGGCGGAGGTTGCAGTGAGCCGAGATCGAGCCACTGTACTCCAGCCTGGGCAACAGAGTGAGACTCTGTCTCAAAAAAAAAAAAAAAAATTCAGTAGTTACAATTACATGCCAGTTTATTTAAAACCATACACAATTGTATGTACAATTTTGCCTATATCTCTGAGAGGCTGATTTTATTATCCCACTTTACAAAAGTAGAAGAAAGCTCAGAGCTCAGAGAAATTGTCTATTCCAAGGCTGTCCCTCCAGGTAATAGCAAATCTGCGATGCAATCTAAGTGTCTTTCTCTTTTCACTGAAGTATACCCAGTCCCTACTCAGGGAGCATAAGGTTCATTGAAGGTCCAGAAACAAAATTAATCAAATATAGAAAAGTCCAAAATTAAGAAAGCAAGTTGGCACACATAGATTGCAATTAATCAAGGAGTTTCTTGATGAAACATTCAAATGATATTCTAAAACATGATAAAATAATATTTCCATCCATGAGATCAACATGAGCAACATAAAAGTGTGTAAAAATGCAAAATGTGGCAAAAATATAGTATTCATAGAGAAATATAGTGGGAAGGAGACCAAAAAATATTTAGGAACCAAGTTACTGGAATTCTTAAAATTGTCTAAGCAATTTAGACTATTTAATTAGCACTGTCAACACAATGGAAGATTGAGAAGAGAAGCAAGTTCTTCACAATGTGAAGGTTGGATTAAAGATGGAAGTGAAACCACAGTGGTAGTAAGATATTGTAATGATCCTAGTTCTTCCAGAACTTTCATTTTATGAGTCAGAATGGAAGGGTATGCTTTATGTCCAGACTTGGAGCTCCACTTACATACTCATGCTCTCGTAATTTTCGCTATTTGATCACGAGTGGCATATCCCTTATTCTTGAACCATTCACCTTATTTTAAGTCGGAGTCTGAAGCCACATCTCTAATATTGACTACTCACAGGTCCTCGTGGTTCAACAAGAATGATATCCAGATTGTGCTTCAGAAGTGCTTTGGGTCCACCACCTACTGCATTTGTGTCACAATCCCATTTTCTGCTAAATAGGGTAAGTTCTTCCCATTCTTCCCATTCCTTTACAGTCTTACTTATGTGACATAGTTTTTATTTTTATTTTTTTCTTGCATTGCTCTAGAGGGATAGATAAGAAGTATTCCACTCAAAATAGGTTTAGTTTAGAAACATGGCCTTTGCAAATTTGGATTGTTTCATTATGCCTGCTTTCTCAAATGTTACACATGTAGAATAATTTTGCTTCTTTTTTTTTTAGTAAAATTGGAGAACAGTTGAAAACACCATTTACCTAAATTCCAGGCATTCAAAGTAATGGGAAAATTTGAGAGAACAACAGTGTATGAAAATCCTGATTTCCTTACCAAAAAGCTTCTTCTACCTTTGGAGCTGACTTAGCCATTTTCCTCTGCTTCTATGGTTTCATATGAACCCCTGGTTTTTACTACAGTTCTTTTTATATATTCAACAGCCCAATTGGACAGCATGCCCATTAAAGGCAGGTGCTGTGTTTTATTGAATTAGACCTCTTTATGGAAGGGTGGCCTAGGACATAATGATTTTTAATCTCTGGGAACTCCTGGGTATGAGAGCCAACTGCCATATGTGTACTGTTAGCTCACCTCTGGCCATAGCAGTTTTATCCTGGAGTGAAAAGCTGACTTGATTGGAACAGTCAGATTCTCTCTTCTGGAAAGTTGCAATCTCAAAAGGAGAGACAGATGATCCATATTGATTGTAGTATCATAGAGAGAAAATTGTTCTCTTTTCCTCTAGGTCTCCTGAACTTCCCTGCTCTCCACTTTTTCCGAGTCTTAGTCATTCAACTGTTTGGACTTAATGAGATACTCATATTATTTCAAAATCTCCACTTTTTAAAGTTAATCTGTGTTGACTTCTGATGCCTTACATAAAATAATCATATGTAATTTTGATCATTATCTTATTCATAACACAGGTCTCAGAATTTTACCCATTGTGAGTATTCAAGACAAACTAAATAAATGATCTCAAAAGCATTTGCACCAATATCGGCTTTTCATTTAGGGCTTAACCATTAGAATAGAAAGTCAAATAAGTGCTGGTTATCCAGGGACTCCAAAGGCTGAGGAAGAAGGATCACTTGAGCCCAGGGTTTAGAGGCTACAGTGAGCCAGGATTGTGCCACTGCACTGCACCTAGGCAACATAGCAAGACTCCAACTCAAAAAAAAAAAAAAAAAGAGAGACAGATGGGGTGCTATGGCTCATGCCTGTAATTTCAGCATTTTGGGAGGCCGAGGAGGGTGGATCGCATGGTCAAGAGATCTAGACCACCCTGGCCAACATGGTGAAACCCTGTCTCTACTAAAAATAGAAAAATTAGCTGAGTGTGATGGCAGGTGTCTGTAGTCCCCACTATTCAGGAGGCTGAGGCAGGAGAATCACTTGAACCTGGGAGGTGGAGGTTGCAGTGAGCTGAGATGGCACCACTGCATTCCAGCCTGGTGACAGAGCAAGACTCCGTCTCAAAAAAGAGGAGGAGGAGGAGGAGGAGGAAGGAGGAGGAGGAGGAAGGAGGAGGAAGGAGGAGGAGGAGGAGAAAGAAGGAAGAAAGGCTGAATGTGAAGAAAAAGAAGAGGGAGAAGAAGAAGAGGAAGAAGAAGAAGAAGAAGAGGAAAAGAGGAAGGAGGAAGGAGGAAGGAAGAAGGAAGAAGAAGAGCTGAATGTTAGCTCTGACTCATTTACTAAATCACAACTTTATGTAGGGTCAGTCACTTTCTTAGACCATCCCTGTTTCAGTATTTTAAATGAAAAGATTATATCACATGATCTCCAAGGTTGCTCCTGGGCCTAATACTAGACTGTAGTTTCATATTACTGTATTAACAAAGATGTAAAGTTTGATATCAAGTTCAAAATTTGTTGTGTGAAAAATTTGTTGGGTGATCATTTAATACTCCCTTCCACATGTGCAGATCTCCATATAGAACATAAGCGCTAATTATTTATAAGTTCTTTATATGGTAAAGGGAGAGCTGGAATTGGATCCAGGTCTTGCAGCTTCTAGTTCAGTGTACTTTCCATTACCCCATGCTGCTGTTTCGGCTCCACCAGTGCATGTAGAAACATCTGTCCAGTAGTCACCCAGACAGTCTTTCCAGATCACCTTCATTAGTCATTTAACACAAATGAAATTCTTTCCAGAGAAACAACCCTTACCAGTGAGGCTTAAGCTATTATTACTATTTTAGGCAACACAGGGCATTGACTGAAATCTTGGCAAGGAGATGGTTCTTGGAACAAAATTGGCTTACAGTGGTACAACAGTGTTTTGTGAGTTGAAGGTATCCCGTTCTTTGTATAGCACACACCTGGCACAGAAAATTACAGTTTTGCAGAACTCAATGCATCCTGGGGAATAGAAAGTGATGGCAGTGGAGTCAGAAAATGTTGGATATCCCCTGGATTTTGTTACAGCTCCGCTGAGATGACTGGAAGTGACTTCATGTCCCTGGTCTTTGATATCTTTTGTATAAAACTAGGCTTACCTCAGTGGTTCTGGGAAGACTTAGGTTCCACAGCAGAGCCTCATAAGCTACCTTGCAGTGACAAGTGATAGGTTGCAGAGAGGACACTGTGCAGAAAGGGGTTTCAAGGGTCCCTTTTCCCACATCAATCGGAACTGCTCTTCTTTGGTCTGTTATAACAGAAAATTTTCTCATGGAATTTACTTAGGGGTAAAAATAAAATATTTTAAACAACAAATTTCTTGAATTACTAAAAGTGAGATCTCTCCCTTTCCCTCTCTTTCCATTTTTTTTTTTTTTTTTTTTGAGACTGAGTCTCCCTCTGTCACCCAGGCTGCAGTGCAGTGGCTCAATCTCTGCTCACTGCAAGGTCTGCCTCCCAGGTTCACTCCATTCTCCTGCCTCAGCCTCCCCAGTAGCTGGGATCACAGGCGCCTGCCACCATGCCTGGCTAATTTTTTGTATTTTTAGTAGAGACGGGTTTCATTGTGTTAGCTAGGATGGTCTCGATCTCCTGACCTCGTGATCCACCTGCCTCGGCCTCCCAAAGTGCTGGGATTACAGGTGTGAGCCACCACGCCTGGCCTCTTTTAATCTTAATACTAAGTGGGAAGATTGGAGAAATTGCACACATCCTCACTAGTCCTCTTTAACAAGGGTTTTGAACAAATCCATTTATTTCTTCCTGAAAAACAAATAGATTTATGCATCTCCAATAGCTGATTGAACTTTGCCACTGTGATTCGTCCCTATCGGTTTATCAAATCAAAATACATCTGCAAACCTGAACTCAAGCTCTATTTCTGACAAAATCTGCTTCTCAACAAACCAGCTCTAGACTTAGTGAAAGGCAAATTTTAAGTTTTTTTTCTTCCTGGTTAGCCAGCATTAAAACCTTCAAGTTATGCTTGACCTATTTGTCTCTTTTAATTGCTGTAGAAAGTTTTCACTTAGCTATCCTAATACTTTTTTTTCAAATTTTCTTTACATTTGCTTAATCTCAATTTCTATTCGTATAATCCTAATTTAGAGATTACTACGACATTCTCCCAAATATCTGCCAATGTGCACAACTACCTCAGAATGGTTCTCTAAATTTTTTCCTCCTCTACATAATTAGATAGATCCTCATAGCCAGATTAATTTTTCCAGAATGGGGCACCTGCTATATAGTCCAAAGCCTTTTGAGAGTCCAGCACTCTTGGATTCGCTTTTAAGGCTCTCCATAATCTATCCTACCCTACATACTTATATATTTCATCTGAAGTCTTTTTAAAATGTAAATAATTCATTCTGAAATTTTGATTTATTTGCTGTACCAGACACATATATCATTTGGATTTGAATAAACATAGGCTAATTTAGATTTTCAGCTCTTGTAGCTGATAAGAAAATCCAAATCAACCTATACATGGAGATTATAACACAGAGAAAACTTTCCCTGCTACGATGCAGGGAGGACTAAATAACATGAGAAAGGGTTGCATGAACGCTTTATTGATTTTAATTTTATACAGTATTAGAAGCCTTCAAGACACACCCTATAATATAGAGGGCACATTCCACACACTTCCACATCATAATGCTGCTGGTCCTAACTAAATCAAAGATGAAAAAGGCAACACACTACACTATTTGAGGCAGTTCCAGTATTTGCTTTACATTTCTGTGACACTGTTAAAGTAGCATATGTCTTTCAGAGCGTCTTCCTGTATTCTAAAGTTTTGGCTATTGTTTTATTTATGTATTTATCATTTCTATATTGTACCCTCCAAACTATAATACCTCTCTTCAATTTCAGAACCATATTTTTATCTGTCCATCATAAGCACTGTGTTCATATCAAATTCATTGCCCACCCTTGTTTTCTTTGTTATCTTCATAACAGCCTTCATGTTACATAAGTCCCCGGACCAGACTTGGAATAATTAATGACTTTGCATTGGTCAGTGTTCATGACAGGAAAACAGGTGCCACACCAGGTATTTTTAAGAGACATTTTTAATATGGGGGATTGGTTATGCAAGTGTTGGAGAGCTGGAGAGGAAGGAGGGTGTGGGAGAACAGATTAAATGGCTTTAGGAATCATCTATTATCCCCAGAATTGGGAGAACAAGGAGAAGAGTTAGCAGTTATCATAACCTAGAATATCAGAGAAGATGCTCCACAAAGTTGGGACTCTGACCACTGAGAAGGAGAACAGTTAGCAGTTATCATAACCTAGAATATCAGGGAAGATGCTCCACAAAGTTGGGGCTCTGACCACTAAGAAGGGAGGAACTTGCCATCTCACATTGGTACCTTTGAGAACATGCAATGTGAATGTTAAAAGAAGCTGGAATCTGGGGCTGGGCACAGTGGCTCGGGCCTGTAATCTCAGCACTTTGGGAGGCTGAGGCAGGTGGATTTCTTGAGGTCATGAGTTTGAGAGCAGCCTGATGGCTCTCACCATACTGAGAGCCAATATGGTGAAAACCTGTCTCTACTAAAAAAATACAAAAATTAGCCAGTGTGGTGGTGCATGCCAGTAGTCCCAACTACTTGGGAGGCTGAGGCAGGAGAATTGCTTGAACCCAGGAAGGGGAGTCTGCAGTGGGCCGAGATCACGCCACTGCACTCCAGCCTAGGCAACAGAGAGAGACACCATCTCAAAAAATAAAATAAAATAAATAAAAGCTGGGATCTGGAACCAAAGTGGGCTGCCCAGGTAAAGCATCATCTCTAGATCGTTTCCATCAAGAATAAAAATCAAAGTAAGAATGAGCAAGTCCCTTCTTGTCTTCTAGTGGTCCTTGGTGGCAAAAACTTTTAGAACGTCAGGTACCAGAAAGCATGTGTATTTTTAGAAGTCCAATCACAGCATTAAAAAACAAACAAACAAAAACAAAAACAAAAACAAAAAAACAAGAATAGAGGGTGGATTTGGAACTCAGAAATAGTAACTTCACATTCAAAATAATACAAAGTTCTATAAATTATATCTTTCACTCAGGGCTAGAATGCCTCACCTTCTCATTTCCTGTTGCCACACCTCTAGCACAGGTACTCACTATCTCTTGTTCAGGCTATCCAAATGAGCTAGAGAATTCCATCTCCTACCCTTTCCTTTCTCTAGTCCACTCACTACATCTGTGGTCTAGTTGTTTTTCTAGTGAACAACTTTGATCATGCTACAACCTGCTTGAAAAGCTTCCCAAATTTCTTATCAACTCATTTTCTCTGGGGAACCTGAAATAGTATTCATTCCATCTCCATTTAAAGAACTTCTTCTAAAAAAGGTTTATGACATGTGCAAAGAAAAATATATATATGTATATTTTTTACAAAACTTGGTAGCATTCTCTCTTCTGGCATTCAGCAATTACGGAGCATCTATTACATGTGCCAGACCTCAAAAAAATCATATTTTAAGTTGTGAGTCTGTTGCCTATACTACCATATAAGTGCCTCATGAACACGTTTAATATTGTTTTTTTGTGTTGTACCTGTAGTAATCTGCAGAGGACCTCGCATGTAGTAGATGCTACAAGCTACTTGTTGAATGAGTGAATGAATGATAAATATGCATATCTAGAAAAAGATTGAGCTATTTGTTTTCTTGTCCTGCTGGGTTTGTACATTGTCCACAGAGAAGTTTCCAAAAGATTTGGATCAACATCTTATAAAGAAGAAGTCTTGAGACCCACAGTGCACATGTCATCAGGGCCACAGCAAACAGTGAGGCAGAGGCAAGTCTAGTTCCAAAGTTTGAGCTTGAGTTATACAAAAGCCAATGAATTTAAGAAGTAAACTGAAGGTAAAGTAAAGGAGTGGTCCACTGGAGTGCTCACCCTTGTTGCTCTTCTCCCCTCTTCTCAGAAACCTGAGATTAGTTCTTCCCTCCCTCTAACCCCTGCCTCCTCTCCATTTCCACCTCCTAATTTTTAAACGCCACTGTTTTGGAGAAACGTAGTATAGTTCCAGCTGCAGGCACTAAATCATTGCTGTACTTTGGACGTGTGCTGCAGAAGGGAGCCCTGTGATGAATGGGGCTGTCCGTATTTACATTGGGTACACAACAGCTGTGGGAATCGTCCTGTGCAATGAGTATTCTGGGCAAACTTGGCATGTCCCCATCACACTACCACCTCCCCCACCTTCTCCTCACCCAGTGACAGTGACTGATTGGCCACTTCTAAGGAGAACTACCCTTTAGAACAAAGGAATCACAATGTCCCCTCTTGTAAAAGCACATACACACGTACTCTCACTACACACACACACACACACACACACACAGAGCCCTTTCACTGACAATCTGCCAGTGCCACATTTTTTTTGGCAATTTTGTATTTCCCTAGATAAATAACCTTGCAAATAATAAAACTGCTCAAGTGTAGGCAGGTGGTGCAAAAGGAGCAATTTCTGTCTTTCAAAAAAAAAAAAAAATCTCCTCATGGGCTTGAAGAGACATACTGCATTGGTCATTGCCAAACTTATTGCCCAAGGCAAGTTGTGTCAAATACAGGTCTTGCTAAAACCCCATGTAACCAGGGCTTTTTGCCCGTAGGCAATCCACCTGACAGTGTTGATTTGAGTACTAGTGCCAAAGAGAAAAAGAGAAGAGGGAAAGGGAATACGGATAGTAAAGATTTATCACATTTATATGGTTCTTTACTCTTCATAGTACATATCATTCCCTTCACTCTCCAGGGATAAACATTCAAGCCTGAAGGACAAGGATGACTGTGCATGTGTGTGTGTATGTGTGTGTGAGAGAGAAAGAGGTTATTTGTTAAATAACAGAAACTTTGAACAAGCTGGACTAATTTTATTGGCTAGAATATTTTAGACTCAGAGTATAATCTGGTCTTTAGGCTTTTAATCGTATGTACTTTTAATTTCACTATTTTTCTCTGTGAACTAAACCTGAGAAATATTGCCATCTAACCATCTTTTTTTTTATAATTCTCCCTTTGGGTCCAGGAGTTCTTATAGGTCCTGATAGGAAACATCAAGACAAAGAGATGGCCATGATTGCAACAATCCTAGGGGTAAATCACATGCTTTATTCCATCCCACACTCCGTCTCTGAGTGGGTAACCAAAGAATCATTGGTATGACAAGACCAATTCCAAGTTTTCAGACTACTCATTTAGAATTTTAAAATTTCTTTTTAGAGCACATAATTGCATTGCTATTCTTAGGTTTCTCCTTTATATGTTTCAATCTGTTCAGGGACACTTCCTATGATATGAGGCTACAGAGTGGTAATATAATAGTTTCTAAACTTTACTGCATAAAATTGGATCCAATGCTATAACATCTGGAAGCGCACATACTTTATAAGTTGTAAAACATTTAAAAAAGGTAAGAAGATGTTAGTAACATTAAATTTGTTCTAAAACTACCTCTCTTCCTCCTGTCTACCCTACCACCACCACCACCAAGAAAACCATCAAGACCTGGTTTGGGGCTCTGTGAGGCAGCGCCAAAACATAGATGCCACCCACCAGATTGATTGTATGGCCCGCAACAGTATCCATACTAAGACTTAGTCAATCACAAAAGAAAGCAGAGTAGGGAGTCGCCAAGGACGCAGGGGGCAGGTTCCAGTTCTATTGCTTATTTGTTGTGTGAACTTAAGCAAGTTTCTTAACTCAGAAAACCCTGTTTCCTCTTGTGTAAAAAACAAGTATTACCTTATCTATATAGAATTATTCTGAGGACTACATGATATAATGAATGCAAGCATTATTACCCCAGGAAGTCATTTAACAGATTTCCTTTCATTTATTTTTGTGTTCATATTGTGAGGCAAGGCAGTAGGCAGTATGACTAAGAAACAAAACAAAAGCAAAAACACAAAAGAAGGTGAGAAGGGCTGGGCGCGGTGGCTCACACCTGTAATCCCAGCACTTTGGGAGGCCGAGGCAGGCGGATCATGAGGTCAGGAGTTCAAGACCAGCCTGGCCAATATGGTGAAACCCCATCTCTACTAAAAATACAAAAATTAGCCGGGCATGGTGGCATGCGCCTGTAGTCTCAGCTTCTCGGGAGGCTGAGGCAGAAGAATCACTTGAACCTGGCAGGCAGAGGTTGCCGTGAGCTGAGATCATGCCACTGCATTCCACACTCCAGCCTGGGTGACAGAGAGAGACTATTGTGTCTCAAAAAAAATAATAATAAAGAAGAAGAAGAAGATATGAAGCATCCAGTCATTCAGTAGCTTTAAGAAAAGCTGAGTTACATGGATTTATTCATGTTTTAAAATCACTAATATCACAGGAATATGTTGAATGCAGCACCTCCCAAAGCTACTTGACATTGGAACTCACATTTGCCGGATGTATCTAGAGTGGCACTGTCCTATAGAACTTTCCACTTTCCGTGATGATAAGCATGTTCTGTATCTGCTCTAACTTACATGATGACCACCGGCCACATGTAGCTACTAGACCCGTGAAAATTGGCTAGCACAACTAAAAAACTGAGTTTAAATTTTATTCAAATTAATTTCCGATGTAAATTTAAATAGCCACATGTGGCTAGTGACTATCACATTGGACAATACAGATCTAGAGACTAGTGTTTCAGGAAACACACATCAGAAAATGCTGCAGCAGTACAAACAGCTGGGCAATTAAAAAAAAAAAAAAAAAAAGCAGAAGCTGGCAAGGCCTGAATAGGTTGGGTGAAGCAGACATGAGAAGATCTGTTTGCTTCCCTCAGGGAAGAAAACGCCATGAATGACAGTGGCTAAGCAAAGTGGGTTTACTGAGAAGCTCCTAAAGCTTAAATTTCAGTGCTGCACTCTTGCATGAGTTCAGCTAAGGCTCTGTGCATTTTTCACATGGTCATATACTTCACTGTAAAATTTTCAACAGTAAAATGTAACAATAGTTGTTACAAAGAGCCCTTTCCACTCTGACTTTCATTATGTAAGGTCTCCTCTCATGTTGGCTGGTGCTCTGGTCTGAATGTTTGTGTCCTTTCAAAATCCACATGTTGAAATCCTAACCCGCAAGATGATGGCATTTTGGGAGGCGATGAGGTCATGAGGGTAAAACCCTTATTAAAGAGGCTTCAGAGAGCCGCCTTGTCCTTTTCACCATGTGAGGACTCAGCTAGAAGGTGCCATCTATGGGGGAACAGGCCATTTCTAGACACTACATTTGTTGGTGTCTTGATCTTGGACTTCCAGCTTCTGGAACTATAAAAAAAAATCTGTTGCTTATTGACCACCCAGCTTATAATATTTTTGTTATAGCAACCCAAACAGACTAAGACAGATGGTGACTGTGTAGCATGAACATTTTTGGAATCTGGATAATGGGAAGTTGAGTTGGGGATACACAGTGATTGGTTTTAAGTAAAATACATTTACATGGTTCAGAGTCACTTTTGTATGTATATAAGTTATCTCCAGTCATTCTAGTGTAGAAATGGCTTTCAGGAATGTTCTTAATGTTGTAAACTCAAAAGATATAGATTAAGTTCTTTTAAAGGCAATCTAAAATTCTTTTAAATTTTATAGCTCATATATGAAAAAACTTTCTAAAGATTGGCACAAATTTGACCACAATCTTAACAAAATTTACATGATATTACAATAATTAGTGAAAGTTCCCAAAGGCATTTCTCTCAACTATCTTTAATGAAAAATAAATTGTAAGCAACATTATTAGAGAAAAGATCAAATTACTTTTTATTCTGTCTTTAGAGAATATTACAATAGCATTGTCATAAAAAGTCATGATCAAATGAAGTCAAAAGAAAAAATAAGAAAAAGTTATTAAAGAAGTTATGTCAGAAAGTTAATTATTTTGTAAAACAGATTTACATTGTTTTCTCAAGTTGGGGTCTCTAAACATTTGAGTTGATTATGAGTTCTTATTTTTCTAACTGCATATTATTATTCTGTATTTGATGTTTGCAATTTTGTGCTTTCACTTTAGAGCAGGCTCCTAAACTTCTAGAGTTTTTAGGTTGTATAATATCTCAATAAGTCTATAGATGCCATTTTTAAAAATTCTTATCATATGCCAGCCATCATTGAGAAGCTATTGCATATAGTATTGCATTGCACTTCCTACTAGCCCTATGGAGGAGGTGTGCTCACCATCTCAATTTTCAAGATGAGGAACTGAGCTTCATAGATTTTTGCCCAAGTTTATAGAGCTGATAAGTAGAAGAACTGAAACTCAAACCTGATAATACTTCTACTTCTGGTTAAGGAGTAGAAGTTAGCAGCAAACTATTGTTCTTGCTGGAACCACTTGGGTGTGGGAGGCAAATGCTACAAAAGTAATATATTTTTAAAAAGTGATCAGAAATGTGTTTAGGTAAGGAGTATAGAAGAATTGAAATCCAAACAGAAAAGAGCTCTTCCTAAATGAGTAGACTTCCTGCATTATTCACTGAGGGCATTTTCTGAGTCTAAGCACAGGCTGGACATAAAGCTTGCAGTAGGCAGAGAGACTTTTCCAAGGATAGGAAAAAAAAAGCAGTGGAACTTTTTACAGCCACATGGGTTAGCATGAGGGAACAGAATCTGGAAGTGCCTCAAATGCTAGGCTGATTTTTCTCATAAGATCTGCTGAGTGCTATGGTGGAATGGAAAGTTGGGGCAGGATGGAAAAAACAGAGTAAAATCTTATTAAATTTTGCATTGTTTATAAGTCAAAGCAGTGCATATTGTTGTTTATTGTTTATTGTTTGTTTTAGTTGATATATAATAATCCATTGTATGACCATAAAAAAAAAACTACCTTTTTACCCATTTGGATGGATTTTGATTTCTTGCTATCACAAGAAGTGTCACTTTGAAAACAGATAATATTGACTGGGGAAAGAAAAAGTAAATGAAGAGATGTAGGTTTTTAAATGCATCATTGCATACTTATATACACTTTTTTTTCTAATCAGAGAAGAAAAACATATCTGAAAAGATGCATTTGTCTACTTTGTATTTTTTTTCTGCAATTAGTTGGTACCTTTGATGTATTGAATATGTTCTTTTAAGTGTGTTGACAGTAAAGGAGAATATGCATCTGAAATAAAAAATTCCTTTTCTTCAAGTATTAGAAATAAACATGCCAAAGTCTCTGCAAGACAGGAGGAGAGCAAAACAAGAAAAGTAGAAAGAGAAATGTATGTATGGGAAAGAAAAAGAGTTTTACAGAAGTGCAGATAAGGATAGAGGCAGGGTTTGTACTCTGGTGTTGGGTGATGGAGGCTGAAACTCCAACTTGCAATCTCCTTTTCAGCACTGTTTCCTTTATGTTGCCCATACCCAAATAACTTACTTTTAATTCTTCTCCAATTTGGACTCATACTTTCTCATCTCAAGCTGCTCTTGTCCAATCCTAAAGTGTCTGATCCCGAATAAAATTGTCAAGGTTTGTTGTTTAAGGTTTCACTTTATGCGAAAGACAGAATGCCACGACAGGAACATGACTTCGAGAGAGGCCGTAGATTTGGTTTCTGATGTCTTTTCAGCTCCTACATCTCTCCGCAGTTCCAATTTCTCTGCTGTTTCTGGCAGCGTTTCTTCCCAGTAAGATATTTATGTGAGGGATTGCTGTTACATCATGACTTAATAGTGCATTGCATTTAGGCCTGTTTTCTCTTCCTCGTCCTAAGAACAATACACTCTTGAACAATGGAGCAGAGCCACGTGTTCTTTTTGCTTTCTTGGAAGGAATTATCTAGAGTTCAGACTAAAAATTGTTCAAAAAGAATTAGAAAACCTGGGCTGGGCATAGTGGCTCATGCCTGTATTCCCAGCACTTTGGGAGGTCGAAGCGGGTGGATCACCAGAGGTCAGGAGTTCCAGACCAGCCTGACCAATATGGTGAAACCTCATGTCTACTAAAAATGCAAAAATTAGCCTAGCATGGTGGCATGCACCTATAGTCCCAGCTACTTGGGAGGCTGAGACAGGAGAATTGCTTGAACCAGGGAGGTGGAGGTTACAGTGAGCTGAGATCACACCACTGCACTCCAGCCAAAAAAAAAAAAAAAAAAAAAAAACCTGAATATGCAAATAGATTTGAAAGGTCATCGTACTAGTTTGTTCTCATGCTGCTGATAAAGACACACCCAAGAATGGGTAATTTATAAAGAAAAAGAGGTTTAATGGATTCACAGTTCCACATCACTGGGGAGGCCTTACAGTCATGGTGGAAGGCAAAGGAAGAGCAAAGCACATCTTACATAGCAGCAGGCAAGAGAGAATGAGTGCCAGCAGGGGAAATGCCAGATGCTTATAAAACCATAAGATCTTGTGAGACTCACTCATTATCATGAGAACAGCATGGGGAAAACCACCCCCATGATTCAATTACCTCCACCTGGTCCCTCCCATGACACATGGAGGTTATGGGAACTACCATTCAATATGAGACTTGGGAGGAGACACAGCCAAACCATATCAATTTTCTAGGCTTTCATGTTGAAGAAGGGAAAACTGAGCTTCAGAGAGTTGTAATACCTTGGTCAAGCAAACATGGATGATGAGAGGTTAACAGCTTGGGTTAGAATCCGAGTAATTTTACTCCCAGGAAATTTGGTATAAAACTGAGCCTCTGTTATGAATTAACAACTGTTCCAGTGCAGTAGAGGAAATGTAGGGCTTGGAATCCACCCTCAAAGGGCTTAGAAAGGGAAAGCCATGTATATTAGATATAGCATTTTTAGAAGTACAGTATGTTCTTGATAAGCTGAGAGAGAAAGGCGAGAAGCTCATCAATGTACCTATTCTGCTTGTGTATGTATGACAGTGAGACAAATTTAGGCAGAATACTGAGTACCCATTATGTGCCATGCATACCATAAACACAGAGGATACAGTGGTGAATGAGGCACACACTCCTCTGACTGTACATAGTGTACTATCTGGTGGAGAAGCAAAAAGCAACAACAAAACCTTTTGAGAGAGAAGCAGAAGCTAGAGAAAGTGAGAAAACAAGAAAACATGATTAAGGAGATCTTTCTCAGCAAGAAGAGGGTAATAATCAAAAAGTTCCATGGAGGTAGGGTAAGAATGATAAAGGGGCAAAAATAAGATGATTTTTAGAAAAAGGAAAAAGCTCAAGCATTTTAAGAGGTGTTGCAGATTGATGAGGAAGGAGTGCCCAAGAATAGTGCTTTTCCCCATTGCTCACTGATTCTGTGTTACCACACTTTGTGCGCACATAGATAAAGTGGTCTCTTTTTCACTCCCTTTTCTGTGGGTTTCATTTCTAGTCACACTCTCAGCTGGTTAATTTTCTTCTCTTCTGCGATCGGTGATAAGATACAGTCTGGATTTATTACTGGAAGACATAAAAAGAACTATTCCTATCAAGGATTCATATGATTAAATATCCCCACCACAGAAATACTTTTAACTTCTCATATAGTAGAAAGTCACTTGCCTTCAGATACCAGGGGTGATGCCACCCCAGGGCTCCAAGTCTGGAGGAACAAGGACAAAAAGCAGAGGGATGGAATGAGAAAGAGTGATGGACTTAAAAACGGGGTTGGGGAGAGGCTGTGGGAGGGAAAGGACATAGACAAGGATAGAAGAGAAGGGGACGTGAGTGGCATTAAAGAGGCACTGCTTCTAGTAGCTTTGAACTGAAATTGGGAGGATTAAACCAGTCAAACATGGGAGCAAAATCAAAGCTAGAAGAGAAAATGGCATGAGCCATCTTCCCTCCTTCCCTCACTCTATCATTTACTTTTGTGTCTTTTATTTTCTTACCTAAGAATTCACCATTCCCTATATTATAGAATCCCAGAACTGAGAACATGGAACAGCCATGTTGAAGGAGTATGTATTCCTGACGTTGCGTGCTGCAACCTGGTGGCTCCAGTCATATTCTGTTAGGTTGAAATCCTCACTGAGCCTTTGCTTAGCCATTGCATTTTGCAGGCAAATCAGGCAGTCAAGCTTCTCTTGAAAACATTAGAAGATCTCGTAATGTTTGACTCTCATAAACCTACATTATTGGGAACAGTCAGATAAACCACCTCTTTGAGGAGGGGCATGACACTCCTAGTTCTCCTCAGTTCCCACCTGGCCTCTCTACAAGCTGCCTTGCCCCAAGAGGCATTTGAATAGGCATTAGGAGATATACCTAATGTAAATGATGAGTTAATGGGTGCATCACACCAACATGGCACATGTATACATATGTAACAAACCTGCACCTTGTGCACATGTACCCTAGAACTTGAAGTGTATAAAAAAAAGAAAAACAATTTGGTTCAACTCATCTACCTCTCATCTCCTCACCCCCACACAGAAACCTACATGTACATTGCATGCATGAGGAAAGAGAGGCAAAGACCAGTCAAGGGACTAGCTAGTTTCTGGCAGAGATCAAAGCAGAGAGTCTAGCTTTCTTTCCACTATTCCAGTGTCAACTACAAAGCCCTTTTTGGCGAGGGCTTTCCAGACATGAGGGCTCTTGTCACAGCTAAGTTTATCATGTTGTCTACAAACCTGAGCTTCCTCCCATCCTGAGTTTCCACCCATCTTGGATGCTCCACCTCGGCTGTAAGATTTCAAAACCATTTCAGCCTACCTAGGCTCTCCATCACCTTTCACAGATAAAGAAACAAAGCTCCCCAGTGTTTATCAATGTTCCCTGGTCACACTGTTCATGAATGAGAGGACCAATCTCAGAGTCCAGATCTCCTTTCTCCTTACCCCATGATGCAGCTAAACACATCGTCCAAGCCCAAAGACCTTCCAGGGTGTGTATTTGACTTTACTTTCTCTTTACACTGCTTCTCGGGTCTCAGACCCAAGCATTTCCAGAGACTTCAGGAGCTTCTCTTCTCCAGTTTTAAGTTCATGTCCATGCCTTTGTTAGCTTTTTTTCCCTCAATTCCTCATTGCCCTCTGCCCTCATCACCATCTGTCTGGTGCCTCCCTCTCTTCTCCTCTTTCTATACCATTAGGTTTAATTTTACCATGATTTCCTCCCAAGTTTTCTAATTTAATCTGATGTCAACTTTGACACAGTATTATTTTCCTTGACCCTTCACAGTAGCACTTACCATCTTTCCCAAAAATCTAAATGATTCTACTTTTCTTTATTTTATATTGTGATCTCTCTCCCTCACCCTTGTTTTCTCTCTCTCTCTCTCCCTCCCTCCCTCCCCCCTCTCTCTCACTCCCTCTTTTTAATGTCTATGTCTTTCTCCATCTTTTTCTCCCTCTTTTCTTTGAATTTTCTTTTCTTTCTGGCTTTTTATCTCTTCTCTTTCTCTCTGCCTGCTTTTCTCTGTCTTGATTATTATCTCTCTTCTTATTGTTTTCTTTTGATTCTCTCTCTCTCTCTCTCTGCTTTCTTACTCTCTCACTCTCGTCGGTCTGTCCTCTCTATGAAAATCTCAGATTCTTTTATTTTCCCCAGGGGAGACATGGGACAGGTTTCAGACGTGGAAAGAACAGTAGGGGAGCAGGTATTCTCAGCTCCAATCCTCATTCCTCATAGGAGGTGGGTGGGAGCGTGTGCCCTACTAAACAGTGTGTATTTCTCACAATTTCTTCCTGCTCTGGGGATCAACATTGCCTTTTCTCTTCTCTCAGATTTTACATGGGTCCACAGATGCTGTCTCCCTCTGGACTTTGTGTTTCACGTTGAACTAACCATTAATGAGATTCAGGGAACCTGAAATGAAGTTTATTGCCTATATGGCTTCAGTGCTTGGGAGGGATCTATTACAATGTAATGTTTGATAAACCAGGAACCCTTTCTGTTCTCGCAAATCAAATAGCCTGCATAGGAAAATGGTGGAAGATTAGGCTAGAGAGATGGGAAGAAGTTGGATCATGGACAAAAATAAGTGTGAAATGTTTTACAAGCCAAAAATCACTGAATTATTTTGTTCTTTTTGCCCCCTTTTGGATTTTATCAAAACAATTTCAACTCCATGAGAAAGAAAAGGAGCATCAGAAGGATGGAAGGAAGAAAAAGATAGTGGAGAAAAAAGAAAAAGGAAAAAGAATTTACCATCACCACCTGGTTTTTTGCTAGTAGAACTTAAAATATTAAATTAGGAAATAAACTGAAACCAATATATCAAGCTAAGGGCTAGAGTATTACTGCCCATGTTTTCTTTGCTTCTTATGTATAGACACTTAATAATTAGTAATAATCAGATTCTTATAAGTCTAAGATACTGGAATGCCATTATTATCATAATTATATTTGAGGAGCAATTCAGAGCTTAGGAAGGAATTCTTACATACACTATTTTATTTTATTTATTTTATGACATGGAGTCTCACTCTGTCACCCAGGTTGGAGTGCAGTGGCATGATCTCGGCTCACTGCAACCTCCGCCTCCTGGGCTCAAGCAATTCTGGTTCAGCTTCCCAAGTAGCTGGGACTACAGGCACATGCCACCATGCCTGGCTAACTCTTTGTATTTTTTTTTAGTAGAGATGGGGTTTTGCCATGTTCTTCAGGGTAGTTTACAACTCCTGACCTCATTTGATCCTCCTGCCTTGGCCTCCCAAAGTGCTGGGATTACAGGCATGAGCCACCATGCCCAGCCCCCAATTTTATTTTATTCGTGGCCATGATTCCAATGATCAGGTTAAAGGAAAAAGGGGCAAGTTCTGTGTCTCTAAAGCTTGAATTTGCAGTCCATTTATTTAAGAAGACTTTCAATACTGGGGGGAGATTGATAAGGTTATTGAGCAGTTTCTAAATTAATCACTCCAAGCTTCTTCAGTGAAACAATATGTAAATAGGCCTGTGGACAGTTTGTAAACTGCCAAATGCCCTCAGACTCCAGATAGTTGGAGATTAGCTTTCTAGGATACTTCAAAGAACAGTTTGCTGCATAATGACCATCTTCTCTGTCATTTATAAAAAACTGACAATTTTCCAGGCACACACATTATATTTTCACTTTTCATTCAAGATTTGAATATCCCAATATTTGCATATGAAGCAGTTGAGGTTCAGAGAGGTTAATTGATTTGTTGGGGTCATACAGCCAATAACTGGTAGCATTTTAGTTCAAGCCCAGGTCAGCCTGCTCAAAATTTATTTATTTTTTTCATAATACCACACTGCCTTCCTTCCAGGAAATCGGTAAAGGAAGAAAGGTTAAAGTATGACCTCACATCAGATTATTTTATGTTTTTTCTCTTTTTAATTAGTCATTTTTCCTGTTTCTTCCATAAATAATTCATCAGCAGAGGAAGAGAATCATTCAATACGTGAATAAAGGAATAACAACATTTTTTACCAAGATTGCTCATCGTGGAGGAGATGGACTAGTTCTTTCTCATAGCCGCTTCAAATTAGTTAATTTCAGGTGGATTTTGGGAGGGATATGCTGAACCTGTCTTATAGACAGGGAAAAAAATCCACTTACCAAGTCATCTTCATCCTATCAAGACACCTGCTGGATTGCAGTCAAATTGTCAATGAATAAATAATTAATAGCTAATTTCCATAAAGTGATTTGCCATCCTTTATTGGTTCCTAAACCACCTTAGATTATCTACTCCTTAGAGGGATATTGGTTAGCTTTAGCTAGTGTGAAACCATCCACAATGGCCAAGCAGGAGTCCCTTGTGTCTGGAAAAGGAGATGCAGGTGCACAACTCAAAGCACATTGGTGGTAATGGTCGAGGAGAAGGCTCTCTGGAGCTTACTGAACAGTGCAGAGCACAGGAGATGGCAGAAAAGCCCAAAGACATAAGGCTGGTATATTAACTGGTAGATGCTAAAAAGCACCATTGAGAAAGCATGCTTTGTGGTTTTTTAAATCACAGATATTCAATCAGAGATGCGGAGAAGAGCGGATTTCTGACTTCATTCCTCAATCACCGTCAACTCTGCCAAAGCTGGAAGACTTTAAGTTTATTTGGTTTGATATCTTCTCAAATTACTTTGGGACCTGGAATATCTTTTTTTTTTTTTTTTTTTTTTTTTTTTTTTTTAGAAAAGCTTATTCAGAATCCACCTAATTAAGACAGATATGAATTGGATCTTCCTCAGCTAGGTAGGATGAGTGACTTTTTTTGCGGATAATTTGTAAGGATCAAAAACTTAAAGGTGCATATTCTTTGACAAACAATTATTCTTCTAGTATATTTGCCTTTAGCAAAGCACAAAATGTGTGCACACAAGGTTGTGCAATCTTTGCAATATTGCTTATAATACCAAGAAAGAGTAACAGTTTATCAGTAGAAGAAAATTCAAATAAATTATTGTGCAATTTTTAAAACAAATGAACAAATGTTATATGAGCTAATATCAGAAGATATTCACTATCAATTGCGGTTACATAAAAACTTCAAAGTATAGATAAAACCTTAATATGACATAAATTATATTTAAAACTCTCTCTCTTCCACCCACATGTGTTTTAAACGTCATAACCTATGGATCAAAATATAAGATTAAAACAATTTACACACTAAACATAATAATCTTTATATTCACGGATTGCTTAAATAATTTTAAAATTTGTGAGTAAATTTATACATTTGGTTTTTATGTGTATTGCTTTAATAATTTCAGGACTAAATTGTTCACTTCAAGGCAAAATTTGTTTCTCTTTCAATGTAATGACTTCGTTTCATAGAGACTTCAGTAATTTTATTGTGGTTTCCATTATTATCTCTACTTATTTTAATTACGCTTACCTTATAGCCATTCTCAGATTTTTCTTTTTTCTCAAGTTCATGAGATGCTATTTCTCCTATATTTTTATTTTCTTACTTTCCTTTAAAAGGATTGGTTTGCAATTTTCTTTATTTTTTTGTTATCGTTACCAAAATATTTTTATTCTCCATGGATGCCCATGAACAGTGGTTTTGGAAGTGGCTATAAAGTGGTTTTCATTTGATTATTTTGAAGATCAAAGTGTTCATCGGTCCTCAACCAGGTTTTTTAATGTTAGTTTCTGATCTCAGTATTCTAGTACAACATGGATGATACAAATTCAGACTCCACACTTGCATATGATACAAATATGGGGTTTTGAGTTTTGACTTGTGGACCATATATAGGGTGCTGACTCTTGTTTTATCATAACCATAGTTACTCACTTATTTTATTATGAGATAAGATCTCACTCTGTTGCCCAGGCTGGAGTGCTGTGGTGCAATCATAGCTCACTGCAGCCTCAAACTCATGACCTCAAGTGATCCTCTCACCCCTGCCTACTGAGTAGCTGGGGGTACAGGTGTGCCACCATGCCCAGCTTTCCCTTCTAAGTTTAAGGCTAGATATTATTTTTTCCTCCAATCTGTTTGCCAGAATCTAGGCAATCTGTTTAGACTTATAAATCTTCTTTTCAAATGTTTTGGAGAAGGTCAGTCTGAGGTGACCAACCCACCAGGAAGTATTTTTTTTTTTTTTTTTTGAGACCGAGTCTCGCTCTGTCGCCCAGGCTAGAGTGCAGTGGCGCTATCTTGGCTCACTGCAAGCTCCGCCTCCCGGGTTCACACCATTTTCCTGCTTCAGCCTCCCGAGTAGCTAGGACTACAGGCGCCCGCCACCACGCCCGGCTAATTTTTTGTATTTTTAGTAGAGACAGGGTTTCACTGTGTTAGTCAGGATGGTCTCGATCTCCTTACCTCGTGATCCACCCGCCTCGGCCTCCCAAAGTGAGTATCTATTTGACAATACAAAGAAAACTCACTCCCCCACCCCATCCTTGCTTTCATGAGAACTTCAGGTGATAAATTGGATGGGGAAAGAAGCTCTCTTAGGAGAATATGAATTTATTCTATTTGACCATGGATTTATTAATGCCTCTCGTTTTTCTAAGAGAGGCATTATAAATTGAAAACAGTACACTTTCTAATGACATCATCTATGTTCACCAGCTGAAATAAACTGTTAATTGTAATAGCTATAGACGTAAAAATCCTCAAGCTCTGCCCCACATCACTGCTGTTACTTTGCCCCTTCTGTCTTATCGTGCTCAATATTTTAAGGCTTAATACAATTCCCTCTTCTCTCAAGAAGTTATCTCATCTAATCCAGCTTCAACTATTTTCGTCTTCTTTTTTTTTTTTTTTTTTGAGATGGAGTCTCACTCTGTCACCCAGGCTGGAGTGCAGTGGCGCCATCTCGACTCATTGCAAGCTCCGCCTCCCGGGTTCACGCCATTCTCCTGCCTCAACCTCCCGAGTAGCTGGGACTACAGGCGCCTGCCACCATGACCAGCTAATTTTTTGTATTTTTAATAGAGACGGGGTTTCACCATATTAGCCAGGATGGTTTCGATCTCCTGACCTCGTGATCCACCCGCCTGGGCCTCCCAAAGTACTGGGATTATAGGCATGAGCCACTGTGCCCAGCCAACTATTTCTTCTTCTAATTCTTAAGTCTCTCGTAATTTACAGGATGTCATTTAATGACATGTATTCATGCATTCTACTTGTGTTATGCCACATGTGACCATCATGATCTCCAATCATACTGGGAACTCTTTGAATTCATTAATAAGAGCCCACATTTATCGTCAGAGCTAATATTAATCCTCACTGTTCTGTCAGCAAAATACAACCACTTTCATTAACTCATTGGCACCTCCCAGCAACCCTGAGTGAGGGTAGAGCAGAGGAGAGAATCGAGCTTGTAAAGAAGGTAAAGTGTCTTTTTCAAGGGCTCATTGCTCTAAATAACAGAGTTATTCTAACTCCAGACACATAACTCATTTGACCAGATCCTGGGACCTTCATCAACAGTTCTCTGCCTAGATTAGGAAGAGATTCATAAATAAAGCTGAGATGAGCATGCCATTTATGAGATGGTGATTCAGAGATCATTAAGCCACAGTTCCTATATCATTTTCCTCTGTTATTCAGGATTAGGTGCTCATTGGCCTATCTATCAAATAGAGCCATCTAGTAACAGCTTGTGCTCCCCTTTGTCTTTAAACAAATGTCTAAATCAAAGCTCATTTTGTTTGTATGTTTTGTTTTGTCATGTTGTCCTCAGAAGCACATAAACATCTAATCTATATAGACTTGTGAAATTCACCCTTTTAGTTGGAAAGAGTTTATGACTAAAGTCAAATATGGGTGGGCAATCTACAAAAAGGAGGCTATTTCACAAATGGAAGAAGCCCACAGTTCCTCCCTAATAGCGCTAATACAAAAAATTTAATTAATAATTATTAATAAACTCATTATTACAAAATTAAAACTTAGACTAGGTGAATCATGTCACTTTACCAAGCATGTTTCATTAGATATTACATGCCACTCAAAAAGATCTTAAGCTCTCCAGATATCAGACTGTCTACCTTGAATTCTCAAAGCATAGAGAGTTTTGTAGGCACTCAGTAAATTGCATTTAAGTCATTTAAATATTATTTGTACATTCTCTTTAAGTTCTATGTATTCTTTGTGTTTCATTTTTAAAACTCCATCATCTGTTTCTTATTATTCTGGTAGTTGTACTCCAATTTTACTTGAGTCATGTACTACTGGGTACAGACTTGATAGTATCATCAATAAAAGGGCTTTATTCTTGTGCGCATGTCCCAAAATGGACCAATCAATTTCTCTTTGAGATATGACTCCTTAGAGTGGTGACCGAGTCTAAGACTGGCAATAGTTAGAGGTCATCCTTCTGGTTAAGAGAATCCTAAAGAAGCTCTCCATTGTCTTCTGCTACCCCAATCTCTGGATTTCTCTTCAGTTTCTGTCATTTTTCAAACTGATTTTCTCAGCTTCTACTTTGATTACTTTAAAATTAAAAGTTATCCAGAATCAATTTGTTGATTGCAACCAAAGAATTCTAGCTTATATATTGTGACTCAAATAAAGTTAACAATACTGCATTGAATTTTTACATTTGTATGCATAATTAATGTAATTTTCTGTCTTCCATTTACAAACTCCTTTAAGCCTATCAGATTGGCAGAAAAAAAGCAAAAAGGGACATAATATC
Organism: Homo sapiens; assembly: GCF_000001405.40. Classification (NCBI taxonomy): domain Eukaryota; kingdom Metazoa; phylum Chordata; class Mammalia; order Primates; family Hominidae; genus Homo; species Homo sapiens. Next base: position 117,976,369 of record NC_000009.12, on the reverse strand, counting down.
AATTGTGAGCAAATGTAGGGTGAGACTGGCATATTAATTCCCAGTGATGAGAATATAAAATGATATCAAAAACAGTCTGATTATAATTAATAAAATTGGGTATAAATATGTCCTGTGACTCAGACATCTCCCTCCTTGGCATGTATTACAGAGACATTTTCATAACAGAGACATTAACATAAACATAATTAACAGAGACAATAACATTACAGAGACAAGTCCGTAACAGACATGTATAAGGATATGTATTTTGGTGTCTGTATGAATGCAAGCTATGACCTAGATGGCTATTACCGAGAGAATGGAGAGACAAAATGTTTGTGAATAATTTGGGATGTTATGAAGCAGATAGAAGCTATAAACTAATGTACCAATAACAACATGGCTTGATTATGAAAATGTTCCTTAATGAAATGAATTAATTTTAGACCATTATAATTATAAAAATTAAAACATAATCATATATAATATAGCATGATGTATTTTATAAAGATGCATTAAAACTCAGGTGCCTGCAGGAGAGTAAAGAGGCGTGGGAAATTTGTGGTCTTAGAAACACAGATGCAAAATAAAATAATAGAAGAGAAGGACATTGTACAGAGCAATGATTTCGAGGTGCTTTGAAGGGAGGAGTATAAGCCAACTGTACTGAAGTTTCAGAAAAAGCAAGGGAAAATAGCAAAACAGCAAAAATACAAACATTTCTGGTGTCTGATATGTATTATTATCCATGTTATTTATTAAAATTCATGATAACTCAAGCTCCTTAGCTAACAAGAATTTGGCTATCTTTACCAGTGACCATGTTAACTGAAATCTGCATCTCTGAAACTTTCTTTACTTGAGGCAATTATCTGAGTTATTGACTGCATCAAAATGAAGAAAGGTTTTGAGAGAAAGAAAAGTGTATTTAGGTAATGTGAGTAAAACATGGAGTTTGCTACTAAGATCTTTTCCTTCCAAGCTTTGGAGTTTAAATGAAAATACATTTGGGTTAAAAGAGAAAAAGTTCTTCACTGAATGCTGCAGTGTAGACTTACAATTGGCTTCTCAAAAGCTAGTTAAAGCTTTGGCAAGTCTGGGTTCACTCACTGCAATTTTCTATGGGTCTTCAAGAGTCTCCCTGGTTTTTCTTATGCCTATATAAATGGCTCCCTCTCTTCCATCATTATTCAGTGATTAAAACATTTAGTTTACTCTTAGAATTAACACAAGATGGTGTTTGGTAAAAGCTCTGTCCCCAGTCCCTTCCTCTTGGCCTTTGTTAGCGACTCAGCTCACTCAAAATACAACTTTCTCATAGAGGAGCTTCTTCATAGTCTTGTTGAATTCCTTGGAAAGGAATATTTTTGTAACATCAGAGTTACAATTTTTGTTCTTTTCTGCTATAACATGCATGGAAAAGGGGAAAGACATGGTAAACAAAAATCTTTGACTCTATTGATCAAGTGTCCAGAATATGTTCCCCCAAATGAATTTTCAGCTTTATTATTATCACTGCTCCTAAAAACATAGGAGATCTTTCTGACTGAGGTCAATGAAGGAGAAATGGTTCAGATTAAAAATGAAAATGAGATATAAATGGGAAGAAAATGCACCCATAGTATTTAACCAGTAGAAAACCTGAAAATATATTAAATGTCTTTCTGGATCAAAACATTACTGAAGAAATGAAATGAACTTACAACTAGTTTAATAAGAGGTGAGGCCTAGGGATACATGTGGATAATGAATTTATTTACAATGTTATATAAGCTTATGGGCATTTATTGATAATTGACAGAAATAATTAGTTAATAGTATTAGAAGCAAAACTTGAATCTACATTATCATTCATTCAGCTACACAATGATCCTTTAAAATGATGCCTGAACAAGCACATCATTTTAAAGGAGGCTATACATGTGATATATTTATTTAAGGCTTCTTAAGTCTTACTGTACAGTTTTGAGAATGAGCAAGGGTGAATTGGGACATGAAACTAACTTTCTTCTATTCTACATATCCCATAGTCAGCTATCTAGCGCTGAGCAAGAGCTTGGAGAGGAAGAAGCTATCTTCTATTGCCAGTGAAAAAAGTGTTGTCAGGACTTTCGTGCACCAAAATATCACAAATATGGCTTCATACAGAATAGCACTGCCCAACAGAACTTTCTGCAGCGATGGAGTTTTTATCTATATATGCTGTCCAATATTATGGACACTAGCCACTGGCTATTAAGCACTTGAAATACAGCTAAAGTGGAGGAAGAATTGAATTTTTAATTTTATTTAATTTTTCATTAATTTAAATTTAAATAGCCACTTATGTCCTCTGGCTAATCTACTGGGCATGCAAGTCTTGCAAAGACTGAGCGTCTCCCAATGGGCGGGCTGCAGTCAAGGAGTCTAAGAGAGATAAGTGCTAACTCTGGGGCTTGGACTTACAAGTGGGCATGGCTCTGAGGATGCTCTTTATCTCTGCTCACACAGGCCCTCCTTAAGTAGTATCTGCCCTTATCTACACGTATAAAGTCACCTTACTCTTGGATTAAGAGGAGATTACTGGAGCTAAAACTCTCAGTCCACTAATGTCAACAGAATCCATTTCATTCTTGCTCACAGGATAACACATGATATGCAACCTGAATTCCCATACCTCTGAAGCCCTCTCTCTTCTCTGTAATTTATGTTGGAAGGAAAAGAGAAAAGAACCCACATGCCTATCCTATACAGAGTATCACTCTCCATAAAACTGAAATTCCACCCTCAGAGCCCATTATTTGAGTATACTCATTATGTTCTTGAAAACCTTTTTGAAGTATAAGAATGTTGCCAAATAGAACAAACATATTTGGTAGAGGGATTCATTAAAAATATAGCAGTGATTAGTTTATCAAGTTAACTAACCTCCTAGGACTAATAAACTGTGCTAAGTACCTCTGTCTCTTCCAAAATGTTGGTGGAAAGAGGGAATTTAGGTTGTTTTGTCAAGTTTTCCTCCTACAAATGAGGAAACTGGAGGACAGAGAAAATGGAGTGACTTGTCTAAAGCCAGTTAGGAGTGGTAACTTGTGGGTGTGAACTATGTAGGTTTTTTTTTGTTTGTTTTTCTTTTGAGACAGTCTCTCTCTGTTGCCCAGACTGGATGGAGTGCAGTGGCGGCACAATCTCAGCTCACTGCAACCTCTGCCTCCCAAATTTAAGTGATTCTCATGCCTCAGTCTCCTGAGTAGCTGAGATTACAGGCATGTGCCACCACACCCAGCTAATTTTTGTATTTTCAGTAGAGACAGGGTTTCGCCATGTTGTCCAGGCTGGTCTTGAACCCCTGATTCCAGGTTATCTGCCTGCCTCAGCCTCCCAAAGTGCTGGGATTACAGGTGTGAGCCACCGTGCCCGGCCAGGTTTTCTAACTTCTAGCCTTATACCTTTTCTAATATATTTACTATCTCCCAGAAATATCCAAACAAGTGGAGCCAATAAATTTGATCTAGATGTGCAAATTGTTATTAATTGTTAGTAGAATTTGGTGCTCTATGTGCTAAAAAGGATTCTGAGGCTGCATTGAACCTGATAGCAAGACTCCATCACTCTATGATTAATTGTTATGAAGATAGAAGAAATAAAACACATACCAGGTATTTGCTATCTGTGTTTCAAATATCTGTCAATGTGCCTTGGAAAACAGGAAAATCTGGGCCAGTGAGGGCCATAAAAATATAGTTGAGTAATGAATGAGGGGGAATATTAGGTTCCATCTACTGGTAATATCTTTTGGATGTAAGATTGAAAAGAAAAAATAGTACTTCTCTGGGAATGAGGAAACCTAGTCTCAGATCTAACCTGTACTTTCTGTGTGTTTATGGAAGAGTTAATTTACTTCTCTGAGGTCCAAATTTGTCCTTTGTAATATAGCAAAAGTAGTTCCTATTTCTCATATTTCCTGAGAGAATTGCATGAGATCGACACATTTAACCCATCCATTGGGGTGCAACACATACTAGTTACTAAAATAGTTCCTCTTTCTCATATAAGGGTTAATATTCATCTACAAGTTCTCTAAGCATAAGACTTGCATAAAATGTCTTTCTGTATGGTTTTAATTTGTATTTCCCTGATGATTAGTGATATTGGTCTTTTTCTTTTTTAAAAATTAAATTAAAATTTATTTTTGGGCTGGGTGTGATGGCTCATACCTGTAATCCTAGCACTTTGGGAGGCTGAGGCTGGAGAATTGCTTGAGGCCACGAGCTCAACATTGATCTGGCCAACATAGTGAGACTCCATCTCTAAAAAAAGAAAAAAAATCAGTTTTGATATATTATAATTACACATAATTATGGGATACAAAATAAAGTTATGATGTATGTATACAATGTGGAATGATTCACTCAAGGTAATTAACATATTCATCATCTTAAATACATATTGTTTATTTCTCCTAACTGCAACTTTCTACACTTTGACCAACATCTTCTCATTCCTCCTACCCCTCTGCCAGCTTCTGGTACCACCATTCCATTTTTTGCTTCCATGAGCTCTATTGTTTTAGATTCTATGTGTAAGTGAGAACATGTGGGATTTGTCTTTCTATGCCTGGCTTATTTCACTTAGGATAATACCCTCCAGGTTCACCCATGTTGTTGCAAATAATGGAATTTCCTCCCTTATAAAAATAATGTAATGATTTTACATGAAGATATGAAATAATGTCCTAATTGTCATACCTTAAACCCACTCACCTCCAAATGACATCCTGTAGTTCCCCCAGAGTTACAATGACACAGAACTGCCAAGGTCTTATTAAAATCCTAACCTATAGCAAACAACAAATGAAACACACATAAAATGTATTTGCCATGAGTGCAATGTAAAACCTAAAACTTTCTGTTTTCCCCAAGTCTCACCTTTGAAAGGCATCTATGCCACTCACTGCTGAGAGGTAAGGCATCTCCTCACAGCTTCCCCACTGGCCCTCCACATGGTGCTTCTTGACAAGGCATTATTGCCCTCTTATCTCAGAATTCTCACCTGAGCATCACCTCCATTTTTTATTATGTTTATTATTTCAAAAATTTTGTTAAGCCCTACACTTTCTCCTTAGTGATGGGAATATAATGATGGGGGATATAGACATAATCCCAAAGCTCCTGAAACTTAAGTCCAGGGAGAAAGAAAGAAAATTAAATGAGCTTGGAGAACATTAACACATCCTCATCTATGTTCTTGGTCCCTTGGAGTACTAAAATTACTCCTTTGAATTCCCACAGCTTCAGTGGTGGGGAAGAGACAAACATCTCCCCTTTATTTTTGTACATCATAGTATCTTCTTTCGTGCACTGCCACCTTTTCCATTTCTTTTCTGTGCTGTTGTTGTCTTGTGAGGCTTTTTTCCTAAAGAGTTGACAGACTTATCTCTCCAAGATATTTCCTGTGCTGTAAGGCATTGGCTGTGGTTATGCCTTCAATTCTCTAATCAGAACACAGCCTAATTACAGACATGTTGTGTGTGATTCTCTATCTTGATCAGATAATCAAAGGTGACTCATTACTCAGATATTGAGGGAGAGGGGTGCATTATGGGAGTGATGCTCTAAGACGATAACCCTAATAGAGTGTACCGGATACCTCTAGGGGGTGGCGGGGAGGTATTCTAAAGACATAATGGTACTAGCCTAGACTACGAAGAACAGCAGTCTATTGATGAGATATCCAAAAAAGAAGACAAACTGTGTCTAAAATGAAAACCAGTGGCACTGTAGAAATTGATTTTTACACAACATCCAAGAAACACTTTCCTTTTTGTATAGAAAGGTTCACCTGTGCCGTGTTTGTGGGCCAGCACCATTACAGCTTTATTTAGATGTGTGTGAAGGAACCATCTGTTCCAGCTCACAGGAGGGCCAGGACCTGCATAGCAGGCGTCCCCCCTCAAGGTCCAGTCACATCTGATGCAAAAGTTTCCTGATGGGAAGCTTGACTGAAAGCTAATGACAGGGAACACTTCATTTTTCAAAGTGTGCTTTTTCTCATGAGCAAGTGTGCGCTTTGGTGATTGCTTTGTTCCTCCCTGCAGCCCCTAGAAACAGCATGAAGAGCAGAGGACCTGGGAAACCAGGACAGTTCTCCATCTATCCATTCCTGTATTTATCCCTTCATCCGTGCAGTAAGTGTATGTAGCTGCCTGCTAGGAGTCAGGTGATTTTTGAGGCACTGCAGATATAGCTGTGAACAAGATGGATAAGATTTTTCAAAGTACTTACATGTGAGAGGAGTAGACAATAATCAAATACACACAAACATTTTAGAAAAAACGTACTAGCAGGTAGTTTCTTGTCATGACAAGAAATAAGTTGGGCTGATGGAATGGACAGAAACTGGGTGGCCGCTCTTCATGGTATGGTCATAAATGACCTCTATTTAAACTGAGACCCTAATCTCAAGGAGTCAGTGTTGCAAAGTTAGGGGGGAAGGTACACCGCAGGCAGAGGCAGCGGCCGCAGTCAGATTCCTAGGGTCAGAAGAATTTTGTGTGTTTGAGGTTCTGAGAGATGTCCAGTGTGCCTGAAGTGGAGAGGGAGAGGGAGAGAGGGAAGAGAAGTGGGTGGGATGGGATAGTGTGGTAGGCATGGGGCAGGCCATATGGGATTGTGAATGTCAGGATTAAGGGCATGAATGTTTTTCTATACATAGTGAGTTTAAGTCTGGGAGTGACATCTGATGTCAATGGTGCCAAACAAAGTTGGGGGTCCACCAAAGATATCTGGCATCTGTGACACAATTTTCTCTTCTCTATAAATGAGGACCAAATTTCAGGCTCCAAAGGGGAGGGTAATAAATAAAATTTGGGACTTCACTGATTGTTTCTGCAAAATTTTCCTGATTTCTCCTCTCTATCTCAGTCCGGGATCTCAATCCAATATCATAAATATACAAGAAGCAATCATTATTCCCTCCTTGGAAATATCATTGCTTCTCGTATATTTATGATATTGGTTTGCTGTCACCTGTTAACAGAGCTTCCTGCCTGCCTAATTCAATAGAGTGTAAATGCCTTGAAGCCTCAGATCAGCGATGAGAATTTTCTGTGTCCCCAAGCTGTTACGGTTTGAATGTGTTCCCCAAAGTTTATGTGTTGGAAACTTAATCCCCAATGCAACAGTGTAGGGAGGTGGAACCTAAGAAGAGGTGATTAGGTCACGAAGGCTCTGCCCAGATGAATGGATTAATATGGTTATCGTGGCAGTAGGTTCGTTATTGAGAGAGTGGGCTTATTATAAAAGTGAGTGAATCTCTCTTGCTTTCTTACTCTCTCAAGCTCTCTTGCTCTTCCACCTTCTGCCATGGGATGATGCAGTAAGAAGGCCTCTTGACCTTGAACTTCCCAGCCTCTAGAATTATAAGAAATATAGCTGTTGTTTTTAATAAATCAGCCTATGATATTCTTATAGCAACACAAAATAGACTCAGGCACCAGTGCTAGCTCAGGGTTTGGCTTATTGTAGATCCTTTGTAGTCTGGCCCTTGACCGTGTGTCCAGTTTCACTGCCCATAGTTGTCATATCATAGTTAAATCCCCAGGAAGCTGAGACTTCTTGAGGCTTCATTTGTTTCTCTGCCTGGATGTTCTTCCTTCTTCTGTCTGCCTCTTGCAGAATTCCAAATTCTCCTTGAAGGGCTCACTACAAGTGTCACTTTCACTTCTACCTTGTTCTCTCCATCTCCCCCAAACTTGACGTGGCTCATTCCTCCTCCATGCTCCCACAGAACCCTATGTGACCTCTATCCTACAGTTAGAAGTGCGCTGTAGTAATGTGTGTATGTACGTGTATGTGTCCTGCTAGAAAGTAAATTCTCTAAGGGCAAGTGCCTTTTATTTCACTTCCATACATCTGTCTATAGTATTATTCTTGGCATAAAAGATCCATGCAGTAAATATTAGTTGAATAAAAGAATAATTGAGAGGAATATGGTTAAATGGATAATAACCTCAGTTTAGTATCTGTGGCCAACATGAGAATATCTTCAAATATTTGAGAGGCCCTAGCAACCGTGCTCTGAAGCTCATCCCTGCATTCTTGCCTGGGCCAGCCTTCCATGGGCTGCTCCCAGCCAGTGACCATGCATGGCAGGGCTGCTAAGGCTGGATCATTCATGAGAGCCGAGAGGCTCCTCGTCTGAACCTCCGTTAAGCTTAGTGGCAGTCTGGGATGTTTCCTTTTCCATCTCCTTCACATGGGGTTAGATTTGCAGCATGTCTCATGGCTCTCCAAGCACATGCTACCTTTCACACATTTAATTCTGTCTTGGTGTCTGCTTCTTGGAGGAATTTGGCTAATAGTAATTATATTAAAATTATTTATTGAAAAAAAAATATTTGCTGAGGATCTACTATGTCAGATATTTTGCTAGTAGCCTGAAATTCATCTTGAATAAAATGCAATCACTAGACTCAAGAAGCTAGTTGGAAATAAAGACTGGTCACCAGATATAATACAAAGGTACAATTGCTAGACTCAGGAAAGTCAGTGAGATAGGAGCACATAGACAGGTACGAAATCCAGCCTAACTGTGCCTATATGTTGGTGGTAGAGAGGATACAGAAATTACAGGAAGCTTCCTAGAGGAGGTGTCATTCATGGTGAAACAGAAACTGTGTGTCTAGGTAAGAGTTACATAGAAAGAAGAAGGGATGGTGGTTCTAGGAGGGAGGGGGAGTGCTCCAGACAGGACAAATAGAAATACAGCAGTAGGTAAAGGAGGGTGTGTTCCTTATCAAGGGAAGAAACATGAAAAAACAAAACTGGGGGTTGCAATATAAAAGGATTGGAGGGGGATAACAAAAGTGGGCCATGGTGAACAAAAGAAGAATGAGAGGTAAAACCATGAGATCAGAGCTTGGAATAGTTTGCTTTACAAAATCTCATGTTTGGGAGGGCCGCTGACTGACAGAAAGCCCTCTGTTTAGATGGCTGGTTGGCTTAACCAACCCAGAATCTTTCATAAAGGAAAACACGTAGCAAGACATTAAAAGTCAGGTTATTCCAGCTGGGCATGGTGGCTCACGCCTGTAATCCCAGCACTTTGGGAGGCTGAGGTGAGTGAATCATGAGGTCAGGAGATCGAGACCATCCTGGCCAACATGGTGAAACCGTGTATCTACTAAAATACAAAAAATTAGGCAGGCATGGTGGCACGCACCTATAGTCCAAGCTACTTGGGAAACTGAGGCAGGGGAATCGCTTGAACCCAGGAGGCAGAGGTTGCAGTGAGCAGAGATCATGCCACTGCACTCCAGCCTGGTGACAGAACAAGACTCCATCTCAAAAAAAATTTAAAAAAAATCAGATTATTCCTTGGCTGCATACACTTAAAAGCAAAGGGAGTGAATCCATAATCTAGGGGGATCTTGGGCATAACCCTAAGTGTCTCCTACCCACGCATGCCATTTATTTGATATATATAGCTTAGTGGTCAGGATCATAGCTTTGGGAGTTAGACCAACCAGGTTCCAGATGACGCTGAAGTTCCTGGGCTGTCATTTGTCAGTTATGATTTGGGGCAAATAAGCCTTTCTGAACCTCATTTTACTGACGTGCAATTGGGAAATTGTTAGATAAATGTTAAAATAGAAATAAAATTCAATACTTCTTAAGCAAGTCTCCTGCTCAGGCAATGTGCTAAGTGCGTCACACATTTATTTACTTTCAGAAGGTATTTTGCAGAATAAGATTGCAATTAGATGAGTAAGACATATCTCAAGGTCACACAACTGGTAAATGGTACACCTGGCATTTTTAATTTATTTCATTAAAAATGTGCATGTTTCAAGTTAAATGCTATTAAATTAAAGTGGTGTGATATTCTGGCAAGGTGTCCTGGGCTTTACGTCCTCACTGATTTTTGCACACCTCCCTAATTCTCCCAGTGGGTACTCATATCTTGGTTTGAGACGTCAAGACCTGAGAGCAAATTCAGAGCCAGACTCCGCATTCTAGCAGGATAAGAATCAAAGGAACTGCAGAAGGGAGACGTAGAGAGGGGGCTGAAAGGTCAGTGACAGGCCACTGGCAGACAGATGTGGGACCTCAGTAAGTTGTGAAGACAGATATTCACAGGGCAAGAGAAAGGGGATGTAGGGGAGGGGGAGGAAGAAGATTCATGGAGAGTCACAGCAAAGTATTTTCCCTGTCAAAAAATTACTTTGGCCTGCTGATTTAGGCTATAAAAAATATATCTTCGATCAAGAAAAGGAAGGTTCTGTCCAAGGACAAATCAAGGCAGCATCTCTGCTTGTCTCTCAAAATTAATTTGAAACACACACACACACGCACACACATGCACACACCCCCTAGAGGACTGAGCAGAATGGAAGACCTTTTATATCCTCTCATAATCTGTGTTAGGTGGGAGGCAATGACTGAAGACTTAGACGACCTGGGTTCTGGCTTCAATGAAATGAGAGACAGCATGAAGCAGATGCAGCAGGGCAGGAGAAATCTTGCAACTCTTATTTCCTCTTCTGCTTTGTCTTAACTTATATTTATTATTACTATTATAATAAATAGAAATATACACTTATATGCATATATTTGTTAAGCTCTTATGCCTTGAGCAAAGTTCCAAACATGTTATATGTCTTACCTAATTTAATCTTCACACTAACTCGGTGAGGTAGATACCATCAGTAAGCCTCACTTTTTATGTAAAAACCTAAAAAGAAAAGTCTCTGGTCAAAGTATGCCTTCAGTTAAAGGACACAGTAAGAGGCAGGCAGGAATAAATTATACAGGAATTAGGTTCAAAGACTAAAGTTACATTCCAAGGTTTGTCATATCCTAGCTTTGGAATCCTATGCAACACTACTTAGGCTTTCCAATATGTTCCAATTCCATCCATTTGTCTTATTCTCCATTGCTAATACCCTCCATCCAAATCACTGTTACATATTGCAATACCCTCCTATTTGATCATTCCCCACCAGCTCCATTTACTTTGTCCTCTCTCCAATCCATTCTCCAAACTGTACTCAGAGTGATCATAGATGGAGAGATATACGTCAAAGATGGCTTAAATGTGTTGCTTGCTCAACAAGGAGATTGGGAGTGCTATTAACTGAGGTAGGACCACTGGACATTTTAGGGAGAAGGGTAGCTAGAATTTAGGCATGGTGAGTTTGAGGTAAGATATGATCTGTATCATCATAATATTCTACTCCCTGTATCTGTGCCCACTTTTTTTGGGTTCTTGTTATTGAAATGAGAACATATACATGGCATGATGGAATATAATACATATATAAGATGCTGTTACTAAGACTATATTTGTTCCCTTGCACTACACAGAGTTAGTGGGAGATTTTGCAGGAAATACATGCTGAGTGCCTGAAGCCCTTAAGAGAACAACTGCCTTTAATATATCAATTAAGATCAACAAATATGTGAACAGACAGGGTCTTGCTGTCCTATGAGTCTATCTTCTCTTTCTTGGTTTGCATAAAAAAAAGATAGTCTTTTTTCATTCAATTTATCTCTACACATACAAACCCTGTGGTTTAATTCAGGGTGTGTGAGGTGCTACTTCCAAAGAGCATATGAGAAATACAGATACTAACATGTTCTGCGTCCTTATCCCACTTTTAAAGGAGAATGCAAGGCCCAGGAATACAGAAAAGGAAAATTTGGGTCCAAGCAGGAATCCACAAGGCTAGTCACAGAAATCTGGAATCATTATGAAAGAATTTCTAGAGAACAAAAGTCTATTATTTTGAAATAGACCAGACAATGCTATCAATATTAATTATTTATCTTCAACAGACTTCAATGAATTGCCCCTAGACCAGCTTAGCATTTGACTTATTATCTGTCATGTTAAATAAATATTTTGTTTTTAGATCTCCATCTCCTCCACTGAATTAAAATAATAAAATTTAAGCCCATTTACTGAGTGGCTACTTTGGGTCAACCACTGGCCTAGGAATGTTACATGTATATGCTCATTTCATTCTCACAATACCTCTGTTCAGTGGACATAGTTACTCCATTTCACATATACAGAGAAGGTAGTCATTTGTTCAAAGCTAGTTAGATAGTTTGTCTAATAAATTGGATTCAAGTATCATTTTTGAAATCTTAACATGTTTCATGGGTCCAATTATATAGCCAACAGGAATCTATCACATTCATAGTTTAACTTTCTTCCCAAAATATTCTTCTTTATTAAATGAAGAACATAAAAACCAGAAAAGATGAATTTTATGTGAAAACACATGTTCGTGCTAGAGTTGGATTTAAAACTCAGTCTCTTTGGGTCAGTCAGATTATTTCTCCAGACTATGCCCTTCCTCCCAGCATAGCTGCAAGCCCAGGGATTTGGGGAGTTACCATTTAACACATATCTGCTCCTTGGCTTCCAATTTCCATTTCCTTTCTAATGATGAGAGGAATTCCATAGGAAGCAGCAATTTCTTCAAGACCTGAGATCACAGCATGCAGCTAATTATAGAAATAAATAACTAGTGACTAGAACCATCTGTCTTTCCTTTGGCAAACACCTTGCTTTCATGTGAAATTAGTGCCACCTGCAATCTGCAGGCCCCTCAGAGACAAAGGGGCTGCCCCCGCCTCATTCAGAGGTTGACTGCTTTGCTACTCCCAACCCATAACCACAGCCCTAGAGGCTGCCATGCATCCCTAGAGAGGCACAACTAATAAAGCCAGTAGCATTCCTGAGCTCTTTTCATAGCTGAAGGAGGGGAGAGCCAGGGCAGGGCTCCACATTTGTGTCTGGTGGTGCTACTGTGGGCAGTGTGGCTGGGCAGGGCAGTCACTCTAATGTCTTCCTGAGTCAAGGGCAACAGGGTGCTTCATCTTACACTGTTCATTGCTTGTGGTGGGGCACTTATACCACTCTGTTTGATAGCAATGTGGAATTTTAATATAATTTCAGAAAAACCCCCAGTTCTGCCTGTTCACTTTAGATACATTAGTTCTGGTTCAATTCCCAGCCTTCTATTTGTGTGATCCTGGATAAATCACTATGCTGCTTTGAGTCTCAGTTTTCTCACCTGAAAAATTGGGAGAAATAATAGAACCTTCCTGTTAGGTCTGTTATGAGAATAATATGAGATATAATACATGGAAATTTTTAGTATAGCATGCAAGAAGCACTAAATATACCATGGCTTCCATTCACCAGAAGTGAAAAGTCTAGTTATAATAGGATATAGAGGCTATTAGTCTGGTTTCCAAAGACCTTAAGAAACTTACAAGTGTCTTAAAAGTACTTGAAAAAATTTGTACATATGATGATATTTTGGGAGATGTATATGACTCATAACTTGAATCAGAATCCCAATGTTGTCCTCTGACCTTTCACTCTAACTTAGGGATGGAAGGCATAGAAGGATCGGAGGATTTTCCCCTGGTTTTTCAATTAGGTTTTCTCTTGCTGTGGAAATTGCACACTCAAAGGTAGTTAATGTCTCTTGGAGATCAGGAAGCAGGCTTAATGCCTCCCTTCCCTATCTACATCACCAAAGAACAAAAAGCAAGATAGCTTAGCATGTCTCTAAGCACTTCATTTCACGTTGATGCTTCGTTAATTTTATCCAACTTGCCCTGAATGACTTATCTAGTGTTAGGAACAATATTGTTTGTGAACCCTCTGGCATCTACTATTACATGAATACAGCAAAAATCTATTATATGAACACAATTTCAGTTATTGTTTTCTTGACAGAGAGCAGGAACTAAGTAAATAATTCCACCAGTTACAGCTATATAACATCTAGCAGGTCACAAAATGATTTCAAATGCATTATTGGATCTCACCTTCAATCAATAGGTTACTCAAGACAAAAAAGTGTTTATTCCCATTTTATAAATAACATAATTGAGGCTCAGTGAAGAGAAGAAAAATGTTAGTATTAAACATTATTTTTTTAAAGAGAATTCTCCTACCATCCGATATCCATAGACCTGTAAAATTACCCATTATTTTTTCTTTCTTCTCTTTTTGGAGGCAGGAAAATTCAGAAAATGCCTTCAGGTGCCTTGATATTTGAATCCTCTCTCCTGATCCCCTCATTACTAACTGCATTCATGATCAGCCTAGCTTTGACATTGCTCTTGTCTCTGAGACTGAATCCACCATCTTCCAACACTAAATAATTGTTGCTAAACTTCTATCTCAGCAAATAGAAAGTATCAGGACGTGTGTGTGTGTGTGTGTGTGTGGCATGTGTGTATGTGTGTAGATATATGTGTGTATATATATATATATTCTGATATGAGTGTATATACATACACACACTATATATAGATATATTCTTCTGAGTTTTAAAAAAAATTAGTGTTCATTATTTGGCATCCAAAACTCTAGGAATGTGAAAATAGGCTTCAGAATGTCAATAAACTCTTGTGACTCAGACATTTGATAACAGTAACATGACATTATGTTATTCACTAGTACAAAGAAAACTCTTCTGGAAAGCTGAGAAGTGGACATTGACAGGGAAAAGAAGGCCTGGATGGTATAAATTTTATGAATGGACCAAGAAAATAATAATTAAGTTTGAGAAGTATAAACTTTGCTTATATCACAATTCAATTTGCCCAAAACACATTCTTAACGTTATGCAGATCAATTACCTTGAGAATCAATACACCTTAAACTTAAACTTTTTATCTTATATATACCCATATATATATGAATATATGTATGAACCCATTCATAGAAATATTATTTTCATATTACCAAAATTCAGACTACTACCCGAAGCATTAGAAGAATCTCTTCATCCTTGGCCAGGGGCGGTGGTTCATGCCTGTAATCCCAGCACTTTGGGAGGCCGAGGCGGGCAGATCACGAGGTCGGGAGATCGAGACCACCCTGGCTAACATGGTGAAACCCCGCCTCTACTAAAAATACAAAAAAAAATTAGCCGTGCGTGGTGGCAGGCGCCTGTCCTCTCAGCTACTCAGGAGGCTGAGGCAGGAGAATGGCGTGGACCCAGGAGGCGGAGCTTGCAGTGAGCCACTGCACTCCAGCCTGGGTGACAGAGCAAGACTCCGTCTAAAAAAAAAATAAGAAGAATCTCTTTATCCATCTAGTGCTTCATTCATTCATTCATTCATTCACCTAATATTTATCGAGCATTGACTATATAGCACAATTGGTTAAAATCTTGAAAGCAGGCTAGAGGAGAAATATGAGAAAATCAACAGACACAATGCAGTGGTAAGCACTATGATAGAGGCATGGACTGATTGTTAACAGAAAGTAAAAGTAAAAGGAAGATGTGTAAATCCAGCTGGAGGCTGTAGGAAAAGCCTTGGAAGGGGAGTATCGAAATTGAATCTTAAAGGATGTGTTTATGTTGACCAGCAACAGATTGAGGAAATGGAGAGAAAATGGGGACTCCAGATAGACACAGCAGCCTATACACAGGCAACAGAGATTTGAGAAATCCTCCTTGCTCTCAATTGCCTTTGATTTAACTACCTTTACACCCACAACTCCATGCCCGGGTTCATCCTCATCCTAACTAACATTAGGTACTTTGTCTTCAGTGATATCTATCCAGCTATTTCTCAGGTTAAGACACCCCTTCTTCACAGAAAGTCATTTTTATAAACCACATTAACTCTAGAGTGGTTCTGTACATTTTAAAATATTCATATGCCATACAAAAAAACATCACCACAGGGTTCAACACAGAATGTACTCAATGCAGTAAACATGTGAATGAGGCCTCAAAAGCATTTTAAAAGCATTACTTTTAAAATGATGCTTAGTCTCATTTCTACAGAATCACATGCTTGGAGTTAAGAAGAACTGCTTGCATTAAACATGTTTTTAAGTTGCATTTACAAAATATAGGAGATTTCAGAAACACCTATTTTTAGATTCTACCTATATCTTTCTTCCTTAATCAGAATGAGTCCAAACCATTCTCTGTGAGTTTTGCTTTTTTTTTTTTTTCTGAAAATCATTGATTTTCCATATTGCATTCTCTGTTTTTCTCCAATTTTCTTGCCCACTGCCAGAAGCTCAGAGGTGCCCTGGTGAAGGAAAGTCTTTTTCTTTTTGCTTAGGTTTTTATCCTCCCACTCCCAGGCTCAGCATAGAGAAATGGGGCCTCAAATCAATTTAAAAATCATTATGCATTATTTGCATTTGACTTTTTAGTGGAAGCTCAAAAACATTTTAGGATTTTAGAGTGATAATTAGACCTATCATTTTTAGACAAATGCCACAAAATTTGTCCATTCCTGCAGCAAATCTTGCTCCTGAAAAAGAGGGCAAATATTTAAGAATGAAATGAGACTGACATTCACATGAATTAAAAAACAACTGGTTTAAAATTTTAAAATGATTTCCCTGGTTCTCGCTCATTAGTCAAGATTGCAGAGAGTCCCATGCCAAAATTTTGAGCAGTCCCTTAATCTCAAAGACATACTTTTTCTCTCTCTTCATTATTAATGCTAATTTATATGAACCTTGAGGTAAGCAATCACTAGTGCTCCTATCACACAAATTCTACCCCTGGGAATCATAAGCATGAAACAGTATGGTTATTTCCTCTTTCACCTGAGCAAAGTGGAAAATGGAACTTTCTTTCAGCAGGAAAGAGTGAGTCCAAAGAGGGATTCTTGGAAAATGATAAAGACAGAAGGGAAGAACCTCTCAGCCAAAGTAGTAATCAGATAACTTTTTTAAAAATCACAATATAGACAGTATTTGTAAAATGTCATTCCCCTTTAAATGAAGTTACTCGGTGAACCAACACAAAAAGACAAGAAATAAAATGTCAGACAAAGCATGAAACAGAAATCATTTCTCCTTACACATTTCATTTCTAAACTATGGCAAAAGTAGTCTATCTCAGACTGTAACCCAGAATTTCATGTGGCTGGATTGGTGCCACATGACAAATATTGCAACAGTTGAAATGAGATTATTGGCTAAATTCTCGCAAGACTCCCTGCTATATCATTTGAAAACTCATCTTTTGCTTTAATGTTTTAATAGTAATAATAGCAGCAACAGCAACAAAAATCCAATAATAATAAAAGTACTCATCATATACTATATACTATTTTATTAAATATGTATAGTATATAACAATTATTAATATATCATATTAATTGATAACATGTTAACAATTGTATATTTTAAGCATCAGCATGAGTTAAGAATGGTTTTTATATTTTATATAATTATATCTTTTACAAAAAAGAATGTCATAGAGACCATCTTGCCCACAAAGCCAAAAGTATTTACTATTTAGTCCTTTACAGAAAGTGCTTGTCAAACCTTGGTATGTATTAATATTCATGTAGCATTTACCAGATACCAGGCTGTTGAATAATAAAGAATTTTGCTGGCCTTTGTCCTTGGTTTCTAGGAAAGAGCCTCTAAACCCTTGGAATTTATTCATGGTGGGTTCCTCAGACCACATTTGAATATGTGCTATCAAGGTGACTCATGGTGGATCCCAAGATAGGTTTAGGATGGGGCCTGGCCATGCCAGAAAGATCAACCCTGTGATTACCGTAAATTTGAGTGAGCTCCCTGATTGGTGCTACGCATTACTGTGCCAGGGAGTGATGGACCCTGAGGACACAGAAGCTTTGTGTTTGGGCTCCCTCAGACCTCACCCCATGTATGTTTTCATTTGGCTGGTTCTGACTTGTGGTACTTTATGATAAAGTCATAATCATAACCATAGAGCTTCCTGAGTTCTATGAGTTCTTCTATCTAATTATAAATACTGAAGGGGTAATGGGAATTCTAAATTTATGGTCAGTTGGTCAGAAACATGGGTAGCTGGCAACCCCTGAGCTTGCAGCCGATGCCCAAAGTAAGGGCAGTCTTATGGAGGACTGCCGTTAATCTGTAAAATCTGTGTTAACTCTTGTTCCTTAGTTTCAGAAGTGTGTTGCACAAGCATTAAGCCTTTTTTTTCTAAAATTTTAACAAATATTAATTCTCAAAGAAGTATACAAAGTAGGTGCTATTTTATCCATATTTACAAATAAAGAAACTGAAGATCAGAGAGATTGAGCATTTGTCCCCAGTCCACATAGCAAATAGTGGAGCCAGGATTCAAATCCAGATAGTCTGGCATCTGAGGCTAGCTGAGACCCTCACTACCATGTTACTAAATTATGATCCTGCTACACACTTCATTCCAGCGGGTAGAAGGATGGTTATAAAACTCCAGCTGAATACTCTGAGACTCAGAATCCTGTCTCTCCATCACTGTTCTCTTTGCCTTGGACATGAAGCACAATTCTGATCTGAGCCTTGGATTAGCTTCTTAGACCTTCCATCCATCGTGTGCCCCAGCTCTGCTGGTTGGATCCTTGGATTGTTTCATGTTTTCTAAACACCAAGGCAGAGTTGTCCAGTAGGAAAATAAAGCATTTTGAATCTGGGCTCTGCCACACCTTGGCAACAGATATATTACCTGATAAACCCAAGCCTTCATTTTCTCATCCATAAAAGAAAAATGTGAGTTAACTAAATGAAAAAAAATGCAATAGAGTATTCTCACTGTGGCAGAACTGGGGTTAAAAATATTCTGACACTTGAAGTTGAGGGACCTACTGCAGCTTCCAGGCATGCAGCATCTATTTGGATTCACCAATTTGCATAGGAGCTGTGGGTCCCCTGAAATGTTTACAAATACAACCAATGGGCATGGGGGAAGATATACACTGGAAACAGGCAAACCATAAGGAGGAACTGTGGATCTTCTGAGAGAAAAAAAATTCTGAAAAAAATTTTCATCTTCAGGGAAGAAAGAATTTTGAAAGAGAAACCAGATTGGGTAACAGAATCTGAAGGTGGGTGGAGAGCTGCGGTTTTGCCAAGAGGGTAGTGACTCTTAATTAAACCTGCCCTTGCCAAGGCATGCTGTTACCATGTGAACCCACCAGGAAGGAAAGGGCTGTGCCTGTCCAATAAGAGATGTTGCATTAACTACAACTCCCTTGCCACTGTACAACCTTGCTGTGTGTTCTTCTCTACCTGAAAACAACACAGAGGAAAGGTGGCTCTTCCCTTCTCCCTTCACAGCAAGGTGAGAGTTTGAAAGCATCGAGGGCCTGTGAAATCAGAATTTACACTTTAGTGAAATGAGGGCTACAAGCTCAGTGGACTTCAGGCTTTGTTTTCAATAACCACAGCTGGACTTCAGTGGGGAACCCATAACTTTATATAAGATGATTTACAGGACTTAGGGGAGGGAGAGTCCAGTGGTTTCACATATATATCTGCATAGGATGGTGTTCTATATCTGGTTATGTTTTGGTTCCATGACTTGGCACATCATAAATACTAATTCTTTTTTAAAATTTATTACCTTTTTTCCCTCCTTGCTTCTTACCTTTTTTTCTTGCCTTTCTAGATAATTCCCTGGCATGTTCTTGCCACATTCTGCCTTCCAGGATCTGAAGGTCTACCCTGAGATGAAGTCCTCTGTCTGGCTCTTTTTCTATTCTGATAGCCCTTCTAGCTGCTGCCTGCTTGCCTGCCTGCCTGCCTGCCTGCCTGCCTACTTCTGCAACTAATTCCTGTTCCTTTGTTTGCTGCCTCTTTTTTCTATGACAATGTAACAAGAAGCCTACCTGAGGCAAGTTTCAGGTGGGCATTACAAAAACATCTTGTTGACTTCCATCCCCACCCCATACTTTGTCCTGCTCAGGAGCTGAGCTTCCTCCTAGCTGGATCTATGGCCCAGAACGAACTCAATGTAAGCCCACCCGGGCGTGAGTCTGTCCCACAATGGGCCTTATATTTCACAATTCCTTCAGGTCTTGCCCTACCCTACCCTCAGCCATTCTCTACTCCAAATTATTTTTTATCTGCCACTCTGTAGGCCTGCCCTGCCCCATAGCCTGTGGCCACTCATGAGTACTGAGTACTAGAAATGTAATGAGTTCAAATGGAGATAAAATAATGTAAAATGCCTCATTAATAATTTTATGTTGATTTCATGTTCAGATAATATTTTAGATGCATTATGTTAAAGAAAATATAAATTATTTTTTTCTTTTTATTTAAGAAATGTGGTTTAAGAAAATTTAAAATTACATATGCAGCTGGCATGTGTGGCTTGCATTATGTTTTTATTGAAGAATGCTCTTTGGCAGTCTCTTTAAAAATCATAATCTGGCCCCTCTATTCCCCCGATTAAACCCTTTCATGGGCTCCCCGGAACAGGACTCAAATTCCCTAATGTGACCGGATGACTTTCCTGATCTGGGCCCTATTTGGTTCTCCATCTCCCCCTATTCTCCTGCCCCACTGAATTACATATGTGAAGTCATATGAGTGGTCCCTGCTTCTCCTCACCTCTAGACCTGTGCTCATGCCAATTTCTCCATCTAGAAAGCCCTTCCTCCTGGTAGTTCAGCCTTAAATTGTATGTCACAATTTAAATGTCAGTATGCTTGAGTTTATGTGCCCCTCATCTACCTTCCTAGTGTCCAGTGCTTGCTCTTCTCATAGCCCTCATCACAGAGCATTTAACCCCTCTCTGCCCACTCTATTATCAGTGCTGAGCAGAGGCTCTATCTTGTTCACTTATACATACCTAACACCTAGATGAGTGCTTGGCACATAGTAATTACATTGGTTTTGAAGCACAACATACACATTTTTGAAAAGAACAAATGCATCAATCAAGTCTTATTCCTTTAAATCAATAGGGCGTATCTTACATGATCAATTCGTCAATGAGAGGGTGAGAGAGATAAGTAGGATTGTTTTGAGGACTATCTCTGGAGAATCAGATTGCTGGGAAATAGGTGTGTCTAATCCAGCTTCACAAGAAACCAGGGAACCCCTTGTGTCTAGCAGCTCAAATCTAAAGTATTTTAAGGTCATGAGTGCTAGAGGTTGCCAGTCCTGACAAGTTCTTGCATAACTGGCATTTACCCCAAGATGCCTGGTAAGGAACTCTTACTCAAAGTTGTCCTCACTCTTGCAAGAATAGCAAGGGAGCAGACTCTGTTTCCTAAAATTCAAACCAATTCTCTGTCCAGTAGATTGTCCAGGCCCTAGACTCCTCTCTGCATGGTGTTGTCATAAGTTTATATTTTTTTGATAAAATCTTCTCAAATTCCTTAATGTATGATATTGAGATATTTGTCTTCACTTACTCTGCCATTACAAAGTAGTTCAAAAGTAAAATTGGTACATTATCCTACAACAGGATCTCAGTGAAAATATTCTGGCAACCCCCTTTTTTGGAAAAAACCTGATGTCTGTAAATTCCAGTTCTCAGAGTAGGGGCACAGTATTCCAGGGACTTGTGAGCCTCCTGTGATCCAGCCAGCCCTTTCTCCACATCGTCCCCCCTATTTATTTAGGCCCACCCATGTGTGCATCTACTCATCTCTTGCCTGACTTATCCTAACATTCTCTCGTTACCTAAGAAAATTTTACTTGTCTTTGAAATATTAGTCAAATTTACTTTTCTCTATGAAACCAAAATAGATCAACTGAATAATTCTTTCTTCTTCTTGTCTCCCATATCATTTATTAAACTTATTATTCTCTTTGACACTTCAATTATGTCTTAATGCAGTCTTGTGATATTGATTATATCACTGTGTTAGTATTACTTAACCTTTCTAAAGATTAGATCATGTGTCTTCAAATATATCATAGGCTCCCTTGAGGACACAGGCTGTCTGGTATGTCTTCATAGTGACCCTGGAGCCTAGCACGTTGATCAACAAATTGTTGTTGTCTGACTGCTGGGTACTAAAAAGAAAGCAGGATAATATCAAATATGGATTAAGTTGGTAAAACTAGATCAACAACATTAAAAACTTATATATCTGAATTAAATAGGATATCTTGGTTAGTGGGAGGAAAATGGATTGAGAATTATCCATTTGTAAAAATTTATTCTTCCTGTTAAGAAACTTTGATATATAAGCCCTAACCAAGTGCCAGGGATCCAGCAGTGAACAAAACAGCAAAATCTTGACCTTCAGAGAGCTGAATATTCTAGTGGGAGAGGCATGCAATAACAGCAAATAAGTAAAAATTGTAGTATGTTAGATAGTGTCAGTGCCATGAAGAAAAATAAGGCATAAAGTGCTGAGAGACAGATGCTGCCATAAGGAATTTAAAAATTTTAAAGTTTAACAGATTTAGGTTCAAAACAGGAAAACTCTTTTATAGAGATTATACACTATTGAGTATCCAACTTAAACTCTGTGACTTTCCCTTGCTGTCAAATGAGTAAAAATTAATATCTACTTACCCATTGAATGTTGCATTAAAACATATAACATGTTTGACATATTGTAGGCATGCAGTATACTGCGCCAAATACATGACTATATAAAAACCTGCAGAGGTGGATATCCTCACATTTATGGTTAACTGTATTCACCTCTTTGATCTCTGCATTCTAAAATACAGCCACACTTCAAGATTGCTTCAAATACCACCACCCCCGGGAGGCCTCCCTTGAGGCTCTTCGGCACAAACTAGGCTCATTCTGTACTCCCCAAACCTGTTCAGATTTATACCTCTATTATTTGTGTGCATATTTTCTCCCTGACAAGGCTATACGTTCTTAACAAAAGAAATCTATGGCTATTGTAATTTTATTATTTTTGACATGCCCCTCACTTACCATCTACATGCAATCCAATCCCAAGTCTCATAAAATTTACCTGCAAAGTAGTTCTCAATATTGTCTACTTTTAATCTGCACTGCACAAATGCAAACTGTTACTAGCCCTTTCCCCTGACCTCTGGCTCTATAGTACTTCTTAACTGATCTTCTTATTTTTATTCCTAACTTCCTTTATTGCTACATCACAGCCAAAGCTATCTTCTTTAAACATAAATCTCATTAAGTCAAATATTTTTCTTAAACCCTTCTACAGATTCTCATTAGACTTAGCATAACATACAAACTCCTTATGGAAAAGCCCTATGTGACCTAGCCCTGTCTGCATTTCACACCTCACATTTCACCAGCCTCCTCACTCACTGCCCTTCATCTATTTTAGTACTCTTTTAGTTCTTTGAATTTTTAGTCTCTTTCTCACAATCTTCTGCCAGAAACATCCTTCTTTCCACGTTTTTTTCCAATTAAGAGTATACATCCTTCAGTTCTTGCTTTAAATGTTCCTTCTTTAGAGAAGCATTCTGAATTATTAATCTAACTTAGTCCACCTACCCTCTTCTCTCTTAAAAACCCAATTGTGTTTCTCTATATGACTTATCAAATCAATTTGGGGATTGATTTTTATTCCCTCATTACTCTTTAAGCTCCATGAGGGCAGGGAAAAAACTATGATAAATATTTGTACAATAGACAGATGCTTTTAAATAAATATATTTCTTAATATCTACCTGGTCAGTGTTGGTTAAGTATTTGCTAGGTGAATTAACGTTTACTTGATTTTAAAAGTAATTTTGAAAACATGTTAATATTATGTAAACAGAGTCTGCATCTGCACAGGATGTGATGTCTGCAGCTGTAGTTCACAGTCTAGAATGTTTTGCTCTATCCTGCCAGCAGCCGTATGTCTAAAAACTGATGCAATTTTGAGCCAACCTCCTCCCCAAAGCACATTTTCCTTAAGTGTCCTGTTCCAATATCCTTTTATTAGCTAATCTGGAAGACAAATTTATGATCCTTGCCAGGTTTAGATCTCTGGACATGACATTCCATCCTTGTCCACATTCTGTATAATTATCATTACATTTTTATTCATGACATGAATTAAGTCATAGTTTGCTGGAGAAATTGAATATGGTACATGAAAAAAATTAGTATCTAAGGAGTTCTCCAGAACTAGAATGATAAAACTAACCAATTAGATAAAATTTCACATGAAGAAATATAAGCATCTGCCACTACTCACTTAAGAAAACTAAAAAGGATAGAAAGAGCATAAGTTAAACTCAGCATGGATGAAGCAGGCTTGGGGCTTTCAGCTGACTCAAGAGAGTTCAGAAATGTAATATATGTGAAGGCCAGAAAAAGGTATTTGCTTTCAAATGAATTAATAGAAGTAAAATTTGGAGAATAGAGAAGGGGCTATTTCTTTCAGTGATAAGACTACCTCAACTAAATAAACAATTCAGGGCATGAGAGTTTAAAAAAGACATTAACAAAGGGAGAGGTATAGAAAATCACCAGGAAGGTGAGAGAAATGAAAACATGAAACTGAAGTAATAGAGATATATGCCTGAAAAGAGAGAGAAATGGAAAGTAAAGTATATAATAAGCAGAATAACACAGCTAAAAGGCCCGAAGTTTAAGGATTTGGACTCCTTAAAATGTCGATTCTTGATATATAAACTTAGGCCTTAGTTTACTCGTGTGAGAAACAGGTCTATAATACCTCAAACTCATTAATTATTTGTAAGGTTAAAATGAAGGCAATTATTTCATAGACCAGGATGTAGCCCAGATCCAATAACTATTTGATTTTATTATCAATATTAATGCAAACAATCTCCCAACAGGATGCTTAGGAAGGTGTGAGTTCCATGTTGGTCTAAGAATTCAAACACAGCTTGAATGAGCTATTATTGAGGTAGGAGGATATGGATATAATTCAATATGAAATGTAAAACTGTACTGACTTCCAACTCTAATTTGCTATTATTCCAAAATAGTACAGGGGGAGGGGTGCAGGAGGAGGAAGAGAGGGGGAGAGAAAGACAGAGAATCTATAATAAGCTGCTTTCCATCTTCCAACATATTGTAACCTTTTTAGTCATCTCATCATCTGAAATATCTCTCCAGGCACCTAACTGATCACTTCCTTACCCTGTCTTCCCCCAACTACCTTGCCTCAGATGCGTTCGTATTCCCTGCTAGGCCTGTGTGAGACACCTGGGCTTTGGAAGTGGCATCCCAACACAGCATCTCCAGAGCCGTATGTCTGGAGGAGACAAAGGGGGAGGGTGCTGGGATTTGATCCGCAGCCTCACTTTCCCGTCCTTCTTCAATCCTTCCCTCCTAGGATGGTTTCGGTCAGCAAAATCACACTGGGGACAGAAAAGGCTCTCGTAACCCGTGGCAACCAGCTGCCTTTGGATAGAAAATGGCTTTTTCATAATTTCATAATGTGCTTTAGCAGAGCGGGTGGGGAAAGGAAATGGGAAAATAAATAAATAAGTCTGCTTCTGAAGGCTGCTGTACTCAAGCAAGGGAATGATGAGTTGTAATATCTTCCACACTAAGTATACCACTCTTTCATAGGGAGATCACTCTCTCTTCCAATAAACTCAGAAAGGCCCTCCTTACTGCGCAGTTCCAATGTGCTCCAGGACTACTCTCACACTAATTATTTTTAACACTAGTGTGGCAGCCAGATTTGGAGAGATGGGCTGATGCTAACTTTAAGTTGTCCCCAAGTTTTCAGACAGGTCCTTAAAATGCTACTGAAAAGTTATTTCTCCAAGTGATGTACCTTACTCAAAACTAAGTAACTAGTTTGTCCCATCCCTATACTGAGAATCACAAAATTGAGACTCCAAAGAGGCAAGAACAATTATGGTATTTGATCCCTGACTGCATTACATTACTGGGGTCCCATGGATGGAAATGGCCAGCCAGGATCCTAAGGTCAGTGATGGCCGAGGAGAGTCTGGAACCCAGTACTCTTAATTCTTGAACTTTTTATCCTGGACAATCTCATTTGCTCTTCTTTATCTTTGCCCACTACAGATCATTTCTCTTTATTTTCAAATTTCAGAAAATTTGATGGGGAAGAGTCAGAGAAGGGTATGTGGATACATCCAGTAAACAAGTTTTAATTAGAAAGTAATAAAATAATAATGAAATTGTCTTTGATTTATTCATTTCATTGTTTTAAGTTTTTTTGTTCATCTAGGATTCCAGTGATTTTAAGGTTTTTTCATAGATATCTTACTTTCTACAACTATTTGATTAAAATATCTCTTTTCCATTGCTGGTGAGGAGCTGCGTTCCTTTGGAGGAGGAGAGGCACTCTGACAAACCCGCAGCCAATATCATACTGAGTGGGCAAAAACTGGAAGCATTCCCTTTGAAAACTGGCACAAGAGAGGGATGCCCTCTCTCACCACCCCTATTCAACATAATGTTGGAAGTTCTGGCCAGGGCAGTCAGGCAGGAGAAGGAAATAAAGGGTATTCAACTAGGAAAAGAAGAAGTCAAATTGTCCCTGTTTGCAGATGACATGATTGTATATCTAGAAAACCCCATTGTCTCAGCCCAAAATCTCCTCAAGCTGATAAGCAACTTCAGCAAAGACGCAGGATACAAAATCAACGTGCAAATATCACAAGCATTCTTATACACCAATAACAGACAAACAGAGAGCCAAATCACGAGTGAACTCCCACTCACAATTGCTTCAAAGAGAATAAAATACCTAAGAATCCAACTTACAAGGGATGTGAAGGACCTCTTCAAGGAGAACTACAAACCACTGCTCAATGAAATAAAAGAGGATACAAACAATGGAAGAACATTCCATGCTCATGGGTAGGAAGACTCAATATCGTGAAAATGGCCATACTGCCCAAGGTAATTTATAGATTCAACGCCATCCCCATCAAGCTACCAATGACTTTCTTCACAGAATTGGAAAAAAACACTTTAAAGTTCATATGGAGCCAAAAAAGAGCCCACATTGCCAAGTCAATCCTAAGCCAAAAGAACAAAGCTGGAGCCATCATGCTACCTGACTTCAAACTATGCTACAAGGCTACAGTAACCAAAACAGCATGGTACTGGTACCAAAACAGAGATATAGACCAATGGAACAGAACAGAGCCCTCAGAAATAATGCCACATATCTACAACTATCTGATCTTTGACAAACCTGACAAAAACAAGAAATGGGAAAAGGATTCCCTATTTAATGAATGGTGCTGGGAAAACTGGCTAGCCATATGCAGAAGGCTGAAACTGGATCCCTTCCTTATGCCTAATACAAAAATTAATTCAAGATGGATTAAAGACTTAAATGTTAGACCCAAAACCATAAAAACCCTAGAAGAAAACCTAGGCAATACCATTCAGGACATAGGCATGGGCAAGGACTTCATGTCTAAAACACCAAAAGCAATGGCAACAAAAGCCAAAATTGACAAATGGGATCTAATTAAACTGAAGAGCTTCTGCACAGCTAAAGAAACTACCATCAGAGTGAACAGGCAACCTACAGAATGGGAGAAAATTTTTGCAATCTACTCATCTGACAAAGGGCTAATATCCAGAATCTACAATGAACTCCAACAAACTTACAAGAAAAAAACAAACAACCCCATCAAAAAGTGGGCAAAGGATATGAACAGACACTTCTCAAAAGAAGACATTTATGCAGCCAAAAGACACATGAAAAAATGCTCATCATCACTGGCCATCAGAGAAATGCAAATCAAAACCACAATGAGATACCATCTCACACCAGTTAGAACTGCGATCATTAAAAAGTCAGGAAACAACAGGTGCTGGAGAGGATGTGGAGAAATAGGAACACTTTTACACTGTTGGTGGGACTGTAAACTAGTTCAACCATTGTGGAAGACAGTGTGGCTATTCCTCAGGGATCTAGAACTAGAAATACCATTTGACCCAGCCATCCCATTACTGGTATATACCCAAAGAATTATAAATCATGCCGCTATAAAGACACATGCACACGCATGTTTATTGTGGCACTATTCACAATAGCAAAGACTTGGAGCCAACCCAAATGTCCAACAATGATAGACTGGATTAAGAAAATGTGGCACATATACACCATGGAATACTATGCAGCCATAAAAAATGATGAGTTCATGTCCTTTGTAGGGACATGGATGAAGCTGGAAACCATCATTCTCAGCAAACTATTGCAAGGACAAAAAACCAAACACCACAAGTTCTCACTCATAGGTAGGAATTGAACAATGAGAACACATGGACACAGGAAGGGGAACATCACACACTGGGGCCTGTTGTGGGGTGGGGGGAGTGGGGAGGGATAGCATTAGGAGATATACCTAATGTTAAATGATGAGTTAATGGGTGCAGCACACCAACATGGCACATGTATACATATGTAACAAACCTGCACGTTGTTCACATGTACCCTAAAACTTAAAATACAATAAATATAAATATATATATAAATATATATATATATATATATATATATATATCTTTTTTTTTTTTTTAGATGGAGTCTCGCTCTGTTGCCCAGGTTGGAGTGCAATGGTGCTATCTCCGCTACTGCAACCTCTGCCTCCAGGGTTCAAGCCATTCTTCTAACTCAGCCTCCCGAGTAGCTGAGACTACAGGCATGAGCCACCATGCCCAGCTAATTTTTGTATTTTTAGTAGAGACGGGGTTTCACCATGTTGGCCAGGCTGGTCTTAAACTTCTAACCTCAGTTGATCTGCCTGCCTCGGCCTCCCAAAATTCTGGGATTACAGGCATGAGCCACCGCGCCCTGCCTAAAATATCATTTTTTATTTATTCATTTCTCATCCAATATATACATATTGAGGGCATAGTTTGTGTGAAAACTTATATTAGTCTTTGGGGTACATTAAATAATTTCTCAAAAATTATAATAAAAATAAAGATAATAAATAGCATGAATCCCAAGTCATATTTTAACAAAGTGAGAAAATTAAGATTCTTAACTTTAGCTGCTGAATTAACTTATTTTGGTGTAAATGGTAGCATTTAAATTCTTTTACCAATCCCGCTCATTTAAAAATAGTCTCAATTTTGCCTGGTACATTACTGAGATTGTTAGTATTTGAAAGTACTTTCGTATGCCAATCAGGATTGTATATTTTACAGCAAAAATATATATTTTAAAAACAAATAGGATTTTTGACATAGGAATGATGACCCTTGAAGATCTCTTGTTCCTTCCTATATATTTTTTTCATCAAAATAGCCCTATTTATTTGAGAATTAATGTTAATTTTGAATTTGATATCACAATGATTAAAGGAGCACTTATATTTTCAAGATCATATAAAATATTTGTGAATGAACTAATCTAATGAGGGAGGATCTGTCTTTTAAAAAGTGAGGTGTGAGGTGGAGAGCTGAAATTGGGTTGATTATGAATTGGTAATTATTGAATCTGGGTGATGAATGCCTGGGGCTTTATCATACCATTGCCTCTACCTTTGTCTGTGTTTGAACTTTGCCATTGTGAAAACATTGTATTAAAAGCTGTTTTGTTTTTCTTACTGAGGGGCTCCAAGAAAAGTAAAAAATATACATGAGGGCTTATAGAATATGTTTGTAGTAATAAAATTCCAGGTTTTTCTTTTGTTTTAGCATCAAGGAATCAAGTACAATTTGTTTAGAGTAAAGATTTTGCTACCTGTGGAGGGTGAAAACTACTGCAGGATCTCATTTAAGTCTAACACTCTCAAAGATGATTGTCAGCAGCAAGACAAGCTGCCTTTTATGAAAACGACAACCAAAAGGCCTAAGGGGCCCTGTGACATACCTAAGGCCACTCCTCCAACTAAGAATAAAGCTGGGACTTAGACCACGGTTCCTGACCTTGGGCTGGCCCCCACCTGTGAGCAAGAGCAAATTGTCCCTTTACAAACTCAGTAATTGAAGGAACAAAAAGGTATCTTCTGGAGATGGATTGGAAATGAGGTCTACATACAATCAGCCTTTTCTATGTGAAAGTGGCATTATTATATTCTTACTATCCAAAGGCTCATGCTGACTCCATGCCCCTACGCTATATTATTTACTGGCGAAAACCTATTTCCCAACCAAACACAAGTTTATAGCAGAACAATCAACAGGCATTTGATGTAGTTGGTGGCAAACAGAACTATCTGTTGACATTATTGTGTTATTTTAAATGTAGTCTATTTTATTTTAAATAGAGTACATTTATTGTGTACTCTGTGTGTCTGTGTGTTTATGTATTTTTTTACATTAATTTCTGCTTTAAATATATTTGCCAGCCAGCAACATAATTGGATTTTCTTTTGTTATAAGAAGGGAACATAAATTACTTCTATTGGGTTCAGATTAGGTTACAGGATTTCTTTTCTTCTGTCACTGTCAAAACTTGGGTGTCAGAAAGCTTTAATATTTAATGCAGGCCTAATTAGTCTCAGTTGGGCCCAGGGCACTTAGCAAAACCTTACATGAGCCACAGAGTCAAGTTCATTTAAAGAGCATAATTACCAGTTATTTCTATACTGCAGTAAACGCCCCTATTAGAGTAGATTTTCTCCTTGCCTCCCAATTTTACCAGTAAATGAAAAAATAAAGTAGAATAAGAAAAGTCTTTGACTCCTGGTAATAATGGACAAAGATAATATAATTTGGTTCTGGGTCTGACATTTCTGCGATAACTTAAAGAACTTGCAAGTATATAAAAATAGAATCAGGGATGGTTAGATAAACCTGGAGAAGATGGATCTGTAACCGGCTGTTAAAGAAAATTAGAGATTCATGGGGATGAATAGTCGCTTATGACCAAAATTCTGAAAATAGCTTTTACGAATGTCTGACCAGTCATTTAGAAAATGTGTGTTGAAGGCTTATTATAGGCAGGCATCATACAAAGTCTAGAGTTACAATAATAAAAATATTCCTGCTCTCCTAGGGCATATATTCTAGCAGAGAAATACAGAAATTAAATCACATTATTTAATTTGTATTTACAACTTCTGGTTACTGCCCCAATGGAGAGTCATAAGATGCTATGGGGTAACCTGACTCCACGCTGGATTTCAAGAAAAGCTTCCTTGTGGTGTGGACACTTTAACTAAGATCTGAAGTAGGAGGAGGAGTGAAGAGAAACAGAAAGAAAGTGAAGTGCCCCAAGTCTCTGAGCAGGGAAGAAGCAGAGCACGTCATGAAAATGAAAGAAGGCCTAGGTGATGACTCCTCAAGGGCTCCAAGACATGGGCAGTAGAGGTGAGTAAAAAGCAGATAATGCAACCTCTGATGTGCATGCTAAGGATTTATATAATCAACTGAGTAATTAGTTGCATAATGTCTATCTTACGTGGAACAATGTCTTATTCCACTCCAAAACCTGAGCGGCCTAACATATGTGTATTGAATGAATGAATGACTTGGATTGAATTAAAGATAAAAGGCAGTCACCAAGTCCGACAACTCAACCCCCATCACTGCTCCCTTGTTTGCCCCATTTTATAATACTGTAAAAAGTAAAATAGAGGTTCCTCTTCAAAGCCTTTCCTCCCCATTTAATTAGGAATAAATATTAACTTCTCTTACAAGCAAAATTTATTCAAATAACTGTGCTAACATTCTTAAATATCTGCTAGCCGTGATAAAGAAATCAATGTACTTTATGTCCTTAGCTCCCACAATGTAGCCTAAATATTTGCCCTGGCATGCTTATACTGGTCCAAAAAAGTATTAGGTCATAGCCTGTTCCTCTTCCTTATTTGAAGGTGTTTTTACCTTTCTCAGCATTCCGCAAGTTACTTCCTCCTTCCTTTGTTCTCCTCTGCCTTTGCCTCTTTTAAAAAGTTCTAAGTTGCTAGCCAGTCAGAACAAATACAGAATGTGAGGTCCCGTTCCAGTCAATGGAAACCAGACACAGCAGTAGGGTGGACATGTCAAGTTATAAATGACCCTATCTCCTTTGTTCGGTGTGCTCTCATGGCAAAACTGCTGGCGAGTGTACCCTTTCTGCAAGAAGTAAAAATGGCCTTGCAAGTAAATTAAATTTATGTTCAAGTGCTATTTCTTTATGGCACCGGGAAGCAAGCATTTCAAACAATACTAAAAGAGCCATCATCCCTAGGTGATGCAATAGGTTTATTAATTGCCATTTAGACCTAAGAAAGTTGGATTTGTACAAAATCACACAATAGCTGAATGGCAGAGCTGAAACTAGAATAAAGTGATGAGGCTCACATTCACCCAGACAGGGGTTTTGTGTTTCTGGATATAGGCATATGTTTCTGGAGAAACACAGTCAACATTATCTCCTAAAGCAATTCCTTCCCTGCCTTCATTACCTTTTCCCTCTTGTCCCTCCATAATACCCTCAAATCTCAGTTCAGGCCTAGACTCCTTTTGTGGTGTTTCTCAGCTATTTTGACTCTCAGGAGCTTTTATAATAGCTCACATCTAAATCGCTAATTCTATCACTTGACTCTTTGTGCCCATCTATATAGTTCTTTTATTTCTTCTAATGTGGCCTTCTGCACTAAATTGCTAAATGTCCCCACAATAGTAAACACCATGAGTTTCTTTTTTCAGAACAAATCAAGCCAGTATGCAAAGCACAGGAGAAACACTTGTAGATGGATTGCTCCCTCAGAAAAATAGCAGATCCCTGTTGCTTACCTACAACATCGGAAAAGTCTGAAACTGACTATGGTGGAGTGGATCAGAGAAATAATGATCAGAGGGCAGAAGTGTCTGAAACGGGAGAGGTTACATCCTTGACTTATCTGAAAACCTTTCCCAGTCAGACTAAGTGGCCCCAGGTGAACTTCTGAAACAGCTATTGATGGCCCATTAGTGGCCAAACAATGTTTACTCTGTTCTTATCCCAACTTGACATCTCTGAGGCGCTTCTCACTCCTCCAACCCCCACCCTCCTTTTTTTGGCAATTCCATCTTCTCCATCTTATCATGAGAATGTAAATGATCCTGTTTTTACTTTCTGATTACTCCTTCACCTTTCTAGATGTGGTATTTCTCCAAGTATTTCCCCTCCGTATCTTTAATTAATATATTTAAAACAAGTATGTATGGTTTCAAAAGTTAATAGTTCTGTTGCCTCCAAATTGATAGGGATTTTTATCAATTTATTCTCTATTTTTTGCTTTGTTCATTTTGGGGTTCTTTTATTATTTGTGTACATGTTCAGAGCTGTTCTTCATGGTGACTAACTCACTTTTTCACTATAAAAATGAGTCACTTCGTTCCTAATATTTTTTTCTTAAAATCTATTCTATATTTTTTCTGAAATACATATAGCTATGACAGGGTTATTGGCCAGTTTTTGACCAATATAGCTTTTTTTTACTCCTTCTTTAACTTAAAATTATCTTAACAGCTTGAAGTGTGTCTCCTATAATCATCATCTAGCTGGAATTTTAGGTCAACCATGACTTTTTTTTTTTTTTTAAGCTAGCAGATTTAATCTATTTCCACGCATATCCTATGCATTTCCTATTTTTATTTTCTTTATGGAAACTAATCACTGCCTGAAGCTATCTCTTTAATGTATATTTTAAATATTTATCTCCATAATAATACAATATCCATAAGGAGTTGAGTATTACCTGGCCTCTTTATTTCTGTTATCTCTAGTGCCCGTACCAAGTACACTTTTGAACACGAGTTTAAAAATAATAAAATGAAACCCTACAAAAAAGTCAACAATTCAAGCTTTTAAACATTGAGTTTCTACTCCATTTATCCCCAGAGCTAACTTATTTCAACATTTTTAAATGGTTTCTTAAGTATTTATCTCCATATTTCTAAGACATATGGGTACACTGTTTCATTTGTTTATAAAAATGCTTAGCCATCTTGAATTCATACTCTGAGGAAAAAAATTAGTTTTCTTATACAATCCATCAATTTAAATTATTTTCCCGTCCTCCCAATATAGTTATATTAACTTTTATATTAAATTTATAGTTATAATTTATTCTGCAATTGTTTCTACAGCTGAAATATACCGTATACTCTAATCATGTGTGTGCTTTGTGTATATATGTTATTGTGTATGTATGTGTGTGTATGTATACATATATATAACTTTTATATATACATGCTTTATATATATATCATATATACATACACATTTCATATATATAACTTTTCTGGAAGTGGACAATTGACTCATTTTATTTTCACTGGCTTACTTTTCTATGGTCTTATTACTAATGCATTCTCAAATGTTTTTCTAAATGTTCTAACATGCATCAGACCATGTTAATGTGTAGGTTCCTTTTCCATTTCTCTGTCCAGGAGCCACCTGCCATCTCCACCTTCTCTAGTTCCTACTGTTGGTTCGGCAGCTACTCGCAATTTCTGACCCAGGTCTCTTCTCAACCCTTGTATCTTTCACCCCTTTGCTGTTGGATCTTCTGTTTCCTGATTCTTGCATCTACTTCTTTCTCGGATTACTCTCTCATTTGTGTGTCATACATTCTCCATCCTCCTGATAAAGTGGAACTAGGAGTTAAGTTTTTGAGTTTCTGTATGCCTGAAAAAATTGTTTTTAATAATAATGACTTGCCTATAGAATCGTAGGTTTGAAATTATCCTCTCAGAAATTTTATGATATTGCTCCACTGTCTGGTAGAGGCCAATGTTGTTTTTAGTGAGTCCCTTCTATATAATCTATATCTCTTAGAGCATTTCATTCATCATGTTCTGAAATCTTATAACAATAATGCTATGACATGCTGAGTACTCCGTGGGTCCTTTGTTACACTATTTATTTGGTACTTTTCTTTCTCTTTTTCCTGTTATTTGTAATTTTCTTGGGTCAGATTATAATTTTTTTCTATTAGTCTTCAATTTTGTCTTTTTTTCCCATATTATATTTATGTTTCTAGTTACTTCTGGGAGATTTTCTTGACCTTAACATTGCATCTTTCTTTGTGTTTTTTCTACTTATGTTCACTTTTTCTTTTTTTTTTTTTTTTTTTTTTGAGACAGAGTCTCACTCTGTCACCAGGCTGGAGTGCAGGGGCGCAATCTTGGCTCACTGCAACCTCTGCCTCCCAGGCTCAAGCGATTCTCCTGCCTCAGCCTCCTGAGTAGCTGGAATTACAGGCACATGCCACCAAGCCTGGCTAATTTTTGTATTTTTAGTAGAGACAGGGTTTCACCATGTTGGCCAGTATGGTCTCAATCTCTTGACCTGTGATCCACCCACCTCGGACTCCCAAAGTGCTGGGATTATAGGGATGAGCCACTGCGCCAGGCCTATTTTCAGTTTTCAAGATGTATTTTTCTCTATTACATTTTATGTCATCTTTTTTTTGTTTCATAGATTAAATATTTTCCCCTCTAAAGAACAGTTATTATATTTTCCCAGATATTATGTTTTGTTCTCTACATTATTTCTATTCACTCAATTTCTTTTCTAAAATGTATTTGTTTCAGTATTTTTCTCTTATATGGACATCAATTTTATCTCCATATCTATCTATTTATCTAAGGAGCTTCCTCAGAACAGAATATAAGGGTGTGACTTGTCGACTGGTGGGTTTCACTGGTGGGTGAGTTGTGCCAGACCAGCCAATATGCTGGTAGATGTCTGCTTACATGGGTCTTTCCATTAAATCAGTCACTTTTCCTAAAGATGAATATCTGAGAGACATAAACTTTGCTTTTGGCATTCTGGAAGCCAAGTAGTGGCGGACTTCTAATCAATACATCTGCCTTCTATGCATCTGCTTTTTTTTTTTTTTTCTTCTCAGTTTTGTCTAGTGTCCCTGAGAATGGAGTCCCACTGATTCAGTCTTTTAAGGTACACAGCATCCTATCTTATTTAGGGGGAGGGGAGTGGCAGGAACCAAGAGGCCTGCTTTGAAGGAGTTTTTCTGGGCCTCTCACTGTTCTTTATGCAGGCTTTCAACCGTCCCTTCTGTTTCCAGCTCCACCCATTACCTCTGACTTCAGAGGTACCTGTCACCTCTAATTCATGATTCTCTCCAGGTTTTCATAATGCCAATTACTCAGCTTTCTCTCACAGGCTAAATCAGTCACTACCTTTCATAATTGTATTGATATTCCTCATTATCCATCAACCGTTTTCTAATTCGCTTTTACTCCATATGTTTAGCTCTTTGTTGGTCAGTCACTATCATTTCAGTTAAGAATGGAGAGTAGAAAGCTGAAACTGGATCCCTTCCTTACACCTTATACAAAAATTAATTCAAGATGGATTAAAGACTTAAACGTTAGACCTAAAACCATAAAAATCCTAGAAGAAAACCTAGGCATTACCATTCAGGACATAGGCATGGGCAAGGACTTCATGTCTAAAACACCAAAAGCAATGGCAACAAAAGCCAAAATTGACAAATGGGATCTAATTAAACTAAAGAGCTTCTGCACAGCTAAAGAAACTACCATCAGAGTGAACAGGCAACCTACAAAATGGGAGAAAATTTTCACAGCCTACTCATCTGACAAAGGGCTAATATCCAGAATCTAAAATGAACTCAAACAAATTTACAAGAAAAAAACAAACAACCCCATCAAAAAGTGGGCAAAGGATATGAACAGACAATTCTCAAAAGAAGACATTTATGCAGCCAAAAGACACATGAAAAAATGCTCATCATCACTGGCCATCAGAGAAATGCAAATCAAAACCACAATGAGATACCATCTCGCACCAGTTAGAATGGCAATCATTAAAAAGTCAGGTAACAACAGGTGCTGGAGAGGATGTGGAGAAATAGGAACACTTTTACACTGTTGGTGGGACTGTAAGCTAGTTCAACCATTGTGGAAGTCAGTGTGGCAATTCCTCAGGGATCTAGAACTAGAAATACCATTTGACCCAGCCATCCCATTACTGGGTATATACCCAAAGGATTATAAATCATGCTGCTATAAAGACACATGCACACGTATGTTTATTGCGGCACTACTCACAATAGCAAAGACTTGGAACTAACCCAAATGTCCATCAATGATAGACTGGATTAAGAAAATGTGGCACATGTACACCATGGAATACTATGCAGCCATAAAAAATGATGAGTTCCTGTCCTTTGTAGGGACATGGATGAAATTGGAAATCATCATTCTCAGTAAACTATCACAAGGACAAAAAACCTAACACCGCATGTTCTCACTTATAGGTGGGAATTGAACAATGAGAACACATGGACACAGGAAGGGGAACATCACACTCTGGGGACTGTTGTGGGGTCGGGGGAGGGGGGAGGGATAGCATTAGGAGATATACCTAATGCTAAATGACAAGTTAATGGGTGCGGCACACCAGCATGGCACATGTATACATATGTAACTAACCTGCATATTGTGCACCTGTACCCTAAAACTTAAAGTATAATAATAACAATAATAATAATAAAGAATGGAGAAAGATCAGACAAAGTCTGTGTGCAATCTACTATGTTTAACTTTAGGTCCTGTTTTCTCTTCCATATTCTTTTTTTCTTTTACACAAAGTTTTAGTCATTTTATGCTTAGAAAAGTCTCGTATCTACAGTCACAGCCTGAACCAGTCCTACCATGCCGTTTTCTTCTAGTGAAACTCAGAGGTTTTGCCAACACTGCAAATTTGTTGTAACCAAATTAGAATAAACGCATCATCATTCCTGACCACAAAATAAACTCTTTGTTAATGGTGAATAGCATAATCCAAAAGAGAATTAACCCTTTTACCTTTAACTATGATCAGCAGAATTTACAAAGCCTACTCTGAAACTTAATTTGCACTCTCTTATTCAACAAACGATTATTGAATGCCTCCTCCACGTCTAGCACTGTGTTATAACTGGGTGATGGAAGAATAGGACATTTTATCTGCTCTTGCAGAGCTCACACTTCCATGAAGAAAACAAAAATGTAAGCAGAAAATTCGCATGTAATGTGATAAATGCTTTAATAGGAGTGATCACAGGATTATATGGTCAGGGAAGACTTCCCAGAGGACAGTGCCTGAGTGGAATATTGAAGAATGATCAGTAAAAAAGGAAATGAAGAACATGCTTGGAAGAGGAGGTACAATGTGCAACTGCTAAGAGGCATAAAACAAGTGGGTTTTATTCAGAGGAATGGTAAGTAATTCAGTCTTCTTAGACCCCACAGAGGCAAAGTTGAAGTGGAGAAAATGAATACTAGAGGCACACCTGAGGCCTGGCCATGAAAGGCTTTTAATGTGATTTTAGGAATGTGTGAATTCCCAGGGGACTTAATTTTCCATTTGCTAATGAACATTAACAAATCCTTGTTTTTGACCTTAGACATTTGAATGTTTGTGCAAATACATGTTAACACACATAAGCATATGCATGTGCACTCACATGGATCCTGTGAATGCCAGATTCCTGGATTTTCACATTCCCCATGTTGGACTGGGGAATGCTTGTCCCCTGAGGCAAATGAAACAGAGCCAGGAATGTTGGGTATGGGGCATGCGATACACATAGAGTCAGAGTCAGAACTTCCAATAGCGAGGCAAGTCCATTTCAAGCATCTTGTTGGAAATCAGAAGCACAAACATATCTGGGGGCTCAAAAAGAAAGCTAAAAAAAAACCAAACTGATCTCTCTAACAATTGGATTTCCTAATTATAAAGTACAATAAGCTTGTTGCTCCTGGGACTGTGGTCAGAAGCCATACAGACATTCTCAAGGGATGATGCAGACGTAATTTGTACCCTGGGTGAAATAATCTTTCCAGCCTGAAAAAAGAATTGAAGTCTAAAGCATATTGACAAAATGAGTTTCCCTGATTTCTGGGTTCTAGAAAGAAATGGCAAACTCAGAATTTGAGGAAGTCCATACCAGACGATCATGAGAACATAACAAATAATTGGAAAAAATGAGACCATATGCATAGATGGCTTATTATAATTTATTTTTAAAAATTTAGGCCAGGCATAGTGGCTCACACCTGTAATCCTAGCACTTTGGGAGACCAAGGCAGTTGGATCGCCTGAGCTCAGGAGTTTGAGACCAACTTGGCCAACATGGTGAAACCGCATCTCTACTAAAATAATAATAATAAAGAAATAGCCAGGTATGGTGGTACACACCTGTAGTCCCAGCTACTTGGGAGTCTGAGGCACAAGAATCGCTTGAACCTGGGAGGTGGAGGTTGCAGTGAGCCAAGATCAGGCCACTGCACTCCAGTCAGGGTGACAGAGCAAGACTCCGTATCTCCCCACCAAAAAAAAAAAAAAAAAAAAAAATTATGCCCAGCTTTTAATTTGATGCTTATAACCTCTTGAGGAAATAAGAGCAATTTACATCAGCTTTATATGTGCAGATAAAGAAGTACATTGGAAGAAACTGAAATTGGCTCAAGGTCATACAAGCAGGATGTCACTTAGCCTAAGTTAAAATCTTAAGCCTCATGTTTAGCAGTCTAGAACCCACCTATCACTCTTCTTTGCCCCAATTTTCTCTCTTGCTGGATCATATATGTATGTAGAAGTTGGTCTGGGCTCTTGGGACTCAGACAGACCATGTAGTGCTTAATTCAAAGTTTCATGGTAGCCATGGTAGGTGACAGACATTTCAGGACCACTTTATAAGAAATAAAATGTTCCAAAGACCATAATCTGGAGTTTATTTAAGTTCTTAGAACTTACATGCATTGGTCTTTGTGATAGCAAGCAATAAGGGGTTAAAGATGGAGCAGAAGGGAGGATAATTGACATGTGGGCTTATTGGTCTTTCCCCAGGCCATCTGGGAGCTTAAATAGCCAACAGTTAATTAAAAATAAACTGACACTTTACTTTAAGGATAGTTTTAATAACCATTTATAAATGTTACATTAAAAATTCATACACTGTTATCAACTCCTGCTAAGGATTTACAGCACAATGAAGGTGTTATGAATGTTTTATAGGTACTGGGGAGAAGGCTTTTTTTTTTTTTTTTTTTTGTAGAGATATTTTCAGAAGACTATTTGTCTTTTCTGGGCTACATCATAAGTACTTAAGACAACAGCAGCTTATGGAGTGAAAACAGCTCCCAAATTTCAGATTGTGATCTTGCCGTCTCACTTGTTACTGGCCATAGTTCTTGCCTTAAGCATTGTGTGTTCCTCGCAGAGTGTTTGTTCCAAGTAGTAGATGAAATAGAGAAGATAAATAGGGCAGCATAAAATGGTATAAGTGAATCCACTACCCAAAAAGATTTTGCATGATGCTGATAAACATAATAAGCAGAAACTTAAAGTAGGATGTAAGAGTTAATTAGGTAGTTGTTATAGCTGGTGACCCATGCATTCTGCTAAACAGCAGTATCTGTTCTGCTTTTGGACATCTGTGGCACCATGAAGCACTAGATTCTTATCTGCCCTGTTTTTCACATCCTGTGAACTTGGGAACTATCACAATTTGCCGTAGACATATTTTTTGACCGTAGGTTTGGGTACACATGGGTTCTATCAGCAAATGGCAACTGAACAGAATTTCGGCTCAGAATTAAGAGCAAGTCTCTTCCTCCAGCTGCTGCCTTTTTTCTTCCAGGCAGGAACAATGAAGCTGTATATATTGCAAAGATTGCAAAAGAGAAATTAAAATTGACTGCTTCACAGTTGACAATTGGAAAGGAAATTTCCTTGTTCAAGAACCAAGAATTATAAGCTGTACCTTTTAACAGCTTAGGGTCTGTGACTTTGAACAAATGCACGCTTGTATTGTAAAGCCCTGGACAATTGCCTCCAGTGATGGCCCAGCTTCCAAGGTAAAGCAAAAGGAACAGAAATATAAGTCAGTGGTACTTTTGCTTTTATTTATCTATTTTCCTTATAGTTCTATAAGTACAGATCAGTATTGTTTGAACTTCTACACTCATTGATAAGAAGCTTCTGGACTGTGGAATGAATCTAGCTCTTGATGTCATTCGGAATGATTAAAATGTCAGTAGGAACCTATGATGACAGAAATGTAACGCAAGCTTTATTAGTAATAACCTAATAGGACTTAATATGAGAAATGCTTTTAGATGAGCATCAGTTTATATTTTAGGCACCATTGGTTTCTCAGTGTCTTTCTCACGTATTTCATTGAGACTCATTATGTCCCTCCCTTTGTAATCATTCTGTTGTCTGAATGGAGTTTGTATGTGTTATGTCTATTTCTATTTATTTATTTAGATGGAGTCTTGCTCTGTTGCCCAGGCCAGAGTGCAGTGGCACGATCTCTGCTCACTGCAACCTCCACCTCCTGGGTTCAAGCGATTCTCCTGCCTCAGCCTCCCGAGTAGCTGGGACTACAGGCATCCACCACCATGCCTGGCTAATTTTTGTATTTTTAGTAGAGGCCAGGTTTAACCATGTTGGCCAGACTGGTCTTGAACTCCTGACCTCAAATAATCCACCCACCTTGGCCTCCCAAAGTGCTGGGATTACAGGTGTGAGCTACCGTGTCTGGCCTATTTTTTTTTTATTAATCATGGCCTAGAAATAAAATATCACAATTATTATCACATATTATAGGACTTGTATGCATCTGTGCATCTTGATTTTTCTATAATTATTTTGTTTTTGGAGTTCTAAAACAAGCATTACTAATCTTTCGAAATTTCAAAATTATATCAAAGTTGATTAAATCAAAGTCTTACACTTTAACTTCCTCCAGTAGAGACAGAAAGACTCAGACGAAGAGAGAGCAAAATGGATAGAAAGGAAACCAGTATGAGAGCAACAGTGAGAGAGACAGAGAAAATAATGACACAAGAACAAGAGAGAGAACAAGGGAAGGTGTAGGGAGGAGAGAAGGCATAGGGAAGAGACAAAGTGAGGGAGAGAAGAAGAAAAGGAGATGCAAGGAAATGTTACATTTCTGGAGCCAGTTAAAATAATGCATAGTTATCATAGGGTCTCTATTAAAAGTTATTATAAGCTCAGCTCTGGAAGCCATTAGGTGGGTGTCTTAACAGTTGAAAGAGTCCAGGACTTCAACTTATTGTGCTGATACTACCACAGTCCCCACTTTCCTGCTTCAGTTTCCTCCTTTATAATATTGGGAAAAGTATAAAACCTTCCAAAAAAAATAAGATAATAGCTTATTCCTACTATATTAGGAATTGCTATGAGAATTCCTATTGCTGTGAGAATCCAAAGAGATAATGAATATAATTTAACGTAGTACTTTCCAACCATATATCTTCATACAAAAGATATCGCCATCCTTCTAAAGATACATTTTAGGGGCAACAAAATTGTATGTGGTAAAACAAAAACAATGAACAATAGACAGCCAGATTCTTCCTTCACAGTGAATTCATTCTCTTCCCTTTTCCCACCTTCCTTCTGAGGTTTTTGCCTATAAACCTGGTTTTCCCATTGCCATCCATGGGCTGCCACTTTGTTCTTTACAAATCTATATCTGGAAGGCCAACTTCACTAACATGTGCACAAGAGGGATTACTGCTGCTCTGGCTTCAAAAAGTTTGTTTCGTTTGTTTCATCCTTTCATTCAAACGGGCTGGATCGGACTCCCACTGCTCCTCAGTCTTATCAGCTACTATGTCTGTCATGGATTTTCAGCAATACAGAGAAAAAAAAAAGCACTTACTGTTGACTGCATTCTTACTATCCTCATCACATATACAGACAGATCGTCTTTCTAGTGAACTGTCTAAGCTCCTTCCCACTTGTACTTTCTCACATTTTGACCTATGGAAGTATACCATATGGCTGCATCTCTCTGTGCATTTAAAGATAATAATTAGCCTTTAGCATTCAGAGTGTTAAATCTTTATAATTCATTACCCTTTATATAAATGGAAAGATTACTGTACTTGGGTTGGGGATGGAAGCCTGGAATTTTTCTTGTTCCTGCCAGTAACTGGCTGCTATCTGTGTAGCACTGGGGTAATCACTTGCTACGGTTTCCTCTGTTTTCCGTATATGAAGTTAAAAGAGGAACTCAGTGGTGGCAAATGGTAGCTACCTCCAAGCCTACAAAAGCCAAACTAATATTAGAATTGTATATATTCACTAACTCTATAGAGCTCCAGCCTGAGAATTTAAGAAGTATTGATGGAAGGAGTAGTCTTTGATCTAGATCTTGAAGGTTAAGAGTCAGGTAGGTGAAGATGGATGTACGGCATTCCAGAAGAGTTCTAGAAATATGTTAGAGCAGCATACTCATTCATTTATTCACCTATCCAACATCTACTAATTGAATGTCTAGTCTGTGACAGTCACTGCTCTAGGAGCTAGGAATAGCAGTGAACAGCACAGACAAAAGTAA
The DNA here is from genome assembly GCF_000001405.40 of Homo sapiens. NCBI lineage: Eukaryota > Metazoa > Chordata > Mammalia > Primates > Hominidae > Homo > Homo sapiens. The sequence continues at coordinate 117,933,427 of NC_000009.12, read as the reverse complement.
TCTTTCTCTCATGGAGCTTGCATTCTAGATAGGACAGAACTAGCAATTGCACTTATCTGGATCAGAAAATGCAATAAAGGCAACAATGATAATTGTGGTGAATTATACTGGAGTTCAACAATGAAGAGCCTTTACTTCCAGCCTAAGTTTGTGTTTCATGGTAACTGCTATGGTTGTAATGCCCCCTCTAAAACTCCTGTTGAAATTTAATTTCCATTGTAACAGTGTTGAGAATCCAGACCTATAAGAGGTGCTTAGGTCCATGAATGGATTAATGCTGTTACTTCAGGAGTGGGTTATTGATAAAAAAGGAGGAATTTGGCCCAATTTCCTCTCTTTTTCTATCATAGGATGTACTTCCACCATGTTACAATGCAGCAAGAAGGCCTTCACTAGATGGACTTCCTGAATCTTGGACTTCCCAGCCTCCAGAACCATGATTTAAATCAATTCCTTTGCTTTGTACAGTGTCCAGACTATGGTATTCTGCTACAGCAGCAGAAAATGGACTAAGACAGTAATACATTAGTGCTTACTCTCAAAACTTGCTAATGGTCATGGAGAATGATAGAGACTTTTCGGGAAGAACAGGCCTCATGGTGATACAACCTTGACAGTGATTACAGACAATAGAGCTATAAAAGTGGGAGGGGAAAAGAAAGTGTTGCATTCATAATGAAAAGAACTTGGACTTTGAAATCGATCCATACATACTAGTCATAAGACGTCGTTATTTAATCTCTCTGAGTGTTGATTTCTTTATTTATAAAATAAAGCCCACTTTATATACTTATTGTAAGGATTAAAGAATCAATTTACTCATCTAACACAGTGTCCAGTACTTAGTAGCGCAGTAGATGGTAATAAACTATTTTAGTTTCACTCTCTTCCAAGTGGGTGACAACTTGGCTGAGAACTAGCCAGAGGAGAGAAACTTGACAGGTGTTGCTGAAGAAGCAAATGAACAAAAAATTATACTGAGAAACAAGAGTTCTCCTCCCTAAGCAGAAAAGTCTTGGGGGTTATACATTGCTTTGCTGGAGGGAAGACATCAGGAAAAAAGTCATTTGCTGAAATATGAAAAACAAAAAGATTTGGGCTGGGCGTGTTGGCTTATGCCTGTAATCCCATCAGTTTGGAAGGCTGAGGCAGGTGGATCAGGAGGTTAGGAGTTCGACACCAGCCTGGCCAACATGGTGAAACCCCATCTCTACTAAAAATACAAAAATTAGCGGGATGCAGAGCAGGCACCTGTAATCCCAGCTACTCGGGAGGCTGAGGCAGGAGAATTGCTTGAACCAGGGAGGTGGAGGTTGCAGTGAGCCAAGATCATGCCACTGCACTCGAGCCTGGGTGACAGAGCAAGACTCCATCTCAAAAAAAAAAAGAAAAGAAAAATTGTATCACACTATGTCTGGTTAAATGTTTCCATTGTGAGTTATGAAAATCACATTCTATTTATAAATAGCAGTGTTCATGAACATGATTCCATCCACAGTAAAAACCTTTGACATATAGGACACATTGTAGAGTCTTTCTTACAAATTAAAATACAAAGAACTAAAGAATAGATTCAAAGCCCAGACCATGGCCATTCAATGAGAGTGGTGAGCCCAAGAATGTAAGTTTTCTAATTTTGATTTCAAAACTCCTTCTACTAAATCTATCCTTATTTTTATTGAAAAGTGCTGTCCAATGAAAAGTAAAAGTCCTTAATCCTATTTCATTAAAACATACTCTTTGGTGGAAAAGATATATCATCAAAAAGAAGCTACAGATAATGGGTTCATAGATGCAATGAGCTGGAAAATTTCAAAAGGCTAGTTTCATATTCTAGCTGTGAGTTTTACTAGTTGTATAAAATAAATAGGAATCTCATATATTTGTATTTGTAGATACGATAATCTTTGAAATTATTTAGCTTTATGCCTGGCTAGTTAAGTATCTATAAAGCAAAGGCATAAATAACTGTGTGGAAATTTTATCCAATGAGCTATGCAATGCATTACTCCTCTCCAACTGCCAAAGCCAGACAGCCAGCATTGGCTTGGCCAAACCAATGCTAAATAGCTCATTTTTTTCATGACAGCTTGATCAATTTCTGGAAAGTACTGATGGTCTTTTTACATTGAGTTAAATTGTGCTAGTGGTCATTGTTCTTTGGAAAATAGACTCCAGATTCTAATTCTACATACAATGTCTTCTTCACATTTCAGTTCTTAATATGTCTGAAATATGCATTATAACCTACCTAAGCCTCCTTTTCTCAAGCTTAACATTCCAGTGTTCCTCAGATAGTTTACATATTATATTAGAACACAATTTTGAAACTGTTATCCAGCTCTGTGGCTCATGATTAGTACAATGAACTCTTTCACAAACTGAGTTTTTAAGAAATCTGTTTGATTCCAGCCAATTTCATGTGCCAGTAGCAACATAAACAGTTTACTTGTAGACACATTTCTTCACTTCTTAAATATGACCTACTTCTTCGTATTCTAACCTCTGTACTTTCTTCTCTTCCTTCCCCCATCCCCCCTTAATCGTAGGTACCCTGAGCATCTTCAGGTTACACTTTTTTTCCTTAAGCCATTTTGTGCATGCAGTTGTAAGGACTTACTGTGTGTAACTTCATTAGTTGGCCCTTTAACTTTCAAACATTTCATCCTTTCAGAGTTGTATCAATGGGTGCAAAGGTCATATCTCTAATTTTATCCTTGCTGCAAGTTTGAGTTTGAATCAGCCTTTGCCACTCAAGAGCCTTCTCAATTGTACTCTTTACTGGTTGGTATTGAGAAGTAACTTTCTTTTCTAACTCTTACAGTCCCTGGATTGACTAATTCTCTCTATTCCCTTACATTTCAATTTACAAGCTGGCTAATACATTTCTGAGATCATCTCTTTATTAGTGCATTGCCAGACAGAACCAGAAGGACTAAATTCCCTTTCATGCCATTTCTTCTACAGCCACAAGTTCACAAGCTATGTAATTTTCTTCCCAACTTACCATAGATAATTTTTTTTTACCAATTTTGCTGTTTCTCTGCAAAATAGAAAATATGATCTTCCCAACTTCTGATCAGTTTGTTTACCACCTGTCAGCCAATCATTAATGGGATGGCACATATATGAGGGACTTTTTGCAGCAGCCCAGTTTCTAAGTGTCCCACTACATCAGTCAGGGTAGGGAAGGCTTCAGTAGTAAACAATATAAAACTCTCAGTCAGTTAAGACAAATAACAATGTTTACTCATGTTCTGTGCCCAGCTCACATCAGCTGAGGGCTCAGCTCCGGGTCATCCTCACTCTGAGATCCAGCTTAATGGAAGGACTGCCACCTGGATTTTTGCCAGGTATGTGACAGGGCTCTAAAAGCTTCTGGTTAGAAGTTATATAAGTCACTTGCCACCCAATTCCATTGTCCAAACCAAGTCAGATGAACACAGCCAACTTCAGTGTTGGGTAGCAGCCAAACAAGCATAGTGTAAATCTATGGAAAATAGATTCTAGAGAGGCAAGAAAGGAAGAATAGCAATCAAGAGAGTTTTTTGTTATGGAAGCCAAGGGGTAAAAATGTTTTATAGGGAGGAATGTTATTGACAACATGTTAGTGAGAAGTAAGATGAGAACACATAGAGACTTACACTATAAAAATACTTATAGTATTACTCATTCCAATTAGTAATATTTGGGATTACTCTAAAAACTCTAAAACATTGAGATGCAGAGATGTGATCTCACCCTGACTAAGACAAGTGCAATTTTTCTTAAATTGCTCCAAAGTTTGCCTATATCAAAGATGAATTCTCCTACAAACTCAGAACTCCAATGTGTAAAATTCTCTCTCAGTTTTCAAATAAAATAGGGTCCTACTGACACATCAGCAGGGAATCACACATTTTATATTTGGAGCTTCTCACTTCCTCCTGAACTACGTAAGAAATTCTGGAGGCAACACAGCCCCAAAGGAGGTCTAGCTTCATTATCAGAAGTCAGCTAGGGCTGGTTACTATCATTACCATAGTTTTGTAAGAATAAAGAAAATCAGCTCCACCTATGATGTCAATCACCTGCTGATCCAGGTGCCTCGGTAGGTTCTTGGGCCTTTAAGGAAAGCTCATTCCACTCTCTGAGTGCAAAAACTAGCCATAGGTATCCCTTGCTTGAGTTCTTAGATTTGTCCACCTTGGTATTTGCTTCTTGCATTCTCAAATGTGGCTATGCCTCAGAAAGCTGGACCTCTCAATAACAGTAAGCTGTATTTGCTTAATGTTGTTGTCTCTCACAAACTAAGGACTATTGTCTCCTTTTTCCCAGTGGTCCACACCTCCAAGATTTTAGCAATATTGCTTTTCCAAGTCTTGAAATCCAGAGTCTAATTTCATCACCTTTTCAAGATAATGGGACTCCACACACACCTGTCTAGGGGCTATTTACACACTTCTAAGATCTTCTATGTGAGGGAGAATGGGAGAATGCTGTTTTCATTAACTCAAAATGAATTTATTCTCCTAAATGTGACCATGTTGACTTTCAGTCACAGCTCTCTCCTGGATAAATCAAAACAAAACAAAAACAAATCAATGAACAAGCAAAACCTACATAAGCCTGCTCTCCTGCAGAGCCTCCCCCCAACTATTCAATGATTCTCTATTAGTGACCATTATATATTTTGTAATTAATGTTTTAAAAATGCAATAATTTTAGTAAAGGAAAAACATGAGTTTAAATGTCAAGATGCACCTGGCAATCAATGCTTGTTGAATGAATGAATGAATACTATGTATCCACTATTTTATGCTGTTTATAGTTCTAAACGGTGTCATCAATGTACCAATAACGTGGAAAATTACTTGAATTACTTGAGAGCATTACAGCAGCTGCCACATCAGCAATTATTTTGCCAGTTGTTCAGAGGTTGTGAAAATTAACACAAGCTGGCAGAAACACTGACAATATATCTGGGAGCCATTTTTTTTTTTTTTTTTTTTTTGCCTGGAATAAAGGTGATTTCTTTAGATAAAACACCATCTGCAAGATCATAGAGAATGAAAGGCACAGTGAACAGAGATCCGCATCAAACAAATTCTAAGAACATAAAGCTCCATAGAAGAACTCACTTAACACCATGAGCAACTCAACAGACTGTGGCTAAGCTCTGATATCACATAGGCAATATGATTTGCTTACCTTTGAGGTTGGAGCACATAAATGCTAAGGTGGTTTAAAAGAAAACTCTTAAGGAGGTGCTGCCTGTGCCAATGAGTTGGTGTTCTCAGTGAATTCATCAGAATCAAACAGGTGGTGAGAATCTACCGTGGTTCAGGCACTGAGCTAGGTCCTAGTCACAAAGAAGTGAACAGACATGCCTCTGCCCTCTTGAAACTCACAGCCCTGTTTTTAGTACATACTTCATAAGGATTTCATTGAGAAAAGCAAGAGAAAGAGAAAGAAAAGCCAGAATTACTTTGAATGGTCTGTAAAGACTGTACTCTTAACTCCAAAAGTTGAGGTCAGATGTTTCAACATATTTATCAACACCCAACTCATTTCCCTCATTCATGTCCTTCCTTTCCCCTTGCACAGGGGCAAACAAACCTCCACACACTCACTTTTTGGCCTGTGTGGTCCCCTTTTTCCTCGTCCCTTCCTAAATTTGTTAGTCTGAGCTAACTCACCCATGTCTCCCCCACAGCACTTTTAATCTATTCTCCATAACTCTGAGGTAAGGGTCATTTATATATATTTTTCAAACAACAACAACAACAACAACAATATTTCAGAGAAAATGAAAACCAGCACTTAGTGGTCAAAAAAACCCATTAGGGCAAATTCAGAGTTCTGTCTCCCTCCACTGTTCAGCCTGGGGAGCAGCAAGCCACTTCCCGACTCAGGTGCACCCTGAGACCCAGCTGTATTGACTTACACCTGAATGCCTCTTCAAATAGGGGCAAAACGTCGAAGAGTGTGTCAGTGGGAGAATCAAACACTGCTGCTGAGACTGTCACTTTGCTACCCCTAACACTGCTGTTACTGATGCAAAATTCAATTCCAGAATGTTGACAAATTGTATTATAAGTTCACAAATACCCTAAGCCTTTAACCTAACCCTTCCCTGTAGTCACGATCTCAGAATTCATCTAAGAGGATGAATGGCCAAGTGATGGGGAGGAAGGCTCAAGGCTGGTAAGCAGAAGCACAGGGCCATGGTGCAGATGCTGACATTTTCTTATTGCGGGACTTACCTGCTTTTCGAGGAAGTCACATACACTGTCTAGATCTCTGTCTTCATCAGCAAAAGGAGAAGATAATGTGTAAATAAGAATATGAAATGAATGGAATGATAAAGTTTTTAAATTGGAAGTGACTTTAAATTTGATTTGCTCTAACTTCCTCACCATCCTTGAAGCAAACTAAAGCAAAGGAGTTCTCAAACCTGCAACTTAATAGAATCACCTGGGAACGTTTTTAAATTGTCAATGCCTAAGCCCAGCTTACAGCAATTTCTTATTTAAATAGTCTGGGTTAAGGCTCAATATTAGTACTTTTTAAAAGCTCTCTGTGGGATTCTAATATGAAACCAAATTTAAAACAATACCTATGTGGGCACACACACACAGGCCTATAGAGAAGAAAATGCTGCCCAATATCCATGGAAGGACCTGCTGGAGGACAGAATCAGGATATAAATGCCTATCTTATATATTCTAATACAGTGCTGTTTCTGTACCCTCAATGGGGAAATCACCCACTCTACTCCCTCCAGCTGGGTGCAATTTTCTCTTTATGATGCCACCAGAATACTTATCGCCTCTTATAAAAGTGATTGATTTACATCCATTATATAGATTTTATAAGACTAGAAACTTCTTAAGAATAGAGACCACAGTGTCATTTCTGTATATTCTGTAGTGTCAGTCACTGTGCTAAAGTGCTCTGCACAAAGGAATGTAAGCTGAATGCTATGAGTCATCCACTGGCACCTCACTTCCCATTCCCTACCTCCTTTATCCCAAGCCTTCATTTTTCAGGACTAATCCATCCAAATTCCTTTTCTTTTCTCATTGCTTCAATTATTCAGGTTCTCTGTCACATCTCTGCTGAATATTGCTCTTTTATTTTCTTTCTCTTATTCAAAGCACTCTAACCCTTTCAACATACCTTCACATGACCAGCTACAATACGTAAAACAATTAGTGCCTCTTCAGTATCTTGGGATTAGTTTCACTCTTCACATACTATTCTTGGGATTATGATTAAGGGGCCACGAATGAATAAGCTGTTTCCTCTAAGGATGAAACGAAATTCCCTTGGGTCAATCCCAAAGCTGTTGTATATTTGAACATTTGCTTGTATTCCATCCTCCAATTATGCTTTGCTCTTTGTTACGGATATTTCCTACCTTGATGGAGGCCACTACAACACTAGCTCGCTCTCTCTCTTTCTCAGACACATCTACACATATCTCCATCTTGCAATGCACTGATTTTAAATATTTTCATTCTTATTTATCCAGTGCCATCTTCTGTTTTTTATTAATATGACTCTTGTCTATATTTCTAGGGGCAAGTACAATTCTAGCTCTTTGTCTTTTACAAAGTCTCTCTGACTGCCTAGCCAGTTTTTTTTTTTTAACTTTTATTTTAAGTTCAAGGATACAAGTGCAGATTTGTTACATAGATCTACTTGTGTCAGGGAGGTTGGTTATACGGATTATTTCATTACCCAGCTATTAAGCCTAGTACTCATTAGTTATTTTTCCTGATTCTCTCCCTCCTACCTCGCCAGCATCTGTTATTTTTTGACTTTTTTATAATAGCCATTCTGATTTCTGTGAGATGGTAACTCATTGTGGTTTGATTTGCATTTCTCTAATGATCAGTGATGTTTGCATTTCTCTAATGATCAGTGATGTCGAGCTTTTTTTAATATGATTGCTGGCTGCAATATGTCTTCTTTTGAAAAGTGTCTGTTCATGTCCTTTGCCTGCTTTTAAATAGGTTTTTTTCTTGTAAATTTGTATAAGTTCCTTATACAGGCTGGGGAACAAAGAAGACAGTAATGTAAATCCCTTAGTATAGGGTCTGGAACTAAAGTTCTTAGTAAATGGTAGATGTTATTACCACTAAATAGAACACTCCTGGCTCTGCTCTTTACTTTACTTACTGTGTGATCTTGAGTAGAGCACCCACTATCTCTACACCTACAGGCTCCACACAAGTTGGATTTGGACAATCAGCAGTCCTTATGTGATGGTAGCCTCCCAGTGGAACCTTTTCAAATGCATGAAAGAGGGATTTTTTGTTATTGTTGTTGTTGTTGTTTTTGTTTGTTTTGTTTTGTTTTGTTTTAATGTGGAGAGGCATTTCTGATTGCCTTAATGACAGGAGTGCCTTTGGCCTTGAGTAGGGGAAAGGCAAAGAGGCAACATATTAAGCCCTTTCTAGCCCTGTACAACTCTTGCCCAAAAACAAAAGCACTCTCATTATGAAATACTGTACTAAATATTTCTAAGGTCCTTTCAAGGTTTAAAATATCGCAATAGTAATATTAGACTTTTTGCTGAGATGTGACTGCCTGCCAAAGGGTTTTTTTATTTATTTTTTTTCGAGATGGAGTCTCACTCTGCCACCCAGGCTGGAGTGTAGTGGCATGATCTCAGCTCAGTGCAACCTCCGCCTCCCAGGTTCAAGCAATTCTCCTGCCTCAGCCTCCGAAGTAGCTGGGATTACAGGCACCCGCCACCATGCCTGGCTAATTTTTGTATTTTTAGTAGAGACAGGGTTTCGCTATGTTGGCCAGGCTGCTCTTGAACTCCTGACATCAAGTGATCTGCCTGCCTCAGCCTCCCAAAGTGCTGGGATTATAGGCATGAGTCACCACGCCCAGCCTGACAAGGTTTTAACCTTTATCACTTATTAAAAATTTAGCTCAGCAATACTCATCAACTACCCAGTACTTAAAACACAGGGTTATGTATTTATAATTAATATGGATTAGATATTATTTTCTGTGCAGTTTGGAAGACAAGTCAATTTGGAGCCTCACACAGCTGCTCAATAATGCAAACGATGCCTATTTAAATTAGCATATTACAGTGCTTTAAAAGTGTGGGAAGCAGCTTGGCAGAGTTGGAAAAACACCGTCTGGAAGCAGAGAAACCCATTTTTTAATACTGGATCTGTCAATTATTAGCTCTGTGAATTGGGCATATATTTACTTTTGTGGCCCCCTTTTTCTTCAATTAGGGAAGGAGGCAAACAAGTCTGCTTCAAAGGATGTTGTAAGAATTAGAGTGACTCTGTTTAGAAAGATTGGCATATTGGTGGCTCAATAAATGGCATTCATAATCATTTTTATTATTCTTTTTGTCATGAGGAAGATATTTATTGGTTCCTCCTACTGTACTAAAAGAGGAAATGCAATTTTGGATCTGGGCCTTGGAAGATAATTAAGTTTTGGTCCAGTGGATAAGTGGGAAAGTTTATGGTCACGGAATGCAATGGTCTTAATCTACGTTTTTGTTCTTTCCACAAATATGTATTGAGTTGCAATTACATACCAAGTACTCTTATAGGTCCTAAAGATAAAATGCAGATGGTCTCTGCACTCATATAGCTAGCACCCTGGAGGGTATTGCACTGTGTCTCTTCAAGAAATAGTAACCACAAGGCTGGGTGCGTGGCTCATGCCTGTAATGCCAGCACTTTGGGAAGCCAAGGTGGGTGGATCACGAGGTCAGCAGTTAGAGACTAGCTTGGCCAACATGGCAAAACCCCGTCTTTACTAAAAATACAAAAATTAGCCGGGCGTGGTGGCAGGTGCCTGTAATCCCAGCTACTCGGGAGGCTGAGGCAGGAGAATTGCTTGAACCTGGGAGGCAGAGGCTGCAGTGAACCAAAATCGTGCCATTGCACTCCAGACTGGGTGACAAGAGCAAGACTCCATCTCAAAAAAAAAAAAAAAAAAAAGAAAGAAAGAAGGAGTAACCACATGCTGCATTTTCTGCATTTTCAAAACTTGTTTTTACAACCGGGCACAGTAGCTCATACCTGTAGTCCCAGTAGTTTGGGAGACTGAGGCAGGAAGATCACTTGAGTCCAGAAGTTCAAGACCAGACTGGGCAACATAGTAAGACCTCTATCTCTAAAAAAAAAATACAAAAGTTGGCTAAGTATGGTGGTGTGTGCCAGTAGTCTCTGCTATTCAGGAGACTAGGGTGGGAGGATCGCTTGAGCCCAGGAGGTCAAATCTACAATGAGCCAAGATCAGTCTATTGCACTCCAGCCTGGGCAACAGAGTGAGACCCTATTTAAAAAAAAAAAACAAACTTGTTTTTACAATTTTCAGGAATGCAATTGAGAAGAGCATCACACTGGACCTATAGCAATATTTCTACTTATCAGCTATATTGCTTATACAAAGAAATCATAAATCTTTCAAGTTTATTTTATCTAGGGGTTGCACCTTTTCTAACATAGTACACACGCACACACGCACACACAGTTACCTCTGTGAGTCAATAGCATGAATATTAATGGGCATATTATTTACTCAGGCTAGCCTTAATTTTTCTCATAATTCAGTTTGATTTGTAAAGATCCTTGGTCTATTACTTGAAAATATGATTTGGCAGTAAAAATGTTTAGAGAAGGTAAGACTTTGCTTGGTCTTACAAACAAATTTGTCCTGGGCAGCTCTTTTTTTTTAAAAAAAAAAAACTTTATCACCTCTGAATTGATAACAAATATTATTGAGAGATATTTACATGCCTATTACTCTTATTTCAAGGCTTTCTTTGACTTATACTTACTGATCATTGTTTTGAACTCACAACTTGCAATATTACGTTTCTCTTCCTGAAAAAGTGGGAAATGATTTTAAGTAATTTTTAAATCTATAGCTAGAACAAGCTGATCTTATTTTCAATTTAAGGATATCAAGACATATTGAAGCAATATTAAATGTTTGAATTACCCCAATTAAATCTGCCATGTATCTCTGCCCCAGAATACCAGTGACCTTTGGCTGACACCTCAAAAATAGTTAAACATATCAATTTACATTATCCAAATAAGCTTTGGGTATCCATTACATCACATGTACTATAGTAGATACTGATGAATAAGATATTAAATTACAGCTCATGCCTCAAGGAGCTTATAGTCTAATAGAGAAAATAGTCATAAACATGTCAACAGGCTATTATAACAAGTAGATATTAGAAGTATATCACAGAGGAGGGAATGATTATCTGGTTGGGCAAATGTCTGGGAAAAAATTGTAGGACCCAGGCAGATGGTTTATTACAATGGAGTTGATACTAGTTAAACAAAATTCCCTCTACTTGGGGTTGAGAAAGAAACAGAGAACATTATCAACAACTGTAATAGGTCAGAGTTCTTGAACTTCCTTTTCCACTTCACTCTTCTTCCTGGAGTGACTGGCAGAGAGTTAATAAAGTATTACTTAACAGAACTTATGAGAGCACCTGCACTTTGAAAACAATGAGAGTTACCTAAAATAATAAATGCCTACAAACACACATTGAATTCTACCTCTGAGGAGCCAGCAATGGAAACCCTGTCCTTAGGCTAAATTGTCACTCCCCCACCACCATCTGGTAAGGTGACGATCAAAGTCAGTTTTCTTGCCATGTCCACTCACAAGCCTTGCTCGGCTAAACCCAGTTCATGAAAGGACATTACTGAAAAACATAATGACATCATTGGTGTTGATAGTAGCACTCCATTACATTTTGGAATGTCCCATATTCTAATATTTAACTTGAACCAATGCCTTGCTTATTGGTTTATATGCTCTATCTTTTGTAACTGAGAGTGCTAAAGTATAGAGATAGTAAATAAGTAAATTTAGGCCATACAGCTAAAAGGGAAGTAATAAAAGCATGGTTTATAGTCATTTGACTTAAGTGTTTTGTTTTGTTTTTAGGAAACTTTGTGAAGCTTATCTGTCTAAATATCAAACTGCCAAAACAGTATTCTAAATATCAATTGTGACTTAGGGCTATCATGATTTCTGGGCTAAAATTTACCTTTCTTCTCTAGCTATTGTTGTGCAAAGGATGATATCAAAACTATGTTCAGAAAAATCCTGTCTATCAGTCTAATAAACCCACTAGAATTGTATAATGTTATAATTAAAAATAATCATCCTCAAAGTTATATAACTCACTTTACCGACTACATCATGTGTTTTTAAGGTTAACATTCAACACATTCTTGGAGTCTTACTCAAGGTTATGTGAAATTGCCACCTAAGTAGCTATGAAGCTGCTGCTTTCTCAACCACACAAGAAAGCATATTGGAATTCACGTGAATGACAAAACAATGTATAAACTCTGATCTAAGCAATAGTAAAAAGTAAATGTTTACAAACTTTTGTACCTTAATTATTATTGTTAGGACAATAATTGTAATACTCCTCACAACAGACCAAGACTCACCAGGTGCAACAATACTGCCATTTAGAAGATTGATTTATTCATTTATCACATGATATTTGTGTTTTTCTGCTTTGTTATGAAGTCATGTTTAAAATGTATCTTCAAATATTAACACAGTAACTTAATCCTTTGTTCCAATCTCTTTTGAAATTCATTTTTAAAAACTTATAGTAATTATTATAACAAAATGACTAGATAACATTGTTATGGTGTTTCATAATTTACCGAGTACTTTCTCACCCACTACACCTGATTTCCAATAATCCTGTGATATGTTCAGCAATTCCCATTTCACAGATAAAGAAGCTCAGATTTATAAAAGAGATGTAGGGAATATGAAAAACTGTGTTCACTGACAATATGATTATTCTAAGGTTAGTGTGCCTGTAAAATAAAGAGTTAGAAATGCTCAAATCCAGAGAGAATTACCTCAGCCACCAAATAAGGAAGAGTAGCATTAACCTGATATTCCTCATTCTGATTGGTTTGTTCTGCATCGATACAGTTAATTAATATACAACTCCAAATTAGCTTTTGCAGGCAGGGAAATGTCAGCGGGTTTCTTCTTGTCCTCCTGCTAAGTGGAGGACATTAAATCATTATTACACATAATAGTTCCTAATTCACAGGTGGAAATATTAGCTCCCCAATGCATAAAAAATCATTTTGAGTCTGAAGGTCAACAGTTACATATCGGATTGTTTTGGTTTCCTGCTGGTCATTTTATAACAGTGTTTAATGGTTACCATAGTATATTTCTTCCAAAGTGAATTATGATCTGGACCTCATCTCTTCATCATTAATTTAAAGATGACATAGCTAGGAGACCAGATTTCCAGCTGCATTTTCCTAACAGAGGAAAGGAAGCACGGGGAGGTTAAGTGACTCACCAAAGATCACACAGAAAAATTTGACTGCTTGGTGAAGCTTCCATATTGGTACGAGCTTGGGAAGAAGTTGATCAATCTATTTCTTCTTGCTTATCTAAGTTTTTTCCTCTCTGCCCTTACAGTTCTTCACCCCATGACATTCAAGGGGACAGTGGCAAATGCATGGCTTTACCAGCAGCAAATACACTCTGTAAATAAGACTGCAATTACTGACGGAGAAGACTGAGACTCACTATTGCAGTGTTTTATCTGCTGGGTAGGCAATTCATTAAAACAGATATCTAGTGTTTTAATCACTCTGCCAAACCACCATCTGTTTCTATCCCAGCCTCCTCCCAACCCTAAACATCCCCCTATACCTCCTGCCACAGTCCCAATCAGGCTTTGGTATAGGAATAGACAGCTTGTGAGTGGAAAGTCGGAGGCCTGTGCAATAATTCATCTTTTGGGCATGACAGAACAAGCTGTTAGATGCTGTGAATATGCATAGCAGGTCTTGCTGGGCAAAATCCTGGATCGGAGAAGAGGATGGCTCCCACTTGGTGGAAACAAATGCTTCCTCTTATCTCTCCATCCCCCACTCAAAATAGTTACCAATCCTTTGAAAGTCTGAGAAATATTTCAGAGGCCAAGAACAAGCCTACTGAATGAAGGGATCTGGATTCCAATACTTAGGAGATGAATTAAGATCAAAGGTGTCAGTTTACTATTAATAGTATGACTATTATTTCATAGGTTTCCACTATGAGATGGGACCACGCCATGTACTTATATACACTAACTCATTTCTTCCTAAAATAACCTTGCTAGGTAGTTCTATCCCCATTTTACAGATAAGTAAACTAAGAAAGACTCAGACTGCTTAAGTAGGGTATTAATTCATGGTCATAGCTATTGTGTGGTAGAGACTGGATAATAACTCTGATTTTTTGACAAGTCCTGCATCCTTAATAACTATATTACCCACCCACCTTCATAATGCCACAGAAATCTTAGCAACGAGCTGTCTTAAATGACAATTTTGTGCTGTGACTTGCAATATGTATTGCTGTCATTGCAATACATATTTTTTACATTATGCTGTTTTTAAAATGATCTCTTCTATAAAAAAATAAAGGAAACTAAGGCTCAGAAATTTACTTTGTTTCAGTGATGAGAATCATTGGTTCCTCAGCCCAAAGCCTTTTCTAAGCAATGTTTACCTATGAATGCTTATCCCATACCTTGATATTTTAAATTAGATATTACAAATATTTTCTAATTGATATCAAGACTCATCACTTTCTTAACCTGCATCACTTCCTTAACCTGCAGAGGAACGGAGTTATCATTCATGGCAAGCAAAGTGCAAGAGCCATCTCATAACTAGCTTGCATTCTGGATTCATCGTGGGCATATTGGTAGGACAAGCAGGATCAGGAACATAATTTTCAGTGCTCAATGCAAAATAAAAATGTGGGGTCCCTTGTTTCAGAATTATAAAGAATTTCACGATATTGGCAGTGGATCATTAAACCCAGCATGAGGCCCTTTGGAGAGTGGGATCTCACCCAACAGTGCAAAGTGCAGGCCCATGAAGCCAGCCCTGACTGTACACCTATCACAGTCCATGCCTCCAGAAAAGGCCTTATTTTCCCTACCCTATTCTTCTCATAGAACCTGGAGTGGAAAGAATGCTGAACTGGGAGAGACTGTAGCCTGGGGTCTTGGTTTACAGTGTGCGGTCAACTGGCTCTGTGACTTTAAGTTTGCCATTCAATCTCTGGTGCTGGGAGTCCTTAAAAACTCTTAAGACTGGACTAGGTGATCAATCTCTAAATTCTGTCCAAAGTGCCCAGCCTACAACTTTTAGTCCACCCAGTTCACTCTCTTACTTTACTTAACTTCATTTATCTTTTTCAATTTCCCTTTCTGCCACTGCAACTCTAAAACTAATCAGGCTCAGCAACACCTGCGCCACAATCAACCGGTGTTACTCTCCCCAGCCTCATCAGCGTGGTGAGAAAACACGCCTCACACTTCAATTATGAGGTCGTTGTTGCGCATGCTCAATTGTCTCTGACTCAGATGCCTACCCCAGGGCATTAGAGACAGCTATTTTAAGACTGGTAAAAAGGAAAAGAAAGAATCCTGTTTAGTCTATCAACTCATGTTAGTGAGGGAAATAGCAGGAAATTTTTTTCCAAAGGGACAAGTTTGTTAAAATTATGTATTTCTTGCATTTTTTAAAACAATGATTTCTGAATCATGAATTTAAGACATACTAAAATTGTTTATTTACGTATGCTGCAGAATAAAAGTCCTTTTTCAAACCATAAACTCTATCCTGTGAAAAATTATAGTGATGCCAACGTAACCTAGCTTTCCTCCCTCTCTAATTTTCTTTCCCTTGTCCTCCTACTGACGATAAATATATCTGTTCTGTTTTGATCTCACCTTTTTCCCTGAATCTAAACTATGTCATATCTGATCTTTCCTTTAAAACTCTTTCTTAGTCTTCTTTAGATCCACTCATCCCCCTTCTACCACCACCACCATCACCTCCTTCCCAAGATACGTAATGGCTTTTCTCTTCTCTCTGCCTCTTTACCTCTATGTTAAAAAGTGTCTTGCTTTTAGCTTGAACCAAATTTGGGAGTTTTCTAAATCCTATTGCTCCTTCAAAGAAACATTCAAATTCTACCTTCCAGCTAAACTTCTCTGATTTCCACCACTCCAAACTGATGTGATTCTTCTCTTAACACAACCTGCTCACAATACTTGCCACTTATATTCTGTTCAATTTTTTATTGTAGTAAAAGACACATAACATTTACCATCTTAAGCATTTTAAGTGGACTGTTCAGTAGTATTAAATACATTCATAATATTGTGCAACCATCGCCACCACCCACCTTCGTAACTCTCTTCATTTTGTAAAACTGAAACTGTATACCCATTGTACAATTAGTCCTCATTCTCCCTCCCCCATCTCTTGTCATCCACCATTCTACTTTCTGTCTCTGTGATTTTAACTGCTCCAAAGTTATCTTGTATAAGCAGACTCATACAGTATTATATGTCTTTTTTAGTGACTGACTTATTTCACTTAGCATATTGTTCTCAAGCATCATCTGGGTTGTAGCATATAGCACAGGGTTTTCCCCCCCTTTTCAGGTTGAATAATATTCCTTTGTATGTGTATACCATTTTTAAAAAATCCATCCATTCAGCAAAAATGACACGGATTGCTTCTACATTTTAGCTACTGTGTGTAATTCTGTCATAAACCTGGGTCTAAAAATATATTTTTGAGACCCTGCTTTCAAATTTTAGATATATATGCAGAAGTGGAAATCTTTGGCCATATGGTAGTTCTATTTTTAATTTTTTGAAGAATATGTGTACTGTTTTTCACAGCAGCTGTACCATTTTACATTCCTACCAACAGTTCACAAGGGTTCTAATTTCTCCACATCCTCTCCAACATTTTTTTCTTTCTTTCTTTTTTCTTTTTCTTTTTTGATAATACCTATCCTATTGGGCATAAGGTGGTATCTCTTAGCAGTAGTTAGTTTTGATTTCCATTTCCCTAGTGATTAGTGATGCTAAGCACCTTTTCGTGTGCTCATTGGCTACTTGTATATTTTCTTTGGAGAAAAGTTTATTCAAGTCTTTTGCCCATTTTTAAAATCAGGTTGTTTTTGGTGTTATTGTTGAGTGTTAGGAGTTCTCTATACATTCTGATTACCAATCTCTTATCGGATATGTAATTTACAAATATTTTCTCCCATTCTGTGGGTTGCCTTTCTACTCTGTTGATAGTGTATTTTTTTCATTTTCATAAATGTCAGTTTCTCTAATTTTTTTCTTTTTTTGGTGTTGCCTGTGCCTTTGGTGGCATATCCAGGAAATCATTGTCAAAGGCTATGTTGTGAAGAGCTTGCCCTATATTTTGTTTTAAAAGTTTTGTTATTTTAGGTCATACACTTAGGTCTTTGATCCGCTTTGAATTAATTTTGTATCTGATGTTAGATAAGGATCCAATTTCTCTCTTTCTTTTCTTTTGCTTGCTCACTTTCTTTCTTTCTCTCTCTCTCTTTCTTTCTTTCTCTCTTTCCTCCTTTTTTTGCATGTGGATATCCAGTTTTCCTACCACCATTGGTTGAAAACACTGTCCTTCCCCATTAAATAATCTTAGTAGCCTTGTCAAAATTGTTTGACCACATATATGAGAGTTTATTCGTGGGCTCTCCATTCTATTTCACTGGTCTGTACATCTGTCTTAAGTCACTACTATACTGTTTTTATTACTATAGCTTTATATTAAGTTTTAAAATTAACATGTCTGAGTCCTCCAGGTGTGTTCTTTATTCCTTTTCTTTTATTAATACATATTTGCACATGTTTATGGAATACAGGTGATACTGTGATACATTCATAGAATGTATAATAATCAACTCAGTATTTAAGTTATTCATCACCTTGAATATTTACCATTTCTTTGTGTTAGGAATATTGCAAATCTGCTTTTCTAACTATTTTGAAATATACAATATATTATCTTTAACTATAGTCACCCTACTGTGCTATCAATCATCAGAACTTATTCCTTCTCTCTAATAGTATTTTTTGTACCTATTAACCTACCTGTCTCCATCTGTCCCGTCTCCCTCTACCTACCACACACACATACAGATACCCTTCCCAGACTTTGCCAACTATCATTCTACTCTTTACCTTCATGAGATCAACTTTTTTAGCTCTCACATATGAGTAAAAACATGTGATATTTTACATTTGTCTTTCTGTGCCTGGCTTATTTTACATAACAGAATGACTCCATTTCCATTCATGTTGCTTCAAATGGCAGGGTTTCATTTTTGGGGTGGCTGAGTAGTGTTCCACTAGGTTTGTATAGCACGTTTCCTTTATCTGTTCATCCATTGAGGGACACTTAGGTTGATTCCATATCTTTGCTATTACAAATAATGCTGCCATAAACATGAAGATGCAGGTATGTCTTTGATATACTGATTTCTTTTCCTTTGGGTAAGTACCCAGTAGTGGGATTGCTGAATTTAGTGGTAGTCCTAGTTTTAGTTTTTTGAGAAATATCCATAATGGAAATGTTTTCTATAATGGAAATTTATATTCCCACCAACAAGCTATAACCAAAAAGATCAAAAATATCAAACGTCAGTAAGGATGAAGAGAGAAGGAAACTCTTATACAGCTTTGTTATTTTTCAAGATTGTTTTGGCTACTTAAGATTCCATTTTATACTGGGTTTTATTTATTTCTGTAAGAAATGTCATTGTGGTTTTGATAGTGATTGCATTGAATCTGTAGATCACTTTGGGCAGTACTGACATTTTAACAATATTAATTCTTCCAACACATGAACACAGAAGATGATTCTATTTATTTGTGTCTTCTTTAATTTCATGCAGCAATGTTTTGTAGTTTTCAGTCTTTCACTTCCTTGGTGAATTCTTAAGTGTTTCACTCTATTTAATGCTATTATAAATGGGACTGATTTTGTAATTCTTTTCAGATTGCTCATTGTTAGTGTATAGTTATGCAACTGATTTTTGTATGTTGACTTTGTAAGCTGTTACTTTCCTGAATCCTTTTATTAGTTTTATTTATTTTATTAGCTCTATTAGTTTTTTTTTTTCCGGGATAGTTAAGTTTTCTACATCATCATGTAAACAGAGATAATTTTGTTACTTTATTTTTAATATGGGTTCTTTCCTACTCTTCAATTGTTTGGAAAAGTTTGAGGGAGATAGTGATTAGTTCTTTAGCTATTTGGTATATTTCATTACTGAAGCCATCAAATCCAGGGCTTTTCTTTGCTGTGCAATTTTCTCTTTCTTTCTTTCTTTCTCTCTTTCTCTTTCTTTCTTTCTTTCTTTCTTTCTTTCTTGCTTTCTTTCTTTCTTTCTTTCTTTCTTCCTTTCTGATTCAATCTCCTTATTGGTTATAAGTCTACTTAGATTTTCTATTTCTTTGTGATGTAGTCTTTGTACATTATGTGTTTCTAGGAATTTGTCCATTTTATCTAGGTTTTCTAATTTATTGACATATAATTGTTTATAGTACTCATATAATCCTTTTTACTTCTTTAAAATTGTTAATAATTGTGTTCTCACTTTCATTCTTAATTTAATAATTTATATTTTATCTCTTTTTTTCTTAGTCTTTCTAGCTAAAAGTTTGTCAACTTTGTTGAGCTTTTCAAAAGACCAACTTTGGTTTCATTTATTTTCTCTATTGTTTTCCTATTCCCCATTTCATTTATCTCTGCTCTAATCTTTATTCTTTTTTTCCTCCTGCTAACTTTGGGTTTAGTTTGTTTTTCTATACCCTTAAGTTGTAAAGTTAGGTTGTTGATTTGAAATCTTTCTAGTTTTACAATGTAAGTGTTTATAGCTGTAAATTTCCACATTAGAACTGCTTGTGCTGCATCCCATAAGTTTTGGTCTGTTGTGTTTTCATTTTCATTTGCCTGTAAGTACTTCTTAATTTCTCTTGTAATTTCTTCTTTGATCCATTGGTTGTTTAACAGTGTGTTGTTTAATTTTCACAATTTTTCAAGTTTCTCAGTTTTACTTCTGTTATTTATTTCTAAATTTTTTTCTGTAGTGATCAGAGAAGATACTTTGTGTGATATTTATATTTTCAAAAAAAATCTGTTGATAATCTGTGGCCTAACATATGGAGTATCCTAGAAAATGGCTCATATGCACTTGAAAAAAAATGTATATGCTGTTGATTAGAGTGTGATGTATATGTCTATCAGGTTTATTTATTGTTATGTTGTTGGTTATGTTCTTTGTTTTCTTACTTATTCTGTCTGGTTGTTATATATATTATTAAGAGAGAGATATTGATGTCTCCAACTATTATTATAGAACTGCTTGTTTCTCTCTGCAATTTTATCAGTTTTAGCTTCCTATATACTGATGGGCTGTTATTTGATGTATAAATGTATATCATGATTATATCAATGGTTAAGAACTTTTAACTTCTTACTGTGTTGAATTTTGTTATTAATCTATAATATCCTTATTTGTCTCTTGTAAACTTTTGTGATTCAAAGTTTATTTTGCCTGATAATAGTATAGCTACCTTTGGTCTCTTTTGGTTACTATTCACATGGAATGCCTTTTTTCTATCCTTTTACTTTCAACTTATTTGTATCTTTAAATCGAAACTGAGTTTCCTCTGTACTACATATTGTCATCTCATGTGTTTTTATCCATTCTGCCAATCTCTGTCTTTTGTTTGGAGAGTGAAACTTCTTACATTTAAAGTAATTACTGATAAGAAGGGACTTATTTTTGTCACTTTGCTATTTGTTTCCTATATGTCTTATAGTGTTTTTTTTTTTTCCTAATTTCCTTCATTACTGTCTTCTTTTGTGTTTAGTTGATTTTTTGCAGATAAATGTTTACATTTCTTTCCCATTTCCTTTGTGTATATTCTATAGGTACTTTCCTTTTGGTTACCCTGGCAATTACATTTAACATCTTAAAGTTATAACATTCTAATTTGAATTTATAATAGGTTAACTTCAACAACATACAAAAACTCTGTTTCTTTTTACCTCTGTCTCCAGCCTTCTCAGTTGTCAATATTGTAAATTTACAGCTTTATACTCTGTGTACCAAAAAAATACAAACTAATAATTCTTTTAAATGCATTAGACTCTTAAATCATGTAGAAAACAAAAATGGAGTTACAGACCATTAAAACAATAATACTAGCTTTTATAATTTTCCATCTATTTATTGGAAATAAGATAATCCTTTATTGAGAACTTTATTTCTTCATATAGCCTCAAGTTACTGTCTAATAACTAGGGTCCTTTTGTTTCAAATTACAGAACTCCCTTAAGCATGTCTTATAGAGAAGGTCCTAGTGTTAATGCACTCCTTCAGCTTTTGTTAATATGGGAATATTTTGATTTCTTTCTTACTTTTGAAGGACAGTTTTGCTGGGTATAGAATTCTTGGTTGATAGTTTTTTAACTTCTTTTTCTTTTAGCACTTTGAATATACTGCCCCAATGCCTTTTGGCCTCCAAAGTTTCTGATTAGAAATCTGCTGATAATCTTATTGAGAATTCCTTGTATATGACAAGTCCCTTTTCTCTTGTTGCTTTCAAGATTCCCTCTTTGACTTTTTCTTTCAAAAGATTGATTATAATGTATTTTAGTATGTGTCTCTTTGACTTCATCTTACTTGCAGATCATTGAGCTTTCTGAGTGTTTATATTTATGTCTTTCACTCAATTTGGAGGGATTCTCAGCCAATATTTATTCAAATATTCTCTCTGCTCTTTTCTCTCTTTCTCCCTTTCTGGGACTTCCACAATATGTTGGTTTGCTTGATGGTGTTCCACAGGTTCTGTTCATTTTTCATCAATATTTTTTATTTTGTTCTTCAAATTCAATAGTTTCCATTGTTTTGCCTTCAAGTTCACTGATCCTTCCTTCTGCCTGCTCAAATATGCCTTCTAATTCCCCTGATATGGTTTGGCTCTGTGTCCCCACCCAAATTTCATCTCGAATTCTAATTTTAATGCCCACATATCGGAGGAGGAACCTGGTGGGAGGTTATTGAATAATGAGGGCAGAGAATCTGGTTGTTTGAAAGTGTGTGGCCCCTCCCGCTTCACGCTCTCTCTCTCCTGTCACTGTGTGAAGAAGGTGTTACTTCCCCTTCGCTTTCTGCCATGATTGTAAGTTTTCCAAGGCCTCCCAGTCATGCTTCCTGTTAAACCTGCAGAACTGTGAGTCAATTAAACCTCTTCATAAATTACTCAGTCTGAGGTAGTTCTGTACAGCAATGTGAGAATGGACTAATACATCCCCCCAGTAGATTTTTAATAATATTTTAGCTATTGTACTTTTTAGTTTAGAATCTTCTTTCTTTCTTTCTTTTCTTTCTTTCTTTCTTTCTTTCTTTTTCTTTCTTTCTTTCTTGGTATTTCCATTTTGTTTAGACATCATTTTCTTTACTTTTTCTGTATTTTTCTTTACGTATTTGTGCATCTTTAACGCTACCATTTTATTTATTTTCCATAAGTTATTGGGGTACAGGTGGTATTTGGTTACATGAGTAAGTCCTTTAGTGGTGACTTGTGAGATTTTGGTGCACCCATCACCTGAGCAGTATACCCTGCACCATATTTGTAGTCTTCTATCCCTCGCCCTCTCCCACTCTTTCCCTCCAAGTCCCCAAAGTCCATTGCATCATTCTTATGCCTTCACGTCCTCATAATTTAGCTCTCACATATCAGTGAGAACACACAATATTTTGGTTTTCCATTCCTGAGTTACTTCACTTAGAATAATAGTCTACAATCTCATCTACGTCACTGCAAATGCTGTTAGTTCATTCATTTTTATGGTTGTGTAGTAATCTATTGTATATATACACCACAGTTTCTTTATCCACACGTTGATTGATAGACATTTGGTTGGTTCCATGATTTTACAATTGTGAATTGTGCTGCTATAAACGTGTGTGCAAGTATCTTTTTCAAATAATGACTTCTTTTCCTCTGAGTAGATACCCAGTAGTGGGATTGCTGGATCAAATGGTGGTTCTATTTTTAGTTCTTCAAATAATCTCCACACCGTTTTCCATAGTAGCTGTACTACTTTACATTCCCACCAGCAGCATAAAAGTGTTCCTTGTCGACTGCATCCATGCTAACATCTACTGTTTTTTGATTATGACCGTTCTTGCAGGAGTGAGATGGTATCTCATTGTAGTTTTGATTTACATTTCCCTGATCATTAGTGATGGTGGCCATTTTTTCTTAGGTTTGTTGGCCATTTGTATATTTTCTTTTGAGAATTGTCTATTCATGTCCTTAGCCCACATTTTGATGAGACTGTTTGCTTTTTTCTTACTGATTTGTTTGAGTTCATTATAGATTCTGGATATTAGTACTTTGTCAGATGTATAGATTGTGAAGATTTTCTCCCCCTCAGTGGGTTGTCTGTTTAGTCTGCTAACTGTTCCTTTTGCCATGCAAAAGCTCTTTGGTTTAATTAGGTCACAGCTATTTATCTTTGTTTTTATTGCATTTGCTTTGGGGTTCTTGGTCATGAAATCCTTGCCTAAGCCAATGTTGAGAAGAGTTTTTCCAATGTTATCTTCTAGAATTTTTATAGTTTCAGGTCTTAGGTTTAAGTCCTTAATCCATCTTGAGTTGATTTTTGTATAAGATGAAAGATGAGGATCCAGTTTCATTCTCCTATATGTGGCTAGCCAATTATCCCAGCACCATTTGTTGAAAAGGGTACTCTTTCCCCACTTTATGTTTTTGTTTGTTTTGTTGAAGATCAGTTGGCTGTAAGTATTTGTGTTTATTTCTGGGTTCTCTATTCTGTTCCATTGATCTATATACCTATTTTTGTATCAGTACCACACTGTTTTGGTGACTATGGCCTTATAGTATAGTTTGAAATCAGGTAGTGTGATGCCTCCAGATTTGTTCTTTTTGCTTAGTCTTGCTTTGGCTATGCAGTCTCTTTTTTGGTTCTATATGAATTTTAGTATTGTTTTTTCTAATTAAGAATGAGGGTGGTATTTTGATGGGAATTGCATCAAATTTTTGGATTGCTTTTGGCAGTAGGGTCATTTTCACAATATTAATTCTACCCATTCATGAGCATGGGATGTTTCCATTTGTTTGTGTCATCTGTGATTTCCATCAGCAGTGTTTTGTAATTTTCCTTGTAGAGGTCTTTTGAGTCCTTGGTTAGGTATATTCCTAAGTATTATTTCCCTTTGAGAACTGGAACAAGACAAGGACGCCCAATCTCACCACTCCTCTTCAACATAGTACTGGAAGTCATAGCCATAGCAATCACTCAAGAGAAAGAGATAAAGCGCATCCAAATTTGTAAAGAGGAATTCAAAATGGTCACTGTTTGCTGATGATGTAACCGTTTACCTTGAAAACCCTAAGGACACACCCAGAAAGCTCCTAGAACTGATAAAAGAATTCAGCAAAGTTTCCAGATACAAAATTAATGTACACAACAGTAGCTCTCTTATACACCAAACAGCAACCAAGTGGAGAATCAAATCAAGAACTCAACCTCTTTTACAATAGCTGCAAAGAAAAAAAAAAAGAAAGAAAAGAAAACCACTATTACTTCAAAAGCTTTTCTCCTAGTTGATGTGCCATCAGGCCTTGTTCAGAAACAATTTCTGTTAATTTCTTTTTTTTTCTTTTGATGAGCCATACTTTCCTGTTTCTCTGTATGCCTTGTGACTTTTTGTTGAAAAGTGGACACTTGAATCTAATAATATGGCAACTGAAAATCAGATTTCAGATTTTTGGGGGTGGTGATATTATTTTCATATATTTATTCTTATTGTTTTTATTGTTGTATGTTGTCTCTGGGCCAAGGAGTATTCTGACACGCTAACTTAAAGTCTTCTCAGGTCTCTTCTGAGCCTACACATTTCCCTGGGCATGACTTGTCACTTCCTAATTTTTCCCGTATAAGCAATTGGTTTTGAATGCCCTGGTCTTTAATGTGCGGCTCTCAAAACAAAAACAAAAACAACAAACAAACAAACAACAACAACAACATCAAAACAGAAAAATGAGAGGAGAGAAGGGCAGTGGCCGTTTAAATCCCCAGGAAGTCACTTCAGCTGGATGGGGAGAGGCTTGCAATAATAAGGGGAGGTGTAACAACAGTGGCCATCCACCTCTTTATCTGTACCTTTTGGTTAAAAGCAGCAATCAGAGCACAGATCCCTCATATTTGTATGACAAGGTCTTTTTTGCTCACCCTGCCTCCCACAAGCTATGTGCAGATTGTTCCAGGAACACATGTAAAGCTGTCTACCTTGGGTCTTGGGGAGGGAGATGGGTAACTACCACTGTGTTAATTGCTGAAATGTACTGAAATTAACAACACTTTACTATCCATGCCTTCTGTTTGAAATTGCAAGCCTTTGATAGCCTCCAGAGTTCCCAAATGGTTTCCTAAGACTGATTCTGCCAGTGCAATTGTTGTCTAGGTAGGGAGACAGATTCCTGATGCTTCCTTTTCCATATTCCCAGAATCCTTCTCCAATACTTGCAACTTCTTAATGTTGAATAAAATTATGTACGCACATACCTCATCTCTCCTACTAGTCTGTAACCAACACGAAGACAAAGAATAAGCCTTCAGTGGCTGAAAAGTGCACCTTAATTAGAGTAGGATCACAGTGTTTGTTGAGTGAGTGTCTGTGAACTACTATCAGAGTAACAAGTTAAACAGTAACAACTAGATTTGAGTCTAATCTCAGCTGACCTCTCCTCCTCAGTGTTCCCTGTTCATGTTTCTGAACCTCTGAGTCTATCAAATGCCAAGTTAGAGTCTGTTTCTCTGAGATAATTCATCTGTCCTGTTAATTTGTGTTAAGTGGTACTTTATCAGAGCCAAGCTTTTAAGTCCATTAAAAGTCTTACAGCTTGTCTCAAAGCTGGAAACACTGTAAAAGACAACATCAATCCTATGGCTCTGTCCTGCACTTAGAACGAGTTGATGCTTTCAGTCTAGGTCTCTAGATCAGCCTGCAGACTTTCAGAATGGCCCCATAAAATAACAGTAGGCCATGGAGTGTCACTTCTTCTGAGATATGAAACAGGCTGTCCTAAAGTCCAGAATATCTCATAGAGATATCAGCTGGAGAATAAACTAATATATTATCGTCAAGTACTTTCATTTCTCAAGCCTTTAAAATACACTTTTAAAAACTCTGCATGTGGAGAGTACATTATTGTGCCTCTTCTCAACTTTAGTATCTCTGTCCATCTAATGATTAGTTCCTCCTCCAAAAAAAGAAAGAGACAGTGATCTGATTGATCAGAGTGCAGGGCTTTTACTAAGCTATATTTTACTAGCGGATGATGTTTCTCTGACCCAAAGTTAGCACCATTGTATAGCACATCATCTTTGGTCTCTTCCCATGAAGACTTGCCTTAATAAGGACATTCTAACGAGATTCTCTTTCTTTCTCTCTTTTCTGCAAGCTCTGAACTTCTATTTGATCGTATATATTTGACCAGAGCTACTGGCATACCTAAAAATGCTGACTTAAATATTTTTATTGATGATCATTCCATTAATGATCATAATGGAGGTTCTAGCCCATACAATGAGTCAAGAAAATAAATTAGAGGCGTAAGTACTGGGAAAAAAAGAGAAAGAGAGCTCTATTTGCAGATGCTGTGATTATACACAAAATTAATTCTACAAATAAATCAATTTAATTATGAAAAGCATTTAGCAAGGTAGATAAACACTAAGAATAATTTTAAGATGTACTTGTCTTCCCATAATACTACTTACAAACATAGAAAATAAACTATATATATATATGATTGGAGGGTATTAAAACATACATCTTGGAAATATTCTAACAAAAGTTTTTGAAGACTCCATGGGAATTTTAAAAAGCCAAGAAAAAGTTAAGGAAAAATTTATTCTTCTCGATATCAAGACTTCTTATATTATTTAAAACAATATTTGGAAATAGAAAGGCAAATTGACCAGTAACACAATGGACAGTTTTAAAACAGATTTACACATATGTGAAACACCAATGTATGTGTGGCATATCAGATCAGTGGAGAGAAAAGGAATTATTCCCAAAATGGAACTTAATAAAATAATTATTCTTGTATAAAATAAAAATATTGGACCTCTCTGTCACTTTATATACAAATATCAAATTGAGACAAATAAAGGGCTTAAATTTCAAAATCTACATAGTAAAATGTTTGGAAAAACTATAGATGATTATCTCTTAGAATATGGGCTGGGCAGTCTTTTCATAAACAAGTTACAAAAAGCACTAGCTATGTAAGAAAAGGATGATCATTTGAGTTCTAATAAAACTAAAAACTTTTCCTTTTTTCAACACATATCTTGAACCAAATGAAAAGAATGGAGAAACAGTTAAGAGATATTTGCAGTATATGTAACTAATAAAGTATTAAACTCAAGAACATATAAATAATTTCTACTCATTATTAAAAGTGGGCAAATCTAATAGAAAAAGGGCAAGAAGCATAAGTAGGCATTTCACAGAAGAAAAAATAAATATAACCAATGAAGCCAGTAAACACATTAGGAGATATTTATGACTACTGTCAGGTTGAGTTGGGTCAAAGGTCTTTTTTGAGTCAATAACTGATGACATTCCAGTGATGGATGCTTGTTTTTCTGGGTCCTTGAGCGACTATCATAAACAGAGCCTTTCCATTTGCCACTAGCCCAAGATGGACCTGTAAGGTAAGCAAAACCTTAATAGAATGAATATCTTCTTATTTACACCACAGAAAATTACCTTATAATGTAGAAAAATTTTCATATGTCCAATGGTAGTAAAAAGAAATAAAATAAAAACATAGTGCAATTAAGGGATAGAGAATGATGAAATTAGTAAATTCTAAGTGCTGACATAGTGTCTGACACAATGGTGGGCAGAACAGATACAAAAAGTATATATTTGTGGTCATAGGAGATTTCTCTAAAAATCAATTTGATCAGGGACCTTAAGGAAGTAAAGAAGAAGATCATGTAGATACCTAGAAGAGTGTATTCTAGGTTAAGCAAAGGTAAGTACACAGGCCTTGAGGTGAGAGAAACCAGAACCTATTTGTGGCATCACGTGGATGCTAGTGTAGCTGGAGTATGCTGAATGAGAACAAGGGGGGTCCAAAAGAAGACCAGAAAGGTCATCTGTTTTGAGGTCATGGATCAATTTTAAGGCCAACCTAAGTATTTTGAACTTTGTTTCTAATGAAATAGTTTTGAGCCATTGTGATCTGAGTTATTTTCCAAAAGTATCGCTAAGGCTGCTCTGTTAAAATAGAGATTGGGGTCAAAGTGGAATCATGGAGACCTGTTAGGAGCCTATTGGGTAGTGGTGGTCAAATTGGGAAGAAATAGTTGTATTGTGCATAATCTGAGAGTAGAACTAAGAGACAACAAGAAGAAGGAAAAATGAGTCAAATGTGACATTAAGATTTGGAGCTTGATCAATTGAAAGAATGAGTACTTTATTGATATTACACATGTGGAGTAACAGAATTGGGAGAGAAAATCAAGAGTTTGGTTTTGGTCATGCTAATTGTGAGATAGCTATCTGACATCTAAATGTAGGCAGAAGAGGCTCTTGGATATACTAGAGAGAGAGCATTCATGAGAAATATTGGAATTAGACATATACATTTGGAAGCTGACAGAATATAGAAGGCATTTAGGCTGGGCGCGGTGGCTCATGCCTGTAATCCCAGCACTTTGGGAGGCCAAGGCAGGCAGATCACCTAAGGTTGGGAGTTTGAGACCATCCTGACCAACATGGAGAAACCCCGTCTCTACTAAAAATACAAAATTAACTGGGCCTGGTGGTGCATGCCTGTAATCCCAGCTACTTGGGAGGCTAAGGCAGGAGAATCGCTTGAAACTGGGAGGTGGAGGTTGCAGGTGAGCCGAGATTGCACCATTGCACTCCAGCCTGGGCAACAAGAGCAAAACTCCGTCTCAAAAGAAAAAAAAACAAATATAGAAGGCATTTAATGAGTTTATAAAATACAATCAATTGCATAGTTAGGTAAAAAGAGCAGAGAAAATATCTAAGGACTTAAGCCATGGAGAACTCCTATTTTTACTAAATATGATGACAAGCAGTATTCAGCAGGGGAGACTAAAAAAGAAATGACCAGTGAGACAGACAGAAAACCCAGAGAGAGCAATACTTCAAAATCCAAAGGGAAAATGGATATCAAGAAGAGAGCATGATCAACTATGTCCAGGTAACAAAGAGAAATTACCGTTGCATTTGACATAACAGAGATCATCGGTAACGTTGGTAAGAATAACTGGGGCAACTTCTGGTGAATAAAATTTTAGTAGAATAGTTTAAGAAAAACTATGAAGTTAGGAGGTGGGGCAAGCCAGTATAGAAGATTCTTGAGGATGTTTTCTTTTCTTTTTTTAATGGTGATTGAGAAATGCAGCAGGAATTGAATAGCATATCATGGGAAGAAAGGTTTTTTGGGTTTTGTTGTTGCTGCTGTTTTTGTTGTTCCTGTGAGGAGAAAAAACCTTACATAAAACATGTCTGTATGTTTATGGGAATGGTCCAGTAGACAGAAAAAAACTGACAATGAGGAAGTGATATCCTTGGGTGTGTAAGATGGAAAGGGTAGACTTGAGATAGGAACATGGACAGCTTATCTATAATAACTGAAAATAAAAGAATGTATGAGTATAGAAGCAGATATGTTAGCAGATTTGGAAAGGGAGATTTTTCTTTACATTATCTCTTGTATTTCCAGACCTCAAATTCATGATTATGCCCCAGCGAAAGTGTACAATTGACCTAATTAAATGATTGTGGGAGTAATTTTACAATGTTACCCAGAAAATTGGAGACACATTCAGGACTAGAAGCTAAGTCTCCTGATGACTTCCTGTGGTCTTTATTTCATTCATTTATTCATTAAATAGTTATTGAACCTCACTGGCCAAGAATGCTTTAAGGCACTGGAAATAAGTAATACATAATGTAATTTCTGTTTTTTAATAGGGTTTGGGTCTGTGTTCCTGCTCAAATCTCTTGTCAAATTGTAATCTCCAATGTTGGAGGTGGTGCCAAGAGGAAGGTGATTGAATCATGGGGACAGATTTCCCCCTCCATGCTGTCCTCATGATAGTGAGTGAGTGCTCACAATATTTGGTTGTTTAAAAGTTTGTGATGGCTGGGCACAGTGGCTCACGCCTGTAATCCCAGCACTTTGAGAGGCCGAGGCAGGCGGATCATAAGTTCAGGAGTTCGAGACCAGCCTGACCAACATGGTGAAACCCCGTCTCTACTAAAAATACAAAAAATTAGCTGGGTGTGGTGGCGCACACCTGTAATCCCAGCTACACAGGAGGCTGAGGCAGGAGAATCGCTTGAACCTGGGAGGCAGAGGTTGCAGTGAGCCGAGATCATGCCACTGCATAGCAGCCTGGGTGACAGAGCAAGACTCCATCTCAAAATAAATAAATAAATAAACAAAAGTTTGTGGCACCTTCCCCTACCTCTTCCTCCTGCTATTGCCATATAAGACACGCCTACTTTGCCTTCACCTTCAGCCATGAATGCAAGTTTCCTGAGGCTTCCCCAGCCATGCTTCCTGTACAGCCTGCAAAATCATGAGACAATTAAACCTCTTTTCTGTATAAATTATTCACTTTCAGGTATTTATTTATAACAATCCAAGAATGGACTAATACAGTTTTCCAACATATTTTAATCAAGAAGTTGCAAAAAGCATAAATTGCATAATTAATTTATATGAGTTAACATAATTTCTACAAAACAAGATCCATTTGCAATAGTACAAAATATGGAGGCAGTTCTCGAGTAGCCACTGAAAAATAAATAGCTGATAATCTAAAATTTGAAGGATGAATAGGTCTTGTATATGTGAATTAAAGTGTGTGGGTGTAGGTAAGAACATTGCACAGAGCAGGAGCACTATACACAAGGACCTCAAGATATTAACAAAGTGTTGTGGCGTGGTGAGAACAAGGGTGTGGCAGGGGGTGGATTTAAGTTGGAGAAACAGGCTGGGACTATATCACATGGTTAAAAGTTAAGATTTCACATGAAATATAATGAAAAGAAATTGAGGGAGATTTATGCTAGAGACTAAATTGACTAGAGCATATCTTTATTATAAAGGGATGATTCTGAGTGCTGTATGAACAAGAAATTGAAGGGAACAAATATATAGGTAGGGAAACTAGTTGAAACAGTATTGTGGTTGAGCAAGTATAAAATGTTGGTTGCATGGACTAAGCTATATATGGGGAAATGGGAAGAAATGAATGGATGTGAAGGTTATTAAGGAGTTTGGACTGATGGGATATGGTGGTAGACAGCTGTTAAAGAAAAATAATTTTGAGAATGACTTCCAGAATTTGGCTTCAATAAATGGGTTGATGGTAGTGCCCTTATAAAGAAGAGAAGGTTTTGGAGTCACAAAAGTAATGAGTTTAGTACTGAAGAGAAAGTGTGAGATGTCAGTGAGATTTTGAGGTGAAGATGACAAATATAATGCATCAAATGCCTGCCAAGTGCTATGCTGGGTTCTGTGAATATGAAGATAAATAAAAGTCATTTTCTACCCTCAAAATCTTATTGTTTAACAGCTCTCACTCCTCTCCTTTGCACCTTCCTTTTTCTGAATCTGCCACCAGTTATAAAAGTTAAATTATGCTCAGGAATGGCTGCAAGGAAAGAAAATATTCCAAGTTGATATCCTTTAACTAGGCAACAGCCACTTCTTAAAAAGATCATAATGTGATGGGAGATATGCTAATAATATTCATGGAAATGAGGGTTCACTGTATTAACTACAAGATCAAGGGATAACTGCAAGTAATTTGGTAATGGGCTGTAATTACCCTTCCATCTATAGCATGGGGATGAGCGTGGCACACAAATCAAACACTATTACTAAATACTTTCATATTTCATCAGTGACTTCTCTTTAACATTGTACTTTAATGTACCTGAAGAGCTGCCCCCAAATAAACTAGTCATTTTGAATATCAGGTTAAATAGTGGAGAGAATAGTTAATTCTCACTTTTTTTTCTCCCTCTCTCCCTCCCTTTCTCCCTCCCTCTTCTCCCTCCCTTTCTCACTCCCTTTTCCTCTCTGTCTCTCTCTCTTCATTTTTTTTCTTTTCCTAGCTTGGTCTCTTTGCTCAAATCAGGGATACTATGAATTGCCATCCTAGCTCCAGAGTTTTTCAAAGTGCCAGTTGAGGGCTTCAATGGGTCTTCATGCTAGTTTAACTTTTCCCTTTGCCCAACCCCAGAAGATGTGTCATGTTGCTGTCCCCAGACCCTCTCAGTGGAGAGTTAGAGAATACCTGTATACATTTACCTTTACCTCCATCTTTCTACATATTCAGCTATATATTGAATATCATAAGTGTGGTAAAGAGAATAATGCCTTCCCAAATATGGCTGCATGAAATAATACCCTCCCAAACATGGTCTATGAATCTGTTAGGCTACATGGCAAAAAGAAATTAAGATTGCACATGGAATCAAGATTGCTAATTGGCTGACCTTAAGATAAGGAGTTTAATTTAGATTATCCAGGTGTGCCCAATGTAATAAGAATGATCCTTAAAAATGGAAAAGGGAAGAAGAAAAAGTGAGTCAGAATGAAGTATGACTATAACAGAAGGTCAGAGTAATGCAATGTAAGACTTGACCCACAGATGCTGGCTTGGAAAAGAGAGGAAGGGGACACAAGCCAAGGAATATGGGTGGCCTCTACACATTGAACAAAGATAAGAGAAGGGATTATCTCCTGGAGCCACCAGAAAAAAAAATTAGTTCTGCCAACATCTTACTTTTTGCTCAGTGAGACCCACATAGGACTTCTGACTTATGGAAGTGTAATGTAATATGAATTTGTGTTGTTTTAAAACATGAAAATTGTGATAATTTGTTACAGCAATAATAGACAACTAATATTATAAGTTTATATTGATACCACTAATTCCAATCTAACACCTCAGAATTTAATACAACTTTCCCCCATTTATGACTCCCATTCTAGCATTAACAAAATTGGTCATCATTATGTTCAAATAGTTATTTTTTTAAATCTATCCCAGATCCAGTAGGTCATTGCCTCATGTGGCCACCTTTCTCACTTGGGCTCTTCCCCTCTGCCCAGATGCCACTGATAAGCCATACGTATCTTTCTCACTTAACTCCAATTAATAGTTCTTAGACTAAGTTATGAAAAAGGGAAGGAAAGAGGGAAGGAAGGAAGGAAGGGAGGGAGGGAGGGAGGAAAGGGAGGGAGGGAAGAAAGGAAGGAAGGAAGGAGAAAGGGAGGGAGAAAGAGAGAGAGAGAGGGAAGAGAAGGAAGGGAGAAAAAAAGACTGAAAGGACAGAAAAGCAGCCCATTCAGAGATTTCATTGACTCAAAGTCCATGAATAGAATCTATAGATGGAATTTGGGAAGCCATTGTATTACATATCCTACCCCAAAATTTCTGAAAAACAAAATGTCTATGTTTGTTTCTCCAGGGTATGGATCCATAGTTTTCATCACTTTCTCAAAACAGATCATAAACACAAATAAGTAGAATGAGGACCTAAATGACCTCCTTAAAATCCATTTACGAGCCTCATAATATACTATAATTTATCTTCAAAACACACAACGTAAACACTTTTATCAGCCAAGAATCAGGACCTACCTATAGGTTCCCAGAATCCCCACATTTCCAAGAGAGGTAGTAGACCATTTATAGAGAATGCTAAATGATTGTGAACCCAGTTTTGCTAGCTAGTGATACCAACTCCAGCTTCTATGAGAGGCTAAGGAGACCCCAAAATGATTTTATTGGAGAGAGTTTTGAATGTGTGTGTATACCTATCCCCTCTCAATCCCTCCAGTACCTGACCACGGGTGTTTTGAAGGTAGGAAAGACATTTCCTGTGAAAGGAAGTTCCGGTTAGAGGACCTGAAACTCCCCATGAAAGAAAGAGATAAATTTCAGGATGAGCCAGGTGCAGATTACAATGGCCACCAAAGACTTCTTTCGTTCTTCTCCTCCTTCCCTGAGCCCTACCTTAGAAGTTGGGGGGGCGGGGAGAACCCAAGGTGTTCAAGGGGGAGAAGAGATGGAGCAAGGTGAGGGAGAATTGGCTGACCATAATCAGCTTGCCCACTACAAGTATCTCGGCTAAAAGTACTGTTAATCTGCAGGGAGAGAAGCTCTAATTTAGCTCTGACTTGGCAGTTTGAAGATTATTACACTGGGATGGAAATTTTAATTACAGAAATGAGACTGTTTCTGAAACTGAAAATGACCAAAGGATTTCTTTTTATTTCTAAATAATGAAGGAAAAATATGATACCTGCCCCAAATTCCATATAAGAAATGGGAGGAAAAATCATGTCCAGTTTTATGTTTTCTTCACAACCCATGAATGGGTCAGTTATTATTCTCCTGGGTCAGTTCCTACCAAAAGTCATCTTTTTGTTCTCAAACATAGTATTGAAATAGCGATAGATATTGAATAATCCATATTTCTGTATTGCCTGATAAAGAAAAGCCATTAGAAGATTATATTTTTTCTCTCTCTTTTTTTTTCCCGTCTCGCACATGGGCGGGCAAGCTTAACTCTGCATCTTGTATTCAGATCCAACATTCCAGAGTCCAAAAAGCTGTTACTCAAGGATCTTTAAGTGCCTTACAGGAAACTTAAATAAGGGGGCTTGAGTAAAATGTTGTTTCTAGAACTTTGAAGGCTAATTATATGTACATCAACCTTGAGGTATTTTAGTGAGTTTATTTTTCTGAAAACCACTTAAGTACTTTTAAAATTTCTAGAATTGATTTTTTTCATTATTCAAATCAATTTTCTCACTAATGTCTGAGTGCACTACTCTCTTCCGTCTGCATCGCCAAACACAACAAGCGACCTTTTAGTTCACAGAAGTACAATAATTATTAGGAGGAAAAACAAATGAGATAAGGACTCCGTAAATCATCAAAAATCATAAATCATTTCGAAGGACCATTTTGGTAATTCCTCTGCCTTTAAGCTTGCTGGTCTTACATGCCCTCTGAGATATAAGATTTAGTTATTCGATCAGTAAATATTTATGGAGAATTATTTTAGCAAGGCCTGAGCTAGGAACTCTTGGAGTAGTTCTTTGATTGAAATCATCATCGAATCATAGTTATCATTGTCATCATCATCTAAAGTAGATTTCAGAAACCTTGTCAGTTCTTTGCACATTCTGATGACTCTTATTGGGAATTATCCATTTCTAGGTAGTAAATGTTATGCCCCAATTTTAGATTCACACGAAATTGCTGTTTATTGCCTGAAATAACTTTTGCTTAGGCTTGTCAAACGTGTGTGTCTGTGTGTATATGTTTATATACACATATATACATACACACACATATTGATTGCACTGTTTACAGCATGGGAAAGGAACATAGGTAACAGTACTCTGAAATGGGCTTTACTTTACAAGTGGATGGTTGAAGAAGGATTTACATTTACAAACATTGTTTAGAAGTGAAGTGGCTAAAATCCATAACTTGAATGTCAGATTGACCAGGTATTAGTCTTCTGTCTACTCACCAACTTTCTGAACTGACCTACGTCATTTATCTTCTGTGAGCCTCACAAATCGCATCTGAAAATGGGACAAATAGAAATATAACCTACCTCATTGAGTGTTTTGAGTTATTAAATGCGCGAATGCACCGAGTGCTTAACTTAGTGACTGGAACAGTTTATGATCAGTAAATGGCAGCTTATTAGTGCTTACTCTGTGCTGGTCATCATGCTAATTTTATAGAGAAGTATGAATACATTTGCCGGAATCACTTTTTTTCCCACATGAAGAAATGTAGACTGAGGAGGCTAAGATGGTTATCCATATTTACACAGCAGAAAAGTGGCAGGACCCCAGGCTCGGCTTCACCTCTAGATGCCATGACACCTTGTTAATCCCCTCTCTTGCCAGTGCAGACGTGTGTCACAGACACATGAACACTGATTAGCCCACACTTTCCATCCACCTGTGACATCTTAAAACCAGAGAATCCTGGAAGTATACAGCTAGAAGGGACCATCGATAAAAATATTGGAAATATAATTCTAAATGTTTTACATTCCCATGGAGATTTATAGGTATAACAGATTTTTGCATGTCTTATGTATTTCAGATCTGGACCTCCAAAATTAAAATTACCTGGAAGTGGACAGAGTATATTTGATGAGTGCCAATTTACAGTGGAAGAAAAATAAACATTCAGGTTTGCTTTATTTTTTAATTTTTTAAATTCTGCTTGGCTGTCAACAGAGTGATTTGCCACATATCTAGTAAGTTGTGAAAACTGACTCCAGCTCAGCTCTTCTAACTCCAAGTGCATTGCTCTTGTATCTACATTACTTAACAGATGAATTTTAATGCCTCCCATTTATTGATAGCTTTGGTATTTGTCCAATACTCTCCTAAGGTTTTAATATGCCTCAAGTAATTAAATCTTTGAAACAAACTTTTAAGCTTATTTTAGTACTATATTTTCTTTCTTTCTTTAAGATAAATCCTAATTGCCTTAATACATAAAAATCCATAGATTTATTTTTTATTATTTTTATTTTTATTTTAAATATGTAATTGTCAATGATGTGTAACATAATGATTTTATATATGTATACACTGTATAGTATCCACTTATGTTCTCTCTCTCTATCGTATAATGATTACAATAATCATTATACAATACAATACAATAATCTCTCTGTATTGTATAATGATTACAATAATCAAATTCATTAACACATCCACCACCACTCATGCTGTACATTTCATTGCCAGAACTTGTGCATCTTATAACTAAACATATGTATGCTTTGACCAATATCCTGCAATTTTTTCCCACCCCTAGGCCCCCACAACCACCATCCTACTCTTGGCTTCTATGAGTCCAACTTTTTTAGATACTATGTATAAGTGAGATCATGCAGTATTTTTTTTCTGTAGCTTATTTCACTTACCATAATGTCCTTCAGGTTCATATTGTCAAAAACACCAGGATTTCTTTCTTTTTAATGGCTGAATAATATTTCATTGTATATTATTATTACCACTCTTTATCCATTCATCCATTGATGGTCACTTAAGTTGTTTCCATATCTTGGCCATTGTGAATAATACCCTAATGCACAGGGGAGTGCAGATAACTCTTTGAGATACTAATTTCATTTCCTCTGGATACATACTGAAAAGCGAAATTGAAGATTTTATGAAGTACTAGTCGATTTTCTTGATAAGGAAACAAAGGACTAAAATATTTCAGCAAATTACTCAAGATCTAACAGGAAAGAGGCTTAGAAAAAAGACGCATGAACTTGGGTCACTCTACTGTAGAAATTAATTCTCTACAACTGCACCACAATACCTGAAGACTACGAGACAAGAGGGCTTTACCGTGGACTATTTCTATATTAAGGCCCTGCTGACAATCATTGCTGCTCTTACGCTTGAATTATTTTCCTGTTTAAGTATGTTATTCAAGGTCAAATAGCTATCTGGTAGATTCCCTCTCCTTTCTATTCAGATTCAAGCTATCATCGAATGCACGTAATAATTAGATTCAACTTTCATGAAAAAATATAAGTTACCCTTCTCTCTACTGAAGCACTCTTTCCTTCAGTCTTATAGTCAATTAAAGATGATTCAGAGCAGTGGAAATAATTTTTTAAAAAACCTGGTGTCCCCAGATGCCTAGGGTTTTAGTTTCTTTACTCTCTAGATTCTATGTTGACACTGAACCTGAAAAGTTATAATAACTTCCTGTGGAACCCTTCTGAGTTGTTGTCTTAAAGGGATGAATTAAGAGAAGAGATATTGCTTTTAACATCCACTTATGTTCTAAATTATTGGGTCCCCTTCCTATGACACACGATGGAACAGAAAGCATTTAAAATTGTAGGGCATGTTGGTGGGAGTATATGTGAGGGTGCCATTTCTGAAGGGTAGCTTGGCAACATAGATCAAACTTAAAATGTACAGACCCTATGTTGACAAGCTGGCAGCAACCTAAATGTAACTCAGTTAGAAAACTAGTTGAATAAACCATGGCAAAACAATTCAATTGATTTATAATATTTTTAAAGGATGAGGTAGATCTATATGTAAAGATGAAAAGACACTTCAGAATTTTTGGTAAGTAGAGAAACAGGTTACAAATAAGTATGTATATGTAGTCATGAGTGCGACAAATGTTTATTGAGCAATGACTAAATGCCAAGCTTTGCTCTGTGATCAGACTTGTTTCGCATGCATTTTGAGTATGCTTCTGTTTTATATATACAGAACAAAAGATACCTAGAGGGCTGTTCACATAATGATAAAAAGAATGGGATTTGGAGGGAAATTTTAATTTTATTACATTTTTTGTCAGATAGATCTCACTTCAAAAATAACTAGGATATATTTTTTATTATTAGAAAAGACAGATTCATTTAAATGAAAGGTGAAAGAACAGTCCTCTGGCCCATGGACCTTTTGCCATGATGGTTCTGCTTCAACAAGCCCAGAGGAGAAGGCAAGGGATACAGATGCCACTGATGCTCTATTTTCTCAAGAAGTGAAAAGACAAAGGCCCCTACTCATGATACTGTAAAGGGTGTCATCTTTTATGTGCAGAGAGAAGATCCAGGAAAGTTTGAGCTCACTGTTGAGTCTGTGGGGTCTGAGTGTCTGAAGTCCTCTGAGTTAGAGAAGCAGCTCCATTAATTACAGCTAATTAAATTTGTTAAAGAAGGTCAAAACCAAACAGTGTCAACAACTGTCCCCAGAGCTCAGAAGTCACTTCATTGTGCTAGACCTTAGCCAGCACTGAAATGTGCTCATCTGGCCTCTGTGAAAACAAAACAAAACAAAAACAATGCATTGATATTCACAGAAAAGATCCCTGTGAATTAGGCACACAGAAAAGATCCCTTGCGAATTAGGCACACATCTACATGGTTGGGGCCATCATCTAGACTCTGGTGATTTTCTCCCCTGATTGGTAATCATTTGGAGTAAGATCTTTAGAAAACACCAATGTGTAGGTGAAACACGTTCAAGATTCAATTAGTTTGGTTTGGGCGTGGACAGGAGCATAGTTTAGAAGCCAGTAGATAATTCTAAACATGTGCTCAACATTAAGACCACCTGGCCTTAGGGGAAGAACCCCTGCATTCTCCCTGTATTGCTTCATGTGTTTAACAAGCTTCACTCCACCCCTTCCCCAGTATATTACTCCCATTCAAGGTCAATAAGTAAAAGCACATTTTATAATATGTAGAATATGAATGGTCTGCATGAAAATAATCCGGGCCACTTGTTAAAAATGTAGAGTAAAAATTAATAAGAATTTGTGGAAATGGGTTCCTAGATCTGCATTTTAAACAGGCATTCCAGTATGCTTTTACGAAATAAAATTGAGACCCAGTGTTAAGTCCTTGCAAGTGGATGCAGCAGACATATGGTAGCTCCAATACAGGGCAAAGATTGGCAGCTGTTCAAAAAGTAGCTACTAGCATTTATTTAATAACAAAAGCATATCAGAAGATGCTAATGTACTTTCGGCCTTAACCATGTCAAGGTAGATTCTCTTAGAGCCCCACTGACTTGCTGTGCTGTGTCTTGTGGAGAACATTTACAGAATCACCATTTGGCCTAAGAGTTAAGAGTGGCTTGCTATTGGTGAAACTGTCCATGACTTACATGTCTGGTGCTTGGAGCCCTTCCATCACTCCCAGCACCACTAATAGTATACCCTGAAGCCTTTGTGAGATTCTACTTACTCTTTTTAAAGGCCCCTAATTTCACTGATGGACTTCAGCAACTTGCCCAGAGCAAGGGTTTATCTTATCTCACCTTATTGTCTTTTTTACCTACAAAGATGTCTACCCTTGTGTTGAAAGTGCTCTGAGATCTCCCTATAAAAATATTAAGTACTTAAATGCTGAATCCTGACTCCAGAAGCACAAACATTCCCCCATATCAGGGGAAAAGCTTAGGATCTTTGCTGCCAGCATGATCAGTTCCTACTTCCCTTGTGCTTAAAATAATCATGTAGGAGACAGTCAGCTCAAGGGGCACAAAGTAACATATAGTCCGGCAAAGTTAGTTAAATATGCCGAGCTGCAGAAATAAAGAGCACCAGCTAGAGAGTTGAAGACTGGGGATTATGTTGAGCATGTCAGTGTGTCTATCACTTATAAGGTAAGTCACTAGGGGCAAGGAAATTCACCTCTCTGGGCCTCGGTTCATAAATCTGTAAAATAGGAGAAGCAAAATTTGTAAAGTATTTCTCAAGAAATACAAAAGATGTTGTGAGATTAAATTGAGAAAATGATTAGAGCCTGGAACAGTGGTTCACACCTGTAATCCCAACACTTTGGGAAGCCAAGGCAGGAGGATCACTTGAGCCCAGGAGTTCAAGACAAGCCTGGGCAGCATAGTGAAACCTCATCTCTACCAAAAATTAAAAAAATAAAAAATAGCTGGGCATAGTGATGCATGTCCATAGTCCCAGCTATTCAGGAGGCTGAGGTGAGAGGATTGCTTGAGCCTAGGAGTTTGAGGCTGCAGTAAGCCATGATTGCACTGCTGCACTTCA
Source organism: Homo sapiens (assembly GCF_000001405.40). NCBI lineage: Eukaryota > Metazoa > Chordata > Mammalia > Primates > Hominidae > Homo > Homo sapiens. Next base: position 117,892,817 of record NC_000009.12, on the reverse strand, counting down.
GCCTGGGTAACAGAGCAATTCCCCATCTCAAAGGAAGAAAAAGAAAAGAAAAAATCATGACAATGCTTGGAAAATTCCAAAATCTTGTATAAAGTTCTGTATAATTTTATATGACTAGAGACAATGGTGTGCTAGCTAGTCATTCCTTAAAAAATGGGACAAAGTGACACAAAGTGCTAAGAGCAGATGTGTCCCTCAGAACTTCCAGGGAGAGTATACAGACTCTTAGGGCCCCAAAGGGAAGCTGATGTGAAAGGTGGGGGTAAAAAGAGTTATGGAAGTGTGGAGATTCAAGGTTTCTGAGTGCAAGCATGCCAATATTCTTTGGAACAAAATTGAGATCAGTTTTCAAATCAAGAGTAATCTACCCTTTCAAAACCTCCCTTGACTTGAGAGAAGCTGTAATATGTCATGGGACCCTGAGAGAACCCCACCTGGGACAGACAGGACATCTTCTTTCAGCAGTTCATGATGAAGAGGTGCTAGGCCTGCTGCAGCCGAGCAGATTGGTGACAGGTCAGCCCTTTTGCAAGGATAAGTTATTTCTTTATAAAAGTATGCTGCATGACAGATAGGGGAAGGAAACTCTAATTCACAGGCTTTTAGTAGCTGACACACTTCACATTCATAACTCACCTTTTGCTTATAGCAACCATTAAACCAGTGGCAGGAGGTTTGGGGCTTCCAAAGAGAGCAAGATGACCTTGATCAGGGTTGATGGAGAAGAGGAGAAAGAGGCAGGATGGAGAGATATTGAGATCTGCTTTTATAACAATAAAAATAGAATTAAGATCATCCAAGACCATTGCTGGATAACTGTAAAAACTTCTCACCCACACAGATAACCTGACCTTCCATGGTTACACATTAAAATCTCATAGATGATCACAGTCAAGAAAAGACTAAAAGAGAATCTAGTTTAACCCCCTCCTTCACAGAGGTCCAAAGCAAATAAGATACCTGTATACTAGGTGCATACTCAGAGTAGAGATGGTAGTATAGAGACAATTATTAAAATACATCATTTAGCAGATATGGCATTGCTATAAAGTAACTTATCATGTTACATTTTCGACTTACCTTCTTGGCCATAGCACGATCTCGGCTCACTGCAACCTCCACCTCCCAGACTCAAGCGATCCTCCCACCTCAGCCTCCCAAGTAACTGGGACCACAGGCAAGCACCACCATGCCCAGCTAAATTTTGTATTTTAGGTAGAGATGAGGTTTTGCCATGTTGCCCAGGTTGGTCTCAAACTCCTGAGCTCAAGTGATCCGCCCATCTTGGCCTCCCAAAGTGCTGGGATTGCAGGTGTGAGCCACTGTGCCTAGCCTCAATTTACCGACTGATTTGTAAATGCTAAAAAATGAAATATTTTCCTTGGTTATTTTCAATTATAGGCAAGATGAAATATGCATGTACCTGCAATGATGCTTGTATTAATTAATGTATATTAAATACATATGTCCCAGGCACTGTACTAAATGCTTCATATGGATTATCTCATTTAGCCTTTACAGGAACTCTATGAAACTGGGTGATTTGTTTTCTTATTTTGCAGAAAATAAAACAGAGGCTTACTAAAGTCAAGCCACTTGTTGGTGATCAAGCAGGGAGTGGGAGGCAGAGCTGGTATTCAAACTTATTCTGTAGGCTCTCAATAATCCTGCAGATTTGTTCAAACACTAAAGACAAGCTGCAAAGTGTAATAGCTATGAACATAAACTCTGGAGGACAAAGTGTCTGGGTTCAATATGGGCTATGCTATTTAATAGCTATGAAACCTTGAGCAAGTTATCTCACCTCTTTTTGCCTCAGTTTTCTTCATTCAAAATGGGGTTATTGTTGGCACATATGTCAGAACATTGCTATGAGGACAAATTAAGTATGCAAAGATTGTAGAACCCAGTCTGGTACATATTTTAGGCTTTACAAGTGTTAGCTAGTACTACTATTCAATGGAAAAATCAGAAAAAAAAATTAATAAAATATCATCTAAAATCTGAGCCTGCTTTTTAGGATTCAGCAAATAAATACTGAAAATATATTAAGAGCCAAGCAGTGTGACTCCTGCTGGGAAAATATGATGAAAAAGTGTGATATGATCCTCAATAACAAACATACAGGTTTGTAATAAACAAATAAGTAAACAAACCCTCCCTATTTAACCATCACAAAACCTTTTATGTATTCCACAGTTGTTTCACAGATGAGGAAATCAAGATTTAAGAGGCATACTTCCTAAAATTTATGAGAATAATGAAAGACTGAACCAGAATTTAAATCTGAGTCCTTATTTTTGTGAGTCTAAATATGTTCTCACCCATTTTGTTATCTTGCATCATAAATGTGGGTGTGTGTTCTAGTTTAAAATAGGGAAAGAAAAGACAGCTAGTGGCCAAGCTAACAAAGAGAGCCAGATTTCTGACTTCTAGTTCAAATCTCTTTTACCCACAAAATTGGTAAGGAATACGCAAGAACTAAAAACTATAAAGAAAATACTGAAATTGTCAAAGCTATTTAGATATCAGAACTGAATTTTAGCTTGTTTGGATCAAATTACAGAAGGAAATTTTACCCGTATCTGATGGACAGCCTATCCATCCATACTGTCTACCATGCACCTCTTTCCACAACCATGAACACGACAGCCAATTATCTTAACAATGAACAAAGGTAGCATAACTTCTACATCACACCCTATACAAGGATGAACTGCACATGAATTCAATTCTTAAATAAGAAGGATAAAGTAATTAAACTTTTAAAAGAAATAAGACTTAGGAAGTATTTTGAAAATCAAGACAAAAAAATCATAAACCACAAAGAAAAACACTGGTGGATTTTAATACATCAAAATTAAATATAACTGTTTAACACATGACATTATAGACAAAGTTAACATACAGGTGTCATATTCAGAGAAGATAATTGCCAAATTAATGACTGATAAAGAATTAACTATATTTCCTGAAAAATAGAAAAAAAACCTACAATGCCCCCCAAAAAAGCGGGAAAATTATTTTGATAGTACACGAGGACAAATATGAAAGGTTACTTACTTGGAAAATATCCTCAGTCCCAATTCTGATAAGAATAATGCAAATTACGGCAGTAATAAGACATGATTTTACAAAATCAGAATGGCAACAAGAAGAAAAACCAATTCTGCATGATTGTGATTATAGGCCAAAATGGTAACCCTCATACACTGCTGATGGGAGAGACATAAGCTAACAAGCCACACTGAAAAATCTCACATGACATTTATCTCATTAGTTTGCCTATAATTTAAAGAATAGCAACTGTACTCTTACGTATAGGCCTGTGATAAACTTTTACACAGATGCGCAAAAAGCCATGGATTCCATTGTACACCGTCCATATTTCAGACAGGGTCATAAAGAGTTGGGTGCAATCTAGGGTCTATCAATAAGAGAGCAGATTAATTAAATGAAACACATGTCCAAGAGATATACTAAATGATCAGAAAGACTGAGGAATATATATGTGGTGATGTTTGTTTCCCAAACTATGATGTTAAGGAAAAAAACCTTATGAAAATAATATTTGCAATATAATACAATTTGTCATAATTTAAATGTCATAAATATGCACATCAAACCATATATTTTTCATACTTTCATAACATAAATCAATATATAAAAGTATATTGGAAGGAAATAATTGAAAATAAAATTTATAGGTCTCTGTCAGGAGAGGGAAATAATATTATAAATGTAAAATGCAGAGAAAGTAATAAACTACATGATGACTGTGTATTATGAATATTAAAGTAGCTGTGACTATCTGAAGTAAAAAGAAAAAATAAGGATTTATATATAATAATAATTTACTATTTATTGTGCACTTACTATGTGCCTGACTCTGCACTAGGCCCTTTCCATTAATTATCACATTTAACTCTAGCAAAACACTAGGAAGCAATAGCTATTTTACAAAGGAGGAAACTGAGGCACCAGGGAGCAAAACTGTCGAAGGTTACAAGGACAATTAATACCTAGGTTGCCATTTTTAAAATCAAAAAACTGTTTTCATTTTCCTATCTCTTGACTATTTCAAGGGAGAGTCCTACCTGGAAGTACACAGAAGAAGATAATAAAGTAAAAACCGATTTCAGCCTAGAGCTCCTATGAATCATTTAGTTTTGAATTTCCAAATGCTAATCACCTTGAGGAATCTACCGAAGCCCAACAAAAGCTAATCTTTGATATACTATGCTCCTTTTTACATAAGAAGACAATGAATGGGGATGAGACCTCGAACTCTTACCCTTGTGTTTGGTCCATGTTAGGTACCAAGTGATTGCTCTCCAAATGAGAAAATGGCTCAATCAAGAGATATGCTTAAGTTGGGGCTGAAGTAGAATATAAAACAGGTCAAGTTTTAAACAATAAGCATGTTAAGACAGAAAATATTTGAGTTAGAAACTAAATTAAAGGTTTCATCACAAATGGTGAAATCACAAAGGGTTTAATTTATTTGGACATTTGAGTAGCCATTATAAGCAATTGTCCAGACAGAATCAGTATAAAATGTTAGATGTATTTCCATCAATGACTGGAATTTAAAACCACAGAACTAAGCAGGTTAAACGCCAAGGTTGGTTTTCAGTCAGCACCACAAACAGCTGCAATAGGCCTTACTAAGGCCCTTGCCCTGTATCAGCCGCCCATAGTTTCTGCCAGCCTAATCCATGATGCTATCCCCTGAGCATTAAAGAGTTTATGTTTCTTGAGTCAGTCTTGTGCTTTGGTCTAAGAATTTTCAAGCTCTCAGAATCCACAGCCTGTGTGATGGATACACGCTAAGGATAGGTGTACAGTTTAGCTTGGAGTTTCATGTTTGAGAAGCTGACTGTAGGGAGAACCTGAGAGTCATCTCCCTTGGGATATTGACTCCCTTGTCAATATCCCTTTCTTTAGGGCCTACCTTCTTTTTCTCTCCGCACTATATCTGAGGCAGTGGTACTAATGCTTAAGATGGAAACTTCATCCACTACATTTAGTGAGGATAGAAAAGCGACTCTCATTAAACCCAAACTTTGTAACAGAAATGCTGAAGTCTTATGCAGAGTGTCAAGTTTGTCTCTGTGTTTCCATTCAATAGCCGTTTTTCTGTCAATATGCAATGTTTCCCAATTCAAAGGATAACCAAAGAAAGAAGATTCTTTATGAGAGAGTAAGCAGAGATGAGTCATATCACAGGCAGAATAGAGACAAAAAGAGAGCAACCACAGAAGGTGGCATGCAGCTGGGAAAAGTATAAGGGAATAAATAATAAGATGTGGATTCTGTTTCTGAAATTCCCAATAACAAGCTGGCTGGTTTTGGATTGTCATTTAACCTCACTGTGCTTTAGTTTTCTTACATGTCAGATGGGAATAGTAAGAACTGCCTTTATGTCTCATAGGACTATTGGAAGGAAATAAGATAAGGAAATAATATAAATAAGAAAATGTTATATAAACTGCTATTGAAACTCGATAGATTATTATTAATGACAATGTGTGGCGATATAATGTCTTTTAATTGATAATGGCTATGATATGTCAGGAGAAAATTCTATTCTCACCTATGTAAGAATAAAATAGTAAGGGAAGTAAAAGTGTAAACATAAGACATTTAGGAGATATTCCTTCAAGATGCAATTGAAAGATATTTCATAACATACAGAGAATCATAATAATGTGAGAAGAGCTAACAGAATATGTCCTTTAAGGCCAAGAAAATATAGAGAAACTCGGGACACCAAAGAAATAGTTAGATTACTTCCTGGGGGAAGTGAGATTGTGTGGTGAGAAAGAGAAAACCTAGCACAAAGAGAGAACATAAGAAGCTAATAATGGAAAAATCTATGAGGATCTGATGGGCTATCTCTGCTTCCCTGAAGAGAAGTTTGTCAGATGGTGTTAATGAGCACTTCAGGTGTGGGCACATAACGGAAGGATTACATTCCATGTGTTCACCCATGTGTCTTTTATGAAATGAGACTAGTGTAAAAGTATTGAGGGAATCTTAGAGTTAAAGAGTCTCAGAGATTGACTAGCAATTCTCTGCTTCATTCAGAAATTATTAACATGCGTTTTCCTATTTTCAGAGACAGGAAGCTTATTACATCACAAGGTACTCAATTGCATGATCATAACACACCTTTTGTTCAATAGCTCCTCTTTATGTGGAGCAGACATTTGCATTTGTGCCATGTCTAACAAGTGGCTTATTCTATATATCACATATATTCTTATTCCACTCTCCCCCCAGCATTTTCTGAGTCTCTACCCTGTACCAGGCACCACACTCATCAGTAGAGATTTAAAAATGGAAAAATATATACTTAAATAATCAAAAATCTAGAATGCAAAAAATGATTGTAACTATGGACCCTCCTCTGGAGTCCTTCAAATACTTGAATGCAATAGCTATGTCTTTCCTTGATATTTTATTCTGCTACATAAATATATACAGTTTCACCAAAAATTACTTTTTTAATATTGTTTCCAGATATTCTCACCTTCTCATTACTTTTTCTTTTCTGGACATGATCCCATTTTTCAAAGTCCTTCTTAAAATATGAGACCCAATATCTTAAAGGTAAATAAATAAATTTCTTTAGAATATACGGTTAGATAGAAGTTTTGAGTCCTAATGTTTAAAGCTGAGTACAGTGACTATATTTAGCAACAATGTATTGTATATTTCAAAGTAAGTAGAAGAGAGAATTTGAAATGTTCTCAACATATAGAAATGACAAATACTCAAAGTGATGGAAACTCCAAATATTTTGAGTTGTTCATTACACATTCTATGTATGCAATGAATTATCACATGTACCACCGAAATATGTAAAATATTATGCATCAATTAAAAAGAAATATGATATTAGGCACTTACAAAGGATGTTTCTTAATCACAATAAAAAACAAACTTGGGACTCACAGATCGCCCAGCTTTTACAGGAATCATTACCAAATTTTTAATAGTAGAGAACAGTTGTGGATTTTAGTGATTTGGGTAGTGGTGGTATAATAAGATAAACTGACCTCACAGTAAAACAATCTGGATTTGAATCTTGTCTCTATCATTTATTAGCTGTAATACCTTGGCTAGGATACCACTCTCTAAAAGTGTTTGATTATGGTTAAATAGGAATATTATCTACCTGTTTCATAGAGTACTGAAAAGAAAAAAAAAACAAAGTGAGATTATATCTATGGAAGTGCTTCATAAACAGTAAAACGTAATGCAAATGTAATATGGCACTGCTATTCTTATAATCAAGTGGGTTTATGCAGAACAAAATGTTCCATTCTGTAATTACCCAAATTCAATAAAAATGTGTTATATTCTAACAAATTAAAATTCTTGTGGTAGTAATAGCCTCCATTTATTGAAGGCTTATTATGTGCCAGGCAGTGTGCCAGGTGCTTTACAAACATTATCCCATTTGCTTCCTGTAATATAGACAATGCTATGAGTTTACCAAATCCGTTTTGTTTTCTTTTTAGGCACACAGCAAAGCTACATTTTCCGACTTTACCTGTAGTTATTTGGGGGAATGTGACTGAACACTGATCCACCCAGGCCTGCCCATAAAATATCCTGCATGATCTTCTGTTCTGTCTTATTTCCCAAACACTTTTTGGATAGAAATAATCAGGTCGATCCCTGTTGTCATGCACTAAAACGATTGAGGATTATAGGTTCTTCTGTCAGACTTGGTTCTTGAATGATGTTATAAATCAGAGTCTCCTCCCACAAGCTCCCATACTAACCTGACATACTGGAATGTGTTGTGGGCAAGAAATAAAGTTCTTTTTTTCTTTTGCTGGTTTAAGCTACGTTAGTTGTTAATTACTTGTGCTTAAGTAGGGAGAACATCTTGAAAATATAAAGTTGCCATTGAAAAAGCACAGTAGTCATCCTTAGCTGCAGGTCTGGAGTGGTCATATGGGCCAGTTTGGTATAGTGCTTAAGAGTATGAACTCTTGAATAAGATAAATATGCACTCCTAAATCAGCATTACTATTTCCATATCTAGAAAATTGGAATTAAAAGCAACCATCTAAATAAAAATATTTTTATCTATGTGCATATTTATTCCACAAATATTAACTGAGTTCTTTTCTAGCAAATTAACACAAAGCAATGAACAAAGTAGTCAAAAATCACTATGGTCAGAAAAGAAAAAAATGAAGTTCTTAAGTTTAGTTGTTTATTACAGAAGCTCAATATCAATTATCCCGCCTATTAGAGTTCCTTCAAATATTTACTCTATGCCACAATCAGGAAAGAATTTCTATAAGACTACCACTATATCTATCAACCAACAATACGTTGGCTTATGAACTTCATTTTTTTTTGTTTTCTGACCATAGCGATTTTTGACTACTTTGTTCATTGCTTTGTGTTAATTTCCTAGAAAAGAACTCAATTAATATTTGTGGAATAAATATGCACATAGATAAAAATATTTTTATTTAGATGGTTGCTTTTAATTCCAATTTTCTAGATATGGAAATAGTAATGCTGATTTAGGAGTGCATATTTATCTTATTCAAGAGTTCATACTCTTAAGCACTATACCAAACTGGCCCATATGACCACTCCAGACCTGCAGCTAAGGATGACTACTGTGCTTTTTCAATGGCAACTTCATATTTTCAAGATGTTCTCCCTACTTAAGCACAAATTCTGTGATTCAAAATAATAGGCATCAAGGGCCAATAAGTTACTTCTAGATCATCTAGTGAAGTCAAGGGATCAATATCGGCTTAACAATAACAGATTTCTTTCCATTCTCCTTTACTAACCAGCCAGAATTTGGTGCCTTATGGACCAGTGGTCCCAGAAGACTAAATAAGAAAGTCAGAGGAAAAAAGTAAGAAAATGAAATGTTTAAGAAAGGGATAATCTTACTAATCTTCATTTTCTCTAAGCTACTGTAAGACATAAAGGAAAAAACTAATATTAATTAAATCCATTAAATCACATTTAACACTAATAGGAACATAAAAACTATTATTTTCCTTATTACTCTAGATGAAATCTTGAGATTTAACAAGATGAAGGTTATCATACTGGTTCACAGAGCTGTTACATGGTACAGCTTAATTCTAATCTAGTTCTTTGGACTTAGATTGGCTCTGCTGTTAAGGGGCCAAAAAGTCTTGGGCAGTTTAGCTTTTTGAGACTTCAGTTCCCTTAAGTGTATGATGGTGAGATATGGTAAGAGAGTTGTTAGTATTAGATGATTAATGAATTATTATAATGCTTTCATCATGACTTTCACATAGTAAATGTTCAAAATGTGAAATAATTTGCATCGTCATTAAACATATTCCAGTCAATATCTTACTGAAAGCTTTTTGATGCTAAAGACTTCATCTTACTCCATAGTATTTGTAGTTTAATGATGAGTAATTTTCTTTTGCTGGATTTATTTTATTAAATTAATATAGATTTTTCAAGCATATACTAAGAGCAATGCACAATGCCAGATATTAGGGATACATATACAATTAAGGTAAACTTCACCATTTAAATCTCATTAAAGTTACATACCATTGGTGACACTTAGTGACAAAAAGGGACAGAGAAGAATAACAATAAAATTAACAGACCCAACACAGCATTTTTTTTTTGAGACAGAGTTTCACTCTGTCACCCAGGCTGGAGTGCAGTGGTGTGATCTCGGCTCACTGCAACCTCCTCCTTCCGGGTTCACGCCATTCTCCTGCCTCAGCCTCCCGAGTAGCTGGTACTACAGGCACCTGCCACCACACCTGGCTATTTTTTTGTATTTTTAGTAGAGATGGGGTTTCACCATGTTGGCCAGGATGGTCTTGAACTCCTGACCTCATGATCCGCCCACCTCGGCCTCCCAAAGTGCTGGGATTACAGGTGTGAGCCATCACGCCCGGCCAGCATTTTTTTTTTAATATAAAAGACCTCTATGTGAAATGCAACTTAAATCCATAATAAGAGGAGACTTCCAAATTCAAAATCCACATTTAAAAAGCTTGAAAGCCATCACCATTGGTCTTACAACAAGATACACCAAACAATCTGAAAATCAAGGACTTTTCCTGGAATCAGCAGAGAGTGGAAGCTGCAGGGTAAATTTTCACCCTAAAATCTGGAGAGACAGGTTTATACACAGAGGCAACCAAGAGTTGCTTATGTGGGGCAGAAGCTACTAAAGCCATAAATTAGCAGGAACACATAAATGATAGTTGTATTAGTCCATTCTTGCATTGCTATAAGGAAATACATGACACCGGGTCATTTATAAGGATAAAAGATTTGATTGATTCACAATTCCTCAGGAAGTACAGAAAGCATGGCTGGAGCGGCTTTGGGAAACTTACAGTCATGGTGGAATACAAAGGGGAAGCAGGCAGATCTCATGACAGGAGGAGGAAGAGAGAGAAGGGGAAAGTGCTACACCACGCTTGTCAAACCCACAGCCTGTGAGTCGCATGCAGCCCAGGATCACTTTGAATGTGGCCCAACACAAATTCATAAACTTTCTTAAAACATTAGGAGATTTGTTTTGCAATTTTCTTTTTTAGCTCATCAGCTATTGTTAATGTTAGTGTATTTTATGTGTGTCCCAAGACAATTCTTCCTTTTCCAATGTTGTCCAGGGAAGCCAAAAGATTGGACATCCCTGTGCTACACACTTTAAACAACCAGATCTTGTGAGAACTTGCTCACTATCATAAGAACAGCATGGGGGGACTTCGTCCCCATGATTCAATCACCTCCCACCAAGCCCGTCCTCCAACATTGAGGATTACAATTTGACGTGAGATTTGAGCGGGGATACAGAGCCAAATCATATCAGTAGTTTTGACAAATAGGAGGAGAAAGTGTAGGTTAGCATGAGAATTAGAAATTCCTGAATATTACAGTCACAGAAGTGCCTCCATAAGTTTATGGGCTTTATCTCCAAGAACCCTAACAGGTTATTAGAGTGAAAATATGAGAAAAAGCCCCTTAGGGCTCTGGCTGGGAGAGGAGAATTTATCAATGGGAAATACACTCAGAACGTTCTCCACAACAAAGGCCTAATCCATGTGGTGAAAATATTTTGTGAGAGCCTTGTCATAGTTTGGGGAACGGCATTCCTCCCACTCCAGCTTCTTTAGCCTCCTGTGATGGCTAATACTGACTGTCAACTTGATTGGATTGAAAAATGCACAGTATTGATCCCGGGTGTGTCTGTGAGGGTGTTGCCAAAGGAAGGTGGCTACACTAAACACCAGATTTTCAAAGTAAACAAAACAGCATGAGAGTCAGCATGTCCTTTGAAGCTTCGAAGCTAAACATTGACTACTGCTCTCTAGAAAACTCCAAGATGACACATTTTTCCAAAATCATGCTGTTTTGTCTACATTGAAAATCTGGTGTTTAGTGTAGCCACCTTCATTTGTGATCTTAGGTAGAGCTCCTGAATAATTTGTTGCAACTTCTATATCAGCACTTGCGGCTTCACCTTGTACTTTTATGTTATGGAAAGACCTTTCTTCCTTAAACCTCATGAACCAACCTCTGCTAGCTCCCAGTGTTTCTTCTTTAGCTTCCTCACTTCTCTCAGTCTTCATAGAATTAAAGAGAGTTAAGGCCTTGTCTTGGATTAGGCTTTGACTTAAGGAAATGTTGTGGCAGTTTGATTTATATAGACCACTAAAACTTTCTTCATATCAACAATAAGGCAATTTTGCTTTCTTCTCATTTGTGTGTTCACTGAAGTAGCACTTTTAATTTCCTCCAAGAAACTTCCACAACTTGACTGCTTGGTTCAAGAGATCTATCTTTTGGCCTGTCTTGGCTTTCTACATGTCTTTTTCACTAATCTTAATCATTTCTACCTCTTAATTTAAAGTGGGAGACATGAGACTCTTCCTTTCACTTGAACACACATTGTTATGTTTCAAGCAATAGGGACAATTCCTTAAAATTAAACATTTCAATAAGAGAATATAATCAAACCACTATAGTTTCTATAATTCACATATTAATTCTTGAGGGCAAATAGTGGTAGACTGTACAGCAGAGATCATCAAATCAACGTGTAAGTCAACATGAAAAAAAGCCATGAGGAGGGGAGGGAAAGAACAGCTGGTTGGTGAAGCATAGAACACACACAACATTTGTCAATTAAGTTAACTGTCATATATGGTTACAGTTTGTGGTGCACCAAAACAATGATTAGAGAAACATCAAAGATCACTGATCACAGATCACCAAAATAAATACAATAATAAAAAAAAAAATTGAAGTGTGAGAATTACCAAAATGTTACACAAAGACATGAAGTGAGCATATGCTACTGGAAAAATGGCACTGATATATTTGCTTCATGCAGGGTTGCTACAAACGTTTAATTTTAAAAAATTGCAGTAGCTACAAAGTACAATAAAGTAAAACACAAGAAAACAAGGTTGGCCTGCATGGCAGCTTTATTTGTAATAACCAGAAAATTTTGAGAAAACCTGAATTTATTTCCACAGGTGAATGAATAAACAAATTGTGGTATAGTCATGTAACAGAACACTTCTCTGCAATATAAGAGAACAAACTATGGTAGGTGCAACAATATGGATAAATCTCCAAAACTTTATGTTAGTGATAGGAAATAAACAAAAAAGTGCATGTGCATGATTCCATTTATATAAAGCTCTAGAAAATGAAAATTAATCTCTGAGGACAGAAATTGGATCAGTGGTTTTTCAGTATTGGGAGTAAAGAGACAGATGGGCTATAAAGAACACAAAAAAACTTTTGGAAGTGATAGAAAGGTATATTATCTTTATTGTGGCAATGGGATCACAAGTACATATGCACAACAAACTGTGTTTGTACAACTTATAGTACATCAATTATACTTTAAATTGTTTTAAGAAATAAGAATTTTTAAAAACGTACTCTATATTGTCAATCACATCTAATTTGTTTCTCAAGCAACGGATTGCCAATAATTACAATAGTTTGAAAGGTATTTTAATCCATTCTATCTTTAAATGAAATATTAAAAGAAAGGCATATACAAGTCAGTCCTCCATAACCATAAGTTCTGCATCTGTGAGTTCAACCAATCACGGATCAAAAATATTTAGAAAAAGATTCATGAAGTTCCAAAAAGCATAACTTGATTTTGCCAAGCACTGAGTACTCCATTGAATCCACATGAATGAAGTGATGTGTAGGTCTTGTATTAGGTATTTTAACTGATCTAGGAACAATTTAAAGTGTATAGGAGGATGTTTGTAGGTTATATGGAAATATGATGCCATTTTATACCAAAGACTTGAGACTCTTTAGATTTTTGTATCTATGCAGAGTCCTGGAAACAGTCTGCAGAAGATACCAAGTGATGACTGTATAGGCAGTAGATTAAAATGGAGCTACTCTTCTTAAAATGAGGCTAGGTGGCCTGAAATTTCCAGTCTTACTGTCCCTTACTTTCCACCCCAGCCCTAGCACACCTGCATTTCCCCCTAGAGAGCCTGGTCTCTTATAAAATAGACATCTAACTCCATGTTTTTTCTAGAAATCTGCAGGTCCAATTATGCCAATCAATTACCATAGCAATCTCAGTGATGACAGTAGCTCATGATTGACTTGGAAAAGTCATTTATTTCTCTGGATCTCAATTTACCCATATTAAAAAAAAGAGTGATGAATCTTACTACTTATAAATTCTTGAACATTATTAGTGCTAAATAATTTTTATATATAGTTAATAAATTTGTACTCTATTGTCAATCATGTTTATAATTATGTTATATATATTAACATTTATAGTTAATATATATATACCTTATATATATAATTTTGTGTGTGTATATATACACACACATAAGTGTATATTACACATGTATGTATATTACACACATAATATACACATAAGTGTATATTAAAAAACCTCTCAAAGTTCAATGTGGGAAATAGAAATCAATCTAAATATTTCCAACATAAAATGATTTAATACAGAGAACTATACTCTTATAAAACCTTTGGAAGAACAGGATTAGAAAAGGTCAGGGAAGATGCTAATACCAGAAAGTACTAGTATCTCCAACAATTTTTGCTAAGCATATCAGTTACTAAGAGCATCAAAGTAAGTAATTTATAGGATAACAAACATGAGCTACTGACAAAATATCATATCTTCTTCTGACAAAGCCCAGCACCACCTACTGCTAGAGTAATCATGGCTTCTTCTTTTTTTTTTTTTTTGACCTTCCAAATACCTTGCCAGTACCTTTTAACCTTGTAAAAGTTAAGCTAGAATGGGATGATAAAGAAGTCTAGGAAATGTGGATTTTAGCCTTCTACTTGCTATGAGACAGAAAATGGCCTAATATATGGTAAGATGCTAACAGATAATCTAATGTAGGCAGTATTTAATGTGATAAAGGACAAAAGTATAGTGCAAGTAAAAAAGAAAACCTAATGAACAGTTACAAAATGTTTGTCCAATAAATAAATGAATATGTTCAATGTAGATTGAAATTACTAGAGCAGACATTATTGAAAAAACTGAATCAGATAGGAGTCTTGAAATGTGTGAAGATTTTCATTTTAAAAAAGTCAAGTAGACAGCTCCATGTATCAGTTGACTTTTGGTGTGTAACAAAACACTCCAACTTCGGGGCATTAAGCAGCATCTTTAAGTTATCTCACAATTCTCTGAGTCAATGATTTACTCTGGGCTCTGTTGAGAAGCTCTTCTGATCTCCTCTGAGTTCGCTCATGCAATTGTGGTCAACTGCTAGATTGCCTGAGGGCTAGTTTATCTAAGATGCCTTCAGCTGGAATGGTTCAGTTCTGTTATATGTGGTCTCTTCTTCTCCAGTCCACCAGACTTATCTGATTATCCTGGCACTTGTCTGGTTTCCAGGAGAGAGAGTGGAAACACACAACATCTTTTGGTGAGTGGGTTATGGAAGTCACAGCATGTCAATTCTACGGCAACCTATTGGTCAAAACAGGTGACAACTCTAGTTGTCCAGATTCAAGAATTAGAGAAACAGAGCCAAATTTTAAAGGCTGTGGATGCAGAAAGCCTGAAGAATCATGAGCATTGTTTTTATTGCATACTATACTATCTTCTGATAATTAATTCAGCCAATATTGTTAAGCTACATGGACAGGAGTGTTGTTTGTAGGATGGAGGATTAGGGAATGTTGAAGATTAGTTACGTGAACATAGTTTAATTCTGCAGTGTTAGGTAGTATTCGGTTTATAGACTCTTTTACTCTGAATATTAGATGTAAATGAAAGCAAATATCTTACTCAATGGCTTTGGTTTTTTTAAAATTTTTTTTATTTCCATAGGTTATTGGGAAACAGGTGGTATTTGGTTACATGAGTAAGTTCTTTTGTGGTGATTTGTGAGATTTTGGTGCACCCATCACCAGAGCAGTATACACAGCACCATATTTGTCGTCTTTTATCCCTCATCCCCTTCCCACACTTTCCTCCTGAGTCCCCAAAGTCCATTATGTTCTTCTTATGCTCAATGGCTTTGTTTTTAGGTGACAAACATTTGACCCCGAAATGTTTTTGTTTGTTTGTTTGTTTGTTTGTTTGTTTTGAGAGGCAGTCTAGCCCTGTTGCCCCCGCTGGAGTGCAATGGTGTGATCTTGGCTCACTGCAACCTCTGCCTCCCAGGTTCAAATGATTCTCCTGCCTCAGCCTCCCGAGTAGCTGGAATTGCAGGCGCCCACCACCACACCCAGATAATTTTTGTATCTTTAGTAGAGACAGGTTTTCACCATGTTGGCCAGGCTGGTCTCGGACTCCTGACCTCGTGATCCACCCGGCTTGGCCTCCCCAAGTGCTGGAAATACAGGCATAAGCCACCACGCCGGGCTGACCTGGAAGTGTTAAGTAAATTTCTCAAGGTCGTACATCCATCGGGTGTATTCAAATGGGACTGAAATCCTACACACGTCTGTTAATCTGAGACTGTAAATGTCAAGAAAAAAAAATCATTTTTATTTTTCTGGAGTACAATGTAAATGTATAAAACCTACAGGTAGGGGTCTATTTGTGTTTGTGTGCTTTCAGTACATGCAGACACACGCACTCTACACACACACATACACACAATAGGAAAAGGAGATATAAAAGTACCACTCTGCATAGGCCTATTGCCCAATTTTAATTTGGCTCTCCTCCTAATTTCTTTTATACCTGGAGCAGAAGTTATTCCCAGAGCTAATTCATACATACACTCTTTAGCACATGCCATCTGCTTCTGAAACCTGTGGCTGCACACAACACGTGTCCTGTAAGGTAAGTAGTTTCTGATCTCAATCTAGAATTAATGTAGTTCCTGCTTTTCTTTAGGAAAAATATAGAAATAAGTAACAGTAATCCTTTTATACAGCCATCTCCTCCTGCTTAGGAAAGACCCTCACAAGCGTACACAAGATGTACCCTCACAATAGTCTCATTGATGTATTCTCCAGAGTGCTTATTGATTTGCACTGAAGATATTGAATCTCCAATTAAAAGAAAAAAGTCCAAATTAGGGGAAAGACCTGTGAAATTATTTTAAATAATATTATAAACTAGTAATAGTTTGTATAGTGTAAGGTTACTAAGTAAAGCAGCCATGGCTTTTAATTCCATTTTCTGGATTTTTAAAATGTTGCAATCTTAGATAATTCAACATGTGTGAGCTCCAGTTTCCTCATCTTCAAAAAGAAGTGGGTGGGCAATAACAACAGTTATGCATCATCTGAATATTGTAATCATCCCTAGCGATAGATGCATGTGAAACATTAAATTCAGTGCATGGTACAAAGTAGATATTCGAATGTTAGCCAAGTATATCATTATATTATTAAACTGAAAAAGTCAATAAAATGATATAATTAAACAACCATAGTTGCTGTAATTCACAAATTAATTGTTGAGAGCAAATAGGGGTGGATTCTGGATAGCAGAGACAACAAAATCAATGTATGGATTAACGTGAGTAAAACAGCTTCCTATCATTGTGCTAGGTTTTGTGCCAGAAGCTTCACATGCGTTGTTTTTACTGAGTCCTCTTTAATAATCCCATTTCACAGATAGGAAAACCGAGACTCAGAGAAGTTAGATAAATAGGCTATGGTCTTAGGGTTAAGAAGTAGGACAGCTGGGATTTAGCCTTTGATTTTAAAGATGATTGTAGATTTATCATTTGTTTTTATTTACCCACATTACTTTCTGTGTCATTCTGTCATGTTTAACCTAGATAGAACACAGCCCTGGGTCTGGACTTCCACACTTTTGCTCCAATAAGTGTTCAGTTATATAATGTCCAATAAAAACATTTTTTGAGTTCCTTGTATAAATTGACAAGGTCAATAAACTTGAGTTGCAATTTTTTCTCCTGAGACGCAGACCAGATAGGAAAACCAGAGCTCAGACAATTCTGAGAGTTAAGTAGTAATGAAAAATATCAGGGAGGTTCTGGAGACAAGGGGAATGATCTTGGGGTCTGAAGCCTAGAGATCACATTTCTCGGTGCTAGTTCATGAGTGCTAGGAAAAGCCACAGCAAGTAGAATGTCCCAGCACTATGAACAAATGACATTACAATGTACAGAGGATGAGATTGGAAGGCCATACATGCTGCTCTCTGGAATTCTTACTCTAAGAAGCCTTGCCTGTTTTACATTGTCGTAGGAGGTACAAAAGAAATAATTGATTGCTTCAATGTATTTTCTCTCGGGGGCATTTTTGCCATTTCAGCTTCAAGACTAATCAATCGACGAAGCCATGGCTGTGACAAACCTAAACTTCACATGTCTTAACAGATCTGCATACATAGTAAGTTCTACCTAAATACTTGTGGCTGATGATAGAAAAGTGTGTTCATCTAGAAAGAGCCAGGGACTCGAATTAGGAAGAGCTAAGTTAAAAACTTGTGTACACCAATTCACTTTAACTTTTCAAATGTTTCCTCATCTGTATATCAAGCTTAGAGCATTGCTTAGGGTGATAAAAGGAGGTAAGAATTATGAAATTACTATTCATATTTTCCATAAAAATTCTTTGGTTTATTCCTTTCTGTTCATCTATGTTACATATTCCTAAAAAGAAGACTAAATCTATACCCAGTAGTTTCAATGCTTGGGTTCTATTTGCAGATTATCAAAGAAGTCTCTCCTGACAATCCATTTGATAGAACTGCAATACATTTTAATTGCCACCTGCGTTCTTCGGGGCTCTGTTGCCTGTATTTTGGGGACGCTTTTCAAAGAGGAGTAGAAGTTAAAATATTTTGCAGCTGCTCTGTGACATAAACCAGGAAGGCAGTCATCATCTTTATAGTTTCCTCTTCCTACCTGCCACCTCTAGTCATTCACCTGCTCAGTGAATCTCTACATTTCTCTCTATCTCCTCGGTACCTATCCTAGCCCTCTTGCACTTGCACAAGGATCTTCAAAATTGTCTTTCCATTTCCAGTTTTATTGCCTTCGAGACACTTCCTTACATTGCAAGTAAAGTGATCACTTAAAGAGCACATGAAAAATACTATGACCACAAGGGTCATGAAAACTCCTTAGCTTAATATCCTTACACAGCTTCTCTTTGCTTTTAAGAGAAAACTTAAAACTCCTAAACATCATTACAAGACCCTCCATAGTCTGACCCTGCTCATTTCATCATTTTACCTCTCCAACTTACTCTCTGCTCCAGCTCTACTAAACTCCCTGTTCTATGAACTTCCCCTGCTCCCCCTGCCTACGCTGTTAGACACTTTTGTTCTCTCAACTCTTCAGGTCCTGGAGCAAATGTCACTTTATGGAGTGGTTCACTAAGCCCGAGACCAGTGGAAAACCCTCTGCTACACTGTCCTATATCTTCCTGTACTTCCCCTATTATAATGTTCCGTGCTTTCCACATGTTTAGAACTCAAAAATTATCCGCTGAAAGAATTGGTGAATATGCAAGTTCACTTCCTGATTTTTAACCAGTTTGTATTTTTCGCTCACTTCAGAGATCATCAGTGCCTCAAAGAATTAAAATGAGGACAGTTCAGTCAACAGAGTGACAATTTTTTTTATCTCTAGATTTCCTTGTTCTCAAGAATTGAATAAATGAGTGAGTGAATGAATGAATTTATATGAGTAATACTCAACAGCAGACTTTACTAGTTCAATTCTCCCTTTCCAGTGAGCCATGAGATATGCTCAAATACAGACCAAATAGATCATCAGTGACACAAAAACATACCTTTTTGGCTCTAGTGACCAAGCTGAGAAAGTAGAGACTCAAGTTTTTCTGTGACAAGCAGAAAAGTGAATGAGGTCCTTTCATTTGCCTTCCCTGACCCTGCTTTGTATCTCTGGCCCCTCAGGTTTGAGTTGTGAAAAGATCTGGCTGCTTAGAAAGATATAAGACTGTGAGTTAATTTATAAGATTGTAGACAGCTAGAGAGTTAATTTAATTGAAAGATATAATTACCAGGTGTTGAAGGCAAAGGGGTTCATTAATTTCACAGACACTCTGTTGACTGAACTGTCCTCATTTTAATTTTTCATGACACATCAAGGAGGAAGACACCTGTGGGTCATGAGAATGGACCAATCCTGAACTTGCAGGCACTTACATCCCACCCAAGGGGCAAATAATCTGTCAGAAGTAGAAGGCTAAGTTGTTTTCTACTGTTCAAAACTCCTCTTTGTAAAACTCTATCATAATCCTCCATCTACCCTTTGGGCTCCATGAAACCCTTCATAATCCAGCCTTTGTTTACTTCTCCTGCCTCAATATTTGATACCCTTCCCCATTCCTGTTCTGTTTGAAATATTTTGAACAAATAGTAAAACTAATAATTATTGGTATAATAATCATTTTAATTATTACTACTGCTATTAGTATTTACTACATTCTTAGTATGCACAAAACACTGCTATACGCACTATATTCACATTAGCTTATGTGGTCCTCCTGACTGCTGTGGTAGGTGCTAATTTTAAACGTGAGAAAAGTGAGTATGGGACCAGTCAAATTACTTGCCCCAAATCAAGCACCTAATAAAAGCAAACCCTAAGTTATACTGGAGGACCAAACTCTGTCTTTTAAAATGCAAGGGTTTTGTTGTTGTTGTTGAATCCTATCCTACATTCGTCTGTGCATTCTTTGAGGGCAATTGGTGTGTCTCCAACAACCAGCAGAGCGCTTGGCACTTAGAAGGCTGTCAAGTAACCTGCTGGGTGAAGAACAAAGGAACTTTCCTTTCTTTACTTAATTATAGCAGTGCTAGCATCTAGGAGAGAAACGTTGGCTATATAGTCGTCATAACCCAGCTAGAGATGGAAATGGCAGTACTTCCTAAAACAAATATCTCAAAGGACCAGGGTCCTTGCAGCGAAGTCCACAGAAATGCTCAAAGTAGGATCAGCACAGAATTTATCAAGGACATACTGAGCAGCTTGATGGAAAGAGCTTTCCACATTATTCTGCTTGTCTTGGCCATACAAGCCAGGTATTCTTACTTTAATAATACACTTTTTTTTTTCCTTGAGACGGTGTCTCGCTCTGTTACCCGGGGTGGAGTGCAATGGTGCAATCTGGGCTCACTGCACCCTCTGCCTCCCGGGTTCAAGCGATTCTTGTGTCTCAGCCTCCTGAGTAGCTGGGATTACAGGCATCTGCCACCAGCCCAGCTAATTTTTATATTTTTAGTAGAGACAGAGTTTCACCATGTTGGCCAGGATGGTCTCGAACTCCTGACCTCGTGATCTGCCCACCTCGGCCTCCCAAAGTGCTGGGATTACAGGCATGAGCCACCGTGCCCAGCTGATAATATACTTTTAAAACATGGACATACCAATAGTCCTTGAGATATGTAAGATCATCTTATACGCATACAATTAAGAGATACTCTTGATATTTGCCTGCAGTTTAAAAGACTAACAATAAAAATGGTAATAATAATAGTGAAAATAATAAAAATAGTAACATTTTATTATATGTCTACTCTATGACTGATGCTATCCAAACATTACCTGTAGTCTCACAAGAACACTATTAAGCAGAAATTAATATTAGCTCCATTCGACAGAGGAAGAAACTGAGAAATAGCTTGCCCAAGATTAGCTATAACTTGAAAGAGCAAGAATTCAAATTTAGGTTGTTCTGACTGCAAATTATTTTCATACCATTTCTAAGTAATGCTCACTACTTCAGCATATTTTATCTTAATTTTTAAATATATTATTTAATTATGGCTGTTAATTGAAGGCTTATTTCACAGAGAATAGGATAAGGATTTACAGCGAAAATATAGAGGCTATTTTGGAGGGAAAAAAATTACCTTGAGTTTCATGTCCTTGATATTGCTGGCCAAAATTAGCCACATACCTCAGACTATAGTGGAGGCAGACAGTTCAATTAACCAAATATGGGGAAAAATAGCATTGATTAAGTAGAAATCTTAAGAAGTGGTTAATTACATTTCCTGGATAACTGAAGACATTTTGTGTTTCAGCCCATCTTAATGAAAATCTAAATATATCAGGCCCTTTGCAGAGAACAGATCACAGCGCCTTTCTCTGTGTCCTTGAAGTTTATTTAATCAAGTTTTTCAGAACACATATATTGACTTCTTCAGCGTCTCCACTATAATTGTGATATTTAGTAATGATTCCTGATTCCACAGGAGAGATTGTTTCCTAAATGTTTATAATCATTTTATGGTATGACATCACAACACTTGAAAACCTGTATCTCACTCATGCATCTCTAACAATTGGAAATTCATATAATTTCAATTTCATTCTTCTGAACCTCACCCATGTCTTGTTCTGAACTTGTCTCTGTCTTATCCTAAACTTCATTTAAGTCATTTTGGGGTAACAGACATAGAGTTGTAAATGATTTCCTGGAGGGGAGACTGAGCACAGCTAATCCCCAGGGAGATGCCCAAAACTTCTAAACCCTTGTAGTTAATTTACACATTAGATTCTTGGCATTCATATATTTTCTCTTTCTACTGTTGTAGTTGTGGTTATTTTTAATTTTTCTCAGCTTATATTTAGAGTATATTAGTTCCTGTGGTTTCAAGCCAAATGTATAATCTCAACAATCAATAAGTGTAGATATGGTGACATTAATATCAGTGCCCAAATCCCAGTTATTCTGAGCCTACTCTGCTGTGTTCCCTCTGCCCTGCCTTCAGCAGGATAGTGATGTTTCCTATGGGCTTAGGAGAAAGTTCACTTATTTTCTACTTTAGGTACTCTTCAAGGCTTCTTCTCACAGCCCCTGCTTCATTGGGCATAGCTATGCTTACCTGCTGATTACCCAAGCCCACAGAGTCATTGAGCTACACTTTAGTAAGCAGTAGACTATTGAGGGGGAAAGGACTTATCCATAATTCAGACTTTATCAGATGGACTTCAGAGGAGAGTCGCTTGAGCCCGGTGTCTCTCAGGTTTTGCCTGAGCACCATTTCTGCATTTTCTATTTTGCTTAGGAGTTCAAATCTGATTCATTCACAGGGCGGAAAGAACATACGCCATCTCATCCATTGTCTTCCTCTTCCCCCAGATGCTTCGAAGGAAAATAAAGAAAACCAACAAAGACAATAAGCTGCTCCTTCTTCATTTAGCCCATCTCACTGTTGACTTCTCCAGAGAAGACGCTGTAACAGAGTTTGAAGAACAAGATCTTTCTTGGAAATCAACACCTGTGAAAGCAAGAGGGTATAAGCAGAATTGTGCAGAGGAAGAAGGTAAACCCCAATGTAGGCCCAACTGTGCATCTACTGATGTGGCAAAGAGCAAAGTGAATGTTGCTTATCAGACTTTCTACATTGGACCTGCATGGTCAGGAAATTACATCCCTGCCTGGGTGAGTCACTGTATGTAGTATCCCCAGGAAGGGCATGACCTCATCAAAGTAGATTTCTGCAGTTGAGACAGACCCTGAAGATGTCAGATGGAGGCTGTTTACTGACAATACTCCTTGTAATAGAACAGCTACCCCTTCCTTGTTTCCTTTGACTCTCAAACAAAAAAGACCCATGCAGCTCTTTGGATAGAAATAAATATATAGATATTTGGGTGCTGCCTAAGTCTTCTCCCAGAAGCATCTGAGCCCTAGTTTCCATGAGGTAAATTAAAAATTTGACCTTTTATTATATTTAAGAGGGACACATTCAAAGACCTATCTTTGAAGAACATGAAAAGTGCACTACAGAATTCCTAACATTTACCGTAAGTGAAAGGACAGCCCATCTCAGTGATCACCCATAACTGTGATTGTCCATGTCCTACCCAGGCATAGGGTGGAGCCAGAGAGCAGTGGTCCACTTAACCAGGCTTGAGTCTGGATTGCAGTGTTAGAATATACAGTACAAAGAGATCAGAATTGGAGTGTTGAAATATACAATACAAAGAGAGCAAGCTTGGGAGCACAAGTGTTCAGAGTCAGATTGCTAAGTCAAGGCCATATATACCTACAATCAGAGATGAGAGGGACAGACTCATTTCAAGATGGAGAAACATTGCTTGAAGCAATATAACACCAGAATGGCAAATCCTAACAAGATTACCTGAAATGCTTTGGCCTCTATCTTGACTTTCATTGATTTAGTTTCACTAGTAACATTGGTATAGTCTAACATTTTTAGGAACATACTATGTACAAGGCACTGTGTTGAATCCAGACTATACATTATTTTATTCATCTTTAATATAAACCTATGATTTGGGAGTTATTATGTCCATTATACAGGTGCATGAATTGATTCTCATTTACATTAAGAATTTTTCCTAAGTCAACAGCTAGTAAACATTAGGGCTTCTCTTCTTAGCCAGGTTCTACTGAACCCAAAGGGTACAAAAAAAGATCGACAATTGTAAGTCAGACTGAAGATTTGGGTTAAATACAAGAAGCATTATAATGATAAGAATCATCCAAACACAGAATTGGCTATCCTGGTGAAGATCTCTCCATCCCTGGAAGGGTTCCAACAAAGATAGGTGGCCATCTGTTATGCACATTGCAGAGTTCTGACTGGCTGGATGGTTGAACTTATGATTTTACAATACTCTTTCCAATCCAGATGCTCTAATTTTAAATCCCTGGTAACTCCTGCAATTTCCATTGCAATCCTCTTTCTGAGGCATTATACAGCTGACATGCTTCTCTAATATTTTGGCTTTCTCTTGATGTAGAGTGGACATTTACAGTTAGGAATAAAATTTGGATAATTTATACTTTAATACAATTTGTACTAGAAAAAAATAGATGCTTAACTGTACACTATGCCAGCATAACCAAGACAAAGCTGGAACACTCTAGGGTTTGCCTCTGTCCAGTGTCACATTCAGAAGAAATTCTAATTTAATATGAACCAATATTTGAAAATTTAAAAGGCTATTTAAATCTACAATTAAGTTTCAAAAAAAATAAAAATTTGCCAAACACGATACTAAGGAAAAGAGTAACTGCTTAAAATCATTTTTCAAAGTGTATTTACCTTAGACTTCAAATTAATGATGGCTGCCCAATAAATATTCTTTTCAAAAGCCCCAATGTCTTCAAACTCCAGCCCATGCCAAACTTTCCCACTCTCTTATGAGTCTATCATTTTATGTTAAGAGCACCTCTCCTCTCTTTCTTGTTTAAAACAAGTCAATGAATGTTTCTTCTTCCTCCAATTCAACATTTCACTCATTAACTCTTAGAAGGCAGAAAAGAAGGGTCTGAATATTCATGCTTTATTATTAAACTTTAGTAATGTCTTTACAGACTCCACCAAAGAAGGTAATATGTCTATTGTGCCACCTGTAGATTCTTATCATCTACCACCTGAACCCCTTCTTCCTGAACGTTCTTCTCATACTCCTACAGTGGGGTCATTTGGGATCTTCTAGAGGCTGAGCTTTGACTGTATCCATTCAAATTACTTCTAAAAAGCCCAGGTGTGAGTAACTGAAACCGAAGTCCACAGAGGCAATCATGCTGATTTCAGGTTCTGTGACCTCCCAATCCTGGTTCTTTTCCTCCTAAGAAAGAAAAAAATAACGGAATATCTATCGAGTTTGTTGCCCCATGGTCAGAGTGCCTGTCTTGATGTTTCTCTTCATCTTTAGTTTGTCTTTGACATTGTCTTTTCCATGCTGGGGCCTAAAGTTGACCAAGGAGCATCATCCCTTGGGACTGATTTTATCATAGTGGAAGCAACTTAGGAGGTGCAGCATCTGGCTGTCCCTGAAGCATCCACTTTTGGAGTTGAAACCACTTACCTGTGCCTACCTGGGCCACGCTTTGCAGGATCCAAATTCAGGAGGCTGTCACATGCCCTTAGCACCTCATATTCTCGCGTCTTACCTAGAGTTTTAGTCTGAGTTTTGCTATTTGATTTGTTCCCAGGGAAACATTATGGTCACCTTTTTTTCCTTTTTCCCCTTTATCTAATTGGCTTTAGTAGCAGCAAGAATTCAGTCATCTCCTCATATAGGTGGTGAAGTCTGAAATAGTTTTTTAACTCTTCGCTATAAATTGCTACTACACTGACTTGATCTAAGGAGTTTCTGATCCTCCAAGCCATCTTCTACCACCTGCTGCCCAATTACCAGCTACAGATCTCCCTCCAGTCTGGAAGAGAATGCATCTTGTAAGTTACTTTTCTGTCAATGTGCAGATATCAACTAAACACACACATTTCAGCCCCTGTTCACTATTTCTAGGAGGTTCAGTCAGGCAGTTCACCAGCAAAATAGGTTGCAAAAAGTGCATAAATAAATCCTAATCCAGGACGCTATTGACTCTTAATTGCCAACATCTCTCCTCTTCCCTGCACCTCTTGGTTCACTGCAAGCTTACACACAACTCAATGTTTCATTTGCTTGTTTTTTTATTCCCACATTGTCATTATCATGTTCCCTGCACATTGTCAAGTTTCTTAGAGTAATAATAGACTCAGGGTTATTTTGGTACAAGAATCATAACTTTACAAACATCATGTAATTAAAGATTAATCCTGACACAGGCTATCAGGTCTTCCTATTTAACAGCTGAAGTCATGCTGCTCTGTGGCTCTCTCAAAGACAGTTTATAATTCATTGAGCCAACTTTCAAATTATGAAATTCTTGATGAATTGTTTTTAATTTGGGTGAGTCACAGAGTGTTAAATATTGTGCATAAAGTGAGACTTATTGATACTTTATATGACCGTATGTCTAATTTGTGGAATTCAAATTCACATAAAATGCCTGTAACACAGATTCTACAATGTGCGTGATGGAGCACCACGGAGCTGGAGCTTAATTCTCAGGGATTTTGTCTTAAAAATGTGTTCCAGGAAAAAGCCTTGAATTAATCCATGATGTCTTCTACTGACTACCTCTTTCTTTTGAGAAAGATTTGTAATTCTTTCAGATATTGAACATCCATAGGAACCAGGTTAAAACAATAGACACATCTAGCCTAAAATTTACTGCAGTAGCCATGGAATTGCATGGCTCAAATCTCCTGCAGAAGTGGGAGTGGAGAAGCAATGTTGACAGATAGCCCCAGTGGTTGCTCTAATGAATCTCCAGCACCTCTGAGGCCACGCTTTTCATGGGATGCTCCCAGCCGATGACTGAGGACAATGAAGGGGCTAATGCAGAGTCCATTTCTGTGCATAGCAGGACTCCTCTAACAGGTGATTTGGCCCTTCTTGGAACCTCCTTAAGTCACCTAATTTGAGACTATTCTTACCCAATCCTCCAAATCCTTCTTTCTTTGTCTTCTTCTCTGGTGTCAGACCTGCCATCACAATTGGAAAGGTCTCCCTGCCTTCTCCTGCTTCCTCCCCTTTACCCTTAGACATTTCTCCTCCAATAAATCTTTTGCAGAGCTAATCTTATCTTTCCTTCTGCTGCTCTACAGTCATGTTCTTTTGACTTACTTAGCTTAGTGAGCATCCCCTTTTAAACTATATTGTCCAAAGAACATAATGGTGACCTCAAGTCGTCTACAGTGTTCCTCTGAACCTAATGGTCCATTGATGGACCTATGGCACATGGTCACATCTGAAGATCACTCCAGGACCACTGTGGCTCATATTGGATCAATATGTATCCCATGTGCCATATGACCACCAATTTGGCAGTCATGATGAAAACACATTCTTAGCTCCATTTCAAGATGAGGATTTGAGTTGAGTTGAAGCTGAGCATTTCACTTTTTATCCTAAATCCAAGATGAGTTTTCCATAATGAACACAAATAATATTTTATTACTCCATTTTAATACAATATTATCTTTATAAGAAATGTTGATCTGACATCTTAAAAATGAAGTGTATACCTTATTTTATGGTCATTTGTAATACTTGAAATGAAGGTGTGAATTAAGAAATACCAGTTTTTGAACTTTTCCAACAATTGCTACATACCCTTTCCTTTCTCTCTCCAAACCTGCTATTTATTTCATACTCACTGCTCATGAATGCTTATATTGTTCTCAATCCCTCCACACATTTTACTAGATCCTTCCTTCTCTCCCAAGAGAAGCCTTGTTCTTTCCAGTGTAAATAGAGCTAGTATTTTTGTTTTTCATTTTACCCTGTACTCATTGCCTTTTTTTCTTAGGAAACAAAATATGAGGAAAAATGTCAACATTACATATGAACAATTGTCTTTTTTCCGTCTTTACATAAGTAAATGGTTACCCACATCTAAGTGCTTTCACTGTAGCATCTTCTCATACTCCTAGCATCCTTTATGCCTGTGAAAAACTCAGACTGACTTTTGGTTCCTTCCAAGTGAGGAAATCATGAAACTAGCCCAAACATTAGCAATTCAGCACCTTTCGTGATGAAAAATCTTTTCATCCAAGAAAATTTAGGAGGCAGCAGAATGTCTGGCCTTGTGGCTAATTCAGCAGTGATCTCACATTCACACTACTGAGGTCTGGCAGCTCAGTTGGGAGTTGGCTAAGGCTAGAAGAGAAAGAAGTACATCCCTGCAGGCTAGTCATGGTCCCCCTCCTGCTATCCCTCCCTACTTCACACCCCATAATCAATCCTGGTCACTATTGCTAGCTTGCTACCACCTAGCCTGAATTGGTATTCTTCCTGCCTTACCAGTCTGCATTTAGATTTATGATTTATTTAGAACTGGATTACATCAAGGCTCAAGGCCAAGGCTCCATAATCCGTCACCGTCTCCAATGTGGCCAAACACAAACATTTGTTTTAGCTGCATCAGCATCTCTAAACCCCGCCAAAAGGATACCCATTGTTAATCGCTATAGCAACTGCATCCTTTTGTGTTTTTTTCTTCCCTAACTGCAACCTCTTTGCCTCCCTCCTTTCTTATTCCAAATGAAAGCATTGACTTCATCAAGTAATAGATATTCATAATTTAACAGAACGGTGGCAAGTCTAAGCTATGCTGTTGAAATACATCACACCCAGGGTTGCTTTGCTATTTGTTTTTGTGCTGAATATCAGCAAGTGTTTAAGTTATGGGTCTTTCACACATAAGGAGGAGGAAAGAGATATATGTAATTGTCACCAATATTGATGATGGCTTCTAGCCTGCTGAGTAAAGTCCCATGCAGCAAAATTAGGGTGTTTCTTCTTTAACTAATGTTCATGTCTTTTATATTTTATTATTGTTTTAATACTAGTGAAAAGGACTACATTTGATATCTCAATAGCTCATCAAGGTTAACAAAAAGTAAATACTACCTCACCTAAACTTTACAATGTTTTGCTAAATGAGGATATTTATGCTCTGTTTTATTGTTGAAGAAACAGACTCATAAAAGTGAAGTAGTGAGCCTAAGCTCACAGAGTTTTTAAGGAACAAAGAGAGAACTGAAGGCCAATCTTCAGATTCTAAGCCCAGAGCTCCTTCTGCTACACCATCATCACCTCCTTAACAAAGGAGGCATCTATGTGGACTAATTAGCTCACACATCAATTTAAAATGAACTTCCTGAAGGGCAGCAAGGGTGTATCTCAACGGGATACAGCTGTTAAGTTATACAAAAGTGGAAGTACAATGGGTTAAGTAAGCAACACTTTTGAGGATCTGAGACATGCCTAGGCATTGGAAAAATAAATCAAACAACAAATTATATAGAAAATGAAATGGATTGAGGAGTCCTAGCTTCTAGTCAAGCTCTGCTATTAATTCACTGCAAGCTATCTTTCTTCCCTGAGCTTTAGTTTCTTTGTGGGTAAAATGTGGGAGTTGAAATAGGTTTTCTCTAAGCTTAAAAACTTAATATTGTCCAAGTCTCTCTTAAGCACACATTGCATGCTTAACCTGGAGTTTGACACCTTCAGGAGTAGAAACAGAAGAAAAAATTGGTGTTTCTCTCCTTTATGTGATACAATATAACTAATGTTCACAAGGCACAGATAGTGTCACAAACACATACCACCAAACAAAGCAATGGGAACAGTATTTAAGTGTTACATTTTAAAGTTCATAAGTAAACATTGTAATTGGCCAAAGGAAAGGGAGTTCAGAGAGAACTAGAATGATCAAGAAAAATATTTATGGTATAAGAAAAATCTCAGCTGAATGATTATGGGTAAGAGAAATTTGAAGGGTAGTGTATTGGTTGGTTCTTACATTGCTGTAAATAAATACCTGAGACTGGGAAATTTATAAAGAAAAGAAGTTTAATTGACTCATGGTTCTGTAGGCTATACAGGAAGCATGATGCTGGCATCTGCTTGGCTTCTGGGGAGGCCTTAGGAAATGTACAATCTTGGTGGAAGGAGAAGGGGGAGCAGGTACGTCACATGGCAAAAGCACGAGAAATAGAGCAAGAGGGGAGGTGCTACCCACTTTCAAATGTCCAGATCTCATAAGAACTCACTCATTATCATGAGGCCTGTACTAAGGTGGGTGGTGCTAAACTATTTGATGTGGTTTGGCTCTGTGTCCCCACTGAAATCTCACCTTGAATTGTAATAATTCCCATATGTCAAGGGCTAGACCAAGTGAAGGTAATTGAATCATGGGGGTGGTTTCCCCATGCTGTTCTCATGATAGTGAATGAGTTTTCACAAGAGCTGATGGTTTTATAAGTGTGTGGCATTTCCTCTGCTGGCACTCATTCTCCCTTCTGCCACCCTGTGAAGAGGTGCCTTCTACCATGATTGTAAGTTTCCTGAGGCCTCCCTAGCAATGAGGACCTGTGAATTTTAAACCTCTTTCCCTTATAAATTACCCAGTCTTGGGTATTTCTTCATAGCAGCGCGAGAACGAACTAATATACTATTTACGAGAAATTCACTTCCATAATTCAATCACCTTCCACCAGGCCCCACCTCTAACATTAGGGATTACATTTCAATATTAGATTTGGACAGGGACATACATTCAAACTATTAGTATAACAGGTAGGAAAATGCATGTCCATACCCAATGAAGAAGTTAATGTTAAGTGAAAGCTCAGTAGAGGGAGTGAACTAGAACATTTCCATCTAGCTATGACTATTGACTTCTCTGTACCATAGCTTTGCTGTGAACTTTTGAAACTGGACCAAAAGTAGTTACAAAGAAGACTAAAATAATCATCCACCACTTACTCAACATTCAACTTTCAGAAGCTTATACAGAGAGAGGATGTAAAGAAAAGGAAAGAAGAATAGAAAAGAATAAAATATAAAACATAGCAAAATATGGAATTTTAATAATGTAGGGAGATATGATCCTATCTAATCCAATCAACTAAATACATATGGATAAAAGGGGCCCCCAAAATTAAGTGACTCTTCAATGGCATACAGTAACCACAAGCACAATGTGCCCCACACTCTCTGTGGTCCCCATTCTGGTGTTCCTTAACTACTACGGAGGTAGTAAAAGAAAACCAGAAAAGAAGATAGAAAAAAAATGAGTAAAAGGGAAGAGAAGGGTGAGGGGAGAAGGACCAGAAAAATATGCCAGTAGGAGTTCACAGAAGTCTGTGCTCACCCAGATATAGGAGGGCGAATTCAAAGCCACCCAAAACAACAAGAAACTGGAATAAGGTTCCTGCTCTCTCCTTATTATGTTAAGTTCTTCTTCAAGTATTTAGATGACTGACAAGGAAAAGATGTCACCACAGTTAAAACTTTGTCCATTTATCTGTCTGCTTCTGTCTGCAATGGGCCCCCGGTTTGGACAACTTCAGGTGGCTAGGCCCTTTAATCAGAACAAAGCCAATTTAAATGAATGGTGACTTAAACCACTAGTTCTCATTCTGAACATTAAATCACTGCAGAAGATTATTTTTTAAATACTCAGTGCTATTTTGTTTGTTTGTTTGTTTGTTTTTTATTTCCCCTAATGTGCACCTAAGTTTGAATGTCTTTGGCTTAAGGGGAAAAAAATTAAATTCAGGGTAATCTCAGTCAGAACCAATATCAGATTATCCCATGCAGCTGTATCTAGAACATGAGCCAGGCACTGAAACAAATGGGTATGAGGATTAGGATTAGAGGAGTGTCCTGAAAACTCACTCTCAATACTGGGAAATTAAGTATTTTAGGGAGCTATGTATCCACGTTCTATGTAATCCTTCTTGTTAGCATTTAAGACTCTTCCAGAGATGATGAGTTTACTAAGAAAACACCATAAGAAATGAACACTAAAGCCTCCAGAAAACATTCCCTGAGGAGACAAAATCTATGTTGAAAAGGACTACTGGGCTCAATAATAATCTGTTAGTTAATGTGTGGCTTGCAAAATATGTGGCCCACTAAAGGTCACTTAGCCCTGGTGCTGACTGGTTTGAACCAAAAATATGAAATGATTCAAGCAGGAAGTGGAGGCCTTGAGTGAACCTCAGCTGGTCAACTCTTTAACTTTTCCAGGCGGGCCTAGCATTTAGTGGAGCAGGGCTGGCTTTTCTAGAGCCCAGACCCTGGGCCTAAATTGGACCTGTCTCTCTTTTTCTTTTCTTTTTTTTTTTTTTTTTGAGATGGAGTCTTGCTCTGTCGCCCAGGCTGGAGTGCAGTGGCGCGATCTCGGTTCACTGCAAGCTCCGCCTCCCGGGTTCATGCTATTCTCTCGCCTCAGCCTCCTGAGTGGCTGAGTGCCCAGCTAATTTTTTGTATTTTTAGTAGCGATGGGGTTTCACCGTGTTAGCCAGGATGGTCTCGATCTCCTGACTTCGTAATCCTCCAGCCTCAGCCTCCCAAAGTGCTGGGATTACAGGCATGAGCCACCGCACCCAGCCTGGACCTGTCTCTCTAAGAAGAGTGAACATGAAAAAAAAGAAAGATGTTTATCTCTGAGTCAGAGGGCAAAGTAGGCTTCTGTGGGTCAGTGGAATTCCCGTCTGTATTTTGGGCTGAGAATCTCAGCACCTTAAAAAGAGTTGTCAGTGCCTCTGACCTCTCATGCACTCTTAACTCTGGAGTCCCTGTCTCTCTTCTGGGGAATGCTGACTTCAGTCAGCCTCCTTCTACCTAAAGAAAGCTGCACAGAAACTCTTTTCCCATGAACTGAACAGAAACATCCTGGATGAAGGGAGATTATGACTGCGCTTGAGGACATTCTGAAGGCAAAACATGCCGGCTCCCACCACGGCACATGTGAGGATTCTCTTTCTGAAAAATTCTGAAGGTTTCATCTGTTGGTCAAATTGATGATGATGATTCTAAACTATTTGTAAATGCTTACTGTTTGCTGAGCACCATGGTGAATATAGATACACTAACCTGGGAACAATGAAAGTTTTACTATTAACGTGCATGTCATAAGTATTGAATTGGAGAACTGAACAAAATGTTTTGGAAGCACTCATTAGGAGGTGACCCATTTTTATAAGAAAGTTGTGGAGGGATAAAAGACATTTCACAGAGGCTATGATTTCTGTGTTAGACTTTGATGGTGAGGTATTAAGCTGGGTTGGGAATATTGGTAGAAACATGCTCATTAGAGGTGAGATTAGGAAGCTAAATCAAGATTTGTCAGATAATCCAACTAACTTGGAGAGATTGTCTAGCGTGGCTTGGGAACACAGCTGGGGCATCATAAGCCACACTGGTCACCTCACTCCCTAAAACCCTTTCATGACTCCCTGCTATCCTTAGTACAAAGCTCAAACTTCTTAACTTGTAATACAAGGCCTTCAGGATTTTAGTCTGTGTTTCTTTGCCTAGACCCATCTTTTCCCTCATTTATGTTAGCTACCATTTAGGCCCATTCTTTTTGGTTTTTCAAACAGTTTTTGTGTTTGTTAATCTCTACAGCTTCTAAAAGGCTTTTACATAAAATAACCATCCTCCTCAATCTTCATCTTGTTGATAACTACTCATCCTTGATATTTCAGTTTAGATAATCACTTTCTTAAAAGGACATTCCTAAGTCTTCAGATCAAGCTAGCTTTCCTTCTCCTTCCCCTTTTATAACACTTTATCTTTGAATTTACTTTTTCTATCCCCACTAGACTTCAAAATAGATTGTGTCTTAGTTACCAGTGTGCCCTTGTTACCTGGCATTTTCCCTAGCATCTAGTAGGTTTTCAGTAATACTTGTTTAAAAGAGAGGGTAAGGCAAGATTGCAAAGGATGTTGAATGTCAGGGTCAGGCTATTATCCTATAGCTGGCAGGGATATGCTGCAGATTGGTTTAAACTAGGAAGAATACACTATCAAAGCTGAGTACTGAGAGATATCACTGTGTAGATGATGCTGGAATGAGTAGAATCTGAGGCTTCTTGCATAGAGAAATGCCTTGACTGTATATTTGATTTTAGAGGCCATATTAACCAAGCTATCTCTGGACCAGAACCCTGTGTTGTTACTGTTTTTACTGCAGAAAATGATCCTGCTTCAGCATCCCTGCCCTATCATGGTCCCACCTGATAAGAAACCTAGCCAATCAGGTGAAGTAGGGATAAGGAAGGAAAAGGAAAAACTCATTCTTCAATCACTTTCAAAATCTCCCCTGTGCTTTGATTTGCTTTCAGAGAACACTTTAGCTCAACAAACTATTGCAAACTACCCAGTTGCAAGGTAAAATGAAAAGCCCACCGGCATTAATTATATGTAGAGATATTAAAAAAGAAGCTACTGCTTAATTATTGTTTGCAAATCTCGGTATTTAAATTGACTTATTTGCAAATGTCTGTTTAGAAATTGACTTTGTAATTATAAAGTCAGTGCAGGGATGTCTCAGGCCCTGGAGGAGTCTCTAACGAGGAATGATAATGTAACAGCCAGAGTGAGACGTTGTGAGCTGCATTTTAATAACTAAAGGTGGTTGGCAGGGAGTTGAGATGCTTAGTGGAAAATCCCTAAA
This sequence comes from Homo sapiens, assembly GCF_000001405.40. Taxonomy (NCBI): domain Eukaryota; kingdom Metazoa; phylum Chordata; class Mammalia; order Primates; family Hominidae; genus Homo; species Homo sapiens. Next base: position 117,858,521 of record NC_000009.12, on the reverse strand, counting down.
CTGGCAAATGAAGGGGCCAGGGTCTCCCTCCCTTGTTGGCAAGGAATCATTAGAGGAGACAGGAGGGGGCAGGCAGGGAGCAAAGAATTTGAAGGTGGGTGAGGCCAGGGGCAACTGGGAGAGAGAAACGGAGGGAGTGTGTTGTGTTCTGTGTGAAAGGAGTCCTCCTTTGAAACCAATTACAGAGGTTTCAGGAAATCATCTAACACCAATAATGCTCTACCCAATTGTTGAAATCTATAGGTACTATGGTAATATTACTTCAAACTGAACTGTGTCCCTCCAGAGTTCATATACTGAAGTCCTAACCCTCAGTACTTCAACTTGTGTCATTATTTGGATATAGGGTCCCTGCAGATGTTGTTAAGATGTGGCCATATAGAAATAGGTTGGGCCCTTAATCAAATATGATTGGCTTCCTTATAAAAATGGGGAAATGTGAATACAGAAACACACACAAGGAGAATGCCATGTGAAGATGAAGGCAGAGATTGAGCCAATGCTTCTACCATCCAATAAATCCCAAAGATTGACAGCAAACTACCAGAAGCTAGGGGAAAAGATGTAACACAGAATCTTTCTTAGAGACGTCATGGGGAACCAACCCTGCCAACACCTTGGTCTCAGACTTCTAAGCCTCCAGAATTGTGCAACAAGAAATTTCTCTTGCTTCAGCTTCCCAGTTTGTGGTTCTTTGTAACTCTAGGAAAGTAATACAGCTGGCATATTGGACTCACAATGGCATTACCTATCTCTACAAAGAAATTGGAGAGGGACTGATCTAGAGCTAACAAGAGGTTTTTGCAAAATACTAGAGTATTAGACATGGAAGGGCCTGACCTTGAAACTATCTAGAATGATCAATGGGTCTTGAACATGGTTACATTTTGGAATTACCTGGGGAGTTTAAAAAAATACCAATGCCTATATTCTATGCTCAGAGATTCTGATTTAATTAATCTGGGGTATCTCCTGGACATCAGGCCTTTAAAAGCACCCATGGAGAGCTCATTTGTAGCCAAGGTTGAGAACCAACCTTCTAGATTTTACATTATCTCCTTCATTTAACAGGAGAGGAAATTAAGGCTCAGAGAGGTGAAGGAATAATTGCCAAGGATCACACTGTTAATAAGTGGAAGAAACGAGAAGTACCCAGACACTTGGAATTTCAGTTCATTGTTCTTCCCACCGAGCAGGATTTCTATCCTCTTGGCCCTGGATATAGAATGCATGTACTGATTTCTGTTTCCTCGGGAGTCCTCTAGTCCTAGGCGAATGGTGACCTTGGCCATTGATATTAAAGGAAAGTTGTCAATTCTCCATGTGCACAGTGAGTTTAGAATACTATTTCACACATACCTCATCCTATTTCTTTATAGCAACTTTATCATATTAAGTGGGGCAAGTACGTTCCACCTGTTAAAGAAGATTAAGTACAGAGACATGACACTGGCTCTCAAATTCAACTGTTGGTTAAAGACAGAACCAGGATTCAAACTTGGGCCTTTCTGAAACTACTCAATTATTTTTTCACCACTTGTCCAGTGAAAGTGAAGTTAAACTGTATTGGTCTAATCTTTGTTCAAATATTTCTAAACAACCTTGGCCACTTTTCTGCTTTGATTCTACTTATGTCAATGTAATCCATTTACTCCGAAAAGACAAAAGACTTGCAAGAACTTTGGGCCTTCATTCAAATATATCGCAAGGCTCAGAGTGGTGATGGAGAGTGTGGTCATCACGATGTTAGAGAAAATATCACTAAAGAAGGGTCATGTTCTCATTTTCCATTTAAAGATAGGTCTGTTATCCTGCTTTAAAATGACCACCCTGGCCATTCAACGTATCCCCACCACTAATAGACACAGATATCAAATTAGAGCCATTTGATTCCTATCTGTAATCCTAGTTGCACACCTATTTTTTTGTACTTATACAGATATAGGTTCAAGGTCCAAGTCTTGGATTTACTACTTATTAATTATGGAACTGTAGGGAAGTCAAATACTTTGAGTTTTAATTTTCTCAATTGTAGAATGGAAAGAGTAATGCCTATTCCTCATCTGGTGAGTAAAGCCGAGACAGCCAAGTATAAAGAGGTCCTCAGAGAACCTCTGACTGGCCTGCGCACTGGGAGAATGGGGTGGAGGCTCGGGAAGTTCACGCTCTTTGTAAGGGTGTGGCCTGGTCTCTCCTGTTCTGGGGTGGTTACCTGGAATTCAATCTGTGAGATGAGGGCCTGTTAACAGGAACCTCTCTCACTTTGCTGAATTTTTTTTCCTTTTTACCCAATAAATTTCATTTTTCTCACCCTTCAAAGTGTCTGCAAGCCTAATTTTTCATGGTTGTGTGACAAGGACCCCATTTTTAGCTGAACTAAGGAGAAAGTCCTACAACAAAATGACCTCCTGTAAATAATATTCCTTATACAGATGCACCTTGATTTGCAATGGGATTATATCCAGAAAAAAGCAATCATGAATCAAAACATTATAAGTTGAACCATTGTAACTCAGGAACTGTGTTTATATATTATTCCCTCAATAATGTGAGATTGAATCTTTTCTTCCAGATAAGTAGCTAACAACAATGGTTTCTAAACAATCAATGGCTTGTCCTGCTTTGGACCATTAGCTGTATTGTTCCTATTCCCAAGTCCTATTTTGTAATTTCACCTTGTTTGTGTCCCAGTTTTAAAGTCTTTGCTTCAGCAAACTGTTCAGGACTCCATTTATTTGCATTGAGCCCAAGGTTTTTCTTACTAATTCTTCCAGTGACTTAAATTTTGCCGATGATCCAGCTTCCATCTCTTTCTTCTATGCTACTTCTCTGGAACATCACTAAGAAAACTATTCATGCTCTGACTGCCTTCTGTGATTCTGCCTATTGCCTCCCTGGTCTTGACAACCTGAAGAGGCTTGGGTTTTAGCTATTTCTCAAAGAGCAAGAGCATGAATGGAGTCACAATAGTAGGATGTAAACTCTCAAGCTCTTCAGGAAGACTTATCCCTAGAGGGCAAACAGCAAAGTAAAGAAGGTGGGAGACATATTGTTGAGGATCAAGTGCCCAGAATAACACTCTGAGTCCATGTTATAGGTCCAAAGCCCAAGTCTTGGATCCACTATGCATTAATTATGGAACTGTAGGGAAGTCAAATACTTTGAGTTTTAATTTTCTCAAATGTAGAATGGAAAGAGTAATGCCTATTCCTTGTCTGGTGAGTACAGTGATCTCATGTAAATAATATTCCTTATACAGATGCACCTTGACTTACAATGGGATTATACCCAGAAAACCAAATCATGAATCAAAACATCATAAGTTGAACCATTGTAAATCAGGGAATGTGATTTACAATTATGGGAGAGGTGGTCTTTGATATCTCTTGATGGATATCCCTCTCCTCCTAAGAAGCCCCTGGACTTACCTTCTTTTACTGTATAAAACCAACCTGAAGAAAGTCATCAAAGTGGTCTGGCCTTCAGAGACTGCAAAACCAGAAGGTGATGTTTGCTGTACAAAATGTCATCACTTTTAAATCTTGCAATCTGACTGGATTCCCTGAAAAATGCTAAATGTGTTTTAAGTAAAGCTCAAAATTCAAATGAATACTCCCAACAATATTTATGCATTCCATTTCTTTCTTATATACAGGCCATAACATTGAGGAATTGCATATAAAATATTAGAACCTGAAATTTGTAGGGCACCTCCCATGGGCCAAGCATATTCTGAATCTTCATAATATCATTATGACATATGTATTATTACTAGTTCTATTTTGCAGATGAGAAAACTGAGGCTTAAAAAAAGTTAGCAAGTTATTCAATACCAAGTTAGCTCATCCAGAATCTTGCAGTTAACAAAGAAGAAAGGTGCAATTTGATGCAGCCCTGTGTGATTTCAATATCTATTCTCAGAATTACTAAATGATACTATTTAGGAAACCAAAGAAAGACCACTTTCTCCCAACCCCTCATTTAACCCCCTTCAGGAGAGAACAAGATAGAGATTCACCACTATCATTTATATGTATATTTCCAAGCCTATTTCTTTATTTGTAAAAGAAGGCTGAGCTCATCTAGAAAAACCCTTCAAGCGCCAATGTTTTATTATTCAGATACAAATACTGCCAGTGAAAGCAAGCAGCCACTGCTGAAGGGCAGATATTAATGCTCTACAATACCCCATTTCATTAACAATTAGATATGTTAAATGCCATTCAATTTTGTTTGCACCATGAAGTTCTGGGTAGGTGTCTATGTTTCTTATAACTTTCCAGTAATTCTCCATCACCAACTGGGTTAATTTTCCAAGCAGGCAGATGACAGATTTTAATTCTCAACCTTTAATATTCTCCAGCCCTTGGGACATTGGAGTTCCAACATGAACTGATTCAGCTACTATCCTAATCCAAGATTAGGATACTTTCTTTGGGGTGAAGTCTGTGTGGGCCCCTCCATGTATTTAAAAAAAAAAACAACATTAACAAGGCTTACATATGGGGTTGTCTCCATATCTACCCCACACTCACACCCACTGATTTTCTGATGGCAGACACTGTAAATTTATGACAGAGTAGGTTTTCAGACTCAATATAAATATTACTTACTCAAGGCTTCTCCTGTTGTAGTCTGAAGTGAAACAATCATAGAAGCCAAGTTTTAAAGAAGATATAGTAATAACAATAGTAATAATTCTAACAGCAAAGCAGCAAGAGCAACATTCACCCTTGCAGCTACCACATGCCAAATACAGTGGCTACATGCTTTATATATGTTTTTTCTCTTATTCTTAAAAATAATCCAATAAGTGGGTACTATGGTCATCTTCATTTTACTTGTGAGAAAATTGATTGTTTACTTTATTGCTTGTTTACATATTGGTTATTTTATTGGTTATTTGTTATTGATTGCTATATAACAAATTTAGCAGCCTAAAGCAATATATACATCATCTCGCTCAGTTTCTAAGGGTCATGAGCCTGGGAGTGTCTTAGGTGGGTGTTTCTGGCTTAAAGTCTCTCATAGGTTTGCAAACAAGATATTGCTCAGAACTGATGTCATATGAAGGCTTGACTGGGGATTGACTGAGATTCAGTCACATGGTTGTTAGTAAAAGGCTAATCCTACCATGTGGGTTTCTCCTAACAAAATGGCCACTGGTTTCCCTAGAATGAGTAAATCAAGAGAGGAAGAGGCAGAAGCTGCAGTGTCTCTTATTGCTTTGGGAGTGACATACCATCAATTGTGCATTATTCTATTAATCACATACCCCATCTCTGTTATTGTGTCCGGAATTGGTGGGTTCTTGGTCTCACTGACCTCAAGAATGAAGCCACGGACCCTCGCGGTGAGTGTTACAGCTCTTAAGGTGGCGCGTCTGGAGTTTGTTCCTTCTAATGTTCGGATGTGTTTGGAATTTCTTCCTTCTGGTGGGTTCCTGGTCTCGCTGGCTCAGGAGTGAAGCTGCAGACCTTCACAGTGAGTGTTACAGCTCTTAAGGCGGGGCATCTGGAGTTGTTCGTTCCTCCCGGTGGGCTCGTAGTCTCGCTGGCTTCAGGAGTGAAGCTGCAGACTTTTGCGGTGAGTGTTACAGCTCATAAAAGCAGTGTGGACCCAAACAGTGAGCAGCAGCAAGATTTATTGCAAAGAGCGAAAGAACAAAGCTTCCACAGTGTGGAAGGGGACCCCAGCGGGTTGCCACTGCTGGCTCCGGCAGCCTGCTTTTACTCTCTTATCTGGCCCCACCCACATCCTGCTGATTGGTAGAGCCGAGTGGTCTGTTTTGACAGGGTGCTGATTGGTGCCTTTACAATCCCTGAGCTAGACACAGAGGTTCTCCACCTCCCCACCAGATTAGTTAGATACAGAGTATGGACACAAAGGTTCTCCACGGCCCCACCAGAGTAGCTAGATACAGAGTGTCCATTGGTGTACTCACAAACCCTGAACTAGACACAGGGTGCTGATTGGTGTGTTTACAAACCTTGAGCTAGATACAGAGTGCCGATTGGTGTATTTACAATCCCTGAGCTAGACATAAAGGTTCTCCAAGACCCCACCAGACGCAGGAGCCCAGCTGGCTTCACCCAGTGGATCCCACACCGGGGCTGCAGGTTGAGCTGCCTGCCAGGGCTGGGACTGGGTGCCGTGGAGCAGGGGGCGGTGCTCGTCGGGCAGGCTCGGGCTGCACAGGACCCCACGGAGGTGGGGGAAGGCTCAGGCATGGCAGGCTGCAGTCCCTAGGCCTGCCCCGCGGGAAGGCAGCTAAGGCCCGGCAAGAAATCCAGTGCAGCGCCGGTGGGCTGGCACTGCTGGGGGACCCAGTAAACCCTCTGCAGCCGCTGGCCCGGGTGCTAAGCCCCTCATTGCCCGGGGCAGCAGGGCCGGCGGGCCGCTCCGAGTGCGGGGCCCACGAAGCCCACGCCCACCCGGAACTCCAGCTGTCCCGCAAGCACGGCACGCAGCCCCGGTTCCCGCTCGCGCCTCTCCCTCCACACCTCCCTGCAACCTGAGGGAGCCGGTTCCAGCCTTGGCCAGCCCAGAAAGGGGCTCCCACAGTGCAGCGGCGGGCTGAAGGGCTCCTCAAGTGCCGCCAAAGTGGGAGCTCAGGCAGAGGAGGCGCCGAGGGTGAGCGAGGGCTGTGAGGGCTGCCAGCCTGCTGTCACCTCTCATTATGATATGGGAGGATATACACAAGGGAATAATATCAGGAGGCAGAAGTCACTGGGGGCTACCTTGGAGTCTGCCTATCACACAAACTGAGATTACACAACTGGTAAAGTAGCAATAAAGAAATGAGTTTATAAACTCAAGTTATGTCATCTTCACAACCCATGCTTTAAACCACATGTTTACTGCCTCCTTAAAATGTCTTCTTGTGTACCTCACTTTATAAGCCTTTCACTACAAGTCAGGGTTCGATCAGAGAAACAGAATCACTAGGAGTGACATAGAATTAGGTATAGTAAGTTATATAGCAAGTTGATATTTAGTATAGTGTAGCAAATTATACAGTCTTTATGTGGGCTGGAGTCTACATGGCAGCCAGAAGAAGAAGAAGAAAAAGGAGGAGGAGGAGAGGAGGAGAAGGAGAAAGAGAGGAAGAACACATGGATATAAAGTGAAGAAGAGAAAGGACAAACCAGAATCTGATAAGACAAAGTAGAACCCACAAGGATGAAGGGAAACCCGTGTTAGGCTCTCAGTGCCTTCAAGCCTGCAAATTTGATGTGATATGTAGGTGATCTGCAGGAAAAGCTAGTGTTCTTTGTTATGGGAAGCTTGAGAAGATTACAGAAGAGATCTGAGGGGAAGTGAAGGAGTTACAGGGTTGCTGCTGCCCCATACCACAAGATAAACTGGGAATAAGCAATAATTTGGGTAATCTGCAGCAACTTCTTGCACCCTGCACAGACCTTCCAAGTCTAAACAGAATATAGTTGCTGTTTCCCTTCCTCTTTTCAAATCTCATATAAAATGTCTCTTGTGGCCCACAGTATTCCTGAATTATGCAGGGTAGGGAGTCCTTGGAAAGTCGATACCAGCTTAACTAAATTGACATAATACAAACCCACCATACCATCTCCTCTGTTGTGTTGCCCTTTTCCACAGTAGCATCTGCAAATCCATATCCATACTGTACCCATAGAGACACACCACAAGCTATCACTGTCTTGTAAGTTTTAATAATTTTTTTGCAAGGGACCACAAGTTGTCATTCTGCACCAGGCCCAATAAATCTGCACTGCCCCAATTTAGCCCTCATCCTTCTGACAGATTTTTTTCTTCAAAACTCACCTGTCAAACTTACCAAACTTACCTGTCACTTAGGAAAAGTTTTCCCACTCAACAATTCTACCCCCTAAAGATACACACACACACACACACACACACACACACACACACACACACACGTTAAAACAAAAAATCCTTCCCTGGAACTACTTCTGTGAGGTTGTTAGCTACTGCTTTGCACTTATCATCACGAAAGGTCATCATTTACTTCTCCATCTTTACTGTAAGTTCTTCAAGAGGCTCATCTTTGTATTCCTGTGCCCAGCACAGAGCTCAGCCCACCAGTTGAGTTGAATACTTTACAGCACCTGTGTCAGCTCACTTTCCAGCCTCTGCATCAATGTCTCCACTGTGAGTTAGCTCAGTACTTCACTAAGGAGCCAACTTTGAACAGCTTTCAGCAGCTGTGATAGCTAGAAAATTCTTTCTCATAAAGAAATCTAATTTTATCTACATTTATCTTCCTGTAGATTCTACATACTGATCATAATTTTATTCATTGAACATAGGCAAAATGAATCTGCTCTCTTCTAACGATAGCTCTCAGGTATGTGAAGGCTACTTACTGTTCTGCTTGTATTTGTATACCTACACCTCTCTGTGGCCTGGATCCATGACTAATATATCTCCTTACACACAAGGTCTAAGAGTCCTTGGATTGGTAGCGTTTCTAGTCTGTCTTGGTCTGGGGCAACTGGAATGACTTGGCTCTCCTTCGTGTATTTCTTAGCATTCTGCAGGGTATTCTGGACATGTTTTCATGGTGATAGAAGAGGTGTAATAACGGGGACAAGCCTACCTAACAAGTGTGTTGCTAGTCTCTGCTTGTGTCACTTCTCCTGACCTCCCACTGGCAAGTGGAGTGACCAACCATCCTGATTTTTGTGTAGCTGAAGGGTTTCCCTGGGCCCAAGGGGCTTCCGAAGGTGTGGGATCTTCAGTGCTAAAATCAGGACAACTGGTTACCTATCCAGTCATGTGACTAGGTTCAGAATCAGAGTGAGAGACACCACAAAGCTATCACGCAAAGGGTGTGAATTTGAGGATCAAAGAATTGGGGCCATTAATATAATCAATCTACTGTTCATGGGCTATGTGTTTTTCAAATCACTCCCAAACCAGTTGTTAGACCAAATCAATACATGTCATCTTCATTCTTCATCTTAAACTAAAAAGAGACCAGACATAGCCACAGAAAATGAAAGACATGTTGCTGAAGAACACAGTGGGGTTTGTTGATTTTTAAAATTCTCATACAGCTATTTTTCAAGTTGATAGCAGAAGTCTCTTGCTCACCTGCTCCCTAGAGCATTCCCCAAACAAGCCTATGTACTTTCCAATTAAACCCAGGTGAACTTAGCTCCGACCTATAGCTCAAGTGTCAGTGCAATGCCAAAACAACTGGATGAAAAATGTAAACTGAACTGAGCAGAGTTTTTGTTTTTGTGTTTGTGTTTTGCCTCCACTATTGCAAGCAATTTTTGATCAGGTTTTTCTCAAATCAGGTCAAATTCATGCATGATGACCTGGTGGGCAGAGCCTTCATCAACGGCTGCCACCCACCTCTCCCACTTATTTCCCTTTGCTCTCCCTTATTGGCACTCTGCTCCAAACAGGAAGTGCTGCTTCAGCCAGGTCATTCATTCATCATTCACTTATTGGAAACCCATCATTGGCTGGTTACTGTGCTAGGCCCAGGGAATGTGGGGAAGAATAGCTCTGAATCAGTAACCTGAAGCAAGCCAACAGCAGATACAGACTTCTGTACAAATAACTAGTGAAGATGTTTATATAAGATACATGCAAAATACACCACCATAGAAATATATGTAAGGTAAATGTAAAGGAAAAACACTGCTGTCTTTGCCTAGGCAAGTCAAAAAAGATTTCAGAAATGAAGTGTCCTTGGATTAAGCCTTGAACGATGATACAAGCCCACTTGTTATAGAGCAGAGCAGTTAAACACATGGACTTTGGAGTCAAATAGGGTTTGGAATGATATTCTGTCACTGGCTATCTGCATGACCTTGGGTAAGTTAATTAATTTCCCATTTTCCTGAATTTTACATGTTCTCATAAATAAAATGGTCTATTAAGAATTACATGAGATGAAATTATGTGTGGGTGTATATAAGTATGCCCATATATAGTACTTAGCATTGTGCTTCTCAGAGAGAAATCCCTCAGAATAGAGCTATTACCATTGTAATCACTTCTGATAGTGGCAAAAATGAATTGAGCAGAACATTCCAGATAGATAATACAGTAATTCCATGAGTATCAAAAAAGCATAACATGTTCTTGGCTTTAAAAAAACAGAAATTTGATTTGGCATTGAGTGTTATATGTCAAGATTGATCGCAGAAAGCGCAATAGATTGTGAAGAAGATAAGGTTGGAGAGGCAAAGGACACCTGAGACTGAAGGATTTAAAACTGTATGTAAAGTAATACTGTATGAAATTGGGAGGAGTTGATCACTAAGGAACAGAAATAAGTCAACATAATATCCCAACAAGATTCACTAGAATGGAAGATGTATAAGTACAAGGGTCATATCTGGCTTACCACTTCCTGTAGGTAGTTAACAATGCCGTTCTCCTTGCAGAAGATCTACAAACTTTTGCAGAATGAGCAAGTGAAGGAGTAGCAGTGGCATCTGAAAGACAGTCAGACAAGTTTGCTATATCAGTTCAGGTAAAGAATACCGACCACTTGACTTATGGCAGGAGGAATAGTTTCAAAAAAGCTAGGAGGCACAACTTTGAGGATTGGGTACTGGTTCTGTATGTTGAAAAGAAGGGAAGCATCAAAGGTGATCTGGACTCTACCATGGGTCTCCAGGAAAAATTCCAAAGAAACAGGATTAATGGTGAATCATATTTTTTTTTTTGCTGGTCCAGTCAGGTGTTTCTGACATATTTGTGTGCAACAATGTTGAGGGAACCAAATGAGATCATAGGTTTGCAAGTGCTCTGCAAATTGTAAAGTAACTGTGTAATGGTAAATGATATTTATCCACTCACAGATAATTGGATAGCTATTGTGGGCCAGGCACAATTCTAGGTGCTGGGGTAGAGCATCAAGCAATGTCTTATTGTTCATGGAGCCAGCATTCTAGTGTAATAAGAACTTCTCTGATTTTAAGTTAGTCAAGAGTTACACATTCTCCTTCACTCACTAATAGCTAACATGGATTAAACTCTTCCATTATACCAGGAGTTTCATAGAAAGAATACCATTTAATTCTGGGAGAACACTTGAGATGAGCATATCATTCCCATGTTGAAGATGAGAAAGCTAAGACTTCAAATATTTGAGTAGCATTATAAGGTTCACATAGATTCAAAGTGATAAAGCTAATATTTGAAACTGGGTGGAGAACGTGTCATGACAGAGTCTTTGGGGTGATGCCAGGACAGGAAAATGTCATGTGATTTGGAAAGGCATCACAAATAATACAAATGCATATTTGGAAATTAAAATAATACTTTTTTTATTTTTATAATATAAACTACAAATCTAAAGCTAAACCAATCTGGGGTGAGGGGACTGTTGGGGGTATGGGTTTAAAAGCCTAGGAAATTCTTTCCTAGCTAAAATATTGACAGGACTTTCATAAGGCCCCTTCTCAGTTAAGAAACTCAGTCACTTACATTTTCAACCTAAGACTATTAAAAACAACATCTCTACAACCCCATGAAGTTAAATACCCTTGTTAAAGTGATCTCATGTATATTACAGTTAAATAATAGCCGTGGGAGAGGGCAATTAGCAGATGCGGTCAGGAGAGAAAAAGATATGTTTTTCAGATGAGAATGGAAACGAGATGGAGAGTCAATGAGGCAGAAATACACAAGACACTTTTTTTACCCTGAAGTTTCTTGAATTCTGTTACTAATGATACCTTAAGATTCTTAGAGCTCTGACCGGAAAAGACACATTGTCATGAGGGAAGTTCAAGGAGACTTTCAAAAAGTCCAACCACAACTGATTTCTACCTAGTTCTTTCTAGAAAGCCATGTTCCTCCTCCATCCTTGTTGCATTTATTGATCACTTGAACTGAGAAAGAATCAGTCATTATGGATTTGTACCTAATACCAGAGGAAGAAAGAAGGCAGAAGTCTGGTTTCTTGAAAAGGAGAAGGTCATCAGCTTGAAACAGCAGACAAGGTACTCAACTCAAATTTTATTCCCTGATTCCTGCAAGTCGGCTTCAAATTCCACCACTATTTGCCATCATTCTGGATTTTGATGGATTTTGGTCTTCTAGTCTGGCTGCAGAAATGCAAATATCTATTTGTGGTCTTTCACAGGATGATTTGTACTTTTAGTTAAAAAGATGAAGGGAGATAGTAGAAATCTCTGTGGGTGAGTGAGGGGGACAAAAGGATTTTATGTTCATGTGAACCTAGGTTTAATTTCTGACCCATAAATTTACTAACACTTGTTCATCTTGTCCATCATTGTTTTTAGTGAACCAAGAATACCTCATGACAACTCAATAAACATTTGTTAGAAAATAAATGGGTGACCTTGAATAGCTCTTTTTCTCTCTCTTGTTCTCACCTACTCTCTCTCTCTCATCTCATAGCAAAAGCCCATCAGTGATATAATGAAATGATATGGACAATTCTAAGCCAGTTCCTGGTCCACAATAAATATCAAAAAATTACATTTCTTTTCCTCTAGAATTAAGAAAGTTTAATTCCCAACTATACTATGCAGTAGCCATTTCTTTGATCAGATCAATAATTCTCTGAGACTTGGTTTCATCACTGATACAAAGGAAGGGATAAAGATCTGTTCCCATTCACCTCTCAGTTGCTCTGAAGATTACAAGAGTTTATGGAATTAGATACATTTGGTAAACAGCACAGCACTCTTTAAATGTTTATTATCATTATCCTTATCATAATTGTGTAGATGTGGGTCAAATTCTCACTGGAGACCCATCTTTCTTTGGTTGTGGGAGCATCTACTGTGTCCATGGCAATCTTACAGTCATTATTTTTAAAATCCCACTATGTTTTCATTAACTAAGTCTACCTTTAAGAAGTCGGATGCTTTCCAGTGCATCTAATTGCATAAAGCAAAAGATCCTAAAGGAATTTATGTGGCCTCAAGGAGCATTATTAATGGAGGTCCCTTCTAGAGATGTAATTTTGGAAGCAATTTTCCATGAAATTGCTGAATGTGTGTATCCATATAAATTTGAGCCCATTTGGTACAATTATAATTTAGCCCAATGATTGCACTAATGACATTCTCAATAGATATTCTGGTTTAAAAGGAAGGGATACATTTATTACATGTGTATGTAAAACATACGTCAAACTGGATTGTCAGATAAATGTTTCCATAAGGGCTTCCATATGTCTTTTTCCATTCATCTTCACTGAGACACAACCACAGTGGGTTGTACAATTGAGTAAGGGAAATACCTGAGTCTGAATTGTCTTTAGTTAGGGCTGAAATATATCTCAACAAAAGGAATTACATTTCATCACATTTTGTGACCTAACAGACTAACAAAGCAGGTGATTTATAGGATGGATTTTGGAGCCAGCCAGGGCCAGTTTTGAATTCTGGATCTGCCCCACACAGCAGATGGCATTGAGCTTTAGTTTTCCACCCTTAAAAAGGAAGATAGCAGTATCAATCCTTAAAGGTCTCCCAGGGTTGTCAGAATAACAACAGCAAAATGCACAAATATATAGGTAAAGTTCTTAACACAATGCCTGTCATATAATGCCCTCTTTAAGTGATTAATGTATATGACATCTTCCTAAGATATTGATTTCAGATAGAACCAAAATAAAGTGTGTATGTGTGTGTGTGTGTGCAATGTGTACTTCTCTGTGTGTGTAACCATAAAACCTGAGGTTCAGAATGGTTGGGTAATGAGTTCAAATGGGTCCAAAGATATACAATTCATTAAGCAGTTGTACTGGAAGCAGAAAGAACTTTGAGGGACCTCAGAGATCAGTCCAGTCTCTTATATTTCAAGGACACTGAGTTAAGAAGGAATAATTGACTTGCCATAGCTAGTGGAAGCAACAAGACTAGCCCATTAGACTTCATAAGTTCAATTCAATATTATCTCATTAAAACACACTTTTCCCAGAGCGTCACACAGTCTTTTTTCCACCTGCCTGCCTTCAGCTTATCTTTGCTTCATGTACCCAGGTTATTGGGCTTCTCTTTTACAAATGAAATATATATGCAACCCTAAACCATATGTCTCTTCTATTTTTTTCCCAAGACAGCAGGAAGGCATGGGTGTTGGAGAGTGTTTTTCATGTATTCACTTACAGAAATTCAAAATACAGCCTTAGCAAACTGTGTGTGTGTGTGTGCACATACACACGCATGCACATGTGCGATGTTCCCTCTCAATTATTCTTCTGTAGGACATCAGGAGCAACTTACGGGTTACCATGCTCCTCAATTGTCCTCAAAGATATCAGTATCAGAGTTGATCATGGTAGTGACAATGATTCTATACGTATTGGGTATTCACAGTTACTTTGCCCTCTTGATTCTACAATCAGGTTCTCTTGTCATCAATCAGCAATCATCATGGCAACATTGCTGTTAATTTCCACACATGGTTCTCTCTTATGCCCCTTACCCTCTCCCCAGGCCAGTCTACAACCTTCCATCTTCAGAGGCTTCCAATGTAAACCATTCTACCAATTATGTCTTCTCCATCATCCTTCAAAAGCAGATGGGACTGACATTTTCCACAGGAAACGTAGCATTTTGCCTCTGCACCCTCTCCACTTACTTCCTTTAACTCTGCAGGTGTGCTTGTGCCCCTTTCTCCTTTCTGGTGTTGCCGTCTCTCCCAGATAGCAGTGACTCCCCATTGATGGACAGTTACTTTGGGTATCCTTTATTTATTTTTCCCCTTAGAACATATGGCACTAATGATCACGTTAACCCCACTGCTTTCTAACTTTGAGTCTCATATGGAAAAAAATGGTGCTCATGAAGGAAAAAAAATTAAGAATAAAAATTTACCAAGAAGCCTGACAAGAAAAAAAAAGTCTTATTTTGGTACATTGCAGTTAAAATGATCCTCAAACTTAAATATATACTCCAGTGTCATAGTTATTCCCTATTATCCAGCATTATCGGAATTCTGGTTTCACCACTCTCCACCCCAGGGTTTAAACTTCTCCCAGCCTTTTTGACACTCACTTTAAAATCAAAGGGCCTTATACCATACTAAAAACACAGCATTGGTAGCAGAGGCTGAATCTTCTCAGTTTGGGCTTAATTTACTTATTTAATTTCATTTATGGTTTATATTTATACAATTTATATTAAAAATATATTTTTTCTCCAGTTGGATTCTGTTGACAAGGATTTCCAGTGCCTTAGTTTTCCTGCATTGTTTGGGCTTGATCACCTGATTTTTGTGTCTGTAAGTTCTCCTTTACCCCAACTTGTAAAATAGAATCAGCTAATGGGTTTTCAAAATTTTAAAACAATAAAAATATTTTTAATAACAATTTTTAGTCTACAATATTGAAATTTTACTGAGCTTCTTATTTCATTTCCAATTTAATTATTTGATAAGATAATATAATCAGTATAATGCATAGTTATTTGGAATTTGCTGAAACATTTGGACTTTATATAATTAGAGGAGACAAAATCATAAATGATTCATTTTCTTTGTATATTGCTAGGATTATTACCATGAAATATTTTCTTTTCTCCATTATAATAAAACTTTTTGCCCTAAATTTCAGTTTATTTGATATAAATATTGCTATTCAAGCTTTCTTTTGGTTTATATGTTCAAATATATGTTTTTCTTCCTTATTTTGAAATAAATAGTTCTTGTAAGTAACATATTACTGACTGTCTTTGTTATTAATTTTTTTGTTTACCTACCTTCTTTTTTTAATTATCACTTTCCTGTTTCTCTTAAATTGATAAAGTTTTGGTTTCCATTTTTTCCTATTCTAGTCTGAAAGTTACTTATTTGGTTTCTATTATTTAAGGAGTTTCCCACAATTGTTATCAAACATTCTATTAATTTATTTTTTTCTAGCAACAACTAAGGTTAACCAGTTATCTATTAAAGACAGAGAAATCAGTTATGCTTTCTTCTCTGACTCCCATCACCTGATTGGAAGCATTGGAATTTGAATTCCAGATTGTTATAGAGAAAAAAGTACATATGTATGTCTAATCTAGACACCAATGTGGTATTTTCTTTACTCGCAATTACTTATTGCCTATCATTACTTCCTTTTGTATTCATTATTCTTATACATGTGGAGTATCTTTAACCGAAAGAGCCAAAATACAAAATGTTTCAGAACAGAAACTTTTTCAGTGCTTACATGACACTCAAAGAAATGCCATCAGAACATTTTGATATTTTTTATTTTCAAATTGGGGATGCTCAACTGGTAAGTATGTGCAAATATTCCAAAATCTAAAAAAATACACAATCTGAAACACTTATTTTTCCAAGTATTTTGGATAAGGAATACTTAACCTCTGGTATATTCTTTAATCTTGCATTAGAAATATTTTTGCTACTGATTTTTTAAGTTCTTGTCTGCCCATAAGTATCATTATTTATCTCATATTCAAGTTATAATTTAGTTGCATATAGCATTCTTATTTTACATTTATTTTGTGACATAGTCACACGTTCCAGGGATTAAGTTGTGGACTTGGGACATTATTCCCCCAATACCTGTGAGTCCTTGTTTGCCCCATGTTTCTTGGGTTCTTGTTTGTGCTTTCAATCTTCCTATACCTTTCAGATGCTGTGGTAGCTTTGGATTTCCAAGAATAGGATGCTGTGGCAAAGTTGAAAAGTTTGAATGGTGAATAACACCTTTGAAATTAAAAGGGAGCGGCAGGATTGGGTGGGTGAGGGAGCTGTCAGCATACTATTTTTACCTGGCAGTCCCTGATAGCCTGTCAGGGATCTGTCAAGGTCACCCATGAGAGAATCCCCAGCTTCCCACTGTCTTGCTCAGTCACTGGCTAGAGGCTGCCCTGAGAGTAGCATGATCTTGACTCAAAAGCTGGGGTGGATGCTTACGATGCTACTAGCTGAAGACTGGCAGCTAAGCACAGTCCAGCAGCTGGACAGTGAGTTTTTTCCTTGAAGGGGATCTGGGGGTGCATCTCATGTTACAGAAATTCATTCTGAGAGATTTTTACTCTTCCAGATCACCAGTTTCTCCTTGACTCTGTCCATTCTGCTATTCAGTCTATCTCTTCTCTGGTTCCTGTTATTCTTTTCATTATATAACCATGTCAATTTCATTACTAAGACCTCCTGCTTCTTCTTTTACACAACCTCTTAATTTTGTTTCGTAGAAGCTCTACTTACCTATTTTGTTGATAATGTTAATTATGCTTATTCTAAATTTCTTGTCTGCATTTTCTGTCCGCATTTTCCCTCTTCGTTCTCTCCCTTTCATTGTGCTAGTTCTCACATATCTTGTAATTCTTGTCCATAGCTTATGTTTATAGTTGACCTTAACTTCAAGACCGTGAGCTAACTTTTTAAAGGGTAGAAGCTTCTACTGAAGTCTTTCCCTCACTGTTTTCAGTAGGATTAAGGAATGGGTGGAATGTAGCAGGAAGAGAAGGATTTTTCCCACTGATCTCTCAAGATTTCTGGTCACTCGGGTTCTGCCTTGTCTCCTACCTGGAAATGGTCCCTCTATTTATAACTCCTTGTTACTAAAAGCTTGAAGTGGGGATGGCTCACAGACCCTGGCCACCTCTCAGCCCCATCAATACCCTTCTGCCCCTTGTGTGCTTGTCATTCCCATCCAGTGGTAGGAAATGCCCATGGTGTTGCCTCTAGGCCCTTCACTGCTGTTATCCATAGTTTCAAGTCTCTGGAGCTTCTCCTTCCTTTAATCAAATGCCACCTCCTCTTGGCCTCTCTTAGATTCTTCCTATTCTCTATTCTGAACGTGTTGCTGTGCTTACTCAATTAAAACCGTATTTTTGACATTTCAGGTCTTAGATGCAGATCACAGAGGCAATAGCATGAACTCCAAATGCCATGTTGACTAGAAGACCCAGCTTAATACAATTTTTTTTTATTTTTCCCCCAGGAAGAACATGGAGCTGCTCTCCCTGAAGTGAAAGATGGGACCCGGAGCCCTTAACCCCAGAGGTTCCTTTGCATCTGTCCTCTGACTGCATGGAACACGGTGTTTTAAGTCATTGGATTGGATGACTTCCAGGGTCACTTTTACTCATACATTTTATGATTCCAGGGTCCAAGAATGACGGTATTATATGTAAGAACTCTGAAGACTCAAAGAGAAGAACAACTAGAATTCTTCTTTCTTTCCTATTGTTCATAAACATGGTATTAAAATGACCACTAAAGAGCAGAAACATCTCACAGGCTGTTTCCTAGTTCTGATATTATACAAAGACAGAACACCCCACCCTCACTTCCCTTTTAATATCTCAAGTCTCTTCCTTCCTTCATCTGTTAGAGAACATTTCTCCATTTTTCCATGTTCAATATTTATCCCATTTTATTTAATTATCAGTTATCTACACTGCGATTATTGCCAGCAAGTTGAGGGGAACGTGTAGAGAAGCAAGTTGTGAATATCAGTAGTATGCTTGGTCCAGGTGGGGGAAACTGCTTTAGAAATGACTGGCCACTTGTGAGAAACTTGGCAGTGTTTCTTTCTCATTTTGTCAAAAGGTATAAAGTCAAGTGTTGTTTCACTTTAATTTTTGGTAACTTTAACACAGTTTTGTTTTGAAAGTTGAGTTCAAGGAAAGGCCTCAAAAATACCAATTAAGTGCCTCTGTTAAAAGCCACTGGCAGGAAAAAGAAGTCTCTATGGTGTTTTAGGGAAAAAAAAGTGAAAAAGAGAATCACAAAATTTCTAGGAGAAAAAACTCTGGGCACCATTAACCTTCCCCACACAAAATGGAATTATACGAAGACAGGTTTCTTCCAGACGTTCACCAAAACTCAGAGCATATGCATACAGAAAGAAGCTTAGCCAAAGCAGTACTCTATAAGGGGGCTGATTACCTGATTCTGTCCACTCTGGGACCCTACATATTGGTTATAATAATTAAGTAGGATTTGCTCCAGTGAGACATCAGCCTACGAAAGCATTTCCCAATGTGTGCTTTATAGAACAGTTATCTTACAAGATATGCTATAAAAAAGACCCCATGATCAAACAAATATGGGAAATACACCATATTCTCTACTCCTGTGGGAGATTTCCTATGCATATTATCATGTCAGGTAGTTTAATTATATTAACCCAGGATTTCTCAAAAGAATTTCCCATAGTACCCTCTTTGTTCTGGTTCCTTGACACCTGTTGCTAAGGGCAGGTGGTATATCATGGCCGGTAAGAGCAAAGCCATAGAAAATGAAGAACCTGATTTCAAATCCTGGTTCTTCTACTTAACAAGTGAAATCTCTTTTGGCTTCACTTCCCTTGTCTATAAAAGAGAGACAATAATCATGATCTTGTGGAATTTTTGTATTTACAGGCAGTAACACATCTAAAGAACACAGCTCTGTACCAGCCATGTGCAAAGGGATCAGAAATAGTAGCTAAAAGAATATGTAGTGATTCTCGAGGTTAAATTGATAATAATAATAAAAACCCAAAAACAACAAAAACACCTGGAAGCCTAGAGAGTTGTAAATATTAATATATGGATAATTTTGTTCTTCCTTCCATTGGTCCTAGAAAAATGTTAGAATGAGAATAGAGACCTGGAAAAAGCTTTGCTGTAGAGAGACAGATTTTTAAGTACTTCTTAAAGTTAGTTTTTATTATTGCCCCTTCAGTGGAGCCCTTTCTGCACCTGTGTCCTTTCCACCAAGGTCCATCTGACAGGATATTTCCTGTTTCCTTTCTGCCATTTTTTTTTTTTTTTTTTGAGATGGAGTCTCAATCTGTCACCCAGGCTGGAGTGCAGTGATATGATCTTGGCTCATTGCAACTTCTGCCTCCCAGGTTCAAGTGATTCTCCTGCCTCAGCTTCCCAAGTAGCTGGGCCTACAGGTGTCCATCACCACACCCAGCTAATTTTTGTATTTTTAGTAGAGTCGGGGTTTTGCCATGTTGGCCAGACAGGGTTTAAACTCTTGACCTCCAGTGATTCACCTGCCTTGACCTCCCAAAGTGCTGGGATTAGAGGTGTGAGCCACCATGACCGGCCCTCTGCCGTTTACTTTTACACCTACCACAACACAGGAGTTGCTTTCTATAACCTCTGTGTCCTTCTTGTCCCACTGTCTCTTTCTCAGTGATGAACTCTTAATGTCCTCACACATAACCACTGCTCTGTGTAGCTGAAGAGGCCCCAGAGGAGCCTGAGGAGAGACTCACATTTTGGCCATACGTTGAACCTAGGGTGAAATTTGAAGTGAGAGTTTTCAGCAGCCATGTTTTCACAGAACAGCTGACCCTAGCAGGGGGTAGTAGGTTTGAATTTTGCTGTTAGTTTCTTTATTGCTAGATTAGGGGGAAAAAAAATAAAACAAAACGAAGAAACGAAACATTCAAATGCATTTGGCAGGTGGTCTTATAACTCCAGCATGGGTGCTCAGAATTTCAATGTTAAACTTGGTTAATTATGATTCAGAATTCAAGGAAAGGAATATGGTGGAGTACAGAGATAGAGTCCATGAGCTTTGGTGCTAAAAACTGGGATCAGGCCGGGCGCGGTGGCTCACGCTTGTAATCCCAGCACTTTGGGAGGCCGAGGCGGGCAGATCACAAGGTCAGGAGATCGAGACCATCCTGGCTAACACGGTGAAACCCCGTCTCTACTAAAAATACAAAAAAATTAGCCAGGCGAGGTGGCGGGTGCCTGTAGTCCCAGCTAATCGGGAGGCTGAGGCAGGAGAATGGGGTAAACCTGGGGGACGGAGCCTGCAGTGAGCAGAGATCCCGCCACTGCACTCCAGCCTGGGTGACAGAGCAAGACTCCGTCTCAAAAAAAAAAAAAAAAAAAAAAAAAACTGGGAACTTTGGGAGGCCGAGGTGGGCGGATCACGAGGTCAGGAGTTTGAGACGAGCCTGGACAACATGGTGAAATCCCGTCTCTACTAAAAATACAAAAATTAGCTGGGCCTGGTTGTGGGCATCTGTAATCCTAGCTACTCAGGAAGCTGAGGCAGGAGAATTGCTTGAACTCAGGAGGTGGAGGTTGCAGTGAGCCAGGATCAAGCCACTGCACTCCAGCCTGAGCGACAGATCAAGATGCTATCTCAAAAAACAAAACAAAACAAAACAAGACAAAACCTGAGATCTGCTTATGTGTGGATAAAATGCTTCTACAGGCCTCATTTTTCTTATCTGTAACTTTCAAAAATAAAATGATATCCAAATCTTAAGATTTCTGTTAAGTTTAAATGAAATAATGCAGAGTATTTGGAGTATTTGCTATTCTGTCGGTTTAGGAAGCTGTTAGCTTTCAGGAAAACGTGTAGGTTGATAGATTTAGCAGTTTTTGTGTGAGTTAGATTTCTACCCTAAAATGGGAATTTTGCTCTCAATTGCATTTCTCCATCCATATATTAATGCATTCTCTGTCCCTAAAAGAAGTTACATACCAGGCCATAAACAAGATGTTATGTTCCAAAGTCTGAAATGTTAGACTAGAAGATCAGATCTTTTGTGATATTTGACAGATTTTACCATCCCAGAGTCAATTAACAGGTGATCATTTGTTTCTGCAGAAAAGTTACAGAAGATTTCTAACATCAAAGAATTTGAAGGTCGTTCTGCTAAATGAATGATTTAGAGCAGCCGTATAGGGATGTACTCAGGAAGTAGTGCTTGTTCTAATCTAGTTCTCCTTGGCCCAGCCTAGTTGCAAGTACAGGGGAGAAAAAGAAACAGCAGAATAGGGCTTGGTCCATAGTTTTCAAATAAGGGACCCAATGCCCTACTCAACCCATTCCCTCCTTGGTTGTATCTAAAGTGCTATTTCCATGCTGTAAGTATTTTTTATCAGATGACTATTTTAATTTTCATTTTTATCTACCTGATATATTTCAATGTATTTTAGTCATTTCTTATGGTTTTAATGCATCTTTGTGTCTTTGTTTTTTTCTAAAAATATACTGATTTTGTAGTTTATATCATATGGTTCCATTAATTGAAATGGTAGCAGATTTTTATCAGCTGTTTCTTACATCTGTTCCCTCTTACTCATGGTGGATCATTTTCTTTTATGTTTTGTGCTTTGGGGTAGTAAGCTCATCTTCCTGTGCAGCCTGAGGTGAGGGTATATCTCTCCAGAGAGTAACTGTGTTGGAATTCTCCAGGTGCCCAAAGGGGACCACAGACCTGGGATCATTTGTATGTTAATAGAAAAGCTTGTGGCTTCACAAACCATAAAGGAAATTTAAATTCAAACCTGACTCCCAAAAGTGAAACAGGATTATGATTTTAATTTCACAGATTCTTGGAGGATTTTTTTTCCAACCAGAGACTAGAGAGAGTTGGACATGTTTTCTTGAATTCATTTTATGGTGAGAGGTGGTTTTATATACTCCTTTCCTTCCATGAGAAAGTGCCTCTTTAATGGATTTTACAATTCTCAGGTAGACCTCTGGTGAGCCCAAGGTCATGTCTTCTGTTTCTGAATATGTGTTAAACACCCTAGTCCCTAGTTTAAGGGCCACCCTTACCCCAGCAGCAGTATTAGCTCATGCATTTCTACTCTCATTTATAGTTCTATTTTGACTCATAGCACTAGCAGATTTCTCTTTTGTTATGACTAGCGGGGCTATGCCTGTAAAAGTTTGCACCATTTTGTTGACAATGTCTAAGTGTTTATTGCAGGAGGGTGTTATGGTCTAAATGTTTGCATTCTCCTAAAATTTATATGTTGAAATCCTGTATTAGTCAGGGTTCTCTAGAGGGACAGAACTAATAGAATAAATATGTATATAAAGGGGAATTTATTCAGTGTTAACTCACACGATGGATCACCAGGTCCCACAATATGTTGTCGGCAGGCTGAGGAGCAAGGAGAGCCAGTCTGAGTTCCAAAACTGAAGAACCTGGAGTCCGATGTTCGAGGGCAGGAAGCTTACAGCATGGGAGAAAGATGTAGGCTGGGAGGCTAGGCCAGTCTCTCTTTTCACTTTTTTCTGCCTGCTTATATTCAAGCCGATCTGGCAGCTGATTAGATTGTACCCACCCAGATTAAGGGTGGGTCTGCCTTTCCCAGCCCACTGACTGAAATGTTAATCTCCTTTAGCAACACCCTCATAGACACACCCACTATCAATACTTTGTATCCTTCAATCCAATCAAGTAACACTCAGTATTAACCATCACAAAATCCTAATCCCCAAAGTGATGATATTTGGAGGAGGGGCCTTTGGGAGATGATTGCATTTTGAAGGTGGAGCCCTCATGAATGAAATTAGTGCCCTTATAAAAAAGACCAGAGAGAGTTCCCTCATTCCTTCTACCATGTGAAGACACAGCAAGAAGACACCATCGATGAACCAAAGCATAGGCCCTCACCAGACATCAAATAGGTTGGCACCTTGATCTTGGACTTCTAGTCTCTAGAACTATCAGAAATAAATATCTATTGTTTACAAGACACCAGTCTATGGTATTTTGTTATGGCAGCTTGAACAGACTAAGACAAAGGGTCTTGAGTTTCTGTTGTCAACCATGTTGCCCTAACTCGGAGTCAAGTAGTGTTGTTTCAACCTAAGGTCCTTCAGTGGATTCTGGGGACTTAGCAGTGCTAAAGAGGGTATCCAATGTGCCAGCTCTCAGACCTTCCCCTGCTCTCAGTTGAGCTACTTTGCTTTTGTCTATTTTATATATTGGACTTCTGAATAAGAATTGGATACACATAATGGTTTAGTCTTTCAAAATAAAGGTGTTTTTTTTTTTTTTTTTTGAGCTGGAGTCTAGCTCTGTCATCCAGACTGGAGTTCAGTGGCGCGATCTGGGCTCACTGCAGCCTCTGCCTCCCTGGTTCATGCAATTCTCCTGCCTCAGCCTCCCAAGTAGCTGGAACTACAGGCCGCCCGCCACCACGCCCAGCTAATTATTTGTATTTTAGTAGAGACGGGGTTTCACTGTGTTAGACAGGATGGTCTCGATCTCCTGACCTCGTGATCCACCCGCCTCAGCCTTCCAATATGCTGGGATTACAGGCGTGAGCCACTGCGCCTGGTCCCAAATTAAGTTTTAACATTCTGCATTTAACATTATAATAGAAAACATCAAGATGTGGTGTGACAAACACAAATCTCATTGTCCAATGACATGAGCACTTAACAAAGTCCAAACTGCCATAATCATTTTACAAATAAACTTCCACTCTTTTTGAGTTTCTGGAACAGAAATCACCTCCCAACTTGAGATACAGTTGAGACAATCACGTTTCCTGAGGGAGTAAACCACTCCAGGAAGAAGTTGAGTAAGACTGGAGGCCTGTTAACACTTGTGAACTAGGGAAAGTTTCTTCATTAATGCTGGCAGCGGAGGGGACCTTATATCTGGAAAGAGTCAATAATGCATTACACTACTTAGGCTGTAGAAAGAGTTCATCGACTACACCTTTTTAAAGGCTTTCTTCAAGGGACTTAACCTAGGGAAGCAAGAACTCCTTCAGTCCTAAAGAGGCTAAATAAGGTAGAATATTGGCTGTGAGGACCCTGTCCTAAAAAAAGCATAGGAAGGGGAACAGGACAAACACAGGGAGTTGAAGAAATTTTGTAAAATAAAAGAAGGTAAAACTAGAAAGAAGGAGCATATGGCTAAAAGTAGACACTAATATGGACATCATCTTTGGACATCAAATGTGAGATGCTATTAATACAAACATATTAGAGTCTAAGTCATCGTAGTATCAGAAGAAAAAAACAGCCCAATGCAACTAACCTCCAGGAATAAATACTTATCATGTCTGACAAAGCCTGATCAATCCCAGCCCTGCCTACCTCCAGTCAAACTCCCTCCCAATGGCTGGTTATTCTGGATTGGCCTTCTCTCTGTCCTAGCAGCAAGCCAAGCTCCTTCTGACACTAAGCATTGGACATACTATCACTTCTATCAGTGGCACCCCTCCACTTGGACTTCTTGTCTTACCTTAAATGCTGCCTGTCCGGGGATACTGTCCCTGCTCTCCAACACACACATGCACTCAAAGCCAAATGTGGTTCTCCCTTGACATGTTTTCTTAGAATTTTAGGATTTTTGCTTTAACACACTTATCACAACTGTAATGGTATAATTATTCTTGTCATCTTTAAAACTAATATATTTTTCCTTACTGGAATGTATATGCCATGAAGGCAAAAATAGTTGGTTCTCCATGTCTAGCATAGTTCTTGACACTCAATAAATATTTCTTGGGGGAATACATAAAAGATAAAAACAGAAAAACAGATTTTTAAGAAAGTTAAATACAATTAGTCTTGTAATAAAGTACTTTACAGAGTCAACTGTTGATTCCTCAAAGATCACCAGAAAAGTCTATTGATCAAGAAAAGCTCAGTTTATTAGATTTACTGCAGGAAAGGAGACAGCCTTAGTAGTGTCTCAAAATAGAAATATATATGGTTTTGGGGTCAGGGGTGACTGAATTTAAGGAGAGTCTTACAAGATAGAAACTATTTGGGATTGGGCAGAGATTATGCCATGATAGCTTTGGATTGATGGTCACAGTGCGGAGGGTCTTGAAGTAATTCTGGATGAGTCAGGTGTTATTCATGATAAGTAAGCTGTTTAGTTAGTTCCCAGTCTTATCTTCCAGGAGCAGGTATTTCCTAGAGCAAGCAGCTAAGTTATTTTTGTTTATTCTCAGCATTGCTTAGCAAAGAAAGAGGTAAAATACATCATCCTAGAGTTGTTTAGCTCAGAGAGAGGGAAGTATGCCTGTTTCCAGTGTTGTCAAACACAGGGACAGAGAATTATTTTGGTTTGTGTTCTTACTCCACCTTTTAGTTGTACTGGAGCCTGAGCTTGGGAGTAGATTATAATTGTCTTGAGATGTGATCAATCCAGATATTCAGTGCTGTTTGATTGTTATGTCATCTTACAGAGTGTCTGGTGGTAGTCTTTTTAAGATTGAAATGTATTAGATTATCTTGTTTTTTTCTTACTGGACGTTTATTTGTCCTCTCATTTGATGGGACAGTGGCTTCATGTGAGCACAGTGACACAATTACGAAGAGAAAGATTATAGTTAGATGGTGCAGTCCACTTTTAAACCAGGCACAATGACGCCTGAATTAAACCAAGAGAACAGATCCCATCCCTGTTTGAAAGAGCCCACAATACTACATGTGGGGGATTTTGATAAATAATCTAATTTTAGCTTATTTGCTCCTCCAAATCCCACCTCCAACATATGACTATAAATACTCCAAAATCTTTTCTTTACATTGCCCAATTATTCATATTTAGATTCAATCTTGTAAGTCTTGAGGGTTGCCACTACAAGAAATACCCAGGGGACGAAGTTAGAGAAAAGGGAAATTTGTCCTTTGATAACCTACTATGTGCTGCCATAGCAACCCTGTTAGTTCTGACAATAAAAATTGAGGCATAGAAAACGGAAACAATTTTCTAGCAATGGGGAAGGTAATAAATGTTGAATAATGGATATTAATCTAAGTCCCTCCAACTCCAGAGACTGTGTACATCCCACTGTACCATAAAATCCCCTTTGAGGAATAACACCACAAGCCATTATCAGCTAACTCCATACATTTTTTTCTAATAATATAGTTATATCACTCCTGCTTGATATTTAAAAGTTTATCTTTTGAAGGATAAATGGGGGCTTGGATTTTTCTTGGAAGCAATGGGAACCCACAAGAGGGCCTGAGACGGCACTCACAGGATCAGTTTTGCTCTTATTGTAGCCACAAGTGGGATGATAGTAAACAAAACTGGAGTCAAAGAGATCTCTAATTATACCCATAGAGGGTTAAAAACAACCTTTTTCTCCTTAGAGAGAAGGGTATCAGCATAGATTCATTGTCAGATGGGATGAGCCGTTGTTTCCTAACTTTAAGAAGGATGCATAATTTAGGCCAAGATAATCACCAGTGATGCATACAGCAGAGATTAATTTGAAAATTTAATATCAAAAGATTGGAGGACTTGCTTATGAAGCCACAGCTTCCAAATTATAGTGAGGCATTGGTTGGTAACAAGTGCTCAGGAGCCTCAATGTGCAGAAGAATATTAAAAGATACCACATGTCCTCTAATTAAAATCACGGCAAAATGGAGTAATGATTGCAGATATAATATTAGCAAAGGGTAGGGGGACGATTAGAAAGCAGTGCCAGGAAGGCAACAAGGGCTGGAAACTGTGGCCTCCATCGGGAGAGGCCTTTTCCAAATTGCAGCCAAATCCCTGGAAATTAGCAAGAGCTAGAGGGAAAGCAAGTGCAAGTTGCTGGCATTATAGGAAATAAAAATATTGCTCTATCACACATGATTTGGACAAAGGTTTGGTCTGTTTGTTCAGTGCAAAGTGACAATTGAGAATAATTAAAAACTGAGCCTGAGTTTGCAAGTGACTCACACACAATAATAGCAATCAGGATGGTCACATGGACTTGATGCTTTAAGAATGTTTGGCTGGTTGATAGTAATGTCTTTTATTGTTTTTGTTTGCTTTGGGATTTTTGTTTAGTTTTATAGGGGGAGGTTAGTGGGAAAAAGCCAGCAAAATGGGAAAAGTTTCCATTCATTCCTAAAAAGACAATATTGGGGCAAGTCGAGAGGACTGGCAGACTTTGTACATTTATATCTGTCCTTTTATGAAGCTGGAATAAAAAGCTGTGTTATTAGAATGTGCCCAGAATTTTAGATGCATGGGTTTGTAAGGCAAGGGAATGTATTTGGGCTGATGTCAGAGAGTGAGGCTTAGTTTTTTTTGTTTGTTTGTTTGTTTGTTTGTTGTTTTTATGTAGGGGGGTGTTGTGTGTTTTTTGTTAGTTTGTTTGTTTTGAATGTTTCTCCACAAATTCATGAAACCTGATTGGAATTAGAATGAACAGTAATGGCTAATGAGATAATATGAAGGCATGTGAGAATCATCATTCCTCTCTTCATCAACCCACCCCTATTTAATCCTCCTAACTGAATGCTATTCTTCTGTAGTTTGTACTTATCAGGGCCTAGCCAAATAATGCTGTGAAGCCCAGAACAAGATCATACTTTGTGAGTGGGCTATATTATATATATTATACATATACTGTCACTTTGCCATTTGATGCTCACTGCAGACATTAGCAATCCATTACAGCATGCTTTCCTACTGACTCCAAATAAATCCTCAGTATCCTTTTCAACAGAGGGTCCCAAAAATCACTATCAATATTCAGATGTGGCATGCAAGATACCAGCCTCTGCTAGGGAAATTCTGGAAGTTTTGGAGATTTCTGAATACTTCTCATCAACAGGAAAGGAAGACAGAGAGTAAGGTGTCGAGGAAAGAGCCCCACATTAGCAATCAGAAGTCTAGAGCTTCTATTCGCTCTTCTGCTTAACCATCCTTGTAATTTTGGACAAGTAATAGAACTTCTTGATTGTTAATTGCTCCACCTATAAAACTGATGTAATATGTACCAGTAATAGTTCTGAAAGTAATACAACAACAAAATGCAGTAATTGAGTAATATGTCATGAGTCATGTGATGACAGGAGAGAGAGCTGTTATTAGTATTGAACTGATAATCACTAATTCTCAGTTGCTTGTCTCTTTTCTCAGTTGCAGCAGAGCTGCTGGCAGAAGCACCTTTAGCCAAACTTCTATTACTTTGCCTTAAACCACATTCCCTATTTCAGTTATCCTCAAACTTGAATGGCCAACAGAATCATCTGGAGGCACTTGTTAAAACACAGATTGCTGGCCCGGTGGCTCACGCCTGTAATCCCAGAAGTTTGGGAGGCTGAGGCAGGCGGATCACCTGAGGTCAGGAGCTCAAGACCAGCCTGACCAACATGGAGAAACCCTGTCTCTACTAAAATTACAAAATTAGCTGGGCATGGTGGCGCATGCCTGTAATCCCAGCTACTCCGAAGGCTGAGGCAGGAGAATTGCTTGAACCCGAGAGACACAGGTTGCGGTGAGCTGAGATCATGCCAGTGCACTCCAGCCTGGGAGACAAGAGCAAAACAAAACTCTGTCTCAAAAACAAACAAACACAGATTGCTGCCCCCACCCCCCACCCCTCAGAATTCTGAGGGTGGACTGAGGGTGGAGCCCAAGAATTTGCAGTACTAACAAATTCCCCTGCTTTCGGGGACATTACTCTAGGAACCTCTGCATCACCTAGATTCTACATTACAAGGTTTAGATCATTTTCCATATCTTTTAGGAAGCATCTGCAATAAACCCAACCCCAGTTCTCATTTGTCAGAACTACTATACCACCTTCAGTTTTCTTCCATTCCTGTGAGGCTTAGCAGGCTTATGTTTTTTAGGAATCTTTTCATTTGTATTTGTCTTGCCTTCCCAGAGAGACTGGGAATTTCCTCGAGGCTTCAGCTTTATGAATTTTTGTATCTTTGTCTCTCACTAGTGACACTGATCCAAGCACTCATTTGTTTTATTGCCCCCAAAGTACTTTTCTCAACACATCTCCTGGATGATTCTGAAGACCCTCTAGGCTGTTGCCGAAAGGGTGCAGAGCACAGCCCCCAGCCATCCTTTTTTAACCCCTGTCACTCCTGTCACCACACTGCTGCCAAGTCCTCGAGAGGTTATTCTTCCACTGGACATAGTTGCCCTTTGTTGGTGACCCTTCTGCTGCCATCACTCTGCTCTCAGTAGCACTGGTCCCCCAACTCCCAGTCTCCTTTACCTTGAGAGCCCCATAATTAGGTCTGACCCCTTTTAAAATTTTCTTTAGTAGCAGACAGGAGGCTATTCTGATGTAAATGATTTATCTAAATGGATAAAATATATACAAATAAGTAACTGCAAAGGTTAATTTATAACTACAGCCCAGGCCCAGACTATATAACCTTGGCTGTCTGACTTGCTCCCAGTGAGTTTCCACTTGGCCAGGTCCTGCCACTCACAAGAAGTAATCCTATCTTCTTTGTAGCTTGGCCTCCTGGATCCAGGGAATGAAAGACCATCCCCCCTCACTACAGTCCTAGTCACCCTAAGTCCTGGTGTTCCAGCCACTATCTCTTCCCAGGACTCTTTGAAAGTGGTAATAGCCAATTCCTACAGGGAAAGCCTTGCCTCTACCCAAAAGGAATAAATTGGCTCCATAGCCCTGCTGATATAGTCATAGTAGCTGGACATCAATACATCAATACAGTTCCCAAATACCTATTATTGATTCTTAAAAACTGCCACATGTACTTCATAAATATGTATACAATTATTATGTATCAATGAAAACTTAAAAAAATAAAATATGCAAAACATTTTTAAAACTATCTTTTTATTTGAAATATCAATGGCCATTCCTTTCTCAATTTCTCTTTACCCAGATTTAAAAAACAAAAAACAAAAAACAAACAAAAAAAAAGTTGGTGTTCAATTTCACCCAGAGTCACCTTATTACATGCATTGAATTGCATTGAGAATGTATTAATGAATAAATGCGTATACATAAATGCATATTAATTTGATCTATTAGTATTCACCTATAGGACACTGTGTGTTGGGAAACAGATTTAAATAGCTAAAACAGAACTGTAGAATCTCCGATCTTTCCTCTGCTCCTAAAGTTCTTCCTCTTTACATTTAGCCAACTCCCACTATATCAAGGTAGTTTTGTAGCAGATGAAAGTCCTTGAGCCCATGTGGTCACACAATGGGCCAGCACTTTACTAATTCTACTACCCTACTGAATAATCCTCTGCTTTGCATCTGCCAATGTTGTTACCCAGGCACCCGCAGGTCCTTGCTTGCAAGGCCCTGCCTTGAGCGAAGATTGCTGATTTGAGCCAGAGCAGTTTGTCCCCGTTGCTTATTTGTTAAGATGAGCCTGTCCATCTGTCTGCATGCCACAGACCCTGGGTGGCAAAAAGCAATAAAAGGAAAGCACTTTTTGACAGCCCTCTCGGCATAATGCCGGCTTGAACAGAGGTTATTATCTTGTAATGCCACTGTTATTTCCAACAGCCCCCAATGGATCTGCTGACTGCGGTTAGACAAAAAGGGAGACACTGTTAACACAGCCCCTACGCTTCCTAGGGGTAGCATTGTGCTGGGCTATCAGAGTGGCTTTTACTGCCTATCGATTGGTGTATCGACCGCAATTAAAGGCCCCTTCTCCCATTGACGTTGTCACTGGTATATTTATTTAATAAATCCCAGCTTGGTCCATGACCACTGCAGGGCTGACCTAGCTAGCTTCTGTGCTTCTTAATACACTGGGGAGACAAACGGGCTAAAAATATGAAGATGTCCTCTAGTACCAGCCTTGCCACTAAATTGCTATATGACCTTGAATGAATCACTTCTCTCTGGGTCTCAAGTCCCTTCTCTCTATCCCAGGTCTGACCCAAGAGGAGTCAACAATTCTGTGATTCTTATTTCAAGACATCTAGCTCCCGTGGGTTGTGGCATGAACTGGTTGAGAAGACCCCCAAAATAGCAGCAAAGTAATTGCAATGTATATTCTAATAGCAGCAGCTGTAGTAACAGAGCTGCCTCCCTCCCTGGGCTTCCTCTTTAGGGGTGATACGCCAGAATGAGAAACAAAATTACTGTGTCTGTTCAGCAAATTCCTCCTGACAAAATCTTTAAGCGTTGACAAGAGTAATATACTGAAAATTAGTTTAGAAGTGTTTCAAGTTTCAAAAATCAATCAAAATCAAATTAGGTTCTGAAGATGCTGTCTGTTGAGTTTTAGGAAAAAAATAAAGATTCGCTTCAGCAACTCGGGAAAGTGGCCTTGACCCCGAAAGAGGTGACTCTTGCACACAAAGTGGTTGTTCTTCTTTACATCTTCCTTTAAGGCCTTTGCCAAGGACTTGACCAAGTATGTCCTTGTTCTATTCTCTCAGCCATTTGTAAATAACGTACCAGCTGACCTACATTTTAATCACATTTCTCTGTCTTCTGTCTCCCAACTCCCAAGCCTCGTCCAAAGCTAAATGAGGGAAAAAAATTAAAAAATTAAAAAACCTAGTCTTATTTCCAAGGGTGGTAAAAAGGCCTGGAGATGGTGGGGAAAAGGAATTAATAGCCCGTGGTCTTTCTTAACTTGGTCTAATTGTCAAGCGCAAAAGAGCTATTTTCAAGATGTAGGCATGCATGCCTCTGTGGGGTTAAATGATGAACAGGAGTTTCAGCTTTGGCTTCATTCTTTATCCCCATATGTAACTTAAAAATCAGGGTCTTTTATAGCCTGGGAGGACAATAATAATCACTTTGACTTTTCTGCTTAAATGACAGTGGCTGTTTCCTACATACGATGACTTACCCCACCCCACTACTTCCCCTTCTTCTGTTCTTAGTGGTTTTGGGGAGTTCACAGAAGGCTTACCACGTGTTCACAAACCAGGCTGGCAGCCACAGTCACCACAAAGAGGCCCTTTTTTCTTTTTCTCTCCTGTTTATCAATGTCTATTATCTATGAAGCTGTTACACCTAACATACCTCTTGAAAGCTACCATTGCCTGGGCCAAGGGTGTCATTACCCAAAGTTTCCAAAGTCTTTTATCCTCTGGGTAGAGCTGAGAGAATGGCCTCCCCCTACTTTGTGCTTTACGGATCTGCAAGCATTTCTGTTTGGATCTAGAATCTCTTTGTTCCCAAATATTTTGTTAAAACAGTACATTTAGTTTCGAGCAAAACTCCTCTAACCATCAAGACTCAGACAAGGGATTGACAGGATAGGTATGTAGGATGTATATGTGTCTATGTGAGTGTGTGTGCACATGGGTATATGATTGTGTGTGGATTGAGTGATTAGAATTGATACTCTGCCTTGCTATGTCTGCTTCTTTCTCATCTAAGCTCAAAGCTTATCTTTGGATATATTAACATGGGCTATCTATGGCCAATATAAATGGTTGGCAGTGAAGTTTGCTTTGTGTGTCATAATAAAGCTCTTTCAGGTGGTCACTTGGAAAAAGAGAACAGTCTGCTCCAGATAATAAACTTCTTCAACTATTGAGGAAAAAAAAAAAAAGAAATGCTGCCTATTTGGAAATGATAGATTTCCAAGTTTCAAAGTCCCAACAATCTTAGGTCTCTTAGAACCAAGTTTCAGATGTTGCTTGCATTATATATGAGATTTCTGTGATGACCTCTTCATGGCCAAATCAGTAGTTTCTAACCTATTCATTCAGAGCTGTAGGCTCTGCCTACTCTCTATCCTACCCCAAAGGCACACACCTACACACGAATGCACCTGCACACAGAAGGAGAGTTGCATTGTCTGATTGGCATCTCAAACTAAGGACCCATCATTTCAAATCATCCTCTCTCCCTCTCCTCTGCATAGCTGATATTTCTGAAGATTCCATTGATGTTTCAAGTTAGTGACAACTTCCCTTAGACCCACATAATCCTCACTTTCGGTACGTATCTCAATTTCTTGTAATTCAACACATATGTATAATTAAATGAGTTGTAGCTTCTCTACTACACCAAAGACATTTTCCCTCCCTCTTTCCAAGCCCACAACAGTTACTTCAGATACATGTGGAGGACTTACCTGTTGGTGTCTCCCATCTCTCCATAGCTAGCTCTATTTTTGACAAATATCATGAGAGCCAAATGACCCTTCTTTTTGTCCTAATGTGCTTCCTTCCTTCAGTAAAATCTGAGGCCACTGTCGTGCCTGATGCTGGCTCTCCATAAGTGCCTTCGTGGCTGAGAGCACCTAGAGGGAGGACTCAATAATTTGCTATTTTCTATCCCAGCAGCCTAGAAAAGAATTTGACACACAATGTATATTTGACCAATGTTTCTTGATTAAACTAATGGAATGAAGGGAAGAAGAAAGGATAGAAAAGTGAGTGACA
This sequence comes from Homo sapiens, assembly GCF_000001405.40. Lineage (NCBI taxonomy): Eukaryota > Metazoa > Chordata > Mammalia > Primates > Hominidae > Homo > Homo sapiens. Next base: position 117,824,717 of record NC_000009.12, on the reverse strand, counting down.
AAATTAGTATGTATTTTCTGGCAATAATAATCATAATAGTATCATGTTAAACAAAAATCTGCCCTATTAAAAATACAATTTTGTCTGCTTAGTAAGTACCACTTGGGCATTTGGGAAACTCAAATATACAGAGAAAACTAAAAGTTGCAATTAATTCACTGTCCAAATAAAACTACTGCTGAAATGTTGTGTTTTTATATGTCCATTTTTCTCAAAGTATCATTAACGTATTTTCCTTAAAATTCTTATTAGTATATTTTGCTTTATAACCTCCCTTCTTTTTCTATGCTTAACTTATACCATGGGAGGTTTTTGTTATCTAATATGTTTTGAAGTTTTCTTGTAAAATATGGTTTTTAATGCATAGCATTCTATTAATATATTCAGATTAATATACACAGGTATATTGAACTAATTTCTTATTCTTTGATATTTTGGTTTTTCATTTAAGTTTATACACCTGTGTGCATCTATGATAGTTTTTAAATAAAATATTAGGTCAAAGGTTCTAAAGGGTAGACAGATGTCATGCAGGTGAGTGTCAGTATTAGACATTGCCACTTTTCTCACATTTGGGAACTCTTTGATTGCAATGGAAAAATGAAGAAGACTTCGATTATAATAGATTTTTATAAATCAGTTACTTAAACATTATATAAATAGAATAAGACCACAATTTCCCTGCACTTTAAAAGCTGGGCATAATTTTGATTCCTCCATCTCCTTTCCCGACATACAACGAATCATTAAGTCCTGTCTGTTTCACTTTCATAGTGTGTTTCCAACCTTCCTTCTTCTCCAACCCTTCTGACACTGTTATAGTCCAGGTCCCATGTTTGCATTCCTGAGTTTTCAACATTGCTCTTTGTTTAGGTTTTTTGTCTCTTATCTTTCTTTTTACTGTAACATTTCCCAAGTGTTTTCCATGAGACACTGGTCCCATGAGATACATGACCAAAGAAGTCCCATGACAAAATTATGCAATCTTACTTATTCTCTTCCCTCTTGGGGATACACCAAGCATATCAGTTTGCTAGATTTTCTAGAAAATCCTAGAGCTAAACAATCAAAACCAACAAAAACAGTAAGAAAATTTTTATTTAGCTTGCTTGAACATAAAATATACTAATCCTAACTCACACATTCTTTCAACAAATGACTGTTTGTACGATTACCATGAGTGATGGCCAGTTGTGTGAGTGTATAAGTGTGTAGATATGTGTGTGTGTGACATCTTTTAAGCACCAGTTGAACCTGTGCCTTAAGCAAACACTTTGGGTGTCACTTTTACATTGCATTTCACACAGCTGATCAAGTAATTTTTTAAATACTAGATATAATTATATATTTTTGGAAAAATTATCCAGTAAAGTAGACATTCTGAATGACTACAGTGGCATTCAAGATCCTTTAGAGTTTCCCTTAGTCATAATGTTCCAGTCTGATGTCCCATTGCACCCCTGCATCATCAGAAAATCAAAACATATCAAAGTTCTCTCTCCTCTCCAAATATGTCATAACTTTCTCAGCTTTTTATGCCTGATTTCTGCTATTTCTTCTGTTGACCTTCTCCAGTGATAATATTTGGTTTACCACTAATAGCAAATATTAAAATCTTGCAAAATCGTGCCTATCTTCTCCAGTGGTCACTTCACTCATATCCTTCAAATTTCAATGATGGCTTCTCTACAAAACATTTTCTAATGCCCTGAAAAAGCTGCCTCTTCTGTCTTAACAGCCTCCAGGTAGGCAGACTAGTGATGTTCGCCTTCCTTTTATAGATGAGAAAACTGTTTGCATAATTGTGGGTTCTCTGCACATTCTGTGATCTTTGCTAACCATCTGGTTACATCTCAAAAGATAAGAGGTTAGAGAGTGAAGAGGGTGGAGGGAGGGAGTGTCCAGGGACTTCTGGAATCTCAAAGGGGGTGAACACTTAGCTAAGACACAAGAGGCCTTAACTAAATCCCAAGTTTGTTTATGGCTGTCAGAAATGTACCTGGCATGTTCAGTTCTGATTTTCAGGGATTTAAGTTTAGCTGGCAAAGGAAGTTGTATAAACTCAGGAAATGGGACAGGAAAAAAATATGAAAGAAAGCCAGATAATCAGAACCTATTCAATTCATAAAAATGTGTCAGCTTGAATTATAGTTCTGGGGGAGATACTTGGTATAGTTCACTATTCAGTAACTATTGGCCTTTTGGGTCCCTAAATTAGCTGTTTACTGACTTATTTAAGCCAATCGTTAAAATCTCCACATTCTGAACAAACTGCGAGGATTGTGGGGCAAGCATGATGAGTACGATTATTAACAGCCTACGTTTTATTGACGTGTAAAACTATGTAGAATGATTTTACATCTAGAATACTCACCATAATACCCATTTTATAGAATGGAAAGCTAAGACTAGCTTCTGATAATGTTAAGTGACTATTCAGAGCTAACAGAAACAGGAATGACAGAGTTAGGCCTTGAAGCCATGTATTATAAATCCTAGTGATGTCAAGAGGGTTCGCATAGCATGGAGTGATTTAGTAAGCACCTACTTCTCGGTTTTTAGGACTGCCAGGCATTGAGGAAGCAGAGGCATCCATGAGACAGAGAGAGGGAAGTCAGAGGGCATGAAGCTCTGCAGATATAATGTTGAGGGCAAGGACAGGGGCCAGAGCCTGTCTTCCTGGTTTGTTCTTCCTGCCTCTGGCTCTTGTCTTTTATCAGGAATGAAAGCATTACCTGTGTTATCTGAACAATGGTCTAATCTCTTTCAGTACCTGGTGCTGAGATAGATTTGGCTAGAACACATTGGGAAGGGATTTATGTAAGACTTGAATATGTTATTAACTGTGGGCAGCTGGAGTTTTAGATAAATGATGATGAATATATGTTTATTATTTTGATCACTTATTTTATAATGTTTCTTGAAAGTTTACTCTGTGTCAGATATCATGCATAGCTCTCAGCTGTATGAAACAGACGAAGCCCTTTGTATTTAAGGGGCCCAGACTCCAACAGACATAGTGATAAGGTAAATCTTAATCTATCTGGGGCATCTGGAACATTTCAATAGACAAAATTATGGATATGTTTTCTGGAAGCATAGACACACACATATGTGTACTCATACACTTTTACTTATGGGCATGAGATGAGAAATTCAGAATCTATTTAGACTTCTCTAAAGACCAAACATTTCCCTCCTAGACATCCATAAACCTCAGGTAAAGGATTCTAGGACAGAGCATCATTAATGTGAACAAATTTTTATTGCTTCCTACAGTATTCAGGGCAGTAGGAATAAAAGGGTAATGTCCAATTGACTGTTGTCAACTCACATCACTACCACATCCTTGTAAATCTCCATGACATTGTGGAAAGGCAGACAAATTACATTCTCAAGGACCTTTTTGCGCAGTGTGTAGTAGTTCTAGGTTAGAACTTGATAGTGAGAGACATTAGATCTGGAAAGCAGAAGAGAGTAAGAATCCATTATCAACTGAGATATTTCTAGTCATTTACATTAGAAAGTCATGAAATTTGCAATGGCTTGCCAGGAAGCTTTTAAAAAACACATATACTCAGTACAATGGACTGAGATGGATGGCAGGAGCTTCCCAGAGATTCTTTTGAATTCAAGTTGTGTTCTGGATAATGCCTGAGAACAACCCACTTCTGTGTTTCAGGATGAGGTCTGCAATGACAACTTTCTGATCCTTGCTCCCTCAGCTTCCAGTGGTTGGGTAAGCCATTAATTTCCTATTTAGTACTTGTTACATGGAATACATCAAATGGTTTCTGTTTTCTTGACTGAACACTGACTGATACATGGAGTAAGGTATAGTCTCTATTTTTGTTCTCCAAGGTGTAAAGATTTTTTTCTGTAAAGAGATAAATAGCAAATATTTTTGGCTTTTCCTGGCAGAGTATCCTTTTTGTAACTACTCAACTCTGCCATTGCATCACAAAAGCAGCCATAGACAAGATGTAAACAAATAAAAGTAACTGTGTTCCAATAAAATTTTATGTATCAAAATAAGTGCTAAAACCTACATCAAGAAGATAGATCTCAAATTAATAATCTAATATCACACATAGAGGAACTGGAAAACAAGAATAAACTAACCCCACAGCTAGCAGAAGAAAAGAAATAACTAAAATCAGAGGAGAACTGAATGAAATTGAGACTCAAATATTTGTACAAAGGATCAACAAAAACAAAAGTTGTTTTTGAAAGGATAAACAAGATCAATAGACCGCTAATTAAATTAATAAAAAAGAGAGAAAATCCAAATATGCACAATCAAAAATGACAAAGTTGACATTACAAGTGATTCCACAGAAATACAAAAGATCTTCAGAGACAATTATCAACACCTCTATGCACAAAACCAGAAAATCTAGAAGAAATGGATAAATTGCTAGAAACACACAATATCCTAAGATTCAATCAGGAGGAAATTGAAATGCTAAACAGAACCAATGTTGAGTTTTCAGTTCTAAAATTGAATCAGTAATAAAAGACCTACCAACCATAAAAGCCCTTGACCAGATGGATTCACAGCCAAATTATACTAGACATACAAAGAAGAGCTGGTTCCAATTCATCTGAAACTATTCCAAAAAATTGAGGAGGAGGGATGCCTCCCTAACTCATTCTATGAAGCCAGAATTACCCTGATACCAAAACCTGACAAAGATACAACAAAGGAAAAGTACAAACAAATATCCCTGATGAACAGAGGTGCAAAAATCCTCAACAACATACTAGCAAACCAAATACAACAGTTCATCAAAATGTTAATTCATCACAATCAAGGAGGCTTTCTTCTTGGATAGTTCAACATAGGCAAATCAATAAATGTGATTTATCACATAAGCAGAATTAAAAGCAAAAAACTATATGATTATTTCAGCAGACACAGAAAAAGTTTCTGATAAAATTCAATATCCATTCATGATAAAACCCCTAAAAAAATCTGGGCATAGAAGGAACATACTGAAAATAATAAGAGCCATCCATGATAAGCCCACAGTCAACATCATATTGAATGGGCAAAAACTGGAAGCATTCTCCTTAAGCACAAGAACATAACAAGTATATCCACTTTCAACACTCCTATTAGAATAGAATAGAATAGAATGGAATAGAATAGAATAGAATAGATTATTTGGATTCAACAATCCAAATAAGAAAAGAAAATGTCAAATTATCTGTCTTCACTGATGATAGGATTTTATACCCAGAAACCCCAAGAAACTCCATCAAAAGGCTTCTAGAACTAAAAAATGCTTTTAGTAAAGATCTAGGATACAAAATCAATATATGAAAATTAGTAGCATTTCTATACACCAATAACATTCAAGCTGAAAGCCAAATCAAGAATGCAACCCCATTTACAATAGCCACAAAGAAAATAAAATGACTAGGAATACATTTAACCAAGGAGGTAAAAGATCTCTACAAGAAGAATAACAAAACTCTGATGAAATAAATTATAGATAGCACAAAAAAAATGGAAAGACACACTATGCTCATGGATTGAAAGAATCAATATCATTAAAATGGCCATACTGCCCAAAGAAATCTACAGATTCAATGTTATCCCTATCAAATTACCAATGTCATTTTTCACATAATTAGAAAAAAAATTAAAATTCATATGGATCCAAAAGAGAAGCACAAATAGAGAAAAACAACTCTAAGCAAAAAAACAAAGCTGGAGGCATCACACTACTTGACTTCCAACCATACTATAAGGCTACAGCATGGTGCTGTTACAAAAACAGACACCTAGACCAATGCAACAGGTTAGAGAACCCAGAAATAAAGCTGCACACCTACAGTCATTTGATCTTCAACAAAGTCAACAAAAATAAACAATAGAAAAGGACTCCCTATTCAATAAATGGTGCTGGGATCACTGGTTAGCCTTATGTAGAAGGATGAAACCAGATCCCTACATTTCATCGTATACAAAAATTAACTCCAGATGGATTAAATATTTAAATGTGAGACCTTAAACTATAAAATCCTTAGAAGAAAACTTAGAAAATACCCTTTTCGACACAGGCCTTGGCAAATAATTTATGGCTAAGTCCTCAAAAGTGATTGCAAAAATAACAAAAATTGACAAAGGGGACCTAATTAAACTAAAGAGCTTTTGCACAGCAAAATCAGCCATCAACAGAGTAAACAGACAGCCTCCACAATGGGAGAAAATATTAGCAAACTATGCATCTGACAAAGGTTTAATATCAAGGATCAATAAGGAACTTCAGCAACTCAACAACCAAAATACAAATAACTCCATTAAAAAGTGGGCAAAGGACATGACTAGACACTTCTCCAAAGAAAACACACATGCAGCCAACAAACATGAAAAAATATTCCGCATCACTAATTATTATAGAAATGCAAATCAAAACCACAATGAGATACCCTTTCACACCAGTCAGAATGGCTATTACTAAAAAGTCAAAAAATAACAGATGCTGGCAAGGCCCGGGAGAAGAGAGAATGTTTACATACTGTTGGTAGGGAATTAGTTCAACCACTGTAGAAAGTAGTTTGGAGATTTTGCACAGAACTTAGAACTACCATTCAACTAGCAATCATATTATTGGACAGGTACCCAAAGGAAAATAAATTCTACCAAAAATACACATGTATGTTCATGTGTATGTTCATCACACCACTATTCACAATAGCAAAGACATGGACTCAACCTGGGTTCCCATCAACAGTGGATTGAATAAATAAAATGCGGTGCATAGATACCATGGAATACTCTGCAACCATAAAATAAAATAGAATAAAATCATGGTTTTTGCAGCACATAGACAGAGCTGGAGGCCATTATCCTAAATGAATTAACAGAGGAACAGAAAATCAAATACCATATGTTCTCTTGTGCAAGTGGGAGCTAAACATTGGGTACACATGGGCATACAGATGGGAATAATAGGCACTGGTGACTATCATAGAAGAAAGAGTGGGAGGAGGGCAGTGGCTAAAAAACTACCTATTGGGTACTATGCTTACTACCTGGGTGACAGGCTCACTGATACTCCAAACCTCAGCATCATGTAATAAATCCATGTAACAAACCTGCATGTGTACCTCCTATATCTAAAATAAAAGTAGAAATTATTAAAAACAAAACAAAATGTGTTGTACTCTACCCAAAATAAATTCGGCATTGTTTCTTATAATAATTTTAGTTAGATTTTAGCTCTCCACTGTTTATATTTCATCAAGTTTTATTGAGTTTAATTATAAAATCCATACTTATTTGTTAAGAAATGCTGGCTTGATATTTTCCAATGACAATTAAATTTTATCCAAAGGGAAAAAAATGTATTAGAATAAAAACTGCAAGAAACTTTAAACAAAAACTTTATATATAAAAACAGCAGGCCAGATTTGGCAGGCAGGATACATTTTGCCAACTTCTGCTTTAGAAGATTGAATTAATCATAATTCTCAGTTCATGGCTTACTGTCCCATTGATCCATGAAAGCTCTCTCTTCAAGTTTCCTCATTTGATTTTTTTTAAATGTATATATTTCCTATATACCTATTCACCACTTCCATTCCCTTCCCCACTAGCCATTCTGAGATAGATAGGTAGATAGATAGATAAATACATAGATACATACATACATAGGTAGAAGATAGATGATAGATATAAAATGGGTATATATTCATTTTAATATGTTCAGTATAGATTTTTTCTTAGTGTAGGTCTTTACAAAACATGTATAGGTATTTCACATATTTTAACTTTAAATGAAATTAACTTTTATATCATATTGTTTCTTCATACAATGTCATATTTTTAATAGTACATTATACAGTCATAATGTATTAATTTAGTAGGTTATCTCTAACTGATAAATAGGTAGGAGTGGTATATGTTAGTATTATTCACCAATACCTAGTTCTCATTTCCAGAGTCATCAAATGAAGTGATTGTTGACCCAGAATGTTTGTCTAGACACTCACTAGACTCTGCATCAGTGAAAATTAAATATGTTAGTGTTCATTTATTACCGTAGTATTACCTATCCTATCCTTGTATGTTGCTTTTAGGTACTCCATAGTGTACATCTAAAACATCAAACCCATCTACTGTCCTAGGAATGGATCACTGGTTTGCTTAGGCAGCATAGCATAGCGGTTAAACTCACAGTCTCTGGAATCCAAGTGTTTGGTTAAAATCCTGGAGCCACCACTTACTAAATATGTAATTTAGGGCATGGTTGCTTACATTTTTGACTTCAGGTTCTTTGTCTGTAATATAGGGATATTTATAATGCATACCATGTGGTGTTATCCTTAAGATTAAATTATTAGCATCACATTTTGAAACCTTAAAGTAATTTTTAGCATTTACAAGTTACACGTGCTTTTAAAAATTAAAAAATAAAATTAACTGCGTGCCACCAACATTTTAAAACTAGGATTTAATCTGTAGGGCCCTTCTGTGGTAAATATTTCGTGCTTGCAGAGGATGAGCAGGGCAGGTATTGTTGCCCACAATTTGCAGAAAAGAGAACCAAGATTCAGAGAAGTGAAGTCAGTTCTCTAAGATCATGCTGCTTGTAATAACAGCAAGATTCAAACCTGTCTCCCTGGCTCTAAGAGTAACTCCTGAGTTTCTTTGGTCTATAGTAATAGGGGACTCTATGTATGGAAAAGCTATTCAGCAGAACCTGTTATGATGGATATTAACACAAGAGCTCCAAGTGGAAGACTTGCTGAATTCTAACCGGGCAGTGGTGGAAGTGGGGAAGCGAAGGGAGGGAGAATGAAAGACAGGAGTGTGGGAGGGCAGAAGCTGCCAGTGAGGTGAGGTGAGATGTTTCCCCAAGGATAGAGGGAAGGAAGGTTAAAGGCATATTGATCTTGAGTGGGAAAACATTCTTTTTATCCTGCCTTCAGATCATCTGGCATCAAAAAAGGGTCTGTTACCAAGCTCAGCTTTGGAGATGGGGCAAAAGATACAACAGAGGAACAACCATTTACTGACATGGAGGGCACCAACGTGGTTTTTGATGATATGAGCTAAGCTGCAAGGTAGAGGCGATGTGGAACCTGTTAAAATATGCTTTAAGTGGCGGGCAGGCAGCAGCCAAGCTCAGGCATCATCTCAAAAAGAACCCGTTTCCTGACCTAAATATGGGGCTGGCTTTCTTTTCAAAAGAAGTTGCAAAACCACCCAGGTCAAACCCACAGAGGCAACAGAGCATGCTATAATTTCCAAGGTGCTTCCCCAACAATTACTTTCTAGAATTCTCAGAGCTATCCTGTGATAGTAGGCTGGGCTCTGTTTATTATTCTCGTTTTACAGATGATGAAACTGAGGATGAGAAAAGACAAGGACACAGGACCACAGAGACAGTGGGAGAAGTAGGAGCAGATCACGGCTTCCTTATAATTGCGCGATTATCTCCGCACCAGAGCACATTATATCTGGCCAAATTGACTTTTCACAAGGTAGGGTGATGGTGTCCCTGTATGGATATATATGAATGTATCTATCAACCTAACTCAATTATATATTTATGTGTCTTCATTTCCCATTCATCTTTATAATCTATCACTTATGATCAATTCCCATTACCTGTTAATATTTTCATAATTATCTGTATCCAAGTAGCTGTAAATTATTTGTCTATTACATCTCCTGATTGGTCATCTTTACATAGTTTTTACACTGACTCATGTGTTGTATGTATAATTAATCACACCGTGAAGGAAAGCACAAGAGCATTGAAAACATCAATCTATGGTTATAACCCTTGTATTCTTAACATTGTCTCACTGATTTACTTAACCTCTCTGAGTCTCAGTTTTCTTCCTTGCCAAGTAGAGACAGAAATGCCCCTCTCCTGGGGCTTGGAAGGTCTCCTAAAATAGTGGTTATAAGATGCTGGGCATAGTGCCTGGATCAGAGTAGACTCCCAGATGTAATTCTTCCTTTCTGCTTGCCTCTGCCAGAACCTTGTTTTTACTCTTCTGGTTATTTAGCTTTTCTATTGTTTCCAGTTGGTCTTCACTTATCTTATCTCTGAGCCTCAATGTCATATATCATATGAGTGGATTATTTCAGGATTTGTCACACAGTTTTGAGAATTACCCATTATAGGTCAGATGCCATGACTTGGCAATCTGGCTGTAAGCTTCTTGAGGGTAGAGCTTCCCATTTACCATTTAGAAAACCAAGAAGTCATCCGGAATTCCCTACTCTGAATCATCTGGAGAACTTTGCATAGGGCTTTACTCCTAATCAGTGTCAAGTGAATATTTAATAAATTAGATAAAGAAGCGTTCTCAGGGAGCATATTTGAGCTCAGGAGAATGTAGGAGTATAAGCATGCAGGGGTTGATTCTCCATGTAACATTCAAGAACTGGGGTGGCAGAGTCCTCTGAAGTTTTCCCAGAAGAATTATTTAACTAATTCCTTCCGTCTGTATTTCTTGACCAACTAATCTATGCTGGCTCCTGTGATATGTGCTGGGGTTACAAAGCTAAACCAGACACATGTCTGCAATGTGAACCATAAAGAAACAATTCCATTCTAATGTGTTGAGGGCTGGGATAGACGGATGCATGGGGAACATTAGAAGCAGAGAGAGATAGAGGGCATGATGTTGGGCATCTGATATTTTTCCTCCAGTATTTTTTTTCTCTTTTCACCTTGTAAGAGCACACCTTTATTTTGAAGAGCTAAGGATCCACCATTTAATGGTGTTCCTGGCATTCTTGTGGCCACTGGCTAATTGTAAACCCCTCCTCTTGGCTACAATCATTGGCTCATATATTGGTGTGTGATCCAACGTGGTCCAATAAGAGTCCTTCCCTGGAAATTTATAAGCAGATACTAATAGAAGCTCTTTCTTTCCTCTAGATGACAAAAGTCACTTAACAAGCCAGGAGCTATGTGCTGCTTGACCCACCACTCTAGCCATTGCATGGAAAGCCTCTTCATGATATAAGAAAATGAAATCAAACCATAAGGTGAAGCAGGTAATTGTGATAAAGAATAAACAAGTTCTGGATAATTTTTAAGTGTCTAGAGCTCCCTGAGGTCATTCTATCTTTGTATTTCCCAATTACATGAGCCAGTATACTCTCATTTTGGTTTGAAATTTGAATTTCTTATACAGCTATTTTTATATAGCTGTTCTACTACTTCAAATGTGTATAGTATTTTGTACCATTATCTTGTTTTAATCCCAAGACAATATTGTGAGATCAGTTGGTATTATATTATAATACTATTTTCGTAAGAAAACTGAAATCAGAAAAGTAATGATGCAGCTGAATTTGGTGAAGGTAATTGTACCTGAATCTGAGAGATAAATAAAACTTTCTGGTATTTAGGGCAGGATTCTAATCTCATTCATCTTGAGGTCTGATTACCAGACCACACATTTTAGTGTTCTTTCCTGGCATTAATATGAAGCCTATCACAATATCCTACTATTTCATATCCAGAAATATTGGTTGGAGTTCAGTTAATACTTCTACATTGCTAACAATATGTGGGATTAATGTTGCTCCCTCTCTGTTTTTCTCATATATATGAGATATTTATAAGATATGTACACTTGTATGAGAGAGCCAGAGATGGCATGTATGTACATGAGATACATATAAACACATGTGTATGTATAAATTACATATATAATATATAACAAAACACACATGTAAAATACATATATAACGTTTACATATATGTATAGTGTGTATTATTTGTGCACATACTATATTTATCATTCTGACTCAGAGAATTTAATTAAGAAACATGCTTTAGAGGTGTTGATCAGAATTCCCTGGATAAGGTCCATTGCAAATGCCACTTGATAATGATGCATTTATTTTGTTTCCAAAACGTGAACTGTCAGCCTTAAATTGAAACAGGTTGATGCAATGTGATCACATTACATCAGTTTGACTTCAGATAAAGTGTATGTTTGAAATGTAACCATGTGATTGGTTTTAGCAATGTCTTTTAAAAGCTTGTGGTCACTTGTTTTGGACAACCCAGTTTTAGCAATGTCTTTGAAAAGCTTGTAGTCAGTTGTTTTGCACAACCCAGCTTCTGACTTACTGGATATGCTTGAAGTACCTGGTCAGCCCATCACTGATCGTTGTTGACAAGAGGCCAATTACTTGATTGCAAATGATGTCAAAGGCTTTCAACTGACCTCAGTCCTGGGAAGAAGCTAGTTAAAAAGCTTGTTACTGATTTCTTCTTCCAAATATTCTATCTTTGAATTTTTATTAATTAGACTGTCAGAATCTTACTAATTTAGAGAGCATCCATATAAATTGATTCTGTCTTTTACAGTTTTAAAAATATGCATACATCTATTAAGATTTTAATACCGATATCTGCATTATTGATGTTGCTACTGTTATGTGGATGTGGGGATGGGAGTTCCTTGTTGGTTGGTTTGTTAATGTAAGGCAAGAGTATAAGAAAAAAACACTCCTGGAAGATTGATTGTTTTTTCCAGTCAAAGCCTTGTCTAGGAGACATAATTTAAAGTGCTGTTCATTGACCCTTGTGAAACACCCAAGTGATAACGTCTATCTAATGTTGCGTATCAGAAAAAAATTATATCAGGAATGGGTATGCTTACTGTGTCAAGCCAAGCTTTACCTTTTCTATACCACTTTAACTTGAAGATAAAATACACATTTAATGCTAAATAGTAGGTTTTTTCTCCAAACTAATTTACTCAACAATTACTGTATCACAACCAGCACTCATTGAATGATGACTGTCTGCTAAGAACTTTGCTGATTTCTTCCATTCATTATCTCATTTATCTCCCTGATGGAATTTTTTTTAAATTTTTATTATAACTTAATCAAAATATATACATACCCATGGCTTGAAAAAGTGCTCAGAATGGTTTATAATTAAAAAGAGTTTTGCCATACCACATTCTTGATTCCTGCTACTCAAAAGGAATCTCATTTCTCAAAATCAATGCTGGCATTATTTTCTAGTATTTAGCAGCATACTTCTAAAAGTTTATGTGTCTGGTAATATTGTTTGACTTATCAACTTTAGGCATGTTTTTCTCCACATTTAACATCTTTCCATAAAGTAAGCATAATTATAATATGGTTTCATTTAAAATAAAATATATATGTTCATATTGTCATATTTACATAAAAGAACATGAAATTTGCTTTTTCTTCCTCTAATATTTTCATGTATTTTAGTGGAGTCAGTAATTGCCTATCTTTACTTTCACAATATTTTATAGGCTAACATCATTTTTTTTTTTTTTTTGAGATGGAGTCTTTCTCTGTCACCTAGGCTGGAGTGCGATGGTACGATCTCGGCTCACTGCAACCTCCATCTCCCGGGTTCAAGAGATTCTGCTGCCTCAGCCTCCCGAGTAGCTGGGATTAGAGGTGCCCACCACCATGTCCAGCTAATTTTTTGTACTTTTAGGAGAGATGTGGTTTCACCATGTTGGCCAGGCTGGTCTTGAACTCTTGACCTCTAAGTGATCCGCCCACCTCAGCCTCCCAACGTGCTGGTATTACGGACGTGAGCCACTGGACCCAGCCGTATCATTTTTTAACACACCATCACATACACTAAGCACTAAATGATCATTTCACATCATCTATAGTTTTTTTTGTTGTTATTTTTTTAACTCCACGTGCCAGACCTCTTACCTTGTTCTTTTGCTCCATTTGGAAGTTTGTTCCCTGAGCCTTATATAAAATGATCCATCTAGAACTTCCTTCCATTATAACTGTAAAACTTCGTTATGAGATTTTTCTAAAATGGAAGATGTGTTTCACGGATCTTATTACTCCCACTTTCATATTTAGTCCTTCAACCTTATAGGAGTGTATCTCCTAATAGCTTACTAAGCAAATATATGGGAAGTAGTACTTACAAGCCTTTACTTACCTGAAGTTATTCTTTCATGTTTACTATATGTTTATGATTCAGCTGGTTGGAAATATTGTCTCTCAAATTTTTAAAAACATCACTTTGTCTTCTAACAATTCTGCACTGTCTTTGAGAGGATTGATATATCCTGATTATTTTTTCTTTTTAAAGATGGTCTTCCCCATCCAAACTGGAAGTGTTTAGACGTTTCTATTTACCCTTTCATTTCAAGTCATGAAAATGTATGATGCTGTGGCCTTTTCAGTATCTTTTCTTTTCTCTTTCTTTCTGTAATCTGGCCACTTACTGGAAAATTTCAATCTGGAAACTCTTTTCTCCTTCAGTTCAAGGAATTTTATTTATTTGTATTTTAGAAATACCTGTAATACCTATTACCTAAAATCATTCTTTCTAAATTAGCTCTTTAATATTCTTATCTTTTATCTCCCACCACAACAATTAGGTCCTGCCAAGAGACAGGAATCACACAGTAATTTTGACAGGGAACATTTAATATGAAAATTATTAATTAAAATGTGATATTGTAGTAATGAGGAATTAGCTAGTAAAAGGTAAAGATAACACTAGAGAATATAAGAGTAGCAGGCATAGGTAAGGGCCACAATCCCTAAGGTTATAATCGAACACCAAGGGAAAATCCCTCCCCTACTTCTAAGGTGGATCTAGATTCCACTGGAGAGGGTGTGACCATGGATAACTGAATTACCATTCACCTCAGAGAAGTTCACTGAGGTGCTTCACCGGCAGGATTTACCACAGTCTGTACTCTGCACTGCCATGTCGTAGCCTTCCACAGAGAGGTGCCATACCCAAGAACGCAACATGAAACCAAACAAGAGAGTTCTGGGGAAGTGAGGCAGGTCCCATGTACTGCTGACCACTGGGCTACCACACTCTACAGGGGTTGGGTGCTGTAGAAGCTGTGTGTGCTACAGGAACCCAGGGAGAAGGGCAAACTAGAGCCAGGAAGAAAAGACCCTTCATTCTCTAGTTTTCCTCCAGTTTCATGCCAACTGGCAAAGAAGGAATATTCATAAGGCCCATCTCCCTTGTCTTAGAGAAGGCTATAAAGGATGCATTTAGAGCTTACAGGCAGTACTTGGAAAACTGTCCCACACAATTTTTATCTTTTTGCCATTTTCTACTGTCTGAATATTTTCTTAACTTTGTCTTGTAACTTTTTATTGGATTTAAAATTTCAGTCAAGGTATGTATATGTACATATATACATGTATATATATATACACACATAATTTGTAAGAATTATTTCCTGTTTTTTTATTATCTTTTATGCCATCCTCTTCGTTTTTTTCAGGTACAACTTCTAGGCTTACATTATTAATAAGCTTTGGTTCAAGTTTTATTTCACTCCCTGTCATATCTGTTTTCTTCCAGCTTTTCCTTTCATATTTATTGGTTTAGAATTTTCCCAATCATTTTGGATGCCTGGAAACTATTAGTTGATCCTTTACTGCTTTTTCACCTTCTAGGTACAAAAAAACTAATTTGAAGCTTTGAGCAAATTGGAGGGGTTTCTCACTGGGCTTTATTATCAAAGTGAAGGAGTAGGGAATCACTAATTTCACTAACTGATCACAGTAACCATATTTGAAAGTCCTTTTTCTAGGGCCATTCAGATTTATTCCATCCCCCTGCCTCTGATCTCTGGGCACAACTTCTCTGTGGTTTACGAGAACTCAGGAGATGGAGTGATGTTCAACTCCTTCATACACAGACATTCAATCAGCCCCCCAATTTTTACCATCCTCATATATCTGTTGTTATATATTGACTTCTTAGGATGAATTGGTTTGTTTTTCATCAGTATCTCCCTCTGCAGACACTTATTTTGTGGTTCTGCATCTCTTTGTTGAATCTTCCATCTTCAATTCCTAAAACTTTTTGAAGTCTCTTATGGAGTGCCTTTTCTTCTTCAATTTTTTTGGTTCTTGTAGATTTGTATGATTTTTTATTTCTTTACTATCACTTGAGAGATGCATTTGGAAAGGAAAAGATAAATGTGTTCTTCTATTGTATGTTATTTTCTAATTTAACAGGCTTATTGAACAATTGTTTATTGAAGTCAAAATTCTTCTTAGAAATGATCTAGTCACAAATAATAAATTGTTTTAAAAATTAATCTTGAAAAAATGATAATTCTCTCATCTGAGAAAATACATGAAGAAGAAAAAAATTGGGTGAGTGAATGAGAAAAGGAATGAAAGCAGAAATAAACAATTGTCATATCGGTGGAGAGTAGGGTGTAGTAGAAAGGACAGTGAGCTGACAGAATCTGAGTCCTGGTTTGTGTCTCACTTGCTGAAAAGCCCTGGGCAAGTCAGCTCTTTAACTGATCTGAATCTCCTCATCTGTACAGTGGGTCAGGGAAGGTTGGGACAAGAAATATGAGGGATCCCTTCAGGACTTACAGTCATCTCTGCTCCTTATCTTTATCTTCTTTTAAAAAAAAATAACAAATAAATTTAAGAATAAGGGAGCCCAGAATTTTCTTAAAGCACTGATTCTCAACTACCGGGGTGCCACAGACCCCAGTGAGAAGCTGATAAATTTGATGTGGTCTTTAGGAGCATGTACATATACAAGGAAACATTCAGTTTAGAATTTCAGAGTTCTCAGGCATCTGAAGACTCACAAGAGGATTGCCATAGCCATGAAGGAATGTTGACCTTAGAGCTTTTGTTCTCCTCCAAGGTGACCTCTGGACTTTGTCTTCCGCAGGGGACTGCTGATGTGTGTTTCCTTGGGATTTTGAGGCATCCCAGAACATAGTGAAAAAAATGCAAAGATTTTCCTTGCATGTAAACCTTGTCATTCAGGTGAACTAATTTTCTCTTTGTAAATCAGGACATTTGCAAATGTTTCATTAGCTTTGGCCCAGATAACTCCGTAACAAATGCATTTGCTATGTGGTGCAGATGATGTATCAGCACAAACATCTCACTGGGCCCCCATTAATTATATACATAGAATGAAGGAACTGAGAAGATGCAGTCACAGAAATTCCGTTTAGGGGTATATTTCCCTGGGAGAACTAGATACCTTATGATGAAAGAATACTATAAGCTATCTGACCTATTTTTTTTTCAACAAACATGAGAGTGAATCGTTCATTCTTTGTTTCATTTAGTTGCCTAATATTTATTGAGCATCAAGCAAGGATGCTAGGTGCTAGAGATAAATAAATAAACAAAAGAGATATAGCCCTTGTCCTCATGGAACTAACGTGTGGAGGTGATAATTAGAAAGGGATCACAGAAAAGAATATAAAATTACCATAATTATCAGGAGTTGTGAGAGCAGTTAAAAGGTTTGGGGGTTGGAACACATCTGGTAAGGAGAGGTCAAGGACATTTTGGCAAAGGAAGTGATGTTAGAGCTGAATTCTGAAGGGTAAGTTGGAAGTAAACTGGCTGAAAAGTTGGGGAAAGGGGAGCTCAAGAGTTATAATACATTGGGCTGAGGCACATGTGCAATATTTGTTGAAAAGAAAAAAAGTCCAGTGATGCAGGAGGATAAAAATATAATTAGAGGAGATTGGAAAGGCATAGGAGTCGCTCATGCCGCGTCTATTTTGACTTTTAATGCAGGGGCAATGAGAAGCCTATGGGGGAATTGAAGGGATGCAGAAATTAATCAAAACACCAATGCAAAGAACTTCAGGTTAAGAATTGGCATGAGAAAAGCATTTAGTGAACGTTTCCTGTGTGTACCATTAGACCAGCAATAGGCAGACTTTTCCACCAAAGGCCAGACAGTAAATATTTTAGGCTTTGTGGGCTATGATGAGTTTTTTTTGTTGCATTTATCTTTTCCTTTTCTCACAACACTTTACAAATATAAAACCAATCTTCTCTCAAAGACAATGTTAAACTAGACTAAAGGCAGGATTTGGGCCCCCAGTGTGTGCTCAACCCCTGCAATAGATGACCATAAGCTCTATGAGGAAAAAAGGTAATAGTTCTCTTACTCACTATGAATTTCCAGTGCCCAAAACAGCATCAGGCACATAGTGGGTACTTAATGTAAATGTATTTAATTAATCAGTGGCTGAACCAGGTGTTTTAATTACTTAATATATCTATTGATGAGAGAAACAAATGATATGCTGGTATCATTGTCATTGACTTTTTCATTATTGTTGCCATTGTTATTCTTGCTGTCATTCTTCACAAGTCAAGGATAAGAAAATAGTTACATTTGCCCAAAATCATATAGCCAACAAGTGACAGAGCCAGAATTTAAACAAAGTCTATAAAATTTCTAATCCTATGCTCTTTCTTATGATTACACTGCCTCTTTTGTAAATGACACATAAACACTGTGTAATATTAGTAAACATCAGATGACAGAAGCACCACCAAATACTAAGGGGGAAATGTGCCATTCAGAATGAGGGACAGAGAACATGCACCAATCTCCTCCTTTCTCCTGAGATGATGATAAATGTCAAAGACTTGGAACCAACCCACATGCTCATCAAGGATAGACTGGATTAAAAAAAATGTGGCACATATACACCATCGAATACTATGCAGCCATAAAAAAGGATGAGTTCATGTCCTTTGCAGGCACATGGATGAAGCTGGAAACCATCATTCTCAGCAAACTAACACAAGAACAGAAAACCAAATGCCGCATGTTCTCACTCATATGTGGGGATTGAACAATGAGAACACATGGACACAGGGAGGGGAATATCACACACCGGGGTCTGTCAGAGGGTGGGGGGCTAGGGGAGAGATCGAATGAGAAGAAATACCTAATGTAGATGATGGGTTGATGGGTGTAGCAAACCACCATGGCACATGTATACCTAGGTAACAAAGCTGCACGTTCTGCACCTGTATCCTAGAACTTAAAGTATAATTTTTTAAAGAAAAAAAAAGAATGTTTATGGGCAGGAAGGTTTAACACAAAAAATAATAAAGTAAGGGAAGGAGAGGGAGGGAGGGTAAAAGAAGGAAGAAAGGAGAGAGCATGGGAGAGAATAAAACAAAAGAAAGCATCATGGATGAGAGAAGTCAAACACTTTTCAGGATCAGATGAGACTGTTCACTGATGAGACAGATGTGTATGTATGAAAGAGGTATTCACTAATGTAAGAATTACCTGCCCAATAGGTTACAGATATGAATCTCTCTCATAACCTCCTATGACCAGGTATTACTGCAGGTTCTGTGGATTTTTATCTATCAGGGAAGGAAGGTGTCTGTCTCTTCTTGCAAGCATTTCAAATGTTTATGTTATTTTCTTGGCATTCCTATTACTTGGTTTGGAAGATGTTGAGAATTTCCTTTTCCTTGTCTCATGAAAGAAGAGAAAACAACTTATCTAGGAAATTACATTTTTCACAATGGCAGCAAAAACTCAGGTTACTCTATGTCTGCCATCCCCTTTACCTACTCTAGTCTTCTTATGCAGATTGAGGAATGAGGAAGAGGGATGCTAGTGTTCCTAATAGGAGGGTTGCTTGCTGGTTCCTTGCAAGATCTAGAGGTCAGACATGAAGGAACGTGGCCCCAAAGTTGGCTATTCTTAGGTTTCTATTTAGAATATAAGTGATGGGATATTTTATCTTTAGCTTTGAGACTTAGATACAATTTAGACAACACAAATAAAAATTTCATCAAACATCTTATTATAGCAATATTTAGTCCAGTTTGGAAAAATAGCACTGAAAATTACAGGAGGACATTTTCTGAGGGATATTGATAGTGGGAGTGATTTGACAGAAACTCTAGTATAATTGTTAGCGTGGAAAGACTTAAAGATATCATAAAAGGACAGAGCACAGGGAAAAAAAGATAATTAGAAATTCTGGAAATAAACACATAAACCAAAAACAATAATATATTTAAAATATGAAGCTAACTAAAAAAAATGAAGCTAACTAAAGCATGACATAATTTTGAGCTATTTTATGTTTTTTTATTAGCAGAGTCTACAATTTGACTGATGTTGTGAACATCCCCCTTGGCCTGATGGTGGCCAATGCCATTAGAAGCAATGTGAAGGCAAAGTTGTAGCATTTTCTTTGGCTTTATATTAATTCGGTTTTCAAATTCAATTGTTAGAAGCAGCCTAGAAACACACCACAGAGGACTGAATTAGGTGACACTCTCAGGATACAGGTTCAGCCCTTGCTCTACTTTCCCTCTTAAACTTTGCCCCCTTATTACCTTGCTTGCCTGACCTTAGTCCCAGTCCTGTCCTAGCATTCCTAACCACTATGCAAGGCTGCATTATTTTATCTATCATCACCATAGCAAAGTGACTGGCATCTTGTAGGTCCCTGCCACTCAAAGAGTGGTCCAAGGACCAGCAGTATGAGCTTCTTCTGTAATCTTTTATGAAATGCAGAATCTTAGGTGCTACCCCAGACCTACTATAAAAGTATTTGCATTTTAACATAATCCCTAGATAGATTGTATGTTCATCGAAATTACAAATCACTGCCCTAACTGAATTTTCTTCTTAACGAGGACCTACCTACTCTTATACCTATTTAAACTAGTTGTTCGGATTTGTGTGTGTGTGTGTGTGTGTGTGTGTGTGTGTGTGTGTGATTTTAAAGCTGTCACTATAAAATACAGAAAAATCTCAGAATGAGAACTGGCGAGAAAGAGTAATACAATGGTAACGATCACACAATTTGGAGTAGAACAGCGTTGACTTCAAGTTTTAGTTTCACCACTGTATAGCTGGGCACCTATTTACCTTTCCTTAACTTCAATCTTCTCAAATGGGCACATTAGTCAGTTCAGGCTTGGCTACACTGTATAACATACAGACCTTAAATTTCAGAATTCACGTGCATATGTCTATGTATGGCTGTGATTCTCCTCTGTATTGTCTTTGCTTTGGCAAAACTAGGCTGACTGGGCAGACTCAATCTCAGACCTTGTTAGTCTAATAGAAAGAAAAATGAGATATAACAAAGCCCATTCAAAATCTTGAAGCTTCTGCTCAACAGTGACATCTGTCACTGCCACTCACCTTCTGCATCACCTAGTCAGCCTTCAGTGATCAAGAAGCATATTCCTCTCACAGGGAGAGGCACTGCAGAGTGGGAAATAGGGGTGCTAGGCAAAATGGTAACCAACAATGGAAAGAATAACAATACTACCTCTCTCTCATATTAGTTTGAGAACTGAATGCCTTAAGACACAAGAAATCCTTGATCCTTTATTCCATAGCTGGGTAGCTATTGCACCCTTCTGAACTTCAGTTTCCTTTTCTGCAAAATGAGAATAATAAATACCAGCACATAATAAAGCTTTAAAAGGCATGCCTGTGTGGCACATAGTAGGTACTTAGCGAAAAGAGACTATGAACATAGCAGAAATAATTATCTTCTTTTATGCTTTCAGAAGTAGAAAATGCTGAATCCTCACAAAAAATTTTGAGTTAGAGATGCTGGACGAGGCATAAAAAAACTGAGAGTTGCTTCATTCTCTCTTTCCTCTGGGTCTGCATCCTTCTTTGCAATAGCTTGTCAGGAAGCCTGCTATCCTTTGGAAGCACAGGACGGAAGAGAGTGTGTGTTTGCAGAGATAACATGGAGCGAGTTCAGGGGTTACTAATTGGGTTTCTGCTTACCTTTCATATTCATTCAGAATCCCAACCAGAACAGGTGTTACAGCAGCCTCCCTCCATCTTTCTCCATCCTCTCTCCCATCTGCTGACAGCACGCATGTCTCTTCCAAAGTCACTTCCCCACTTAAATTGTAAGTCTAATCAGAAACTGATGTGGCTGCAAAACTAGGGAGAGACAAACATGTCCGTGTCGCCTATGAAGATATTTTGAGATTGGATTTGATAGTACAATAAAAGTCCATACAAGGAGTGTTTAACTCTCTCCTGGAAGTGGAGTCTGACAGCCCTGACCCCCTACGTGGCCCACATAGTTACCCCTTACAGTCTGATACTGGTTCAGGGGATTTAGAAAATGAAGCCCAATTGCAAAGCTTTTTAGTCTAAGAATTGCTTCCATGCAGTGCAGATCATTTAATCCTTCCCAGAACCCTAAGGAAATGAATGTAGCTATCATATCTTCCTCTCCCTTCCTTTACAGATGAGGACACAAAGGGTCATCAAGATAATGTGACATGCTCTCACGGGCACAATTAGAAAATAGTGAAGGCAGGGGGAAAGCCCATATCTTCTACTCCCTTGTCCTTCACAGGTGTACACATTCCCTACACCATTTTTCCTCCAGAATCCCATTACCCTCTGGTGCAGAGTTAAAGTAGAGTTTCTGGAGCCATAAACCTGAGAGAACAGACCCTAGACAGCACTGACCTCTCTAAGCCAACCCCACTACTCTCATGCTCCATTTGATGAGGATTTTCATTTTCCCATCACCTCTGTCACTAATGCCATTTAGCCTCCTTGCTTCCAGCCTTGACTATCCTTATCCACAGGCAACCAGAGGAAAGTCTTTAGTGCAAATCTAACCATGTCAATTTCTTCTCTATTCCTGCAAAACGTTGCTTTAAAAAAAGGTACTCTGTGATAGACCTACAGTGCTTGTTATTTCCTGTTCTCCTCTCTAACTGTGACCCTCTCCATTTCACCGATTGAACTGCTTGAAGAATCTGGATTAAACCAAGTTTCTTCTCTTTCACATCTTGCAAATGCTGTTCCCTCTGCTATATGGTCCTCCCTTCACTTCTCTTCCTGTTCAATCACCAGTCACCTATAGATACTCTGCAAAGGTGGTACCTAGAAGTGTCCATGATGTGCTCCTCATCAGGGAGGGAAAACATTCTGAAAGCTCTCAATGTCTCCTGCAACTCAGTACTTCTTGTTGCAGTAGCAATGTTCCTCTGCAAGCCCTCTTTCCCTACTCTTAGCAGACACACTAGACTGGAAGGTCCTTGAAGGCAGGAACTTTTCTTATCTATTTCTATACTCATAGCTTCTAGTGCAGCACTGAGTAAAGCCCTACATCAGTCAATCTGTTAAAACTAAAAATTCTTAGGATGAGAGATTCTTCTGCTTAGTCCAGATCACAGAAATGTAGAGTGTGAAGCTATCTCAGTCTTTATGTAATTCCCCTGCTTCAAATCATCCAAATTGCATTGAACTTAAGGCTTAAGAAGACTTACGCACAATCCAGCCTTCCAGCTTTATCTTCCTCTCTCTTCCTTTATCTATCACATCCTCTATCTGAATAAGGGGGACATATATCCTGTGAATATCTTGAGTACTTTTTCTCCTGTTTGCTCACTGCTTCACTTCTAGAACCTAGAAGAGTGTTTTTCAACTCTGGCTGCATATTACCATTGCCTAGGAGGCTTTTAAAACATACTGATGCCAGAGGCCTGCTCCATGCCAATTAAATAGAATTACTTGGATGGGCCAAAGATCAGTATTTCTTAAAAAGTACACTAGGTTATTTTAATATGCAGCCAGGATTGATGAACACTGGAACAAAATAATGCCTGGCACAGAATGGGTACTTAATAAGCATTTGTTCAAATAATGAATGCATAAATACATAAACGTCCTGTATTAAGATGCACTTACTAATGTGCATTCATTATCAGCCCTAAGCCCCAAGCACACGTGCATATACTGGCTGGGAGCTGCTTGAGGGTGAACAAGCTGTATTACATATTTTTGCTTCTTCAATTATAACATATAATAGAAACTCAATGTTTATTAAATGAATGTGCTGTTGTGTATACCCAGGACAAGAAGCAGGAAGATCTACCGGACAGATGGAGAAGAGTGATGTAAAAGAGGATGCATGGAAAGAGGCCATTTTGGAGTCAGATGGATCTGATTTTGAATTCCAACTTTATTACCTACCAACTCTGTGAACTGTAAGCAAGTTTCCTCATTTGTAAATGGGGGTAAATTACCCTTCTCAGCATGATTGTGCATCTTAAATGGAAAAAACAGCATGAAAGTATTTATCCCAGTACCTCATACATTAAAGATACTTAGATAAAGTCTCTTCACTTCTTCTTTCTTTATCTTCCCTTTGACACAAGTCTACCTAGGCTGATTATGTTGAACCTTTGAGAGATGATCAGAGAAAAATGGAGCGACAGAGAGAGAGAGAGAGAGGCAGAGGAAGGCAGTGGGCAAAGACAGAAGTGAGTCAGAGGAAAATCTGATGGTGGTTATAGAGTAATGAAATAGCTGTTATTGACCACAGTCAAAACACAGCCTAGTCTTTAAGCCTTGCATTAGGCATTCTTTTTCCTCTGCCCAATCCACACGTGTAACACAGCCATAAATCACTGTCCTTCATAAGCAACAGACAGTAAGTGCCATGAGCAGTAGTGACAATATTTATCACCAGGTAAGCAGTTCCATATAGGGGTTGCTTGGGCCAAGCTCCTAACCATTTGGAAGAACTGCAACCACTATGCCTCATGCCTTCTGTCCTAGGCTTTTTTGGAATAAGGGGTGTGAAAACAAGGCTGGCCACGGAATGTAAAGCAACTGGCTTCTAGTTCACCTTTTATGTGGTCACAATGGAGACAGGGACTCAATGAGATTGTCACTTGATGTCCCTTCCAGTGTTTCATAGATCTGGGGCTCTGGGGCTCATTGGAAGTACATTTTATCTCATTTAAGCAGTTAGTGATACATTTGATCAACCATTCTGCTTCTAAGGAGATTTTACTTGATCTCATCTTTGGTGATGCTAAGACAAATTATTTTTTTGTAATGGGTTGAGCTACAAATTTGAGGTGGAAATAAGATATTTTTAATTGGTTTAATGATTTACACTAGTTCCCAGTTGCCTTAATAACATGAATTCTAACTTTTGAGACTTCTCTCTTCTTCTGATTTGTTCAAAACCTACAAGGCTCAAGTGTCCTAAAAAGAAAAGTTAGTCCAAGGTATAATATAGGTCTGAAACTCTTCCAAGGGGTTATTTGTTACTAACTTCATCCTTAGAGGGCTGTGAGCATTTTTCTTTGAAATCCTAGAAGCAATCTCTCTGTCTTTCTTTCTCATCTACCCTATTTTTCTCCCTTTTTTAAATCTTTCCTTAAAAATGCTATGTTAAAATTTCCCAACCTTCACCAAACTTGAAGCTAGGCAGAGGCAAGGAAATACCATAGGTTGACAAATTAGATAAGCTAAACTCTTATTCTTAGGGAGAAAGTCCTTTATCTCCGATGTATCTTTCTTTGAGTTTCTCTTTGAACTTGGCTTTTCTCATCACAGAGGTGATGCACTGGTATAGGGAAAAGTAGTCAACCACGTGGCCCAGTTTAGTTCACTATGTAATCATTCTGGAATTTTGAATAAAGAATACCTATGAACGTACTTTGTTCCTTCTCTGCCTGTCCCCTGTGAAAATATACCTTTCTTAGTGCTCTCATGGGCACTGGCTGGGTCAAGAGAGAATTTCAACATTCAAGAATCCTGGGTTGCATCAATTGCCACCATTCCCACTATAATTTACAGATACTGAAGACTAGAAAGTGTATGTATGCACAAATGACAAGGATTTAGAAATCCAGTTGGTATCCAAATATCTTTCCAAAGAATGTATTCTGCCCTACCAAAGAAATACTCTACAGATCTTTAGTTTTGTTTCTTCATTGCAACCTGCTCTCCCTTACACTTGCTAAAGCATGCATAACCCCCTCTCTCCCAATCTCTGTTTCCTGCTTCTTTCTCTAGACTCATCTCCCAACATACTTCCCTTGCCCAGACCACCCCAGCCACACAACCTCTCTAGTCCACAAGCACTCCAAGGTCTTTCCCACAATGAGGACCTCAAGGTATGCTTTACCCACTGTGGTGGAATATTTTAATGCTACTTTCCCTCCCCCCACCCAAACATCTACTCCAAATAAACACAAATTTTTGTCTGGATCCTTTTCTCCATGAGGACTAAGATTTTTCTCTATTTTGTTGATATTTTTTGCATGTTTGTCCCTTCTAAATCTCATGCTGAAATGTGATTCCCAGTGTTGGAGGTGGAGCCTGGGGGGAGGTGATTGGATTGTGGGGGTGAATCCCTCATGAATGCTTTAGCATCTTCCCCTTTGTGATAAGTGAGTTCTTGCTCCATTAGTCCATGTCAGATCTAGTTGTTTAAAAATGTGTGGCACCTCTTCCCTCTTTTCTCTTGCTCCTGCTCTCACCATGTGATGTGCCTATTCCCCCTTCACCTTCTACCGTGATTGGAAGCTTCCTAAGGCTTTGCCAGAAACAGAGGCCAAAACCATGCTTCCTGTACAGGCTACAGAACCATGAGCCAATTAAGTTTCTTTTCTTTATAAATTATCTAGCCTTAGGTATTTCTTTATAGTAATGCAAAAAGGACCTAATACATTTGTTATTGCTATATCTCTGGTGTTTAGAACAGTTTCTGGCACACAGTAGGTATTTAACACATATGTATTAAATGGATGAATGCTAGCACATATTTTTTTCTATTTAGGAAATAAGGCAATTTGGCAATTGCACAGAATTTCAAAACACATAGATACATTAAAACCAGGCAGAGGCAGCTGGGAAAAGGAAGACAAGCAGACAAGCTTGGAGTTCATCTGTTCAGCCAAAAGGCCAGTGTTGGGAGTGGAAGCTCCTCCCAACCACCTGGCACCAATCAGAGCAGCAAGACTTCTTTTTCAAAGGCAGCAAATTCATTTGCAAATGAAAATAAATAAAACTTTATTGAAATATGAAATTGCAAATGGAAATGGCTGGTTGGGGCCCTTTGCAGCAATTATGCAAAAAGCTTTCATTTGCTTGTTTTTATATGCAAGTAAAAAAGATACTTATTTTTGTAATTTATTTACTTAGGGACACTTAGCAGGGCTCAGAGGTTTGCATGCATCTTGGCAGTCTGGTTCATCCAATTTTTTAATCAGCTGAAAAGACAATGTGGTTTTATTAAGCACCAAGATTCTTCTAGTGTAGGAAGTGGCTCCTTAACTTTGATCCCTGCTGATTCCACAGGTTGATAAATGTCATAGTCAATTATTAAAGCAGAGTCTCCTTTATACCATTGAATTGAGTATTTTGGTGCAGTAGTAACAGAAAAATGCACACTCTACATTCTGCTCCCCATCTCGTCTCATCTTACCTTCAAACTGACTGGCTTTTCTCACCAAATCAGGAAATTTATCATTAAAAATGGTGTTTGAACCAGAACACTGGGTATCATGGTGACAATGTTGGTAATTAGTATGAGCTGTAGCCAGTTATGGTAGTGGCTAAGATAATTATCTGTGGAGTCAGAAGGATCTTCTGACTGGATTTTAAATTCCAGTTCTGCCTCTTGCTTGCCGCAGGGCTTTGGGCGCATAACCCAAACAAAATCTCAGCTTCCTCATTGGTAAATGGAGAAAACACTGAGAAGGTATACATAGAGTGAGTACCTGGCACACAGTTAACTCCACATTACTGGTAGCAGTAAAGAGTAATGGTAGAAGCAACATAAGTGACATACCAGAAGGAGCAAAATTTTGAAGTTCAGACAGACCCTGTTTATACCTGGAATCAAGATGCTTCATGATTTTGGACAAGTCATTTGATCTTGCTAAACTTCAATTTTTCTCATCTGTAAAATATTGACAATCATATCTAACTTTATAATGTTGCATTTGAGATTAGCTTTGGTGCTTGTCAAGTTTCCTACCTAGAGCTTGACTTATAGAAGGTACTAAAACTAAAGGGAGTTGTTGTTATCATCATAGTTACCATCATGATCATGCTTCCTCATTACTCTCTGTGTGCCTTAGTTTCCTTCTTGATAAAATATAATGGTGATGAAAACCTTGTTCCAGTGCTGTAATTTGTCTACTCCATGATTCATCCATACCAGATGTAACTTCACTGCTGAGAGCACTGGCCTTCAGCCCAGACTCTCTGCTCCTATTTTACCCTCTTCCCCTGTGCTCTCGTTAACTACTACTCTTTACAATTAAATTGTGCAATGAATGTCGAGTATCTGGTTTGAAATAATTCTAGCTTACCACACTAAGTATAAATTTCCACCAACAGCCTTTCTGGTTGGATCATAATTCAGAGGCCATTAATCACCTACCTGGCCTCCAGGACTCAGCAGAGGCAGAGGAGTTAATAAAGACTTCTTAGAGGAAAGAACAAAACCTTACAGCCAGTATTGGAAGATCTCTTGATGATCATTGAGTGGGCTGCTGATTGCTGGAGAAACTGCTGGGTAATTAGAGACCTTAGGGATAGATACAGCACAGGGTCTTCTTGATGTAGCAGTAGTTACTGCCTTATATAAAGACATAGACAGTTTCTGTCTATATGGTCTAAATTAAGAACCATTTGGCAAGAATATCCTCCTCTAGCCACAAATTTCCCTGCGCCTACCTGTTATAACAACTACAATGCTACTGATAGAGATTAGTCCCTCTGAATCATTATTAGTGACTTTACTTATGATGGTTACATTAACGCTACATCACATTTTAAAGCACTTTATAAACTTATTTTCAGTTTGTCATATTTAACTGTCAAATCAGGTTAACAGGAGATACTTTTATTTTCACTTTGTAAAGGAAGAAACTGAGGTACTAAATGTTTATGTGGATTTTCCGTGGTCTCAAAGCCACTAAATGGAAGATCAGAGATTCTAAGCCACACTTCCGGACAGCACATCCATGGCTTTTCCTATATGCACCATATTGTTTACACTGAAGAATGATTTTCAGGTCTAAGTGCAGTTAAGCACTGGTAATATCAATCTAGGAAGATGGGAGGAGAGAGCTTTAAAAAACACAGAATAGATGATGATCTCTCAGAAAGAAATTAGCTCTAGCTTTTTCTGGACACAGAGAAAGATCATAAATGCCTCTGGTGCCATGTTTCATTGATTATCTCCTGAGCAAAAACATGGTAAACTGGAAAGGGAATAGGTCTTGGCTTCAACAGATTTGGCTTTGCTTCTCAACTCTTTTTCTTGAGACATGGAATTTCAGTTCTCTTAATGAGAGAACAGTGTATAATACCAACCTAGCATCTTGGTGATGCGACTTAACTGAAATAACTAATGTGAAGTGACTGGTAAGTAGTCATTGCTCAACTAACGATAGACATCATTTGTTTTGCTAGACTCTGCTCTTTGATTATTATAGTTTCCCACAATGATATCAATAAGGACAACTGTAGTTTAAGTAACAGAAACTTAACTCAAATGGGATTAAGTAAATAATTTTTTTTTTGCCTGACAAAACTAAACCTTCTGAGTACCACTAGATTCTCATGTACATCTGATAATGTCTTTAGGACAGGAAATAATTCATGTGTTGTAATAAAGAGTCCCCAAATATTCCAAATATTTGAGACATTTCCTTGCCTCTCATGTCTCAGTTGCAATAAATAACCCACAAATATCTAACATTCAAAGATTTGCTTTTTGGTTTATGATACATAGTGCTGATAGTCTAAATTATTGTTCAACAAATAATTCACTTCCCTTTTCCTCCCACTATGATTAAGTCTATTATTTACCCCATTAAAGCTGCGCTTAATTATGACTAGCTTTGGCCAATCAAACATTGGCAGTCATCACATGAGCAGAGGCCAAACACATGGTGATTCGGTTTGGCTTCGGCTCCCGCACTTTTGTGACACACCATGAAAATAAAATGATCTAGGTAGCTATTGCCCATCTACCTGGCCCCAGGTTGGCATATGTAGGGCAGAACTCATTTCCTTTGAGGCTGCTGCTCTAAGAATAAGAGATACCTGGAACAGATCTGAAACTAACCTGCAGCCTGGATCCTCGAGTCCAGCCTAACCCAGCCAAGATGCATTCAGTCCACAGACCAATAAATGTGACAATAAATGGTCAATGTTTAAACAACTGAATTTTGAAATGATTTGCTATGTGACAATATTGTGGCAAGTCTCATATGGATATGGGTCAGCTCTTAGTGGAAGAGGTTCTTTGCTCGACTAGGGTACTCAGGCCAACAGAGACTTTACCTCCCTTATGTTTAACAGTTTTATGGCAGCGTAATTGACATACGACAAACTAAACATATTTAAATTATACAATTTGATATGCATGCAATTTGTGTCATATGTATCACTACAATCACAACCACCACAATCAAGAAAATAAACATATCTATCACCTACAAAAATGTAATATCCCTTTGTAATTTCTCCCTAACTCAAACATTTCCCTTACCTCTGTCCTCAGACAATCATTGAGTTTTTTCTATTACTTAGTTTGCATTTTCCAGAGGTTTTAATAAATAGAATCCTAACTGTTCTTTTTTGTGTGTTTTACTCAGCATAATTATTTTAAGATTCACTCATGTTGTGTGTATCAATGATTTATTCCTCTAAATTGCTGAGTAGTATTTCACTTGATTTTAAAAAACATTTTAATCCATTTATTTCCTGATAAACATTTATTTCTAGCTTTTGGTTGTTATGAATAAAGAAGCTATGAATATTTGCATAGAAGTCTTTGCATGGACATAGGCTTTCATTTCTATTGAGTAATACTTAAAATTCTAATGACTGGGTTACATGGTAATTGCATGTTTAACTTTTAGCCACCTATGTTTTCAGTTGTGCAATTCATCAACTCATTGTGGGTTTACCACTCACAGATGATTGTCC
This sequence comes from Homo sapiens, assembly GCF_000001405.40. NCBI lineage: Eukaryota > Metazoa > Chordata > Mammalia > Primates > Hominidae > Homo > Homo sapiens. The sequence goes on along the minus strand of NC_000009.12, from coordinate 117,794,148 downwards.
TGAACTTACTACCACACTGCCTTGCCTCACTACAGGAGTCTAAGGAAGGAGGAATACACCTATCTTCACCTCATCATGCCTTTGTCTTTCAACATGTTGGTTCTGTTTCTCTTTCTGAAAGCTTCTTTCTTTCTCAGCAAGGCTCTTATTACAAGATGGCCAGGTTACTACCATATCAGGTTACCACCTTACTAGATCAGCAACTGCAAGGAAAATAAAGGGGGAAAAAAAGCACCTTTTTTCTTTCTATATGTTTTAGCAAAGTCCATTGTTCACTTTCACTTAACTGGGGTTATAAGCTTATTCATAAACTGGAACTAGGGAGATGGAATAAGCCAATTGTCAGACTGGGGACTGGGGATTGGATAGGCCCCGGTAGACAACATTGTCAGGGACTTGGAGAGGGAACATTCTCAAAAGGAAAAGCAATGGCATTCAGCCAAAATAAGAAAGAGATAGAAAAACCCATACTTAAACAAAACCCCCTGCTACAGTGATAATAGTGAGATCATGTCAATATTTACGACTTCGTTTTGTATCTAGAGCCTCTCAATGCCAAATTGAATTATGCCACTCTACCACGCTCTCCTCTTTCTCTCTTCCAGTGGGCTGGGATGCTCATTATCATGTTAACATAATGCAGACTTCAAATCCATCTGTCCCTCAATATCAGTAGGATATAAAAGGAGGCTTTACCAAAATAAAGGTAAAATATGTCAGGATAAATCCTAAAGTTTTATCTTCCACTAATTGTCTATTAGTCAATGATTCTACAACTCTTACTTCTCTAACTCTTATATTTTGCTGTAGGAGTCTCTAATATTAAGATTCCAATGTGCCTTGATTCTTGAGACAGCACGTGCTCTTGAGCAGGCCATACTCTCATCTTGTTACCAAGTTCAGATCATGAGGTTGATACATCCCTTAGGGCAGATTGACATTTTCATGTTTCTAGTTAGCAAAAACATGAACTGGGGATGCTGCATTAACAAGCAAATAAATTTATGGTATGCCAGTGCTAAAATGAATCTTGCTATTTGTCGGCAGCTTTTAAAAAGTGAAATATGTATGTTGCCCATAGAACTAGGGAAGTTCTCTGTTCAGAAATGTTTTTCTCTTTTACTTCTCTACAACGCAGAAAGAAAAAAGAGAAAGTTTCAGATACTGTGTAACCACTGGATTATTGATGAGAGGTCGTTCTAAGGAATGGAAGCAGCCTTTGATTATTTTCTCTGCTGCTAAGTCAGCCTCTATAGCTCAGAGTGGGTCGCTAAGCACCTCCTTTGTTCTTTGCACAGATCCCAAAGGATTCACTATGATTCCTTCTCCTCACACTAATAATTTCATACTCAGTCTCTTGGGATTTCTTTTGTACAAGAGGGTAACAAATGGGATTTCTTTTCTATAAGAGGGTTACATCTCGAAGACCCTTGTTTTTTGGCAACACAGCATTGTATACTGGGTAGATAGGACTTTGGTTTTAGAAGACCTAAATTTAAATCTGTAATCTGACACTAACTGAGCCTTTCAGTAAGTGTCAGTGACCTTATGTGTCCCATTCACAACACCTTCACTGAGATTTAGTGACACATCCTAGAAACAATGTTGGGGACAGAAGAGGTGTAGAATAAATGATAATTCTCCCCCATGATTCCTTTCTGTTCCTGAAACTCTTTCCCTAAGGAACGTAAAAATTCTTTAAAGAATGTTACTACGAAGAATAGCAAATGGGTGGGTATACAAACTGCAGAAGTATGTTATAAACTTTTCCCCCCTCCCCAATCCCCCAGGGTGCTAAAGTTTAAATACTATGTGTTTTCATACTGTTCAACTTCAGTCGACATGAAATAGAGTGGAGCCCTTCTGCCATGGCATGGTAATCAAATCAACTAGACTCTCTGCAACAATCTCAACTTCAGATTTCAATTATTTTATCTAATAAACCAATACAATATTCCAGAAAATCAAGCATTTCAAAATCTAAACTATATTGAAGGCTCATACACTGAAGTAGTTCATAAATCTTTTGTGAAAATTTGGTGTTCAGGAAATATGATCACATAGAACTTCCTTTCTTGATGCTTGATGTAAAGAGTCACTGAAATAGCATAATATTGGGCACTTCTAATCATTCCTTTATTATCCCATTAGATTTTCAACAGCTCAAAGTTATAGATAGGGCAAGAATGTTCTCCATTTTATGAATGAGGACTCGGTAGCTCAAATGTATGAAACAACTTTCCCTAAGTCACTTAATATGAGATGGTGCTATGAAAATCAAAGGGAAAGTAATTAGATATGAAATAACTCTGAAAACTAGAAAAAATACATTAATTAATGTTGTTAAAATGTCCATACTACTAAAGCAATCTACAGATTCAAAGAAACTCCCATCAACATCCCAAAGACATTTTTTACAGAAATAAAAGAAACAATCCTAAAATACACACGGAACCAAGAAAGAAATGGCCAAATAAATTTTCAGCAAGAAGGATAAAGCTGGAGGCATTCTATTTTCTGACTTCAAAATATATTACAAAGTTACAGTAATCAAAACAGCATGGTAGACCAATTCATCAGAATAAAGAGTCCAGATATATATATACCAATTCATCAGAATAAAGAACCCAGAAATAAACCCATGTATATACAGTTAATTGATTTTTTTATGAAGGTTCCAATAATATACAATGGGAAAAGAACAGTCCCTTTAATAAATGGCACTGGGAAAGCTGGATATGAACATGCAAAAGAACAAATGAAATTGAATCCTTATGCCATGCACAAAAATCACCAAAAACATAAAGTAAACTAAAAACATAAATCTAAGACCTGAAATCATAAAACTCCTAGAAGAAAACATAGGAAAAATGCTTCTTGACATTGGCCTTGGCAATGATTTCTTGCATATGACACCAAAAACACAGGCAAAAAAAAAAGCAAAAATAAACAAGTGTGATTACATCAAACCAAAAAGCCTCTTCGCAGCAAAGGAAGCAATCCAGAATATTACAAGGCAACCTACAGAATGGGAGAAACTAATTGTAAACCATATATCTGATAAAGGGTTAATATCCAAAAATCTACAACAAAGTAATACAGCTCCATAGCAAAAAAACAAATAATCTGATTCTTTAAATGTGCAAAGCAAATGACTTGACATTTCTCCAAAGAAGATATACAAATGGCCAACAGCAACAGGTATATGAAAAGTTTCTCAACATCACTAATGGAGAAATGCAAATCAAAATCACAATGAGATATTACTGAATACCTGTTAGAATGGTTATTATCAAGAAGACAATGATGGCTTGTGTTGCCAAGAATGTAGGGAAATCAGAACCCCTGTGCATTGGTGGTGGGAATATCAATTGATGTGGTCACTACAGAAATGGTATGGAATTTCCTAAAAATAAATAAATAAAACTATTACATGATCTAGCAATCCCACTTCTGAGTATATACCTATGGAATTTAAATCAGAATCTCCAAAAGATATCTGCGCGCCCTTGTTCATTATAGCATTATTCACAATAACGAAGACATTGGAGATTAAATGTCCATTGACAGATGAACAGCTAATGAAAATATGGCATATACATACAGTGAAATATTTTTCAGCCTTAAAAACATCCTGCAATTTGCAACAACATGGAGTCAACGGGAGGTCAATATGCTGAGTGAAATAAGCCAGATACAGAAAGATAAATACTGCAAGACACCACTTACATGAGAAATCTAAAATAGTCAAACTCATAGAAGCAGAGAGTAGAATGGTAGTTTCCTGGGCCTAAAGGGAGGGAAAAATTGGGAGTCTTTTTTTAAACATGCTTGAGTATAGCATAAATGATCATTATTTTTATTGGTACAAAGTCCACAAGAATTTAAGTAAGATGCTAAAGAAATGTCCCTTCTGAAGTGTGGCAGATTTCAAAATGTGGCCACAAATTTCTCTCATCCTTTTATGCAATGTAACACTGACCATTTTTCTAGCAGGAGGTAGAGTCTATTTCTGCACCCTTTGAAATGTTGAACCCTTTTAAATATGATCTAGCTTTGTGACATGCTTGGACCAATAGACTGCATGATGTGCAAATTCTAAAGAGGCCCTTGAGACAGCTGGCGGCTTCCATTCACAATCTCTTATAACCCAATTGTCATGTATGGAAGGCTGAGCTAGCCATGTGGACAGGTTGCATGCAAAATCAAAGTGATGTAGTTTGGATATCTGTCCCTGCCCAAATGGGGCCTGGTGGGAGGTGTTTGGGTCATGGGGGAGGATCCCTCATGTGCTGGTGCTGTCCTCGGGACACTGAGTGAGTTCTTGCCAGATATGGTTGTTTAAGTGTGTAGCACCTCCCACCCACCCCCCCACTGTCTTTTGCTCCCTCTTCTATGCTGTGATGCGTCTGTTCCCCCCTCACCTTGTGCCATGATTGTAAGCTATCTGAGACCTTACCAGAGGCAAATGCCAGTGCCATGCTTTCTGTACACCCTGCAAAACCATGAGCCAATTAAACCTTTTTCTTTATAAATTATTCACTCCCAGTTATTTCGTTATAGCAATAGAAGAATAGCCTAATACACAAGGTATCTGAGCCAACTGCCCCAAAGAACTGCTAGACATGTGAGACATTAGACATCTTCCAGACAACCTATCAATAGACTAGTCAAGAAAATATGTATTTAAGGGTCCATGATGCTTTTAAAAATAGGTAATTTCTCACTTTTTTCTTCTAGCCAATTTATCAAAATTTATTATACACAATATCGTTAAAAGTTGCTAAATTAGATTCGTACAATAATGGAATCTTAGAATTGGAAGGAACCTGAAAAAAGAGTGTGTATAGGGTGACTAGATGTCTTGGAATGTCTACTAACCTCACAAAGTTATGTATCTTCTCTACTTCTCTCATCTCAAATGGATTTCAGTTTGGGAGAATCCAAACTATTTATGGATTCTCAGGTAAACTCTGCTTGAATATTTCCATGAATGGCTTCATGGTTTCAGAAGCCATTCTACGTGGAGTAGGTGCTCCAATTGATTTAAAGCATTTCCTTTTATTAAGAAAAGACCAGAATCCTCATTTCTCCCACTTATCGGTTTCTGATATTTAAAGACAACTAACTGACTAACTTCTCTGACATCACTAAACTCACAGTCTTACACAAGAATACACACATACATAAAAAGACAGTTTCCTTCTCTTAGCTAACAATCCTAAATCCTGTAAAATTCCTCCACATGTAAGAGTTAAAACCCTCTTATTTTTGCCATCCTCTTCTCTGAAAATAAGATTGTAATAAGATTTGAGAGTTAACCTTTTGACAGAGATTGTGGGTCCCTTCTCTGCCGTTCATTCATTAACCAGCAATTTCCCATTTCATGGAATTTTTAGCAAAACCTTCCAATATCTTGGCAAACACATTCCAGTGTCATTGATTTTGTTTATAGGAATACTGAGCAGGAAATTTGTATCTATGGAGAATGGCAAAAAAGAAAATCAATTTATTTATTAATTAAAGCAGCAAAACTGTAACTGGGGCATGGAAAGAATTTTTTTGGTGCAATGAAACTTACTGAGACTTTGAAAGAATGTGTAACAGAACATGATTCTCTAGTGAGGGACATGGGCTGCATAGTCTAATAGAACTGAATTTAATCCATGTCCTCCTCTCCATTTGTTCTTGTGTGGGTTCTTTAATTTCACTGAGAGGTTACAGACACATCTATAAAATGCAGATTTTGGTAACACCCATAATGCACGGTTGTAATATAAATGCTTAGTACACTGTGTTGCATGTAACAACTTTTTAAAGAATGCTTATTTTTGTTATTTGGAATTAGAACTGGAAACAAATTGTAAGCTTTATCTAATAACTCCTATAATTTCAGTAAGTTCCTTAATCTCTTTGAATGTCAATTCTTTATTTGTATAACCTGATTAATACAACTTAACTCATGGGGATGTGGACGATTTGATTAAGGGAGTCAAAGGCTGACAAAGCAGACAAAACATAGAAAAGTTACATAAACTAGGAAAATAAGTAAGTTCGACATCAGTCCATGACTGATGGAGCCCTTGTTCTCATGGATTGCGTCTCAGACAAGTAAATTATCATTTTCATAAAAGCTATACTGGGGAAGAACAGGGTACTTTGGGAGCCTAGAGAGGGAAATGATCAAGCAAGATTTCCAAGGGGAAATGATGTCTAAGTTTACATGAAAAAGATGAGTCAATGAGAACCAGAAGAAGGGAAGTGGTGGGGCGTGAAGAACAGAAAGCAATGGCACAGGAGTGAGAGGAGTCTTGGAACCAGAGAAAGCCTAGTAAGTCTGAGAAATAAAAGCAGTCCAGTATGTCTAGGGCTACAAGTATGTATCAAATACTATATGAAGCACCTAAAAATTATTATCAAAATTGACCTTTCTGTAGCCCTATGAATTAAAGTTATAATCTCCCCTTCAAAAATGAGAAAACTGAATGCCAGTTAAAAGTCATTACTTAGGTAAAGTTAAATAAATAAATAAAAGAAATATAAGAAAGAGCCAGAATTAGAATTAAAGTCTTCCAGTTCCAAAGCCAATGATTTTTCCACTGCCCAAGAGAAAAATAGAGCTCAAAAAGAGAAGAAAATTCGAGGAGCCAGTACTCCTAACTCCGAGGTTTCCAACCATTAATCCTGAGAGACAGGGTGGGCAGGTGACCACGGGCCCCCGATTCATGCTTATTGAAGCTGGAGGGATGGAAGAAGGGGTAGCCAGTGTGGCCTCCCCAAGGAATTATTCAAAGCTTAATCCTTCTGGGAGAAAGGAATAGTCTTTGGCAAGCACGATTTTCAGATGGTTCAGATGCTTAGGAAACTCTAAAGAAGCTGTAAGGACAGAACAGGCAGGCCTCACAGTGAGAAACATGTCTTTAGACAGGATCCTGAACGTTTAGACCTGATCTGCAACTGCAGTCTCGCTGGGAATTTGTGTCCCACCGTGAGTGATTACAGTTTTCTGTAAGCACAAGTGGCCTTCCTGATAAAATTCAGCTCCAAGGAATTAGGGAAGAGGCCCTCATTTGGTTATTTTTCAAGGCCCTTCCTATCTCAGGCCAGCAGCTTTATTATTCTGTGGCTGCTTCAAATGACCTTCTCTGGAAAGACCAGCACATTCTCCCCCTGTGCCTTATCGGCCTCTCTCAGACCTGCTCATTTGCCTAATGGCATCTCCACAAAAGCAGTAGAAAGCTCCAAATCTGAGCTGAGCAACTTCTCACTTTTGGCCAGCTGCAAGAATTCCCCTGGCCTCTGTGTTGGAGGCTCAGAACTCACCGAATATCCCTGCTTTCCAACTTTTGACCTTGCTGCAGTCGATGCAGACATGAGAATTTGCTGGAACTCAGACTTTCAAGACCCACTGGGCTCTCCAACGTGTCATGTTCTCCAATATTCATTAGCTGGCAGTGCACATATTTGTCATGGGCTGCTTGCTGCTTCACTTTCGTGTTTGGACTATGAGCAGGGAGCAGGGGTGGATAGAGAAAATATTGTGTGATGGGTAATAGTTTTCTGATCAGATAGATTTAAGGAATCTTATACCTAGATGTTTGACCTTACATGCTACTTAGATTTTCAAAGTTTCATTCTCATTCATAAAACAGTTATACCCACTGCGTTTCACTTTGCCCACTCTACTTGGCCATACCAACCTATTTACCTTTCCTTGATTAGGACAAATATGCCACTGCCCCAGGGTCTTTGCACTTGCACCTCTCTTCGTCTGATATGCACTGGGGCCTTCTCAAATGTCAGCTTATCCGAGAGGCCTTCTCTAATATAAAAAGCAACTCTGCCTCTCCTGCAATTCGCTAAGCCCTTAAACAATGTTTTTCATCATATTGCAAGCTGCTACACTATTATGTTTTAAATTTGTTTTATTTTTTGGCAACCCTAGAACGTAAGCTTTATGTGCACTGGGAATAAATTTCCCCCTTTTTTCTAGTTCTACCAAATTATACTTTACATAAAATTATAATGCATTTACTCATTTTAGTGCATATTTTCATGAGGTTTTGAAAAATAAATATACTGTGATCGGATATAGAATATTTTTGGTCACCCCCAAAAGTTCTCTGAGGCCCACTCCTCATCCTACACAACACATTGATCTGCTTTCTATAACTATAGATTAGTTTTCCTCTTCTCAAATTCATAAAAACTGAAGTATACAAAAAGTAATTTTTTTGTGTCTGGCTCCGTTCATTGAATATAATTTCAAGATTCATTCACATTCTTCTAATGATTAGTTGTTTGTTTCTTTTTATTAGTAAATAGTATTCCATTGTGATGAATATATCACAATTAATCTACTGACCTGTTGATGAACATTTAGGTTGTTTCTAGGTTGGGGCTACTATAAACAGAGCCACTATGAACATTGTGCACAAGTCTTTTTGTGAATATATATTTTCATTTTTATTAGATAAACACCTAGAAGTAGAATTGTTACTAGGTAATAGGTTAAGTGTATGTTTCACTTATCTCTAAATCTCTATTATTTTGCTGATATATCCATGCTATTTAGAACAGTGTCTAGCATGTACTAGGCATCCAATAAATATTCATCAATTGAAAAACTTTAACAATTAACTGTAAGAGTAGATATAAGTCCAGATCACTCTGTGGTCCAAGTTAGAGCTTTGTCCACTGCTTCAAACTGATAGATGGGGGGAAATTATTGATGTGTAGCCCCCATCTCAGACTTGGGTGGGCAATGCCTATGTGAGAAGCTCCTATGAATCCCTTGCTGAAACCATTCACGATAGAGCATGAGTGGAGACAACCCTGACACCCTGACATGAGGCAATGTTTCCCTGGCCTTTATATTTAACAGAACTTGCCTGGCTGTTTCCTTGCCACCAGGGAGCTGCTGTTATAATCCCCAGAGTTCTTCCTCTCCAGACTCTCACAATCCCATTATCCTCCTGCCTGGAGAGACAAGCTCATCTGACAACACTGCCAGCACAGAGACTCATGTGGATGTATTAAATTCACCACCTGGTGACTATAATTAAGATTCCTCTCCTTTGATTTATTTTGGTTGGGGGAAAGAAATCATTTAAGTTCTTGGAGGTGCAGATAAGAGATGATATATGTCCCAACTATTTCCATGATAGTAACACTTCCTGCCGCTAACACAGATGGAAACCCAACTTCAATCACATCCATACTTGACTACCCGTAGCGGAGGAATGATGAGGTGGTAGAGGGAAAAAAAGAAGAAAAGAGAAGTAGTCCAGAGGAAGGAGATAATGAGAAACATGCATGATATTTCTGGGAAAGAGATTTAAACCAAAGAAAGACGCACATCTGCTTGATACACAGAATTGTCTTTTCCAACTGAGAATGCAGCCCCTCTTTTCAATCAGTTGAAGAGTCGGATATCACCTTGAAGATGATCTAAACCAGGAGTTCTTATCCTGATATCTGGAGGTAGACTTGTAGGGAAATTACGAACTTCCGGACATTGAGGAGGGCAGTAAAAGTACCTAGCTTTCCTCAGTCTCTTAAAGCGGTCTAATGACTACAAAGACATTAACAGACCCAGTCAAATCCCCAAATTTTAAGTTAAAGATATTTAAATCCAGAGAGATAAGGAACTTACCCAAATTCATACTGCTGGTTTATGTCACAGGTAAAACCAGCACACAAGTTTCCTGACTCTCGTATTTGGCCCATTTCATCTTAGCGCTTGTCTGCACACCTGTTAGCAGGAGGCTCTGTGATTTGCTCTATATTCTAATCAGAGCCCCATAACAACTCCTGGAGGTGGACAAAGCAGGTGTAAGTAATGCCTTTCGATAGAAGAGAAAAACAAGCTCAGAGCAACTCAGGCAACTCATTTATTCAAGATGAACTTAGTAGCCCTAAATTGGTGTGGCTTCAGGGATCATGATTCTAATATCTCCTTCAGTCAACAACAGATCCTTACACCCTCAGGTGTGCTGCTCCCCAATCTCCAAGCCTGCACAAGTGTGGGTGTGGCTTCAGAGTACTGGGCCAATCAGACTATGTCACTCTTCCGGTGACTTTGACCCAAGGTGTGAGCACATGGTCCAAGCTGAGCCAATCAGAAACCTCATCTGGATTTTGGTTTTAAACTGAAATTGAAAGTGAGTTCTTGATCTCTGGTAAATGATTGAGGAAGTGACACCAAATGAAATGATTGCTGCATAGAGAGGGCTAGGAGAATAAGACTGGCAGAGCATGGATGAGGGAAATGGACAAAAACAAAAACAAAAGTCTTTTAACATAAATCCTTTGGTCTTTTTTCCTCAAGGCTTACTTTTCCATCACTTCCTTATCTATGCAATATCCTAGTATACTCCTAATAATTCTTTTTTGGGAGGCGGTGAAGTAGAGGAAAATGCTTGGATAAACTACATTCAGGGAGATATGCTATTTGCACCTGAGTTCTGCCTAACAGAATGCCTAAGTGTTAGTCAGCTGGCTTAAGCCCAGGCCATCGCCCTTGGACTCAGTCTCTTTGAGAAAGCCTTCAGTGTTACTTTCTACAGCCACTTACATACCTTCACTGTCAGCAGGAAGATGTCTGGGGGAATTGGCTTACCACTAAATGCAGGACCCCGAGGAATAGCGCGGCTCTCTCTTCCTTCTAATCTCAAAGTTAAGAGGAAGGTTTCTTATCCCTTTTCTTTCTCTCTTTATTTCTTTCTCACTTCCTCTCTCCTTATACTGGCTCCCTGGCATCTTTTACTATCCGTGGAGTTCTGATGCCCCCTGCTGCTGACTGCAGGCTGCTGGCTGCTAACTGCAAGAAACACAGGTTTCCCTGGTTGCAGGCTCTGTGTTGGTTGTCTGTGCTAGTTCTTCCGCCTCTCATTATGTTTTCCTCTTATGTGATCTAATACTCTGGCTGTGTTTTCTCACCGTCTTTCTGTGCCACTTGTATCTTTTCCCCCACACCCTCGTCTCAACATCTTTCTCATCACCTCTTTCCTCTTTCAGTTTCAGTTTTAGACTTCGTTCTCTCTGCTGTCATCTGTGTCTCAGTCTATTCTTGAATAGACTGGTTCCCTGCATCTTGAATTCCTGGTTCCTGCATCTTGATCTGTGTCACTGACTCAGCTTCTGTTGCACAACCTCACCCACTCATCAGTGGAATTTTTTTTGTTTTTGTTTTTTCACAGAGAGACTTGCCACATGTTCCTCTCATTGTCCTAAGATAATTTAACAAGCAGGTGATTAGCCTTAACTGAATAGGCAGGGTGGTTAGCTCTTTGCACAGAAAGTTCTTACAAGTAAAAATAAAGCATTTTCCAGGGTTCTAGAAAGTTAGATTTCTTCCACAGTTTTGTGTAATATTTGGCTTTTTTTTTTTCTTTCTGAGGTATAGGATTTTAAAATTTATACCTGGTGGGAACTAGAAGTGGGGAGGAGGTGAGTATTGGAAATCTCTGCGGCGAGTTCTAGATTGGAGAAGGGAGTTCTGGAAGTTATGGTTCCAGGGCTCCCTGTGAGAGGGCAGTGCTTCGGACATCTGTGCCTGAGCTGCTCTGCGTATGAGGTGCCTGCTCAGCAGGTCCTGTTGATGGATCGATTCTTTGGCTCCTAGGACTAATACTCTAAGAACCCCACTGGCCTGAGTTTGTTTTTCTGCCAAAGGGAGCTATCATTAGCATTTGAGACAAATACCCAGACAACATCCCCAAAGTGTATCTCCATCCGTCTGGGTTCACAGGAGGGAGGGCGTATGCTTGCTTATGGAAAGCATATGATTTACGCTAGTGCCTGTGGCTCTCCAAAGGAGAATGCAGCTTAGGGGTAGCATGAAATGGTGTGTACCAAACACTACCAGGCCAGGTGAACTGCATACATGATTCCACTGTCACAAGCATCCTGCAAAGGCTTGTTTTCTGGATTAAAAAACTGAGCTTCAGAGAGGTTAGGTACATTCATAGCCAGTAAGTAGCAAGGTTTAAATCTGCCTTTCAGGTGCAAAACCATCAGGAATATAAATCAAAAGCACAGGTTAGGTCATAAGGAGACCTTGGACTAAACTCTTTACTTCCCTGGGCTCGAGTTTCTCCATAAAGGTGATGATGGAGTCATCTCATGATATTCTAGGGTCTCTCTAAGTTGTAACATATCAAGATTCTGTCACTCTGTTACTCACTACTTTCCCTGACATCTTTCCAATTTGTTCTGCTGTTTAATTTATGAGAACATATATTGTTCTCATAAATTGTGTCCATAAATTGTACATTAGTGGGTTTCTCTGAAGGCAAAGATTATGTCATCATCAAGATTTGATTTCTCACAATGCTTAACACCTTGTTTTCAATGCAGTAGACACTAAGTTTTTGTTTTTATTTTCTGAAAGCAGAAAGAGTGGGAAGAAACAATTCAAACATGGAAGCTAGAGAGAAAATACAAAAGACAGGAAGAAAGGAAGGAAGGGGAAACATTAAAATGCATTTTATTACATTACAGGACTCATTTAAGACATAACGGAAGCTTCATTATTTGTTCACTTTTTGCCTTTAAGTGCTGATTCCTATAAAGGACCAAAAATATTAAAACATAAAGAATTAGGAGCCTGCCGAATATCAAATTGGGGATGAAAATGTCAAATCTCTCAAATTAGAAAGAAATTCAGGAAGAAGGCAGTATCTGTTCTAAAGGGTTACATGTTTGAAATCACATTTGTAGGTGTACATTTCTCCTACAAAGCAAGACGCCCTGGAGTGCAAACACACTTTTCCCAGCTTCAGGAAAACCACTCAGCATGCCACAGCTCCTGGAGGTGCCCGTTCCCACCATTATCACTGCCTCCCCGCAGCACAGCCTCTCCAGGACAGATGCTAACAATCGATAGCAAACACCTCACACTTAAATCCATCAATGAAAATACTGTTACAATAATAGCAGCGATTTTATGTGGCTACTGATTTCTTTGGGGCCTCCCAAACCCAAAGGTAAGAAATAATAACAGGTCATTTTTCATCAAGACAGACAATGCAGAAGGGTGATTGGAGCAGAGGTGCTTCCGATGAACTGTGTTGCCCATGTGAGCACTGCCAAGAAAAAGGAAAAAACCCACCTCCTGGGAGGCTCTTGTGTTTGGGCTGATGAAAAAAGCAATAAGAATCCTCAGCAACATAATAAAGACAGCACCAGGCAATCCCACGTTCCTGGGCAAACCCATCGCTGTGATTTTACCTGAGTCTGCAAATAAGATTGTGTGACTGGTAAAAGGATAACTATTATCCCATTTCACAGATGGACAAACAGAGACTCAAGGGAGAAAGTGGCAGAACTAGGGCTAGAACACAGAGCTTCTTCCTCTTAATCCATTATTTTTTTATTTGCTTTTTTCTCCCTTGAATTGAACAGAAAGGAGACAATCCAGGATATAGATCAAAACATTAAAGGAGTCAAACCAAATTGTGTTTTAGAAGAATATTTAATGACCTGGGGAAATGTTTACAATACAAAATGTAGTTAGAAAATAACTATATGTGCACATGTGTATTATAATTCTGATTATGTAGACATTTTATATAGACACATACACACGTCATATATCAACCAGGAAGTATCTCTGGATATAATGAATGACTTTGGCTTCTTCCTTAGGCTTTCCTCTACTTTATGCATTTCTTACATTCTGCACATATTTCTAATGTTTCTAAAAGTTAAGTTGAATATATAATTTGAATTAATAATATATATAAGTACAAACACACACCCATACAGAAGTCAAAATTAGATCATCTCAAGGGAAAAAAATGCTTTGCTTACTTTCTCTTGCTTTCTCTTATGGAGGATATAAAACTAATCAGTGATCGAATCCAAAGTCTCTGCTAGGCAATCAACATTATGACCTAAGTCAAATGCTTCATCTCTCACAGCTCACATTCTTCATCTACCAAAGAGGTATATTCCTATTTATTGCCTAATTTCTATGGTTTTTGAAAAAATAAATGACGAATCAAAATTTTGCGCCTTGAGTCCAAATGTATAGGCAGACAGGAAGCTGGTATGTGATGAGAGAGGGGGAGCCCTTCTCTTGAAACCACAAATTTAATCAGAATTTCTTCCTGTCTTCACCAAGCTGTAGGCTGAAGCAGCCCCTGTGATTATCTCTTCCTAATCAAGTGGGTGCCTATCTAGGGAGGCAGATGTAGCTCTGGTGGTGGGGGTGAGAGCCTCTAATTGCAGGATTTACATGAGAGGAGATTCCCCAGAGGCGGAGAAACAGACAGCCAAGGAGACACCACAAGCTATTTCCTCAAGCAGAAAAAGACAAGGAGGCCTTGGGAAGAGGCTGCCCTCTTTCTGGCCCTCAGGGTCTTTGTAGGTGGAAAAGGAAGTTAAACTGGGACTGGGCGGAGAGGGATAGGATTAAATTGGAGGTAACTTCATTGAATGGCTACTTTCTGCAAGGCACTGTGGGACTGGTAAGGGGGAAAACGCAACAGCAAAGAGTTCAGAAATAAGATTTTTCTAGTGCCTAGTGTGAGTCAGAAACTCTGTTAGAGTCTGTGTTTAAATGATCAAGTTGAATCTTGAAGAATAATTTGTGAGGTAGTGATTAAATCCACAATATCAGGCACACATTAAACAAGAGCCTCCTAGAATAACTGCAGATCTGGCAAACATGCTTTGCTTGCCTGCACGTGGCTTTCTTTTCAACTTGGCTTCATTACAACATAAATGTTGTTCCTTTTACCTAGGATGCCCTTCCCACCCTCCCCACTTGAACAATACCTTCAGGAATTACTTCAACTGCCACTTCCTCTAAGAAACCTTCTTGTACCACTCTACTCTCAAGCTAGTTGAAATTCTGAACTCCTACTGCACTCTGCATTATTTGTTGTAATTATGAGTGCTTGTCTGCACCCCCACGACATTGCACATGTTATTTTGTGAGGATTTGTTGTTGTTGTTGCTGTTGTTGTTGTTTAGTTTGTTTCCCCCCACCTTTAGAATCTCTGGTGCCTAATACAGTGCCCAGAGAAAACAAAGTGATCAATAAATGTTTATACTCTAAATAAGAAACTTGATGAAGTCATGGAAAGAAAGCAAAGGATATATGGATAAATGAATGAGTGAATAAATGATATGTGAATAAATATATCAATGAAAGAAAGTATGAATGTTTCTAATACAACTCTGAATCTTATAGGTACACAAAGTGAAAGGAAGTAAAAATGATTGGAACTGAGCAGAGATGGCAAAAACATACAGGTTACAAAGGCCAACATCAAACTAATGCCTCATCCAGGAAAACCATGGCTATTTTTAGCCTGCAGTTTCCCAAAAACAGCATCAGATTATTTGCAACTGACCTGTGCATTTTGAAAATTTCCAGTCATCCTGCCAATTTTCTATCTGGTGCATCCTTTGGGGCTCATGTAAAAGCCCCAGGCCCCCTAGATCTGCAAGGGGGCAAATAACCTTCTCTGATCCTTCTGAATCAGGTTGTGCATGTGTGTGGCTTTCCAGCTAATTCTGATCATTGCTCTCATTTAGGATCTTCTGTAATGAAAATTCTTGTACCTTCAGCTAATAGGGTTGCTTTAAAAAAATAGGAAAAAAAATTTCGTACCAAAGGGAAGGCTATACCAGAGAAAGTCTTGTATACCCCCATGAAATCTAGCATTTTATGGTTTCATAGTAAAACAACCACCAATCATAAAACAGTATTTCATTTTTAAAAATGTCTTGCTATTGGCAAAGAGATTTAAAGATATCATGTGCATTTTTCTAATGTAATCTTCATGACACCCTTAGTGCAGTGGGTATGTTCATCTTTCTTTGAGAGATGAAGAAACTGAGACTCAATGAGATGACTTACTTTTCTTTTGTCTCAGCTCCTCAGACACTATGTGGATCTTCTTTCTTTTTCAATTCTCTTTTCTCCCATAATGGAGACATGATCACACATATCTGGTCCTTCTCTCCTTCTGGACACATAGAAGGACTATCCATTCTGGTCCCTTCTAGTTAGGAAGGGCCATGTTGCTAATTCTGGTCAATGAGCTGTCAGGAGAAGCACATGTCATTTGAGGATATAAAGCATTTCCCTGCTGATGCAGCAGTCTCCAATACCCACTTCAACTCTCCAGGTCACATGTTTCCTTCTTCCTCTATTGGAGTTTCATGTTGAGAAAGTGGAGCCACAAAACCAAAGCCACCTGGATAGCTGAGCTATGACCCTGAAGAGGGGAGTAGATTTGGCATGAATGAGAATTAAACTTTTGTGGTGTTAATCTGAAGACCTTTGCAAGTTATTTGAGGGTGCAATGTAACCCATTCTTACCTGACAAATGTAGATGCTCCTATGAAAAATTACAAACCTACTTTTCAGTCTCTGAAGCCCCCATCACTTAGGGTTTCTGCATCCACACGTTCCAGAGGTTTTTCCAGTTCTTGCTACGTAGTGCCCTCCTAGCGATCCCCTACAGAGCATTAATAGTGGCTCTCTAATCATCTTTGGAAGTGCACTTAAATTTTAGTTCCTGATCAATACTCCTCCCCACAATGCCTCACTTCTTTTGCCCTCCCCTGCATCACTGAAATAAACAAGCTGGGCTATTCCCAGGTTGCTGTACTTGCCAGCTTCCTATCCATTCCACTCCAGACCCACTGACGTAGCAATGACAGGAAAGACTAGAGTCAGAAGATCTGTTGCAAATTTGAAGATTTTTGGAGCTGAAAGAAGGCGTCCAGTGGTAGAATTAGGAACATAGGGGATGGAATTTGCCTCCTCCAATGCTTGCATATCCTCTACAGCAGAGTAGGAGGGTTACACTCAAGTTTCCCAGAGAAACACCTCTAGGGGCAGGGCATTCACTAGCTCACAAAGCATTTCTTCCATCTTTGAACAATCTGACTCTAGATAATTATTTGTCTTGTGCCTGTGTATTCCACACAGGTTCCTGACTGTACTACTTGAGAGTCAAACAGAGAAATCCATTCTTCTTCCCCATAACAATTCTTTAAGAATTTAAAAACAGTTGCTAGGTCTTCTTCAATCTGCCACCATATCTCCCCTTTCAGCCTAAACCTTTTCAATTTTAACATAAGAAAAAATAATTATTAAACAGAAAAAAACTTACCAAGAATGCACAGCTAGTAACTAAAGTTTCTGGCTCCCAATCCAGTGCCCATTATAGTTATTTATTCATCTTTTTACTCAGTAAATATTTTATGAGCATATAATATATACACAATGGTAACACAGGGCTTACAACTTAAATATGATTCAACTCCTGCCACAGGAGAGCAAAAATTTTAGTAAAACGTAAGATGTGTGGACAGGTAGCTACTGTAGTTGGAAGGAAATGAAAAAAAATATTCATTAAATGCTTTCTAAATGTCAAGCACTGCCAGGTGCTTCATATATTATTTCATTTAATTTTCAACTACACACTAGGGTTGACAGTATCATACCATTTTGTTCATTTAAGAACTGAAACACTGCTCTAGATTTTTTGTATTGCTGCATAAAAGACCACCCAATCGTAGTGGTATAAAACCATTTGATCGTGTTCATGGAGTCTGTGGGCCAGGAATTAGAATAAGGTATCACAGAAGTAGCTTGTTTATGCTCAAAGATACCTGGGGCAGTGGGAAGGTCTCAAATGTCCAGAGGCTGAAATCAAAAAGAGATTTCTTTATGTACAGGTCTGGAACCTGAGGTGAGTTGATGTCTGGGCTCAGCTGAGACTGCCTGTAAGAGCCACCTACCTACGTAGAGGCCTCTCTATGTGCCTTAGCTTTCTGGTGGCAGCTGGGTTCTTCTAACAGTATCTGAAGTCATGCAATCCCACTTCCATTACAGTCTATTTGGTTAAGGTACTTATAAGGCAAGCATGGATTAACTTAGAAATTAGACTCCAGTTCATCATGGGGAAGTGAAAAGGTCACACTGCAGAAGAAGCTGTGGTACAGGTGATATCACTGCAGCAAACACTGAAGGCTTAAGCTGTACAGCTGGTGTGTGTTGAAGCAGGTTATGTATCCAGGCCACTTTGGCTCGAAGAGATTTTCTATGAAACTTCAGAAGATGGGTAGAGCATTATGTTACTCAAGAAGGCTCCATGGAGGAGGTACCATTTGGAGTGGGCTTTGAAGGAGGGGAGAGATTTGCATGTGGAAGCATTCTACATATGGGGTAAAGTGTGACTAAGTCACAGAGGGAGCATCATGATCTTCCTTCACTGTCTTCAGGCTATTTTCTATTCCAATAAAGAAACATAGAAAATTATCCTCTCCCAACAGTCAACAGAAGTACTGGGCATAGGAAAGCTCTTGTGACTAAAAGGTGGCATTTTTGCCAGATGGCAAGTTTCCCTGGGTGACTATTACCCATGACACAGGGAACTGAGCTTGTGGCACAGCCCAGCCACAGGCAGACAGAGAGGACTGGGCTGAATGGAAGAGGAAGGAAGGAAATCTCACTTTGGGAGAACAAGGGTGGGCTGAAATCCTCCATAATGAGGCAGAGTGTGATGGCAGCTAGAACCCATTGCCCTCAAGCCCCTGGGTAACCATAATTAGCTCAAGGAGCATTTGAAATGAACATTTTAGATGTTGTTGGCAATGGTGCACCCCATACAAAGGGAGTCAGGCAAAAGGCAGGCTCAAGCCCAAATTATAGTAGAAGAGGCCTTCATGAAGATTTTATGAGCACCCAGTGGAACTACTTTTCATGGTACTATTCTACAAAGAATAGGTTTTTCCATTGCATATTTTAAACTAGTTGTTATTAGTGTATATAAAAGCTGTGATTTCAGTATACATATTTTTGAAAATGGCAATAATACAGAAAAAAAAACATGAGGACAAAAATCCCAACAATTTTCAATGTCCTCTATCAACAGTCTCATCACCTACATAACACATTTCCACATCCATGGACACCTACACCATAACCTATTACATTTTTATATTTATTTCATTACTTGCTTATTAACTATCACCCCTGTGAGAATGCAAGTTTCATACAGAAAGTCACTTAGTTCTGTGTCCTCAGCATCACTAAATGTCATGGTCATGGTTGCATATGTTGGTCACTTAATATTTGTTAAGTAAGTCAGGCCCTAGGGACAGGAGAGAAGGACTGACAAGCTTACTGCTACATTTTTCTTTGTAATGGAAGGGAACATCTGACCCTGTAATATTGTCAATGAGCCAAGGTTGGTTTTCTTGCCACATATACCACAATTCCAAATTCTGTTTGGGAAACGACTTCAGGTAGATTTGAGATGCAACCTCAGGTCTTCTACTTAGTAGTTGTGTGAGCTTGGCCTGTCACTTAGCTTTCCTGAGTATTAATTTCCTTGTTTGGGAAAAAATATTTTTATCAGAAAGCTAATATGAGGGTCAAATCATGAAGGTATTTTGCAGATGATGATGCAGTAAGGGCCTCACTCCTCTGACTGGACAAACCTCAGGCTATTTGCTGCCAAGCTTGGATAAGGGGAGGAAAAGAACAAGAAAATGTACGAAAAGAAGCAAAGAGAAAGAAAGGAACAAACAGTAAAAACAGGAAGAAGAGGAAGAGAAGGACAGGCGAGAGGAAACAGAGACATGTACTTTGAAAAGAGGCCAAGTGTAGTGGCCAAGGTTTGCAAGGCCAAGGCAGGAGAATTATCTGAGGCCAGGACTTCAAGACCAGCCTGGACAACACAGGAAGACCCTATCACTACCAAAGTTTTTCTTTAATTAACCAGGTGTGGTGATGTGTGCTTGTGGTCCTACCTACTTGGGAGGCTAAAGTGGGAGGATGGCTTGAGTCCAGGAGTTTGAAGTTACAGTGAGCTATTCTTATGCCACTGCACTCCAGCCTGGGTGATGAAGAGAGAGACCCTGTCTCTAAAAAGGAAGAAGAAGAAAATGAGATTAGAAGAGAAATAAGTAGAAAGAGGATGAGTGGCCAGAAGGAAGGAGATAAAGAAAATAGGGAGAGAAGAAGGGAAAGGAGGGGAGGGGAAGTTTGAGGAGTGTGAGGAAGGAAGAGAAAAAGATAAGAAGAGAGAGAAAACAATGCTGCTAGAAAGGAAGAAAGAGAGGGGAGAAGGGAGGGGAGAAGGGAGGGAGGAAGGAAGGAATGGAAAAAAAAGGAAGGAAAGGAAAGGAAAGGGAAAGGAGAGAGGGATGGAGGGAGGGAAAGAAAGGAAGAGAGGAAGAAAGAGAGAAAGAAAGAAAGAGAAAGAGAGAAAGAAAGAAAGAGAGAAAGGAAACAAGGAGAAAAAGAGAAAGAAAGAAAGAAAGAGAAAGAAGAAAGAGAGAGAAAGAAAGAAAGAGAGAAAGAAAAGAAGGAAGGAAGGGAAGGAGGAAGGAAGGAAGAAAGGAAGGAAGGAAGGAAAGAAGGAAAGGAAAGGAAGAAAAGGAAGGGAGGGAGAGAGGGATAGAGGGAGGGAGGGAGGGAAAGAAAGGAAGAGAGGAAGAGAAAGAAAGAAAAGAAAGAAGAAAGAAAGAGAAAAGAAAAAGAAAAGGAAGAAAGAGAAAGAAAGAAAGAAAGAAGAAAGAAAGAAAGAAAGAAAGAAAGAAAGGAAGAAAGAAAGAGAGAGAGGGAAAAGAAGAAATAGAAAACAGGAAAGCTGGGGAAGACTAAGGAGGGAGAAGACAATCGAGAGAAAGAAAGAAATGGAGAGGTCCCTGGCAGAAGGACCCCAGGATTCCCCCAGTTACTTGGGGGTTCAGGGATCACTGACTGGCCCCCAAATCCAGACTGTGGACCTCTCTGTGGTACTATTTGCCCCTCTCTCTGGCCATCCTTGCCTTGGACAGTCTTTCTATAAGGAGCTCAAGCCTGCCAGGATGCAGAGCCAGGGTCGCTGGGGAGGCTGGAACTCACTGCCCTGAACTAATCCTTCATTTCAGGCTCCCCAGCCCCGCTGATTGAGTCAGACAATTAACACAGCCCTGGTTGGGGTGGACCACTGTGTTTATGACATGATATGGGCTCCAGCAGACAACATTAGCCCTGACTTTATGGGGATTTGTTCAGCCTATTACCATGACTCATACTCCAGTAATGAGATCTCTCTCTTCTGGGATTCAGCACTTTGCTGCTGGCATCCTCCTTCCTGCTTCCCCCGTGGCTCCATTTCCATTTTTTCCCCAGAATTTCCTAGCTTTCCTCTTGGCCTCAAACTCATTTTGGGGTGGGGAACAGGAAGTGGTCACTGTAACTTCTAACTTGCAAAGTATCTGAGCCCCCGCCGCCAGAGCCACATGTCTAGACCAAGCCTAGAAACAAGCAATGAGAAAACATACAATATGAACAAAATTGGGCGTATTTTTTAGGGAGATAGGAAGGAAGGCTTGGACCTGCTACCAAGACCCGAGATCTGAAATGATGCTAATATCCCTTTATCCTCCATAATCTAATCTAGAATGCTTGAGGTGGAAGAGAAGCTAGAGACAATCCAGAATCTCAGCAAATAGATGGGGGAAGCTAAGGCTTAAAGAGAGGAAGAGACTTGCTCAAGATCTCACAGTGAGTGGTAATTAGATCTAGAACTCCTATCTTCTGATTCCTCTTTTCTCCCTAACCTTTTAATTTATTAATTCATTTACCCATTCAAGCAAATACTTGACACAATATCAAGGCCCAGCTGTACTCTGAAGCCTTCCAATATGCTTGGTGTTAGCTTGGCCTCTGCCCCTATTTTGTGCCTCCTGAGCCCTGTACACATACACTGAAATTATGGACTTGATCACTGCATTTCTTGACTTGTGTATGAGGGGGCTTTCTCCTCCTCTAGGCTGGGTTCTTCAGGATAGAGACCTGGTCTTTTTTTAAATTTTATTTTATTATTATACTTTAAGTTCTAGGGTACATGTGCACAACGTGCAGGTTTGATACGTAGGTACGCATGCGCCATATTGGTTTGCTGCACCCATCAACCTGTCATCTACATTAGGTATTTCTCCTAATGCTATCCCTCCCCCAGCCCCCCACCCTCCTACAGGCCCCAATGTGTGATGTTCCCCGCCCTGTGTCCAAGTGTCCTCATTGTTCAATTCTCACCTCTTATTCACTTATGTAGCCCTGTCACTAGCTCAAGGCGTGACATTAAGTAGATGCTGAATGTTTGATGAAGGAATTAATGAATTAATAAGCTCCAATTGCTTCAAAATTCTGATCACTCATCAAGCGGTAAGGAGCACTACAGGTTCAGCAGACTAACCCCTGTCCCAGCTGCCTCCTACAACATGGTCCAGACCCCTTTGTGAGCAGACACCATCTATTCCTCTTGTCTTCTTGATCCTTGATTTTCTCATACTACCTGGGCAGTGTGTTTCACCTTCCTTTCAAGAAACTGATTTGTACTAATTTAGAAGTTTTGGGATATTTATTTCAACTTTAAGGTGAAAGAATAAGCCCTTAATCCCATAGGAGCTGGCAGGACCATTTTTAAAGTTCAAAGTTCTCTTTACCTATTTTAGTAATCACTGAGGGCTTTCCTAGGCAAACCAAATCAAATACAGCTTTTAAAAGAAACAATACTGGGTCCTTAAATCCCAGAGCAAAGAAGGGAAGAGAAAGAACCAGAGAGATGTTTAACTTATCTGCCAACCTGATTTGGATACTTTCTAATGTCCCTTGAGTCCAAGGGAAAAAAAAAGAGATCTCTGAGGAAAAAAGATCCTGCTCCCAAGACAGACCTGCAGTGGTCTGCAACTGGGCAAGATACAAACAGACAGCCATTTCCGCCAGGTAGGCTATAAATCCAGCCTTTATTACCTCTTATTATGTTGTTTCAACAGACTCTTAAAGACAGCACAATGGTCGGTTGATAGCTGCACTAAATCTCTTTCATTTTCTCCCCGTATTAATTTCGCCTCCTGAATTTTTTTCTCTCTCTTCATGAGTCAAATTTTATGGGTCTTCCCTAGAGAAGGGCTGTAGAATGGAAACATTGTTTATGATTGGGAAAGAAAACCCAGCAACCCTCAAACCTCAAAACTATGAGCTAGCAGTGAATGTGTGTGTGTAACCTATATATGTAGACATTTTATATTTTATATGCATATATATACGCATACACACATATAAGGCAGAATAGCAGAGGAGATGCACAAATCTAATGGCACAATGGGGGCTGAGATTGTGTGTGGAAGGAATGAACATAAGAACCATTTACTGCCGACATATCAAAGGCTGAAATGGAATTAAAATAAACTAAGGGTCACAATTTTTTAAAGCCCTACTTAAAGAACAGAATTCCGTTATGGGCTGAAAAGAAGTCCCAAGAATACTGTGAGGTGGAAGTGAGGCAGAGAGGGAAAGCAGGAGGGGAGGAGAGAGGAAAAGGAAGAGAGGAGGAGGAAGAAGGGGAAACAGGAAGAGGAAGAGGAGGAGAAGAAGAGAGAACAGGAGGGAAGAAAGGGGGAAAAAAGAGGGGAAAGAAAAGAGGAAAATGGGAATAGAATAAGACTGAGAATAAATAAGGAAAAACTAAATTCCAGAATCTTTCTGTCTGGGCTCTGAAGTAAAGCTCAGAAACATTTTCATTGAATTTGATGAAGCAGATATTAAACAGATATTAACCATAGATCTTCAACAATCTTCTATTTTATATGTCAATCAAATATTAGTGCCTCTTGGGAAATTGAATACTAGATGCTGATCTCCTTACTATCAGCATACAAACACACAGTGTCCCCACCCCTACCCCCACAGATATTGGCAGTTACTTTTCTTTAAGACTCCATAACCTACCCTGTACTTATTCTTAAAGAGTCAATTAATGATCCTCCTCATCGCTGAAACTGACTGTATCACTCTAATTTTTCTCTGAGCCCTTTGTCCTCTTTCAGAGCTGCCTCACGATGTCTCTGGTCCACCAGACTTGGAAGATTTTTTTCATATTTGCACTGTTCCTTCTTTCAGATCTGATTGTCAGCTCCTTGATAACTGGTATCACATGGACATCCTCCAGTTGGGCTCCCTCATTCAAAGCCTGGCTCTACATTCACAAGCTGTATTATGTTGAGAAGTTACAATCGAAGTAGAACCTGTTTCACCATCTGTTAAAGGGGGGAAATACTACCATCTACATCATGGGGTGGTAGCCAGAATCAAATAAGATGATAGATGAGAAGTGCTGGCTCTACCCTGCTATCTAATTCTTGTCACTTTCTGGCTGAAAGGCAATGGGGCCAGCAACCTAGGTTTTGAAGTTTGCTTTACTCATTGGAAAAATAAATGTAACACTCAACCCTTGGGAACATCATAAGATAGTATAATACTGTGGTTCTAAGTTCAGATCCTGGAGCCAGACTACACAGATTCAAATGCAAGCTGCCCCACTTACTAATGTATGGCCTTCAGGCAAATTACTTAAATTCTCTTTGCCTCTATTTCCTTATTTGTTAGAAAATGTTATTATTACCTATTCCATAGTGCTCTTGTGGGGATTAAATGAGTTAATTCAAGTAAAGTACTTAGAACAGTTCCAGACACAGAGTGAGCTTTAATATATGTTAACAATTATTATTGTGATTTCAGTGAGATAGTACGCATGAAGGACATAGACACATGGTAGGATTTCATCATGTGGTAATCCCCACTCAGGAGATAAAAATCCTTCCACTCCCAGAGTTAAAGTCTATCAATAGAGACAATACATTGCAAGGAAATGGAATTTTTATCTCCTATAATCTAGGTGAATGCTTAATACCATCATTACTAAGGATTTACTTTTCATTTGTATTTCTTACACATCAATATTTTGTTCAGGAGAGCACCAGATCAGGAACTTGCGAATTCATCAGATAGAAAACTTTTGTTGTTTCTAATGAGGAAACCAATTCTTCAAGCCTTGTTAGAATTGCCAAACAGGGTTTCCTGCTGGGCAGCTTCATTTACTTGGCATCTCCTACTGAGAAACACCAGTACCATTCACAGATTGGGAAATGGAGAAGACAGACAACTGAATGAGAAATACCAACTTAAATGCTGAAATTTGTCACCACCTTCCAGAGAATAGGAACAGATCGTTTTTTTAAGAAAATGAATTTCAGGAGTTAGGCAAATTCATTGCATTTATATCCTCTGAAAATGTCAGAGCTAAACAATGAAATTTAAGAGCTCCTACAGTGGCAAAGCTGCAATTGATTGATAGCAGCTGCTGGGAGCAGTGAGGAGAGAGTGATTCTGAGGCTACTTCCTAGTTCAGTGGAAAAGTACTATAATCCATTAGTGATGCCTGCCATGGCCACGGAGTTGGACAGTGTTAGACCAACTTGCCATATTCTTTCTGTTTCTGATCTAGTCAAAATTCCTAATGCTACAGATGTTTTCAAATTCCCTACATTGGGAAAAGAAGGGTTTAGACTACGTTCATTTTGAAATGCCATTAGTACATGCAAATTTACTGAGACGTAAAGAGTTAAATAAATAAGAATGATTTGTGTATTCTTGGCAAGCAATTGGAAACTGCCAAACAGATTTTATAAACTCTTGAATAATGATGTTATTTCTTGGATAGTTTAAACCGTCTTTTCCCCATCCCCATTGGTTATTCTGTTTTTAATCTTTACTGCCTAGGAAACCTATTAAAAATAGGCTGACACTTGTTTAAAATCTTTACTAATTCTATAATAGTAAAGTGTACAAAGAAATTGAATTTTACCAAGAATTTGGGAATAAGCAAAATAAGCTAGCATGAGGTCACCACAAGAAAAATATATATGGCCGGGTGTGGTGGCTCACACCTGTAATCCCAGCACTTTGGGAGGCCGAGATGGGTGGATTGCCTGAGCTCGAGAGTTCGAGACCAGCCTGGCCAACATGGTGAAACCCTGTCTCTACTAAAAATACAAAAAATTAGCCGGGCGTGGTGGCGGGCACCTGTAGTCCCAGCTACTTGGGAGGCTGAGGCAGGAGAATCGCTTAAACTCGAGAGGCGGAGGTTGTGGTGAGCCAATATCGTGCCATTGCACTCCAGCCTGGGTGACAGAGTGAGACTCCATCTCAAAAAAAAAAAAAAAAAAAGAAAAATATATATGATTATTGTGGGCAGTCTTCTAAGAATTTTAACTTAAAGAGAAGTTTGGTTTTTTTTTTCAAGTCATTCATGGATTCATGGATTTTGTTTTTTGGTTCCTGTTTTTGTTGTTGACCTACTAATATAATACTAATGATAACAACTCTTTGTGTTTTTTAAGCACTCTCCCTTATATTATTTCATCTGACCTTCACATTAGCCTCACAAGCAAGGCATGATAATAATTTTTATTCCCATTTTACAGGGAGGAACTTGAGCTTCAAAGGTAACGGTTTGGAAATACCAGGGAAATCCTATTTTCTCTATATATATATTTCTCTCCATCTTGGGAAGGAAATTAGAGGTTGAACAAACCTAATGCCATTGATTTGATTCAAAATTTCAGCCTCACACATCTCTATCATCAACCCTAATATCCCTTGAGTTAAACTAATTTAGTATCCTAATAAATATTTAAATAGAAAATATTTAATACCCTAATACATAGGTTTAAGGCAAGTTGCAAATTGTCAAATGATTGATAAAAAACACAGGATTCTATAATAAGTAAATGAAGAAAGTTACTTTCAGTGGTGGATTCAGAGAAGGATTCATAAATGAGAGGGACTTAGTTTGATTCTCAAAATTAAATAAAACAAAAAGACGTGAGATGAAAGACATCTCAGAGAAGTTTCAGAAAAGTGGTACAAAATCCTTGTCTTGAAATTCAGTAGAGAAAAAGATCACATACAACTCCCTGGAGTGAAACAAACGGAGGGACATAATTGGAAAATGATTTCTGACTACTCATGTTTTTTAGTTATACCCATAGCTGGCATGTGGTCACAAGTGGTTCTACCGTGGCACTGACCTTGCTCAAACATACCACATGGTTTTTAGTGACAATCAGTCTTGTGTCTTCATCCATTTTTTTTGCCATTTGCTAGATGCATGCCTTTAAGCATATAACTTCACTCCCAGACTTCTTCTTTTCTTTTTTCTTTCGGCTTTTTGTTTAATTTTCCTGGAAGAAAAAATGATGTCTATTTCCCAGGGTTGGCGTAGGATCATGACAACCTACAAAGGGCACCTGGCATATAGCATGTGCTCAGTGCATTAGTTCTCATCCTTATTTCTTACTGTCACAAGCACCTATCTGACTCTAGAGGAAAGAAAATATTTGATTTTCTCTAAGCAGTACCAAGCCTGCAGATGAGAGTATCAGTACTGAAATTGAACTTCGTGTGTATGTGTGACACAGGGTTGAACATTTCATCAATTTCTAACATTGTTCAGCTAGAGATTTAGGGTAGATCTCCAGGAAAGCATGGAAGTGACTCTAAATTAAATCAACCTGGTAAATTGCTCAGGGATTGTGATGCCTTGCCACCAATAAAAATACATAAATAAATAAATCACTTCTAGTCTCTAATAGTTTACAGCTTGATCTAGCAGAAGTAATTTTTCAGAAATTTTACTAAATGCTCATTTAATGAGTGTGAGGGGAGTGGCACGATCTAGTATGTGTGAAAACAGATAACGCTTATTATACTAGACCCTATTTCTTAGAATAAAACTTAATGCATGTGGACTCAATGAGATTAGGTAAAAAGGGAAAACCTTTTGGGTTTCATGAAGACAAAAACATATACACATACATCTTTACCCATATCTATACTTAGATACATATGTATGTATGTACTTATATAAGTATGTATGCATGCATCTATTTTTTGAGCTGTATGTGGCAATTCTACCTACTGTACCAAAATATTTGCTCAATAAATATCCTCATAGCATAGATAAGAAACAATTATAGTTAACACACCAATTTATACTATGCATGTGGATATTTCTAAAGTACAGACAAGTAATTTTTGCTATTAAGCTGTTTATCATAGCTTGCCCCACAGTCATTTTGTTTGTTTTTGAGATGGAGTCTCACTTCATCACCCAGGCTGGAGTGCAGTGGTGACATCCCGGCTCACTGTAGCCTTTGTCTCCTGAGTTCAAGAGATTCTCCTGCCTCAGCTTCCCAAGTAGCTGACACTACAGGCTCGTGCCACCATGCCTGGCTAATTTTTGTATTTTTTTTTTTAAATAGAGTCTGGGTTTTACCATGTTGGCCTGGCTGGTCTCGAACTCCTGTCCCCAGGTGATCCTCTCACCTCGGCCTCCCAAAGTGCTGGGATTACAGATGTGAGCCATCACGTCTGGCCCTCACAATTATTTTTAATGCTATATAGTTTACTAAATAAAACTCTTTTACTAAGATCTGTAAAAGCTTAGTTTAGCCAGCAAGCTATACTGTACAAGTTGACCACAATTATGGATCAATGTTCAATCGAATGTTAGAATAAAATTTCTCTTTAAAGAGGTGACATGTTGATCTGCCATTACTGGTTAACATCATAACTTGAAGTGGTTTGCTAAATATCATCAAGTCCTTAGGAACAGAAAATACAAGGATAGATGATGTTTCTTGGGGAGGATGGGTGGAACATAAAAGCTACCTAGAGAAGGTCAAGTGGTTGGTAAGGGGAGCTTGTGATGGCGTTGATCGTCTAACGTGGAATAGGAATGGATAAGAGGAATTAGCTCTGGGAACAGAACTACATGATGGGCAAAGGGGCCCACTGAGTTTCTTTCACATATTCAACAAAATTTTTGAGCATATACAACATAGCAGTATGTATGTTTAAGCAATAGCATCTGCGTATAGCAATAGCAAATGTGAAAAGCAGAGTCCTTGCCTCTAGAGATTATGTGCAGTGCACTATCTCTAAAGGTGTGTGACCCCCCCACCCAGCATCATCAGTACCACCTGGGAACTTTTCAGAAATGTGAATTCTTGAAATCCACCCCAGACCTACTGAATCAGAAGCACCGGGGTGGGACCCTCTAATCTATGTCTTTAGGAGATTTTTAGAACCACTGGTCTAATGGAAGGGGTTCTATAACTTCTGTTCCCCAAAGCTATCCTGCCACAGAAAGTGTGAGAGGGAAATAGCTTAAAATGGCAGGAAAGTTATTGATAAACCTCCTTGATTCCTGCGTGTCTCTTTGCCTATGCAAGTCATTTGGTATATCTGTGATGTTGCCTGGTGCGTGGAGTTCCAAACTTTCCTGCTCACCAGAATTACTAAAGAGTTGTCTATTCATTCATTTACTCATTCATTTGTTCATTCATTTTTTTTTTTTCTTTGAGGTGGGTCTCTTTCTGTCACCCGGGCTGGAGTGCAGTGGCGCGATCTCGGCTCACTGCAAACTCCGCCTCCTGAGTTCAAGTGATTCTCCTGCCTTAGCCTCCCGAGTAGCTGGGACTACAGGCTTATGCCACCACACCTGCCTACTTTTTGTATTTTTACTAGAGACAGGGTTTCACCATGTTGGCCAGGCTGGTCTCGAACTCCTGACCTCAGGTGATCAGCCCACCTCGGCCTCCCAAAATTCTGGGATTATAGGCATGAGCCACTGCACCTGGCCTCATTTATTCATCCTACAAATATCTGGGAAACATTGACATTAGGCATTCATATAGGCATAAAGATTCAGTTGCAAAAAAGACAAGCATTATCTTTGCTGTTAAGGAGTTCAGAATCGAAATGGGATGTCAGAATATAAACAATAACATAAAATAATCATAAAAATTACAAAAGCAAAGAAAGTATTATAAGACAGTCTCTATGTGTTGTATTGGTCAGGGGTGCAACTTAGTCAGAGTCAGGAGGTACCTCTCTGAAGAAGTGATATTGAAGCTGAAGGATGAATAGACATTACCTGAGAAGAGAGACCAGCCTTAGCAAAGTTCTAGAGAAAGACAAAACGTCACTGTGTTCAGGGAACTAAAAAGGGCAAGCATGAGTAGAGTGAAGAGAACAAAGGAAAAGTTATTCTTGTTTGAGATTGAAATGGTATAGGTTGTTAGAGACCAAAGCCAGGTAGCTTGGGAGGACACAAAGAACAGGGAAAGGCGAAGACTCAATTCAAGTTAAGATGGTCACTATGGCCTCAAAAAAAAAAAAAAATGGATGAGAGCAGAGCAATGAAGGCTGAACCAGTTAGGATGATCTGCTGCTGTACCCCAAGTAAGTATCCAAGTGATCGATACTGGCATGATGGGGGTAGGGGAGTGTCAGGTAATGCAATAACATACAAAGCAGGGATCACTCCATTTAGAATGGGTTGTCACTCCCAGGAATGGCTTCCAAGCTATTAGGACCCAGAGATAACCCTGGACTTGGCAACTAGGTAGAGAGAAGGGGTATTCACCTATGTAAGTGACCTTAGGCAAGTCCTTGCTCGAAATCTCTCCTCCTTTCTGCCACCAATCCACTCTTACCCCTTAGTTTCTTCTTCCTAAGTGTTGCACTCCCACTCTTCTTTTAAAGTGCACATGCCCCGAGGAATTAAAGCTCTGAACAGTCTTTGAGAACGCTGAGCACATCAGTTCCTTCCTGAGAGAGGAGGGTTACAAGGTTCCTTGGTTACAAGGCTAATGCTCTGCTGTGACCCTGGTTTTCCTCTAACCCAGGTCAGGACAGGGATGTGATGTGACTGACACTTTTTACCCCACACATGGCCTCTGGTGACTGAAGGTTGACACTTTCACCAGCCCTCCCCCCAGGGTGCCCCGTCATCTCTCCTCCAAAGCTGACAGCACATTGGCATTGCTGACAAATGACTCATTTCCAGCCACATAAAATGGCTTCAATCTTCTTTTTTGAAGTCTCACAGATTACCTCCTCCGCCTCCTGCTTTTCTGACAACTTCGCTCCAGCAGTGCATTATGTTAAAAACCACACTTATTATGCCAGAGTGGGTCTGGCACGATTAGAGTTCAGTTTTTATAACAGATGTGGATATGCCTGTAATGACCTGCTTGGCTCAATGCTCCTGCAGGCCTGTGACCTGCACAGCTAGTGTCACAGGACCCAGTGTCCTCCCTGCAGAAATCCCATCTCCAGAGGGAGAAGAGACTGTCCCTCCTTCTGCACTCTTTTAATTCTATTTGAATGTGGGGTGCCACCATGAACTGTCACCCAAGTCAGAAACCAAGGTGTTCATTCAGATTTCTTCCCCACCTTTATCCCTCTTAGCCAGCCACTAAGTTTCCTTCTTTCTTTTGCTTTGGCATCTCTCCAAAGGCCCACTCGCATGCTCCTGGATCACACTACCATCACCCTTCTTTTAGAATATTGAACAATCCTCCATCCATATCTCTGCCTCCAGTCCTGCCCTTCCAAAACAGGCTCCAAAGTAATGGTTCTAAAATGCAGAATTATTCATCTACACTCACTGCTCTCAATCCTTTAATAGCATCTCACGACCTTGGGAGAAAGGCTTCAGCTTAGAATTCAAAGTTCTCTCTAAAGGCCTCTCCTGCTTCTTTACTCCAGACCACCTTCACCCAAAATCTGTTATGCAAGTAGGTATCAAACTATTTGGAGGTTCCCTCGTACACCCTACTCCTGGGTTCCTTTATAGCTTTGCTTAAGCTTGTTCTTACCTGGAATGCCTGGTTTTCCTTTTTCTTTGCCTCACTAATACCTTCTCATTCTGCAGGGCTTATTTCACCTCCAGGTAATCTTTCATGAAATGCCCTCCTCAAAGGTATTACGAGCCCCTTTTTGATACTAAAAGAGTCTATGTTCCCCTCTATCCTGCCATGAATCTCATTAATATATTGGTTCTTTTACTTGTCTTCTGTCCCACTGAACTATGTGCTCTTTGAAGGCGCAAGTGGTGCCTTAGGCAACTCAGCACACCCAGAGACATATAGAGCAAAAGGTAATTGACTATGGAACTCATCCTTCCAGCCTGCAGTTCAGCTTTGATGATGGTTAGTGTGTGCATCGTGGTCCTCCATACATGACACATTTTAGCATCTGCCAGCCCATTTAATCTTCACAACAAACCTATAAGGAAGTCATTTTAACTGATTTTACAGATGAGAAAACTGAGCCTCAGGGAGGTGGAATAACTTGCTTGTTTTCATGCAGCTAGGCAGAAGACAGTGCAGTACTGGCTGAGGGACATCTACATGGATTTGGGTAGGAAAACA
The DNA here is from genome assembly GCF_000001405.40 of Homo sapiens. Classification (NCBI taxonomy): domain Eukaryota; kingdom Metazoa; phylum Chordata; class Mammalia; order Primates; family Hominidae; genus Homo; species Homo sapiens. The sequence goes on along the minus strand of NC_000009.12, from coordinate 117,762,057 downwards.
TAACTATAGAGCTAAGCCATGAAGGATTAGAAAGAATTTGTCAGTTGGAGTAGAGTGGGGTGAGTGGGAAGGTTATTCCAAGAAAACAAAAAGTGTATTTCTAAATATCGACATCATCATGACAAAAGCACAGAGCTATGAGGGAGAGATGCGGTTACAAATAAAGTCCTAGTCTGAATACATTTCTACCAATTGCTAGCTGTGTGATCTGGAAGAGTTGCCTAACCTCAGATTTTTCTTATATAAAATGAGAATAATAAAAGCTCCAAAGCCCTTAGATTAATATGCAGATACAATTAAATACATGTGTATTATGTATTATATAACTCTGTGTGTGTGTGTGTGTGTGTGTGTGTGTGTGTGTGTGTGTGTGTGTGTATCTTCCTAAGAAAATACTCTGACAAGCAGCAATGGCTCAATACATGTTAGCTATTTCTAGTAATGCTATTCCAATTATCTACTGTTATGAAAGAAACTACTCCAAAGCATAATATTATCAAATAACCATTGTTTTGTGCATCACAAGACCTCAGCTAGAAGAGTTGTCTCCAACCTATGCAGCATGAACTGGAGCACCCACTTCCTGGATGACTTCTTCACTCACTCACCTGGTGCTCATGGGCTGGGTTGTCATCTGTGTAGGAAAAAGGTGGTACTTGTCAGCCAGGTATCCAGCTCAGGCTGTTGACCAGGGTAGCAGCAAAGACCAGATTGATCAGGATGTTCTCTCCATGTGTCTCAGGCTTATCCCTGAGTCGCGACTTGTTTCCCAGAGAGGAAAGAGACATGAGCAGAATCTGCAAGGCTTCTTATGAGACAGCTTCAGAAGTTACAGAAAGTCCCTTCTGACAAATTCTGTTGGTCAAATAAGTAGGACAGCCATCCCAGATTCCAAGGGAGACAATTAGATTCCACCTTTCAATGAGAGGTTGACAATGAATTTGTGGCCATCTCCAATACACCACACAACTGGTACTACTAGCAGTGCTACTAGCACTATTATGACATTCAGAAGTGACTGCAGTCATTCCACTGCGATGAGCATATAGAGTGCACATAAAAAAGGGATGACTGGGGGATGAAGCCACTGAGAAACTGCTACACCGACATGGTAGAGTAGAAGCAGTAACATTCTAGTCTCTTCACTACATCCCACAAAGCCAGTGAGAACTAAGCAAGTGAATTTCCCAACCCCAGGGGGTGCATGTATAAACCAGGGAGTCAGAAGCTACACTCTGAAAAAGAGTGAGACTACTAGGAGCATCCCTGGGATTTCTTTTCTGACTCACCTGAAATGAAGCAGCCAACTCTCCCTAGCCTCTTTCTTTCTCTTACCTGATGGAGGTCACACTGAGTTATTTTTCCAAACTTTGGAGGTAAGAGAATGAAAGGTCTCAGCTATCTTGGCCATCACAAGCCAGAGTTACTCATGGGGAACAAGGCAGGAAGCATAAAGAGGACATAGCAAAGCAGATGTTGTACATAAAAGACACTTTCTAGCACAATGTAGTTCACATTTCTTCCCTTACTTACTGTGCTGATTTTTTTTTAACCATATGGGTTTTTGTCGCCACAAGATATGTATGACCTCTTTTCTCAGTTCATTGATCTGGTAACACACACACACACACACACACACACACGCACACATCTTTGGGGCTGACCTGTTCTTACCTGTTAATTCTATTAATGTCCCTGTTATAAGGCTACAGTCGAAGAGAGAACTATATAATTTAATGATATCTCCTGTACTTCTCTTCTTTTTCTTAATTCCTGACACCAATAACACACACAAAATTAAATGCATTTTTAAAAGTACATTCAAAGACATCCTTTCACACACATATATATTTCATTCTCAAATGTATCCCCATTTGGATGATAAATTACATGATTGCCTAACTTTCGAACATAAAAAGTACACTCCTCTGCAAAACATACCATTCACAAACAAACACACAAACACAGAAACACACTGAATTCCCCTTCTCCTTGCAAATACACACAGATAACCAACCACTCTAAAATGCACACACAAACACACATACACTCATAATAACACAGAGATGCCCTCAATTTCTAAATGCACACTTTCAAATCCTTGCCTAAATCATCCTCCCCAGACAAATAGCACACACCCATTCACATATTAATACTAACAGACTCTCATACCCACAAACATGCAAGAGAGAAATCTAGGAAAACCAGACACACACAAAAAGAAAAAATATATAGAGAGACATGTAGACTAATGCACTCTCTTCAGTATTCCCTGCACATATGACACCTCTAAGGAGGCTGTTGATACGTCCTGGACACACAAAAATGCCCGTGTTCAAATGAACTCCTCCACACCCACATACTACAGACAAATCCAAGCATATCCTTTTTTTAATTGTGGTAGAATCAAGCATCTACTTTCAAATACAAAATCACACATAGACTATAATAAATAAAACATATTCAGGCATAATTATACACACACACACACACACACACACACAACTTCTGGCCTTAAGTTCTCTTCTTCCACCAACACTGTCTCTCATTTCGTCTTAAAGCCCAGCCTTCACTCAGAAGATCATCTTTATGGAAATCTTCCCATAAACAAAAAAGTCCTCCTTTTTAACAGAGCTGTCCTAGTGCAGACAATCCCTCTGCCCTAGATGGCTCCTGCCTCCCTCGTGTCCCAGACTAACTGCCCTGGCCACCAACAAAGACTCTAGAAACACTTTTGCAATTCTTTAATTGGCCTCAATTTAGACAGACTAATAGCTCTAGAAATCTCAGAGGACAAAAAGATAACACTTAATAAGGATGACTGCTTAAAAAGGAACAAGGACATGTCCTTTGCAGGGACAAGGATGGAGCCATTATACTCAGCAAACTAACACAGAAACAGAAAACCAAACACCGCATGTTCTCACTTTTAAGTGGGAGCTGAACACATGGACACAGGGCAGGGAACAACACACACTGGGGCCTGTTGTTGGGTGGGTGGGGGGCAGGGGGAGGGAGAGCATGAGGAAAAATAGCTAATGCATGCTAGGCTTAATATCTAGATGATGGATTGACAGGTGCAGCAAACCACCATGGCACACGTTTACCTATGTAACAAACCTGCGCATCCTGCACGTGTATCCCTGAAGTTAATATAAAATAAAATAAAAAGGACGACTGCTAATACTGAAAGCAAAGGGCCAAGTGCTGAGGGAAACAATTGAACCTTGAGTCAGGACATCGGCTCTAGTCTTATCTCTGCCACAAATTTGCTGGGGGACCTAGGACAAATTCCTCTCACTCCCTGGCCCTTGTCTCTTCACCTGTGAAATTAAATTTTGGACATGAGGTTCTGTTTTCTAAGATCTTAAAGCTGTAATCCAAAGTACGTGAACATTTCTGGACCAAAAACTGCTAGCAGGTAACAATTGTTATTTTGATTAGAAAAGGGCACTGAATCCTTCTGCTTAAGTCGTATAGGAAAAGGTGTGCAAAATTTGGAATTAAAAAAATCTCAGTTCAAATTTTTTCTCTGACCCAAATTAATTAAATAAATGCTGTTTATTTAGCAGTTACCTTGCACCAGGTGTGGTGCTGAGTACAGGACAAGAGACTCACCTGAAACAATCTCTTGTCTTTGCAATTTAGGCGAAAGAATAAAGAATAGGACATCAACAAAGAATCTGGGTATAAATTATTTACAAGCTGTGAAAGAGATATTTCGGTCATATTATCACACCTTAAAAAATCACCTTTCATCTGTTTTTTTCATGATTCCACTTTTGACTCTGGCTTACACACATCTTGACTTACAAAAAGCTCAGGGCAAGCTCAAAAGCTGCTTCCCAACTCATCTATGTTTTGACAATGAGCCTCTATTTGTGATATGGCAGGAAGAGCTGAGCAGCCCATAACCTGTTCTTGAAGTTGTGCAGTACTGCACAGCACTGATACTAATTTCATTACTTTTATTCATCCAGCCTTGGGTACTTCAGCTTGTTGGGTTCCAGCCGCGATTAATTGGTAGAGCTCCCACTGACTTCTGATTAGCTGCTTTTAATTAGGGCCTAATGACTTCATTTGGTCCCTAATTCAGGGGGATGAGTTGCAAAACTGCCTGCAAACTGCTCAAACAGAATTACATTTTTCCAAGCCCTGAAGACATCACTCAAACTCTGCATACACAGTATTCTCCCTCCCTTGTTCCTCTTCCTATTGCCTCTGGACCACCCTGCACAGAAGCATGACAAAAAGGAAGCTTGTGACCCAGCTCCTGGCTGCTAGAGCAGATGTCACACAAAAAAGGCCTGGAAGTTGACAGGCTGGCTCCTAGGAGGAAGTCACCCCCTACAGCACTAACTCCTGCCCAGCGCCTAAAGGAAAGGCTTGGCATGCAAGAGTTTTTGAAGTCTTCACGTGCCACATTTGCTGCTTGCCTTCTTCGGAACAAGATACTCTCCTGATCTTTGCCTTAATATTCTGCTACAAACACCTGAAAACCTTCAAGCCTTCAACCTGTAACCCATAGCAAAGGTCAGAAAACAGAGAAAACAGTTTCCACCCCAGAATCCAAATGGACAGTTGCTGCTGCTGGTCTGTGATACTGGCTCTGACTTCCGAGACCACAGATCCTAACATTCTGTACTAGGGAGCAAGATAGTCACAGATACTCAAATCCTCTTGGGGTTCATGTTTAATATATAGATACCCAAGCTTTGGAGGCCCATCTCAGAAGGTTGTTTACTTTAACATTCTATTCTACAGATTTATTTATTTTTCAAAAGTAAGCAATTTGACAAACATTTATTTAACACTTACCATGTGCCAGATGCTATGTTAGTTTTCAGGTAAACACAGGTGATCAAGACTCCATCTTTAGCATCTAAGAGCCCATTGTCTACTGTGGAGGCAAATCCTTTGATTGATAGGTCAATGCTCTATAGTCAGTGTCTGGAGTGTAATAAGTGACAATTACAATTATATATATATATATATGTATATGTATCTTCATATATTTATATATGGTGCATATACATTTGTGCTTGCATATATAGTGTGTGCATATATATCAATATGCTAAAATGCACACCATTTAAAATGCTGTAAAGAACAAAGTATTCTCTCTTCCCTCAGCCCTCAAAGTGCTCTCCCCAGAGTCAACTGCTGTTAGCAGTCACTTGCGTTCATCTGCAAACATTTCATAGTCATCTGTACATATTTTTAAATGAGGAAAGTAAAATTAAGAAGGAAAAATATGACTTGCCCAAAGTGGGGTGACAATGACAGAGATTTTTATGGCTCCTGTACTCTCAGTCGTGCTCTTTTCCCAGAAACTTTTAATGGCATTGCCTGGCTCAAGAGACTAGTCTAGAAAACTTATGTTGGTTACATGCAGCCTCAAGAGAACTATACCTTGCAAAACCAACAAAGAGCTAAAAGAAAGACATGATAGGGACAGAGGGTGCTAGGAGGCAGATCAAAGAACTTCACAGGAGCTCCTAGACTATAAGACATCACCCACACAAATTCTTCGAGAACTGCCAACAGCTGTCCCTAATTCCTGCCCCTTGCCTTCTTATCAAGGCTGAACCAGGCATTGGGCAGGTCGTTAGAATCTGGTACCCACCCCTGTCTGGACTTGACTTCTGCATTTGACTCTGACACAGGCCATCCAAAATGCTGATTTGCCCTATACCAGTGACTGATGGTACTTAATTCATGCCTCCTACATACTCAAAATCTTCAGCCCCTGTTTGTGATTCTTTGTGCGTGTCTGGGTTTCAACAGCTTGCAAAGACCCTTTAAGTCAAGTGAATGCCATAGCAAGTGATGATATATATATATAGGATGCTCTGCAGTGAGTGAGGTAGCACAGCAGGAAAATATGAACTTCCTAGACATATAGACCTGGTCTCTGGTTTCAGTGATAAACATTGGATAAATTACAGAACTGTAAAATTCAGTTTCTATGTATAAAAAAATATCATATCTACTTATCAAACTTTTTGGAGAATTAGGTGACATAAGGAACTTTTAATGTGTCTGATGTGTAATGGGTGTTCCAGGTGTTCCATAAATAATAAACACTATTATATTCTCCTCCAGTTTATTTATTGTTAGTATCACTTAGTAAAACAAACAAGCCCCTGTGGCCAGTGACTGTGTTGTTTCACGGATATTTGTATGTCCATCATCAAACACTGTGGCTGATAACACAGTACATGTTTAATAAACATTCAGTAAAAGAAAGAATAGATGGAAGAATGAACAAATTGTATCTTTTGATTGTTAGCTCCATCTGAACTAAAATGATAACTCTTGATTTGGATCTCAGAGAAAAATAGAAGGCATTTTAAGCCAAAGTTACAAGCAAAGGCAAGTTAGTATGGGGAGCCACAGCATGTAAGGGTCTACGTGAAAATCAATGTGTTTGGAATCGAAGACTGATACACACCACTCATGAGTGAGATGTTGCCTATGACAACGTTCCACGCAGAGCAGCTCTTCCATAGATGTTTGATACATAATGCTGAGAATAAACACACACCAAATTCATGAGAAAGACTGAGGTGAACCCAGCAATTTTGTCAGATTTATTCAAAATACTCATTTGAGAAAGCCATGAAATGGGCTCAGTTTTTGTCATTCCTTGGAGCCCCAAAGAGGCTAACATGGAGTTCCTGGGTAGTAAGTAGAGGCTACACATGCCAGGCTGTGATCAGACAGATAGAGGTGAAGGGGTTGCAGCTGAAACTGGCCAAAGTATAAGCCTGCATTTACATCTTATAGAATCTTAAACATGCTATAACTTGCTTTCCATGTCTTTACCTGTTCTTTCCTGCACAAATTGGGCAAAGTGAGGCGACAATAAGTTGATGAAATGTACTAAATTGCATTTTCTTCAGTTTGCTGAATTAAAGTTTCTCTCCCAGCAAATGAAATTAGGGGGATTTCAAGCAAGCATTATCCCTGGGGAATTAGTGATGTACTCTTAGCAAATTGGACACAAAACACTGATATTTTTTGTGATGTTTAGAGATGGGTGGGGCAAGGGGCATCATTGGAAGGATGGGAGAAGATAAAAGGTGTTGCTGCAGATAAGGGGACTATTACTGCCAAACCTCTGATTCTATGATGCTACCGTGACACAAGTCTTCTTCAATAGCATTATTTGTAATCATTCCTACCATTTATTGAGCACTTGCCAAGTGCTAGGAACTGTGCTAAGCATTTCACACATATTATTTAATTTAATCTTCATAACTACCATGTGAGGAATACATTATCACCTCCATGTAACAGATAAAGAAACTTCAAACCAGAGAAGAGACTGAACTTGCCTTGTGTCATGTTGCAAACTGGTGACAAACTGCAGTGCTAACAGAGGTCTCTGTGATTCTAAACATTATGTCCTAATCCTTTCACTTTATTTATTTCTATTTCAAGGCTCAATGTGAGGTCCTACTTTAGGGCAGTGTGAGAGTGTTGGCTCTATAGTGAAACAAACAGACTACAGTGAGGAACTGATTGTCTCTTTTCTACTTTGTAACCCAGCAAATTTGAGGCAACTTTCAAAAATATCTACAATGAAATGTAAAACTACAAATACAGGCAAAACAGAAGATCTAGACCAAACTAAAAAGTACTGGAATCTAGATATGCAATGTCTAGCATTAAAAAGTTATTAAATATAAACAGTAAAATCAGCATTGAGCATCTTTTCTGCTGAAGTGAAAAGGAAAACATAATTTGTTACTTGCCCAGTATTTATGAAGAAAAAGCATATCCATTCTTTAGAGGAAGCAAAAGCTTATCATCCCATAAGCTTGAGAGTTCACTATGTGTCAGTCACAGAGTGAGTGGCTAGAAATATGGTGGGAAACAAAACAAGCATGATACCTGCCTCTTGGAGCCTGCAGTCTAGTGGGAAGACGGCCCTTAAAAACACAGTCAAATTTTAACTATACAAAGAGGTATCAAGACACCAGCATTACTCAACCCAGTCTGGGAGGAGTGATGAAGATTTCCTAGTGAAAGTGATATTTAACTGGGGCAGAAATGATATTCAAGCAGAGGTAGAAGAATGAATATTAGATAGATAAAAGGTAAGGACTTAGGGAATTGGGCAAGGAGAATGTGACTGACAGAGGAATGCCATTTGCAAATGCCCAGAGCTGTGTGATACGGTTTGGCTGTGTCCCCACCCATATCTCATCTTGAATTGGAGCTCTTATAATTCCCATGTGTTGTGGGAGGGACCTTGTGGGAGGTAATTGAAACATGGGGGCAGGTCCTTCCCATGCCATTGTCGTGATAGTGAATAAGTCTCATGGGATCTGATGGTTTTATAAAGGGGAGTTCCTCTGCACACTCTCTCTTGCCTGTTGCCATGTAAGACATGACTTTGCCCCTCCTTCATCTGCCATGATTGTGAGGCCTCCCCAGCCATGTGGAACTGTGAGTCAAGTAAACCTCTTTCCTTTATAAACTACCCAGTCTCAGGTATGTCTTTATTAGCAGCATAAGAAAGGGCTAATATGCTATATGAGAGTATTTTACATTCAAGAGTGAGAGAAGTCCAGTGTGGCTGTAATAGAGTAAAAGACAGAATGGGAGATGAGATTAGGACATGTATAACCAGGAGGTGGTACTGGGGCCAGTTCATACTAGCTGGTGACAGCCCATTGTGCCTCTCTTTTCCAACTAGGGTAGTAGCTTAAGATCAGCCACAGTGGGGATATTTATACTAAGGAAAAAACAAACAGCATATATGAGGGCTGTTTATTTCCTGCACCAGTATTTAGCATCTCACCACTGCATTTGACCATATTTCCAGGTGGTGGTAGTTCTCCCAAGAAAGTAGCTTGAAGGGAAAATCAGCTATGACTGAGAACAGGGAAAACTTCACAGAAGGATGGCTTTTGGACTGATACCAACAGTGAGCTAAAGTCCAATGCAGCAGGTTGGGACACTGGGTTTGGATAGTTAGTCAGCATCCGACAAGTGGTAGGGAAGCAGAAATGTTTAACCTTAGAGAGAGGCAATGTGGAGAGAGACTGGCAATCTGGAGAGAGAATCTGCTAACTATTAGAAAACAGCAGTAGGGTATTCAAAAAGGAGTCAGGGGCTAGGCGTGGTGGCTCACACCTGTAATCCCAGCACTTTGAGGAGGTCGAGGCAGGCGGATCAAGTAAGGCTGGGAGTTTGAGACCAGCCTTGCCAACATGGTGAAATCCCATCTCTACTAAAAATACAAAAATTAGCTGGGTGTGGTGGTGGGCACCTGTAATCCCAGCTACTTGGGTGGCTGAGGCACAAGAATCACTTGAACTCAGGATATGGAGGTTGCAGTGTGCTGAGATCTCACCACTGCATTCCAGCCGGGGCAACAGAGTGAGACTGTCTCAAAAAACAAAACAAAACAAAAAACAAGGAGTCAGTATTAGGAGACCAAGTAGGCAATTAGCACTTACTAATCAGCCTAGTATTCCAGAAGAGGAATATGGTCTATCAGAAACAGGAGGCAGGACTCTGAGACACCAGGTGAGGCTCAGTCCTGCAGTACGTCAAGCTGGGCAGGTAATTTAGAGAAAGACCCAGGGTTGACATCTGAGGCACCAGGTGAGGGTCTTCCTCTTAGGAAAATACAGGAGCTCAAGAGCTAGATCATAAGGGGACAAGCGTATAACCTTACTAGGTACAGAATGCTCTGCTTGCCATCCTGCCTCTTCAATCCTGCCTCTTCACTTTGTGACGCATCAAATAGCTTGGGACTGAGCTGCACGCAGGCCTTCAGTCATCCCAGGTGTGTGGAGAGAGGAGACAAAAGCAGAAGTAGGCTAGGATTCCTTGATGTGAGGATACAGATCACCGGGTGAACAAAGTGGTAAAGGTGGGTAAGGGCAGGGGAAATAAGAAGAGCAGCTTTGCAGGAAGAATGGCAGTTCTAGGAGATAAAGTTGGGAAGGTTAATTACGGCCAAGATGTTAAGTCCCTTAAATACTTGGCTAAGATGTTTTAACTTTATCCAGCAGTAATGGGAGCCATTGAAAGTGTACACGCAGGGCCATTAATGATGTGTCCAGAGCCACACTTTGAGACTAATCTCATGCTGATACATATACTTGGGAATGGGTGGGAGAGGAGCTGGGGGTACTACAGCACTCAAGTAGCACCACACTCACAGAGGGCACTTCTAAAAAGTAGTGAGGAAAATGGCATTTGAGCTTGGTGACGTCATTTCTTACTAGTGTAAACTCTTTCTTCTTCTCATGTACCTCTCTCCCGCCCCAACCCACCCACCAATGTATTGAATTCCTTTTCACTTTCAGGAGATTGTCTTATGAGAAACTAATTCCCCAGAAAGTTTGACTACCTTCAGTTTTCCTCAAAGTTTAAAATTTTACTCTGTATAAATGTGACCATGATCTTTTCCAAAATGCATGTGCTATTTTCTGCTCCCCTATGGTAAACTGAGACAACATGTTGGAGATGAGGTGGTTAGTTTGCAAAAAAAAAACAAAAACCAAAAACCAAATACCTTTAATTCCTTCAAAAATGACACGTCATGTTCTATTAAATTTTAGTTCTATTAAATTTCTATTAAATTCACTAAAGAAACCGACAAGAAACTTAACCTCAAAACTCCATCCTTAGCAAATGTAAATCTCAGGACTACAGAGGTGATTACTCTCCTAAAATTGAGCACTGATGAGTCTAGTAATATTCCTACATCTGAGTCAGAAGAGCTGGATTTAAATTTTGGTTCTGCCACTTTATGGTTACGTGATTTTAGGCAGTCATATTGCCACTATGAGCCTCAGCTTCTCCCTCTGTAAAATGAGACTGAAAATCTCTGTATTGCCTGAGAGAATTATTGTGAGGATCAAATGAGACAATGTACAGTAAAGATTTTTTTATTTTTATTTTTTAACTGCAAAATACTGCTAAAATGACAAGGAGAGATCCCATCATCTGTGGCTCCTTTTCTTTGAGGATTTTCATGCACTTCCAAGCCTAAATGGGAAGTTCCCTATGGCACAGTGTAAGTTAACACTCATCACATGGGATAGCTGACCTTCTCGTTGACTGCTGGTAAACCATAATTTTCCTCCCCTTCTGCACAGATTCTTTTTTTACTTGAAAGGAGGGTTACGAGGGAAAGCTAAGGAAAGCAGCCTCAGATAATAAATCCCAGCTTGCCTGACTCCAAATTGCAGGTGGCTATGGAGGTGATTGGCCCTGGTTCTGGAAGCTCCCTCCTCAGCCACAGTTGCGCTCTACCTTTTGTAGCCTCACCCTTGAAGGCTGAGGGAAGAGGAAGGTCATACTCTTCGGATCTTCCTGTCTGATTAGATCTAGTAAGGACATTGTAAGCTTTCCTCCCAAGATGAGGCAGCTCTGTCAGATCTGAGAGACATTTATCTTCCTGAAACACACACTAACTAATTTGTCAGTCACAGATGAAGATAAGGGGATAATGAGAAGGAAGGGAAGGGGAAGTGGCCATTTTGATAGGCAGGGAGCACATTCTTAGGGTCATGCCTCCTCCTGTACTTGGAGAGGAAAGATGGCTGATACAGCATTCATGGAGGAGAGCAGGGAGGCATGCAAAGCCCTGCAGTGTTTATGGGAGGAAGAGTTCAAAGACCAGAATGCAAATTTCAGCCTGGTCACCTCTCAGCTGGGTGACTTCTCTGAGCTGCAGTTCCCTAGTCCATAAAGTGAGAACACTGATGGTGATGATACTTTCCTAAAATCACAGGATTATCTGACAATTCAATAAGACAAGAGGTATGACAGCATACTTCCCCCTGCCTTCCTTATGCCTCCTGCATCCCATATCCCACACCCCTTGCTCTTTCCATCAAAACTGACCCATTTGTGTAGTTGATAAGTTTACCAACCCCTGCTGCTGAACATGTTGGTGCAAACAGTTGATATTTCAGCCTTCTGATGAAACAGGGTTGCCTTGTGCATTGTCAACAGCCTTGTGATGTCTTCAATTATTTAATTTCTGTACTAGAGGGAGGAATCAAGAATCCCTGGAAGGCTGCACTGGGGAGGGGGAGCAGAACTAGAAGAGTCTGAATAGGCAGGCTTCATGAGTTCAACTTTCACTTCAACTAAAGCAAACCCCTTATCTATTTTACATATTGGATTTCCTCGAAGGATATACCTGAATAGAGGAGAGCTGCTTCAGAGGAGAAGAAAACAGATAATAATGAAACATTAGGCTGGAAGCAGTGGCTCATGCCTGTAATCCCAGCACTTTGGGAGGCTGAGGCAGGCAGATTGCTTGAGTTCAAGAGTTCAAGACCAACCTAGGCAATATGGTGAAACCTCGTCTCTACCAAAAATATATATATATATATATTAACTGGTTGTAGTGGCATGCGTCTGTGGTTGCAGCTACTTGGGAGGCTGTGATGGGAAGATTACTTGAGCCTGGGAGGCAGAGCTTGCAGTGAGCCGAGATTGCACCATTGCACTCCAGCCTGGGTAACAATGAGACTCTGTCTAAAAAGTCATTATCATCATCATCATCATTGATATGGTTTGGCTGTGTCCCCAACCAAATCTCATATTGAATTGTAGCTCCCATAATTCCCACGTGTGGTGGGAGGGACACAGTGGGAGGTAATTGAATCATGGCGGCAGGTCTTTCCTATGCTGTTTTCATGATAGTAAGTAAGTCTCACGAGATCTGATGGTTATTATAAGGGGAATTTTCCTGCACAAGCTCCCTTTGCTGGCTGCCATGCAAGTAAGATGTGACTTGCTCCTCCTTGCCTTCCACCATGATTGTGAGGCTTTCCCAGCCACATGGAACTGTATGTCCAATTAAACCTCTCCTTTTGGTAAATTACCCAGTCTTGGGTATGTTTTTATCAGCTGCGTGAAAACAGACTAATATAATAATGATATTTAAATGTAAGAAATACAGTGGCAGAAAGGTGATAACTTAGGGTAAACCTGTCCAGGCCCCCCAGTAGCTTGCCCAGAGCTTAGAAGGTCAAACATAAATATGATACAAATAGATAGATGAGCAAATGATCAATGAATAAAATTGTTTAAGTAGGGACTGCATTCCATGATGGAGGGCAGGAAGTGGGACATTGCTGACCTGGTCATATGTTGCTGCCATAATGCACACTCTCACCTGTTTTTCTCATTTTCCAGATATCACCTCCACTGTCCTGTAGATATGACCTTCCAGCTCCCCTACAGGGGCTGATGAAGGAGAAATTGAAAGCACCAGCAGTTTCAGTTCCTGCTTAAGGCTACCTCAAGGAAAGCCCATTTTCCAGGTTTCAGCTCATAAGAGCATCAGAGTATCTGTGATTTCCCAGAGGATGGAGGACCTCATCTGCTATCCAGGTGGGTCTCCACCAACTTTTCGCTTCACGAATGAACAGCTGTAGCGGTCATAATAATGAAAATGCCAACCATAGCAATGGTGTACCAGGCCCTGTGCTAAGTACTTACACACATTATCCCTTTTCCGAAGATTATTCTGCAAGATAGACATTAGCACCTCCCTCTTATAAATGAAAACAGCAAGGCTCACAGCAGTCATATATCTTGCCCAGAGTCATATGCTGCTATGTAACAATGCTGAGATTCAAACACAGGTCTTTCTTTCACTCCCAAACCTAACTTCATTGTACCGTGCTAAGCTGACTTGGAGATTATACTCCCTTGGACCTTCACACAACCCCTGAGTGAATACTTCTCAGGGTTTTGCAGGAAGACCACTGTTTCAGCCCTCTCCAGCCTTATATTTCCACAGTAATTCTGATCTCCTTGGTCTAATCAACTGAAGACTAAAAATTGGACAAATCGATGAGTGAATGATTGAAGAAATGCATCGGTAAATGAGTGAAGGCCAAAGTAAGTGAATGAATGGGTGAATAAGTGAAAGCGACGTATTGCAAAACACGGAACTCCAGCTGTTAAATCAGTGAGTCATGCAGTTGAGGCTGGGGTCTGGGATAGGTATGAGAGAATTATACTGGGGATGCATGTTGGGACAGTGTGCGCAGTTTTAGAAGGGAAGAGTAGAAAGTCTCACAGAGGTATTTGAAAGTCGAGGACACAGGCTTGTTTTATAGGACAGGGAAATGAATGCAGAGATCAGGTTTGAGGCCGCTTCGAATGTATCCCACTGATAAATATACATAGACAGAGTGTTCAGTCCTGGTGAAAAGGAGGGGAGGGTGGCAGCTATAACATCCTGCTTGGTGCCTTTGGCACAGGTCTCACTGCAGGCTTTATTCCAACTTATGTCATCAGGAACAGGATGCAGGTAATGGGAGAACCACAGGTCCTGGGAAGATCAAAGGCATACATTTTATGCCTCAATTAAGTTTCCCCTTGTAAGGCTTTCAAACACAATTTAGCCTTTCTCTGCTGGGCTGGGCCAGACACAAAGACATGCACTGGGTCTTTTTGGAACACAGGGCCCATGAGCGACTATAATTAACAGTTTCCTCCTGCTAAAGGGAATAGGGTTTTGGTACACAACATGGCCTGTTTGTGAGAATAGAAACTGTACTATTCATCACAGGGTACCCAGTGGGCTGTCTGCCCAAGACTGCCTGTCACAGCCCGATAAGGATTCCAGGCATAAATGTTTGAGGTAAGGAATCAAGAGATAGAGTCCTAGACAGGAAAAGAGAGGAAAAGGGGTGGATATGCGGAGGATGAAAACTCACCATGTATGGTATTGTGGAAACAGCATCCTCTTAAAGTCAGAAAACCTACGTCTTGTATTCTGGCTTCACTGCTTTCTGTGCTGCCTTGAGAATTCATAGAGATCCTTAAATCCTACTTTCTTGTAAGAAGGGAATAATAAGATGTCTCTCAAAGACTGTTGCATTAAATCTATACTTCCTTTCTGGGAAAGTTTATGTCAATATGCTCTTCCAGGATGATACTGATTCATTGATAATCCTCCTATGAAGCCCTAAATAAGTAATCAACCTTCCAAATAAGTCATCGTGGAGCACAGTACCAGCATTTTCTCTCTAACCCAGGACAGTGCTGAATGGCTATGGATGTCCTATGGGTGGAACCATGCTCCTAAAACAGAAGCTGCTCAATATGACAGGGGTGACTTTCAAAAAGTTGGGTTTATCAAAGTATGTAAGAATATTACTGTAAGAATATGAAGATGGGTATAACAAAGACGTGCTCCACAAATGAGAGCCAGTGTGAAGGAAAGCACTGGAGATCTATGAACTGTTAGAAACTCAGCATTTGTGCAAGGAAGGGGTGACTCAAACAGGATTCAGAAGCTTATTTCACTTAGCATAATGCCCTCCAGGTCCCTCCATGTTGTCAAAAATTACAGGATCTTATAGCTAACAATATTGTATTATATATTTAAAATTTACTAAGAGAGTAGATATTATGCTAAGTGTTCATACCACAGATAATAATAATAAAGGGGTGGGAGAAAATTTTCGGAGGTGATGGATATGTTTATGCCATTGATGGTGGTGATGGTTTCACACCTATATACTTATCCCCAAAGTCATTGAGTCACACACATCAGGGGTTCCCCAACCCCCACCACAAACTGGTACTGGTCTGTGGCCTATCGGGAACCAGGCCATACAGCAGCAGGTGAATGGCCAGTGAGCAAGTGAAACTTCATCTGTATTTACAGTCACTCTCCATTGCACGCATTACCACCTGAGCTCTGCCTCCTGTCAGATCAGCTACGGCATTAGATTCTCATAAGAGCATAAACCCTATTGTAAACTGCACATGAAGGGGTCTAGGTTGTGCACTCCTTATGAGAATCTAATGCCTGATGATCTGTCACTGTCTCCTACCACCCCCAAATGGGACCATCTAGTTGCAGGAAAACAAGCTCAGGGCTCCCACTGATTCTACATTATGGTGAGTTGTATAATTATTTCATTGTATGTTACAATGTAATAATAATAGAAATAAAGTGCACAGTAAATGTAATGTACTTGAATCATCCCCAAAACCATCCCCCACCCTCCCTCCTGTCCATGGAAAAATTGTCTTCCCCAAAACCAGTCCCTGGTGCCACAAAGGTTGGGGACCACTGATATACATTATATATGTACAGCTTCTAATATGTCAATCATAAATCAATGATGTGATTTAAAAAACAAAAACAAAAACAGGAGTCAGAGGAAGCACAAGATACAAAGGCTAAGGTCCACCCTCTGGCGCTGCATCCTCGAGGGAAAAGGCAGGAAGGTTGCTATGTGCTGGACACCTTCACAACGTTAAGTGACTGCGGAAAATCCAGACCCCAGCTGTGTGGTTACAGAGTCGGCATTCTCACCATTGACTCTTCCTACCTCCTTTCCTGTAGGGACCAAAAATCCCGGGGCAAAAGGAGAAAAAGAAAGGGTTGGTGGCTGCGACTCTCTCCCTTTTCTAATAGAAATGGGATTTCCAAACCTCCAACGGGGTTGGAACCATCCTGTTTAATTCTACATGTATTCTTAGGTTCTTCCTCACCCCAATCGGTTCCCTAAGTAAAATGATTATCACCGAGTTTTGAAAGAGAGGGGGGACATTTTATATATCTATTTCCAACGAAACACCTTCAATGCTCTCACTTCAAATAGCCCATTCATCTCCCAATGGCCAGTGAGAACTCCAGGAGTCGGAACATTTCTTCTGCAAATAAAGGGATGGAAACCGTGTGCACGAACACCCAGCAGACAAAGTCGGCCTTTCATTCTCGCATAAACGCAGGCGCGAGCCACAGAGGCAGGCACGTGTGCCAGGCCGTCCTCCCTGAAAAAGCCGAGTTCCCTTCTCCAGTGCAGAGTCAGGAGAGCCCACCCTTTTCAAAGGCCCCTTTTGAAAGCAGCCGGCGGCTTGAAAGGAGGCTCAGATGTCATTTGCGCGGCTGCGCCAGCTGTACAATGGGCTGCGCGCAGAGCCGGGTCCCCGCGGGGCTGCCCAGATCCTGCGGGCGAGCGAGCGCGCGGGAGCCGTGGCCGCGGCTCCCTGAGCCCCGCGCAGCCCGCGAAGGCGCGGGCGCTCCAGAGGCTCAAAGCCGGGAACCCCGGCGTCTCCGTCCTCCGTGGCGCTGATGAGAACGGCCTGCGCTAATGAGTTCCACCAAGTTACTGTGGCTAGGCTGCCCACAGGACTTCGGGGCATCGGGCTGACTTTTCAGTTCTTCTTTTAAGTTCACTTACTTCAAAGTTTTCCATTTGAAACTGTTGAGAGAGCCTGATAGACGCCAGAGAAGAAAGGACAGCAAAGATAAGAAAAGAAAAGAAAAAAAGACTGAAAAATGCTTCAAGCAAAGAAAAAAAATAAAGATAATTTTTAAAATAGCTCAAGTAACTGAAGATAACGATAAAGACATTAAGCACTTCTCCACCCATACCTGATCCACTACATTCTGACTTCAGTGAAAGATAATTCAGTGAAAGATGGAAGTCTTGGGCTTACCAGGAACTGAAATAAACCCAAACCAGGGGAATTAAAAGGGGCAGTCGCTGACAAGAACTGTAGTGGTTTGTTAGAATAAACCACATATTTCCTCCTTGGGAGTTTTGCAGATTGACAAGTAAATGTGAAAAGTATTCATCCCCAAAGGTTCCCCAGATAATTAGCTTCCTCAACGTCATTGATGAATCTTCAAAAACAGGTTTTCATTTGTTTACATCACAGATGGGAAAACCAAAGTCCAGAGAGGTTAGATGACTTATCCAAGCTAACACCCCCTGTAGTGCTGAGGACTGGATTATTCAAATACAGCTCTGGTGTTCTTCAACATGCCATTCTGCCTGTAAATAAATAAGTAAATAGATAAACCAACAAATGAGATAAAGAAAGAAAAAGAAAAAAGTTGACCAAGGAAAGGTTTTAATCCAGTGCTTTAAAGAAATTGGAGCCTCAGCACAGATCCACTGTCCCACTGTCCATACAGCATGTCTCCGTTAAATAAGGGAGAATCATTTATTTCATTTATCACCCAGTATATGAACAGCATCTATTAAATGCAAAGGCCATACAGCGCTTGACAGAGAAAGTACTATGAAATCAAACAAGGTTGATCTCAGAGCTCTGCGAACTCAGTAGAGAGGTAGTACATGCAGTCATACCTATAGCCAAGGTAGGAATGAGAGCAAAGAGTAGAAGCTAGCATTTATTGAGAGAAAGGATGGAGTGACAGTAAAACACAAATGATGACCAATGCTGATCAAAGCTTAGGTGAACAGTGATCAACAGCATTGGCTCAGAGTCCTAGTGCTACCATTTCCTCACTGTGTAACCTTAGGTACATCAGTTAACTTCTCAGTTCTTTAGTATCATATGAGAATTAAAATTAATAATATGTGTGAGATGCACAGAACAGTTACTGGCACATTTTAAGTACTGAAAAAATAACCTGCTATAATCCCTGTTGCAAACACTTTGCATTTATAACCTCGTTAAGTCTTCATGACAGTTCCATGGGGTATATGAAAGTAGCTTCATTTTACAGATGAGGAAACTGAGGCATTTAGGTCCTGCCACCTGCCCAAATTTACTTACCTAGTAAATAAGGAGTTAAGCTCTAGGCTAAGGGAAGTCTAATTCAGGTTCATTCTCTTTATGACCGTAAAACATTGCTTCCCAGGACTCATACCAGAACTGCAAGTTTAAATTTTACTCAATCCAAAGGTTTTCAAACCTGATTTAACATTTTCCCTATGCCAGGTATCTATCTGTTAGCTTACTGTGGATATAGAGAAAAACAACATAGATTCTAGCACCAAGTTCCAAAGAGAATGTCATAACTGTCATATCCCTGTGGCAATTAAAGATTTAAAAAAAAAAAGTATTCCAATGTTAGCTCCCATAGCTTTCCAATACATGGCCTTTACTTCAAACAGACTTTAATCTTGGGGCCAGTTTGCCTTCGTCCCACCCACTCCTTCTATGTCATCTACCAGATGTAAATCTTTGAAGCAAGCCAAAGATAATAGCAAGACAAGGACCCTAAGGATGGGAAGTTACTTATCCAATATTATTTTAATAAACCTCCCATCTAATACAAAGACTTTTCTAACAACATCCTCAATGGTTTTTGAATATCTCTAGAGACAAGAGACTAACTACATTTGAAAAAGCATCCCTTTCCATAGGCATACAATCCCAAGTCCCAGATACATCTTTTTATATTAAACTGTAAATTCCACCCACAATTCTAATTCTGCCCATTAGGATACACAAAATAAATCTGATCTCTTTAATTCCGACTCTTCTTTAAAAAATTGCACCCATTCCCTGACTTTATTCAACATCTCTGTTATGCTAGATTCTTCCTCAGAGAATATGGCTTTTAGCCATATCCCAAACACTCCCCTGGATAAAGTATAGAGCTTGTCAGTCTCCACCTTAAAGTAAACATGCCATACAGAGGCTGACTTTTGGTCCCACCAGAGCCTTATAGCTAAACTTCTACTTGAGCATTCTAGCTTTATGAATGCTGTCTGAGTTTGTATTAGCTCTCTTCCACCTTGGGAAGGGAGAATTCAGTGCCAGCAGCAATATCGTTAGTTCATCTGCATCCCTGTTGGGGACTAGAGAAGCAGGTAATTAATTGTTTCTCTTCTGTGCGAAGCAGCCGGCTTTCTTTGGAAAAGTTCATTCCTCATCCAGCAATGGCTTCTGCAATTAAAGCTATCCACAGCCAGGAGTTTGATTAATAGCTGGGAGGTTTCCCCTCTGCTGACAAATGAGAAGAAGAGAAATCAGATAGGGAGAAGCTGAATGCATTTGCTTAGCACAGGTCCTGGCTAATGCTCTTTCCAGAGAAAGAGCTGTAGTAATTCCAAGGGACTGAGAGGGAGCGAAAATCTCTTAAAAGTTTTCACAGTAATGGATCCAAAGAACCAGATGTGCCTGTTCCTCAGGAGATGAGCAGAAAGGGCTGTAGTCGGCAGTCTCTGGAGCTGGAGAGGATTTCTCCACACAGATGGGAAAAGCAGGGCCCAGAGAAGGGAATCTGATTTTTCCAAGGTCACACAACCTGCCTAGAAAATCAAGGCCAGCTGCAGCCAAACTTCACCTTTCACAGTCATAGAGTCACTTTGCTCAAGCTGAAAGAGTAATGGGACAGTGGCCTCAACTATTAAAATTGAAGAGACTAAAACCCTGAATCCAGAACCCTAGATCCCCAGGCAGTCTTCTCTCTATGGTATCACAGTTGCGCGTGGCAGAAGGTATATTTAGTGACCTAGAATAAGACATGTATGAGAGAAATCGGCCACTTCATAAATTCTACTCATGGTTCCTAGTTTTTCCCTCCGTGAATCTGCTGAATAATTAAAATCTCCTGCTTCCTTGGAGATTAGAAGACAGTGATTCTCTCCCTAGAGCGTTGGAGCATTTTTCTCTCCCCACTGAGCTCTCAAGTTCCCAGAACTTCTCCTTAAAGAGCCTTGAGCAGGTGGGAGATGGGGAGTTGGAGCTTGAGAATAGCGGGACGTTGAAAAATGTCTATGGACCGTGGGGCTAAACTGTCAGCATCTATGCAGATCAGCAAAGGCAAGGAGGAGGCAAAGGCAAGGCAAGCCGGAGAGGTAGCAGAGGCAGGCTGGAATGCTAAGGGAACAGCTGTAGTCAGGAGACAGTGAATGAGAATGTGGCCCTATGTAGTCCAAGGCAAAGGGCAAGTCAGAGGCTAGGACCAACAGGGTTTACCAGGAGGCCTGCGAGTTAGGCTAGCATAAGTCCGTTCCATGTGAATTCTTGTGGACATTGGATCATTGCAATCATTGCAACAGGAAAGTTCTTGAAAGTCCTGGGACCTATCCCACAGGTGGACAATTAGATTTCATGGCCCAGCCCTCTGAGAATAGGGCTTGAGAACCTGGTGGACATAGAGACTCTCCCAGGTCAGAAGGTTTGATAGTTGATGAGAAGAAAAGCCATACTTTGTCTGTAAGAATCAGAAAGACCCTGGATTTAAATGTCACCCATTCTTACTAGCTACATGACCTTGAACAACTCAATCTGTGAGCCTTGTTTTTCTTATTTATCAAATAGCTTTTGGTGTTGATTAAATAAGGTGATATATTTAGTGCTTAATATAGTACTTGACACACAATAAATGATAAAAATCACTGTCAACAACAGTAGCAGTATTTAATGCTACTGATGTAGCAATAATGTAGTAATAATGATAAACTAACAGAGGTAATAATAATAAGAAAATCGACCAGTGTAGCATGCACAGTTGGTTGCATAGATTAAACGAGGAATTGCAAACTATGGCCTACAGGCCAAATCCAGCTCACCACCTGTTTCTGTGCAGCGCATGAACGACAAGGTCTTTTACATTTTTTAAGGGTTGAGAGAAAAAATCAAAAGAAGAACACAATTTCACGACAGGCAAAAAGTATTCCACATTCAGTCATCAGTGTCCGTAAATAAAATTTATTGGAACACTGGCTGCCCAGTCATTTACATTTTGTCTGTAGCTGTTTTTTTGCTGCAACAGCAGAGTTGAATAGTTTCAACAGAGAGCATGTGGTCCTCAAAGGCTAAAATATTTACTCTTTGGCCCTTTACAGAGAAAGTTTGCTGGCCCCTGGATTAGATCCTCCTCTCTTGCCTCCTCCCTGCCATCATTTTAGGATGAGTGCAACCTTGGCCTTCATGCTCTACAGGCTGTCACAGGCATGTTTTGCTAGCTCTGAATGTGCATTGCAACCGCCAGGCTGCAACCCTATTTCTGCATCCTCTGACACTGGGACAGTGATAATTCTCCATGTGGATGTGGACTGATAGACAACTCCCCACGGGGACTTGAAATAACTATTTTCCCCCAGAGTGCATCTTCCTCCTCCCCTGTGCAAACGCACGTGCTCTTTGCAAAGATCTAACAATTCAAGTCATAATGGAAGGGAATCTCACCTATTTTATTGCCATAGTTACCGAGATTGCAAGTTTAGATGCTGTATTAGCAGTAAGTGCACGATAATAATAGAAGTCAGGGAGGAGGGGACGAAAAGGATTCTGGCTCCTGTTTCTCCCTACAGCATCCTTCAGGGCAAATATACCAGAGACAGTTTGCATTAGATTGCAAAGTTGGCAGTTTTCTTAAAAAAAAAAAAAAAAAAAATCCAAATAATTGCTTTAAATTCTCTTCTCTTCCCCCAACTGGTTAACCCTCACGCAGCCCAACTCATTCTGAAACAATGAAAAGGAGGTTAAAAGAAAAATAAGTGGCCAAGGTTACCATGGAAACCAAAGTGGAAGGCAAGTGAAAGTCAATTTAAGGTTTAAATGCATATGAAGCAGATGTATGTGTGCGGACATATTTGCATATAAATATCCATCTCCCCTCCTCTCTGCTATCCATAATGTGTTCTTCCTTCCAGGCCCACCTCTGGACCGTCCACCTCCAGGGAAATTGTCCCGACAATTTCAAGCCCCAGTAATCTCTCCCCTCTGGAACTCCATTTGAACTGCAGTTTGGACACAGGATCGACCTCTTAATATACACTGTCCGGGAAAGGAACCGGAAAAAACCTTGAGGTCACTGACTGCTCTGTGCTGGCTTATTTCTGTGTCTTTGCTCTTGCTGTTCATGCCACCTGGAATGTCCTTGCCCACTCCCTTCCCCTGAGTGATTCTTATTATCCCCCAAGTCTCCACGTAGACAGTGATTTCTTTGCAGTGCTTTTATCAATTCCTTGCCTCCTTCCAGTTTTCTCATGCTCGGTTACGGATGCTTCTTTTATGCTCAAATAGATCCATCACGATTAATTACACTAAGTTGTAATTGCCGCTTCAGAACGACCACCCATCTCCAGACTACGGAACACTGGCAGACAAGGGGCTGTTTTACTTCGTGTACCCTTATTGCCATAGATGTAATAGTCTAGTACAAATAATTCGAATCTCACAATCTAGATCAAGACATCCATTTCCACATGCAAAAAAACAGTTGCTAATATTATTATTAATGTTGCTAATTGTTATGATTACCTTCAAACGCACAATATTCAACTTTCCCTTGTTGCTTCGAAGGAAAAATCTTGAATACGTGAGATAGGTGCAGAAAGGGGAAATGGAAGGGCTGGGATGGGAGAAACCTTACCATTTAAAAAATGATTAAAGGACTCTGGAACTTCTGGCACAAATAAGAAGCTCAAAAGATATGATTTTCTAAATTCACTTCTCAGAAGAGAGTCCTGGGACAGAACATTTTCTGCAGGACTCCAGAGAACAGGTGCAGGGGGAAAATAAAAGTTATGGAGCAGAGTTTGTGTTTCATAAGAAAACATAGGCAGAGCTTTAAAGCTGTTCAACATAAGAAAAGGCTGTCATGTGAGATAGAGAGTCCCCCAGCGTAGGAGCATTCAAGTGGGCATTGCATGCGTAAATATATCAGGACATAAGGGAATGAAAAATATGATGTGTGTTTAATAATTTGCAGAGAGAAAACTGGAGTTTGAGGTTATAGAGGTGGCAGTGGCCAGAAGAGATGAGGAATATGCAGAACTGAGTGGGAGAGGCTAAAACTGTAGCTTACAGACTGAGCACAGAAAACTGTGTTTTGCATTTTTTTTTTCTGCAGGAATTGGGGACCATGGAAGGATTTGATGTGGAAAGTGACATGATTATTGATATGCATTTGGAAGTTTACTCTATTGGCTATAAGCAAGATGGAGTGGAGGAAACAAGCCTAGAAAATATGCAGCTACTACAGTAGTCCAGGTGAAGGAGGCCTGAATTAAGGCAGGGGCAGGAGGGATGATGAAGAGCAGGGATATTAAGGACATAGTGCAAAAGCGTAAGGGACAGGCTGTATCAACCAGTCCTTCCAAGTAGCTTCCACTCACTGTCTGCCACCCCTGTGTCTGCCCTCCTGGAAAACAAATCAGCCTTCCTTGTTTGCAAGAGCAGACTCAAACTGTCTGTCGCTAGGCTGCGAAGGTTGCAGTCACCTTGAGTGGATTCCCCACGCAGCTCAGTGAGAAGCAGAGCCTTCCCTCTGCTGCTCTGTCAGCTCCACTTTGCATCAAAACTGCTTTGTGTGTCACCAAGTTATTAAAGTTGCGGATTGCAGTGCTGTGTCAGGCGATGTTGTGCTAAAACTGGGTCAGAGAGGGCTGTCTCTCTGGCAAGACGTGGGCTCCTGGTGTCCCCACATGCCAGCCCTGGTTGCAAAGACTCCTTGGCTGCCTCTCCCCAGCTGGCTTTGAGAGGAGGACATAATAACCCTGTAGCTTGGCCTTTGTATTTAGCAGCTCCAGTGGTAAATAATTCCCTACAAGAAGATTGAAAAGGGCTCCTCTGTTCTCTCGGTGATTCTTTGTGTCCATAAAGATGACAAGGTCGTGGTTTTTTCAATTCTCTTTTGAATCCTTCCTTTTCACAGATAGAACAGCTATAGAAAGTGAAGAATCAGCTGTTTCAAAACGCAGGCACCCAAGTGTCCCCTCTGCTGTTCCAGGCAGCCCAGGGACAAAAGGGAAACAGAGGGGTACAAACAAACAGAAATATGTTCACAAAGGGTGAAAGGGTGTCAGGAAGAGACACAAAACTCCACTATGTCTCTGTGGTCTCATGGACCAGTCCATGGACCATGTCTCAAGGAATGGTCTCATAACAAGGGAGACACAGAGATGCAAGTTTGGGATCAGAAGAAGAAATAAGTTCCTGGACGGAGGGAGCTCCCTCAATTCAATTCAATTCAATCCAGTGCACATGTATTGAACACCCACTATGTCATAGTTGTGGATACATCCACGAACAAAATAAACAAAACAAAGATCCCTGTCCTTGTAGAGTTTATATTCTAGCAGAGGGAGAAAGATAATAAATGATAGACATAATAAATAATTTATTATGTAAATAATTACATAATATCAATCATCTGGTATGTTAGAAGGTGATAAGCTATGGAACATTTTCATAGGTAAAAATCCATGTAAAAATCTATGGAGAAAAAGAGACAGAGAATGGAAAAGAGGAATGTCAAGGGACAGGATTGCAATCTTAAAAAGGGTGTCTAGGCCTCATTATAAAGGTAATATTAAAAGCAAGATTGAAAAAGGTAAGTGAGTTATCCTAGTGGATTATCTGAGGGAAGCATGTTCCATAAAGCGGGAAGATCCATTTCAAAGGCCCTAGGTAGTAGTAATGTGCTTGGCAGGTCCAAGGCACACCAAAGAGGTCATTGAGGCTGGAGGTACATAGGTGACAGGAAGAATATAGAAAATGAATATGGAGCAAGGTGAGGGAGAGCCTATAGGTCTATGTAAGGACTTTGGTTTTTACCAAGTGTATCATAAGAAGCCCTTGCCCCAGAAGTTCATGAAAGCTCAGCATGAAGTAGAACATAAACTAGAAAACATATTCTAGAATACTGGTTCTCAAATGAGGATTATTTTGCTTCCCAGGGGATGCTTCACAACGTCTGGAAACATTTTTGGTTGTCACAATCAAGGCAGATATGCTACCAGCATCCAGTGAACAGAGTCCAGGAATGCTCTTAAACATCCTACAATGGACAGGACAGCCCTGTACAGCAAATAATTATCCAGCACATAAGTCAATAGTGTTGAGGCTGAGAAACCCTGCTCTAGAAGAAAGTAGAGCTTCAGTGGCTGGCAGGCTACATGTTCTTTGAGTAAAACGTACCATTACTTTTAGGAGAATCTAACAGGCCAACTTACCCTTTAGGTATGGTAGGCATAGTGACTAAAATCCATATTTTCAGAGGGCTACAATAAGTTTTAAATTTTTGATATTAAAAGAAAAATATAGAGTAGATTTTGCATTATATTATCTTTATTCCAAAACAGTCATAAAATATTGGGGTTTTTTGTTTTGTTTTGTTTTGTTTTAAGATGGAGTCTTGCTGTGTTACCCAGGCTGGAGTGCAGTGGCGTGATCTTGGCTCACTGCAACCTCTGCCTCACGGGTTCAAGCAATTCTCCTGCCTCAGCCTCCTGGGTAGCTGGGACTACAGGCATGTGCCACCACGCCCGGCTAATTTTTTCTTTTTTTTTTTTTTTTGTATTTTTAGTAGAGATGGGGTTTCACCGTGTTAGCCAGGACGGTCTCAATTTCCTGACCTCATGATCCACCCGCCTTGGCCTCCCAAAGTGCTGAGATTACAGGCATGAGCCACTGTGCCCAGCCTTCTTCTTCTTCTTTTTTTTTTTCTTTTTAATGGACCATAAGGAACCCATGAAGGGAAAGGTGCTTAGGGAAAGGTGGCCCTAGAACTCAGCCTTCTCTGCCCTTAGATTGGAACTTGTCTGTTCTTGAGTCCTTCATCCATCAACTGTGCTCCCAGACCTAAAGAACTCAATCTTGTCCTGCTCTCTTTCCTTTCCAGGTGTGTGGAGTTCTAAACCTAACTTACTACAAAGTTCAGCCCAACAGAAGTCATTTTCATAGAACCACAGAAGAACACTGTCAGAGCTAGAAGGGTCTTTTGAGCTTATCTTCTCTGGCTATCTCATTTTATAAGATAAGGAAAGTGAGTCCCAGACAGCAGAGACAAACTGATTAATTTGCACCAGAGTTGGAGCTCAAGGAATCATCTCAGGGCTCATTTTACCAGCTTTCATTTTCTAGTCTCACGCTTGATTTATACCAATTTCCTCAGAATGAGTCTCATGATATCCAATGTGAAAAATAAAAACCCAAAACCCTTAATGTCATTCTGTGCCATTCCATGACACTTTTCAGTTTTCAAAGCTCTTGAGTACACTATTTCATTTGAGCTTTAAAATAGCCCTGTGAGATAGAGAGAAGGCAACTTTTTCATGCTGATTTCTGAGATGCACAAACTGAGACTCAGGGAGTCCACATGACATGTCCCAAATTACAGGGCTAATACGGGGTGGTGGTGCAGACTGAAATTCCAATCCCTGACTGCTCTTTTAGGACTGTCTTCCAAGTCATCATTTTTTATTATTCTTGGTATGTCATGTGATACCTAGAACATACTTTGCATTCAATAAATGCTTATTGAGTGAATAGTTGAACTGTTGTGTTTCATAGATTAAATCATGTTCCCAGAAACAGATAAAAGCCTGGTACATTGTAATAAGGTAGATGTTAGTCTTGCCCACAAAAATGTCAGCAAAGAAAAGGGGAGTAGGGAAGCATTTGTAATTTTAGTTCACTTGAAACAGAAACATTATACTTTATTGTTTCCCTGTGCCATTTTCATAAGCATGAGAAAATAAGTGCAAATATGAGGAAATAAAATGAAAGATGATAAGGTGTCAAAACTTCAGATTGTCTGGGAATTTCTGCTTAAGGGAGCCAAATAAACAGATTGCTCTACGGACTTGCTAGTCTTCCTGACCTATATTGTTCTTATTTTTTAATCTGGAGCCATTCAACCCTAGAGGTTAAAGAAAAAAAAAAAAAACCCAACCTACTTTGTTCTAGGAAACAAGTAGGAAGAAAAAAACAAAATTGGCTGCTGAGCCAATTTTGACCTAGTCCTACACACTGGGGTTCCCTGGATGGCCTGTGCATATGCCCCTGCCATATGGCCTAATTATAGAAACAGGGTTTTTTCCTTATTCATTCACTCATCACAATCTGATAGTGAGCACCTACCATTTGTCCTCATCGATTCTTCCATTTAGTAGCAAATATATATTGAGCACCTACTATTTGTTAGGCATTGTGTCTGGTGCTGAGAGATTGAGAAAAAAAGGCATAGTCTAGCTCTCTAGAAGCTCATAGTTCAGACTGAAGTGTAGGAAGTGCACCTGTAAATAAACTGACAGCTACAAAATCAGGTGATTAGACCTAGAAACAGAACATGGACAAAGTCCTCTGAGAACAGACAGTGGGGAGTGCCTGATTCTATTCAGCGAAATGGGGTGATTGAGAAGGCTTTGCAAAAGATGCCAAAAAAGAGGCATGGAAGAGACTTTAGAAGGAAGTGAAAGGACGCTCTGGATAGAGACAGCAGCATGAGCAAAGTCAGACACATGTAAGAGGCCATGCCACTTCTAAGAAAGCTAATAGTATCCCAATAATAATAAATTCCAGTACTGATTGCTTATGAAGGACTAAGCCATGGGTTATTTTACACACACAATATTACTGAATCCTCCCTTCAGTGCTGAGATTTACCTATTTCATGGATGAAGAAGCTCTTGTCATTGAGAGGAAGTGGGTGACCTACAATTGCTCTTATAGCATAGCTAGTAAGATGAGCCAGTAATTGGACACTGATCTGTCCATTTCCAAAGCCCCTATACTGCACTGCTGCTTCATTTTATTGATGGGAAAACTGAGGTTGAAGCAGGTGAATTCCCTTGCTCAAAGATCACATGGCTGTGACAGTTGAACCTAAAACCAGGTCAGGTCTGTGTACTATCCGCTGCCCCACCCTGTCATTCTGTACAGGGACTCATTAAAGAGATTTCAGTGTGGAGACAGAAGTGTTTGTTTTGTTTTGTTTTTCCACCTTAGTGACAAGAGCTGAGCTACACAGCCTCAAAAATAAATGTTACCCTTATGGTGTGAATAGAGATATCAACACAAATTGCCTCTGAGTCTTTTGCATCATGAAAGGGAAAATATACTCAGCTGGAGGAGTTTCAGGAAAAAAATGAAAGAGAAAGAAAAATAATGGGCTGACTGAAGAAGGATATGGACGTCCTTTGGGAAGAAATGGCAAAATAAAGGCAGAAGATTTTAGGTTGAGGCAGTGGGAGCACTTGGGAGTTGCAGGAGAGGGTAGGCAGAAGCCAGGAATGTACAACATACAAGAAATAAAGAGGACAGCGAAGGCTGCTCTTGTGTAGAGAAGCAAACAGAACACACATCAGTCAAGACGGCTTTGTCTGAAATCCACAGAGGAGAAATGAGGAGGAGTATTCTAAGAAATTAATGGAGGAAAAAGCAAAGAGTTGAGATTAAGAGTCCCACTGGTGATAGAGCACACATCCAAAAAGAAAGAGAAAAGCGTAACTGAGAAAGTTAGAGTCTAAGAAAAAAAGTAGTAACACAAAGGAGAAAAGCCTAGAGGCTTAGAAAGGAAGCCTTGAAGGATGACAATAGAATCACACAAATACAGAGAAATTACAAGTTATCATAGGGGGTATATAACACAACTAAGAAACAAAGAATATGAGCTCTGAGTGAAGAGCAAGTGCAGATAACTTGAGTATAAGAAAGAAGGCAATGTGTACTGATAAAATGTAAATGATTCATGAAGGGAGCAGGGGTCGATAGCTAACACTTATTGATCACCTGTAATGTGCCCAGTATTTTATATATGGTCTATTATTTAATTGTCCTAACAGTTCTGTGTTGTCAGCATGTTTAGACATATGTTCCTGATCCAGGAGAGATTAAGTGCTTTAAACGAGGTCACACCTCTCGCAGTGCTAGAGCAAGGGCAAGCATTGAGCTGTGCGTAAGTCCAGAGTCACTCCTTTACCTATATTTCAACCAGCCTTCATCAAGATTGGTGGGTTATACACCGGTCAGTAAAGAGCAACATGTTTGGAAATGCTATTCAGTATATTCTCGGATGTTAAAATACAACAAATGCTATTATTAAACTATATCAAGTGATTTTCACAGTGCTAGAAACACAGAGATCACTCCATAAACGTTGGTTTTAATGATTATGCTTAGACAGAAATTGGACCTGGAAAATTGATGTGATTTATGTGTGAGCAAGAATAGAGATTGAAAAAGATAGAGGGAAAGATATTACAATTTCTCTGCTGAGAGCTGATGGTAAGCATCTTTTCCCAATCCCACATTTATTGACATCATGTTGGTATCTTGAAATTAGCCATGGTGGGAGTATTTACACCATAGAATTTGGCAAACAGAATCAAGGCTTTCTATTCCCCCCATCTCACCCCTGGAGAGCTGGTTGTTAAATATTTACCAGCATACCAGTCTATATGTCCCATCTGGGAGGCTGGGTGGGAAGATGTATGATCTTAATTATATTATAGGAAAGTTCAAAAAGCATGTTTTTAAATAAATTTACCTTCCCCTCAAAACACACACTAAAATATGCTTGTAGAAACAAGATTTTTTCTTGAAACAAGAAAAATAATTTATTTGAAAGACGATTTTAAATGTCTTAGGGAAAAAGTATAATGTAAGGAAGTGGCTATGTATGACCTGTGAAGCTACATGTTAAAACTTGGATCTGGACAACAGACATTCAGATACATGTACTAAAATTCAGAAGCATCATAGAGCATGTATGAGAACAGCTTTTGGGATAAATGCATTGGAAATTAAATTCTGGCTCTGCCACTTGCTAGCCATGGAATCTTAGGCCAATTAGTTAACTTCTTTGTTGCAATTTCATCTGTAAAATAAGGATAAGTACAGTAATTCTCAGAGGAAGTCCACAGGACTTGGTGAAGCAGTGCAGGCCAAGCAATTTGCACAGTGCCTGAGACACAGATTCATCATTACACGCTGGCTTCCATAACTATACCTAGCCAGAAACTGGACCTGGGAAATTGCTACAGTGTATGTGCATGAAAGAATACAGATGGTAAGAGAGGAAACACTGCCCTCTTTTCTGATTCTTCTAGGGTAACAAATGCAATGAATTTCTCAAATGCTGAAATATTTGACTATAACACATAGGGGATCCTTGGAGACGACAGAAAATACATAGTGGAGATATCAGTTTCCTTCCTGTGAAACAAGGTGAATTGGCTTTATCAGTGCTTCTCAAATCTGCTTAATGATCAAATCACCCAGGGAATTCCAAAAATTATGCACTTCCTCTTCATAACTTAGAAGGGTTTCATTAAGTCCTTCAAGGTTGGGGTCCATGAACCTGTCTCTTTTTTCAAAGCACCCTCTCCAGGAGATTTTGGTTATTAGTTAGGTTTGCTGACCACTTAACTACATCTCAGTTCTATCTGTGTCAACCAAAGATAAAATTATTACCTATCCAATTGCAGGCCCAGCCCCCACCCCTGGATGTTTCTCTTGAACTAGCTCCTTGCCCCAGAATTGGGGGCCCCTGACCATCAAGGCTGGTCACAGTTTGGGAAGTCACTGCCTCCCAAGGAAGTTCATTCAGCATTGGTTAGGTCTGGCTCCCCTGAAAACTCAGGCTTAGGCTAACTCCACACCTGTTTATGCCCTGTAATGTCCATCTACCACTCCGCTCGGGGTCAAGTAGAGTCTATGGAGGGCATATGCCAGCACACAGCCTGGCATTCTGTGAGTGCTTGGGAATATCCAAGGGACCCCTATGGGCCCGAAATCCTACTGGAATTCAGTGCACTAGCAAACACTGGTTGATGATCTGATCAGAGAAGGCTTCCAGAAGAAATGAAGTTTTAGCTGGACTTTGAAGGATAGAAAGGGCTTAAGGAGATAGAAATTAGGTGTTGGGAAATGTTGAAGCTCCTTATCTTAGCAAGGGATGAGATCAGAAATGAGTTTTTACATCTGTCACTCATGGATGGTGTGGTGGATGGATTAAAGGGGAGAATACGGGAGGTAAGAAACCTCCCTTGCATGGTCTATGCACACAGGGAGAAGCCAATGGGCACAGTATGGTGGGAGGATTTGAAGGCCACGAGGGCAGTTGGGGCCATGCAGTCACAGAGTGGGGAAATAGCATTTATTAAGCCCCTACTGTGTGCCAGTGGTCTGCCTCCACTATCTAACTCCCTCTCCATCCTAATCTAAGAAAGTAAGCATCTTTATCCCCATTTGGCATGCTAACAAACTGAGGATGACAACAGTTATATGACTTTCTTAAAGCTATTCATGCAAGAAGTGGTAAAAATTAGGATTTGCACCCAGACTGGCTTGTCTCTACATATCAGGAACAGAAAGACATGTAATTAAACTGCAGATTTTTTTAAAAAAAGGGAAATGGTGACAGAGTAGCCATTTGCAGAGGAAGCAAAGGGGGTATCTAGATAAAAAATAGAAGGAGAGAAACACACACACATACACACACACACACACACACACAATTACAGTCTAAGTGAGCCTGTCCCCTTGTCCTCTGGCTAATATATTCTGGGGCGAGTTTAGGGGATCTAGGAGAGAATGACTTGTCAGCTCATAGGAAGTAAATGATAGCATGAGAATTACCGATAATCTTATTCTCCTCTTTCAAACCTACCAAGGGACTAAGACGCATGTATTTTTTTTCTTTTTTCAGAAGAGGTTCGTTTTTCCTTTCATAACCACGGGCCTAGATTGTTTCTCTTTTCCCTCTGGTGTTTGGTCAAATACAACCTGATACGTGATGAGACTGAGCCTTTGCTAGGGGATACAAAAAAAAAAAAAAAAAAAAAAAAAAAAAAAAAACCAAAGTCGTACATGTTAGGCATTTCCATTCAGAAGGACCTCCTCCTGTCTCTTCCACTTGAGGCTTTTGCTCAAATTAAATTACCTTCTGCCTGTTGTCACCACTGTTCTATATATATCTATTGCCTGAGCTATTGAGATAAATGAGTGGAGCCCAAGTTGTTGGGTCAGGCCACAGGAGACATCACAGTTGCTACCAACTCTCTAAAAGAACAGATTGTGTTTCTGGCCCTGAAAGTCCCACTCCATGCTTTGTGGGACAGAGCTAAAAAGGGCTATAGTATCTATGTCTCGTGATTTTTGAGTTCATTTTCTAACAAGATCAGGAATCTCTTTGACATTCATCAAAGCAATTGAGGGTAAAGTCTCCACGTTCTTTTGATGGGTTCCTAGGGCCAGTCTTTTCCGTTTCAATCCACCCACCACACCATCCCCTGAGTAACAGAGTTACATCTCATTTCCGATCTTTTCCCTCCCTAGAATAAAGAACTTCAGTATTTCTAAACACCTTAAGAGACATTCCAGGCCCTTCTGGGTCTTCCCTGCTGCTGTCCTTCTAATTTTTTTCTTCTTTATCTCACCTTTATTTTTACTATTAAAAACAATTGTAATAATAGGTATCACAAATTTAAGTGCTTACTATATGATGGTGTGCCAATTAATTTCTATTCATCATATTAATGTATTTTATCCCATTATAATTCTCTGAGGCAAACATCTGCAGTATCCTCAATGTACCAGACTAGATGATGAAACTTAGGAACAGAAGGGTTAAGTAGCGTAACCTGCCCCAGGTCACACAGCTTCTATGTGGTAGATCAGTGATTTAGGTCTGTCTGTCACCAAACCCCAAATCACTAATCTTTACCTCATGTATGTCACACTACAATATAGCCACTTGTTTACATGTCTGTCCCTCTGTCACCTAAATCATCAACTCCTACCAAGAGATTAAGAATCATGCTTTTTTTTCCCATTGTTTTTGTCCCTGCTGGAACAGGGTCATGGTGGCCACACAGTATATATTTCCCCAATTTTAACATTTTTTTATTTTAAAAAGAGGAGGGCAATATTGCCAATGGATGGGGTTGATATAAAGATTTTCTTTTTCCTGAAATGGAGTCTTGCTCTGTCACCCAGGCTGAAGTGCAATGGTTCACCCTTGGCTCACTACAACCTCCGCCTCCCAGATTCAGGTGATTCTCGTGCCTCAGCCACCTTTGCACCATGACGCTCAGCTAATTTTTGTATTTTTGGTAGAGATGGGGTTTCATCATGTTGGCCAGGCTGGTCTTGAACTCCTGGCCTCAAGTGGTCTGCCCGCCTCAGCCTCCCAAAGTGCTAGGATTACAGCTGTGAGCCACCATGCCTGGCCTCCCAGTTGTGTTTTATTTTATTGTATTTCCTAGAAGTAGATAGAAGTATGGTAAGAGCTCAAATCTGTCTCAGGTTAGTTCAAATCCTGCTTCTGTGACCTCTGGATTTGTAATGCTCTAAGGTGGGGTTCTTAGCTGCACTGTGCCTAAGTTTCCTATCTTTAGAGTGGAGTAGATTAATTAATTCACTTAAGCACTTTGAAGAGTGTTGTGCATGGAGGAAGCTCTCCAGAAATGCAAACTTATTGTCAGTTGGCTGCCAGATGACCCAATATACTTTGCATACACTTTTAGAAATGTACCCAGGATACTGCTCTTCCCTGTCTGCACAGTTAGACTTGACCCTCCTGAGCATGGAGGTCATACTTTATTTGGATTTTTCTGGCATTCCTCTTCAGGGGCTGGCAGGTAGGATGAGCTCAGTCAACATTTTTAAATTAATAGACAGTGTTCTGGATAATGCCTGTTCTACCATCCACGCTATGGCAGTATAGGGATTCTCAGTTGCCTATTTTTTTTTTTTTTTTTTTTTGAGATGCAGTCATGCTCTCATGCCCAGGCCAGAGTGCAGTGGAGCAATCTTGGCTCACTGCAACCTCTGCCTCCCAGGTTCAAGCGATTCTCCTGCCTCAGGCACCTCAGTAGCTGGAACTACAGGCATGCGCCACCACGCCTGGGTAGTTTTTTTTTTATTTTTAGTAGAGATGGGGTTTCACCATATTGGCCAGGCTGGTCTTGGACTCCTGACCTCATGATCTTTCCGGCTGGGCCTCCCAAAGTGCTGGGATTACAGGTGTGAGCCACTGAGCCCAGCCTCTTCGTTGCCTTTCTAGTTTCCATGCCTATGAGAAATTCATTCTACTGCCCTAACACTTGCTTATCAGCTAGTTACTGAAGCTGACCACATGTTGAGACCACACAGCATGTGTCAAGCACCATGCTGAGTATATGACATCCATCACCCATTTCGTAAAAACACATTGTATTCCACTACCCCAGTGTACT
The DNA here is from genome assembly GCF_000001405.40 of Homo sapiens. NCBI lineage: Eukaryota > Metazoa > Chordata > Mammalia > Primates > Hominidae > Homo > Homo sapiens. The sequence continues at coordinate 117,727,357 of NC_000009.12, read as the reverse complement.
GGGAGACAGCAATGAACCCATTTTAAAACATTTCCCATGGAACTTACAAAGGAGGGGATATCTGTGTACATCCATTTAACATTTTCTACCTCCCAGAAAGCTCAAGTAGCACCTTACTGAGGGTCAAACAAAGCTGAAAAAAAGAGAAAGACTCTGCAGGAGGCTTCTCCTAGGCAGAATATTGGTGTTGCTACCCCAGAACAAAGGCTTTCTGCTCCAAGCCAGCCAGAATCTCCTGGTGAGAAAAGGGCAGGATCCAACTCCAATAGCAAGCCTTTATATCATATCCAAATGCATGTAAAAAAAAAACTCTTGGTTCTTATTCCATATCACAGGTGAAAATAATGGGCCAACTCTCATGCATAGGCGGACTGATGTAGTCAGTTTATGTATCTCCATCTTTATATCTGTCATCAGAGCTGCCAAACAATAAATGAGACATTTGAGGAAATAATCAGCTCTGTCACTGGATTTTTTAGCATAATCTGAACAATCATACTTAGGAGATATTTCAGGGTAGGATTGAAGAGCTCAGCTTTTGGAATTAGGCACATATGGGTTCTAATCTTCCATCTTACTATCTGTAATTTACTAGCTAAGTTGTTTGGATGGATCGGTTCAAACTCCCTTAGCCTCAGTTTCCTCCTCTGCCAAATGGCGATGAAGACACCTGCCTCACAGAGTGGTTGGGAATATTAAATGGGATCATGCACGTAAAACACCTAACGTAGTGCCTGGTTCGTGAAAACTGCTAAAAGACTGTTTCACTTGGTATAAATGGACTTAAGAATGTTGTATTTTTTCATTATTATGATCTTTATTGTTATTGTTTTGTGGTAGTAGAAAGAATCCCTATAGTGGATAGAAAGCTGAGCAGAAGTTTTGGAAATGACAAAAACAAACAAAAAAGAACAAAAATTAAGATCACAAAAGCTAAACCGTCAACAAGAAACCCAAAACATAAAACAGAATCAAGTAGAACTGCTCCAGTTGATTCCTCACTTGATTCTCCACCCCTTTTCCTCCATCTCTCCCCTTTTTTATTATTATTGGTAGAGGTAGTATTATCAATAGAATTTCACTACTGCTACTACCACCACCACCACCACTAGCCTGGTGGCTTCTTCATACAAAGTCAGCATGGTGCAGTGGGAACAGGTAGATCTGGTTCAAATCCAGACCATGCCTCTCACTATCCTTGTGACATCAGGCAGAACAGGAGGCTAACTAAGAGGCAGGGAAGGCCAGGTTGAGGCCTTCACTCATTGGCATAAAAATAAGAGAAGAAGGTGTATGGAGGGGATCATGGCAGAGAGGAGTCAGGACTAGATTGCAGCTCCAGACAGAGCAGCATCCAGAGGCTTGCATTGTGAATTTTAGCTCCAAATTGACTGCAAGAACAAACCAACATTCCCAAGAGGACCCACAAAACCTCTCAAGGAAGTGGACTGCTCCTGCAGGACCCAGAAGACACCCCAAATGCTGTGAGTGGCAAGAGGGAGAGGGATAACAGACTACAAATATGGTGCAGTGTATATTGCTTGGGTGACGGGTGCACCAAAATTTCACAAGTCACCACTAAAGAACTTACTCATGTAATGAAATACCAATACCTTATGGAAAAATAAAATAAAAAATAGGGGAAGAAGAAATTGCATAACTCTGTTATGCAGTTTAACAATTTTGTGGTAACAAGATGATCACTTAACAACAGCTTCTTCAACCCTTATGTTGTAACATTCTAGGATGTTTGTCTGTTTCTTGAAAGGGAGGGTAGGGTCACTCCAATTCTGGGAAAGTTTTTGAAGCCGAAGAACAAGTTGTATTATGTCAAGACTGAGTTATAGCTTCCCAGTGTCACACAGGAAGTTTGTATCAACACCAGGATAAGGACTTGGGCCTCCTAAATGCAAGGCACCACAAACCAGTGGGCTTAATGCTGAGACATTACCTAGGCTTCTGTCGGGCTGTATGCTCCCCATTTCATAATGAAAGCACACAAAAAATTAGCATTTTTGATGACTGTGAAGTGCCTTGCACTGTTTTAAGCACTTTGTTTGTATAAGCACTCATTTAATATATCATCCTTAACTGACAGATAAGCAAATTGAGACATAGTCCAGATAAATGTCTTTGTCAGGGTCAACTGATGCCAATTAACTATTAGCTTTCATGTAATTCAGTATTTATACTATATTGTTTCTTTCCTCAACTCTGCTATACATGGTCTTCTACTTATTACTTCCCAGATTTATCATTTACATTTTTGCTCTTCTTTTAGGTTAAGAATTTAAAGATCCATCTGCAGAGCTGTTCTTTTACAATTTCCAGCTCAAATGGGCCCTCCTCTGTAAAGCCTTCTCTGATTGCTTCTAGGAAGAACAACCCTCCACTCCCCACCACCCTGCATTTTGGCATAACATTGTGTGTGTGTGTGTGTGTGTGTGTGTGTGTGTGTGTGTGTGTGTATTGACATGCCTCTCTTGCCAAAATGAATCTGAACTCCGTAACTTTGAGGGCACTTCTTGGTCATTTACTTCTGCAGCTTCATGTGCCTTTTCAACCACAGAGTAGCTTCTTCATAAATATTAGATGGCCAGATGAGTAAAATAAAGAACACTCTCAAGGAGAAAAAAGAAAGTGAGAACTTTATTTCCGTGTACTGAACTGCCAACAAAACTGAGAGGTAGATATTATCCCCATTTTAAGCCGAGACAAACAAGACAGATACCATAAGACAGGATCAGAACACAGATCTGTCTGATTCCCAAAGCTTTTGTTCTCTCTAATACATGAGAAGAAAGACAGGCACATTAATGGTCACATGCAGAAGCGGTTAATGGAGTTCACAGACAAGAAAGGAAGAAAGAGAGCAAGGAGAAAATGAACATCAAAAAATAAGGAAGTTGGAATACTGACAGGTCAAAGCAGAGAGAAAGACAAGACTTACTAAGCAAGAACTAACTTAGTGCACAATAAGAAAATGCAAAGGAAGGAAGATTGTGGTGACATTTAGAGAGCTTAGAATGGCAACAGAATTGAGCTTCAGATATTTGGAAGAGTTTTATTCAAAACCGTGGCAAGAGCCAGAAAAAGTAAAGGGCAGAGACAAGGGCCTGCAGCAGGCAAGGAGGAAGCATGATTTAGAGACAGATGCCACAGCTCAGGAAGGGAGCGGCTTGACCCTGCTGCTTGGAAAGGGGCATGCCTGGGAGTGCTGGCACTAAGGACACTGTTGGTTGCTATTTGCAGTGGCATAAGGATGAAGGATGATAGCAGCCCTATAGTGATATAAGGGACCATCATGAATGGCATTTCAAGAAAGAAAGCAGGAAGGAATGAGGAACCAGAGTTCTCTGTTTTTATCAATCCACAACTGTGAAATTTATGAAGAAAGTTTACTCTCAACTGACAAGCATTCACATATGGTAAGAGGCACAAGGGGTCGAATGGTACCTCTGTGACTAACAGTGTAGGAGCCTGGGAGATATCACTTTAAATGTCAAGTATGGGAAAGAAGAAAGAATAATTGCAAGGATTAGTCCACAAAAGTGCTTGAGTTTAGAGAAACTGTATTCTTCTCCTTTAAGATAATTAAAACTGACCAAGTATACACATTGCTGAAATAGAGGAGACTCCTGTAAGAATGACATATAGCTTAATTTAAAAGCTTTTGGAATATGTAGGCAAAATGGAAGATATTCTTGAGTTTATAACATGGGGCAAAAGAGAAACTCCTCCTTGGAGGAGTTTTCAATCTGTTATCATAATAACTCCTTGCATTTATGTAGCACTTCCCTAAATTTTATTGGAGGCTCTGTCTCATTTCATTCTCAAAACTTTCACAGAAGACAGCGTAAAAATAACGTTATCTCATAGATAAACAGAGACCAAAGAGCAAAGAGATCAAGAGATTTGCCTTTGTTCAACAGCCTGTTAGTGGTGGAGCCATTTCACTATCAATGTCTTGTTTCCACAGCCTTTCACCTATAACTCAATGGGGTTGATAGCTTAATCCTTTTCAGAAATGAGGGAACATGGGAAATATTATAAATACATGGATACATCATGACTTGACGAATGAGTCTCCCGTTTTGATATAGCATCATCAGGTTTAGAACGCTAAAACCACATGTTAAGGATGCTGGAAAATCTGGATGATGAAGTTACACCTCTAATCATAGAATAGAATTCCTGGAATGGACATTTACTCCAATTGCCACAATTTATAGGTAAGGAAACAGCCCTGGAGATGTGAACATGCTAGAATGTCAGAGAGCTGGCCTGACCCTCAGCAGCCGTTTGGTTCATTCCTTTCTGACTGCCAATCTTTCTTGTGACACCTTCAAAATTTTTCCAAATCTGCATACCTTTTATATAATTCATTTCATCCCGTTTTTTTCCTAAGTTGGCCCACATTTTAAACTTAAATATATTTTAAAGAGATAATTGATTCTTAGCTAGTCACAAAATTTATTATAAATAAAAGTAACCATGAAAATAAACATATAACCACTAAAGGTAATACATTCATCTGTCAACCACATAAAATCATCTTATTTACTAACATGTCACACTTTTGAAAATGCTGATCTGACCTAAATGTCCCATTTTACAAATGAGAGACCTGAGCCCAGAGGTGCGCTCCCGGTGGCAGACCTGAATCCTAAACCTCACTACCTCTATCGCTGTTCACTTATCTGATCTCAGCTGTTAATATGCCAGAAACTGGCAAAGGTATTCCCTGCCTTTAGTGGTGCTAGACTCTCAGGTGCTGAAACCACAGCTAATTCAGCCAAAGATGATGTGTAGAGAGGACTCAGAAGGCCCTATTAATAACTCAGCTGAGCACAGCACTAGCCAGATATTCATCCCCTGCCATTAATTTCAAAAGTGCTCTTTGCAAGCAGGAAAATTTTGACAGCAGGTGTTTCCCACTGGGGAGCAGTAGACTCCTCAGAAGACTCAGGGTCTCAGCTTAAAGACCAAAACTACTGAATTTCAACCGTCAGTGATCACTTCCCCAATTCCCCTCAACGATAAGGAAAAAGGAGTTTCTGGGAAGATTGGCAGTGGCCCAGCAAGTTTTCGCAAGGAAATCCTGTGTTTTTCAGAGGGGAAAGTCATTTTTGGAATCTTAGTACTCAAGGCAAGATGAATACTTAGCAAAAGTGGAGTTAAATTTTACTTTGATATATTTTGGACTGGAAACAAAAAACAACATCACATTGACAACAGATGCCTCAGAGAGTTTAGAAAAGACCACAACATTTTTCTGGTATATATTTATGTGGGGTCTCAGCTACCCAGGATGATAAAGAAGGGAAAATGACAACGTGATAGGTAGAAACTAGGAGAACTAAAATGATTGCATGGACACAACATCTAAATGGATGTAGTGAGCTCACCATCAAATAGGCCAATCCTAGTATCCCAAAGAGTCTGATCTAGTGGGATTGAGAAGAATCAACTATACAGTGTAAAATAAAAATACATTATCTGACCTTGCCTGGGCTATCATGAATCTTAGCAATAAATCTCAAGAACAAAACCAATAACCATATTAAATGTGGGTGGTTATTCTCCATTTTCCATTATAACAGTAATTCCCAAATCTGTCTGTGCACGAAAACTGGGAGAATATTTTAAAATATAAATTCCTTAGGACTAACCTCTGATATTGAACCAGAATTTCTAGCAATAAAGATCATAAAGATAGATAATTAGTACCTAGATACACAGACACATAGATAGCAGAATGAAAGTCATTAAGTGATTCTTAAGCCAAGCATTTGTTTAAAAGTGAGAGTTTGGGACCTGCTCAACTTTGTCATCTTCATATATGGTTTCCATTTTAATCGTTGTATTGAAATAAAATCAGCTGTAGACTGCCTGGAATTCTTTGTCAAAATGAAGTTTGCAAAAAGAGGCTAGAAGAAGATAGAAAAGATGTAAGAGAGAGAGCAAGTGATTTGGAGACACAAGATCAAGGAACCGATCTTGGGATAGAAAATACTCTTCTCCAGTTCCATCCATGCTCTCACTTATGAGTGGAAACTAAATAATTTGTAGACATGGACATGGAGAATGAAATAACAGACATTGAGGACTCAGAAAGGTGGGAAGGGGTTAAGGGATGAGAAAGTACCTAATAGGTACAAAGTACACTGTTCAGTTGATGGTTACGCTAACAGCCCAGACTAAACCATTATGCAATATATTCATGTAACAAAACTGCATTTGCACTCTCTAAATCTATAAAAATTAAAATAAAATTTTCTAACCTTGAAGAGAGTCTTTGTTACCCATCTTAAAAAGAATGAAGTCAGAGTAGAGACATGAAGTTGTCTTTTTTTTAAATAGTTTTTTTAACTCTATATTTTTATATAGTGTCTCCTAGGGAATCCCACAAATAGAAAGAGTGTTTATTCCTTTCTGAGGAGGAGAACAGACCTCCCAGAGTCCAAAGGGAAAGACAAGGACAGTCCCAGGAAGAGGAAGGGTCATGCACTAGCATCTCACGGCCGAGCCCTAGGAAGACGGAGGGGCAAGGTCCTGGGGTGGCTGTGGATAGAGTCAGGCTGGGTTATTTCAGGTCAGTCCTGCCTTGCTTGGCCCATGGGAAATGGGGTGTTGTTAGTATGAGTCAAGAGCTCAAATTGGTAACTGGCTGGTTTTGATTTAATTACATAGTGAGATAGTTTCCTAGGAGCATACAACACAATCCTTTCTCCTAAACGTGAGTTTAATTTTCAACAAAACACTTCTCTCATAAACATCACGTCATTTCTAAACCTTTATTGCCATTCCCAGAACTGCTTGCAGCCTTTCAGAAACCCATTATTTTATAATTATAATCAAGACTATTAGGACAGGACAATTTGTGCCAAAAAGCGCATTTACACTCAGAATTGTCACTTAGCACTGTCACAGGAGGGATCATCTTTATTTCTGTAGAAATCAAGGAGAGTTGCAGACTCTGCCTTTTAAACTTTTAATTTCTAGATGGCATGGGAGTTACTGACCTTGTCTAAATTATTCTCCATTCACTCCACTAACCACCCCTGGCAGAGTAGCCCAGGACATCACAGCAAGCAATTATGTTATGGAAAGAATGCAGCCCCAAGAATCAGGCCAACCCAAGTTCATATCCTGATTCTGCTCCTTCCTATTGAACAATTCAGTCCTTTCATCTGTTTCTTCATCTGTGGAATGGCAAAGCTACAAATACCTGCATCAGAAGGTCATTTTAACAATTAAATGAAATAATATACAACTAAAACGGTGCCAGACATGCACCAAAAGCTTAGCAACTTAAAAAAAATACAGAAGGTGCGGCAAATGTTATTGTGATTAATATAAGCTGTGTGACCTAAGGCAAGTTACTCGTCCTCTCTGGGCATCTCTTTTCTCATTTCTAAAATGAGAAGAGTAGCCTTTAACTCACAAGGTAGCAGTAACGATCAGATGATCACGCATGGTGCTCAATATAGTTGGTTCCTTTTGATCGACCATTTACTCCACAGATTTTACTTTGAGTTGAAAAGTTCGGTGATCTCCATAAGGGCAGCCAGAGTGTGTGATCTTATTCCAACCATCTGGAAAGTCCTAAGCTTTTGGAACTTCCCCCATAACCTCTGTGTTTAATCACAAGTCTGTGATGCCCGTCAGGAAGTCAGACCAACTGTAGACATGATAGAGCAACCCTAGGCATGTTGTTCAAAGAAAGGCCATCATCTAGTGGGCCTGATTTGTTCACTGTTAAAAAATCTTTGATCACATAACTTAGATCACATTTTTCCTGGCTCTTACAGCTGTAATATAAATAAAAACAAGTAATAATAATAATACTTCTCTTTGTTTAATATCAGTCAAAATTATAATGGTGAGATAGGAAGTTTTATGCATTTTGTGAGAGCAGGGTGCTCTTGCCATAGAACAGTATTTAGAAGCCCTGCTTCTGCGGTGAAGTGGACTTAGATCCTAATCTCAGTGCTGCCACCAATGAGCAGGTGACAGTGGACACATGACAGAATGACTCCCAGACTCAGACTCCTCATTTGTAAATTGGAAATACTTTCGTATCTTTCTAATTCATTGATGTGACAAACTGAGATAGCACAAATAAAGCCCTTGCATAAAACAATTGATCAATTAAATGTAACTATTGTAACTATCAACATTATCATTTTAACCAAGTGAGGTCTGCCAACAAGGTATTATTACCTCCATTTCATGAATTAAGACCTGAGCCTCAAAGCACTTGAATGACTTGCCCACAATCACACAAGTAAATGGAGACACTGGCTTAGACTTTGGTTTTCACTCTCCCAGGGAGTTCACTGTCACATATTGTGTGAGTTCATTTAAGCTTCTCCAGGAGCCTGCTGATGATTTCTAAAAAGTTTATAGAGTCCAGAAGAAGACTGGGGTCTGACAATCCCGTGAGTAGAGAATGAATCAGAAAGAAATGTCTAATTTTAGTTACAGTCACTTCTGTGGTTCCACAGGCTGGAAAAATAGCAATTACTTTAGTGTTGTTACTGAGAAGACCTCCCAGTGCTTCTCCTAGTGCCCTCTTAATAAAGTCTTAGGGGAGTACTCACCCATAAGGACAGTGTCCCCGTATTGAACATAATACATGATTTTCAATCCTTAGAGCAACCTTACAAAGTCATAGTTCTATTCTTATTTTACATTGGAGCTAAGTAGACTCTCAGAGAAATGGAGCCCAAGGCACACAGTTGATAAGGAGTGAATTTGAGTTTTGGCTTTCTCCAAAAGCCACGCTACTCAAAACACCAGAAAAATGGAAAGCACTGTATTAACGCTCATTCTCGGTGTCTTTCTCTCCTCTTTTTATTCTATGTCCAGATTTTCTACTTATTATTGATTAACCCTATTGTTCACATATCCTTTGTTTGAAGCTCCTTCAAGTCCTTTATGGAAAGATAGGGTTATAAATAAATCATTTGGTATGTATAACATATATGCATATGTATTGGCTTAATGATTCATGGCTTCAACTGAGAAACCCTTGCTAGTGTCAACCACACAGAAAACTGCAGGAGTTTCACTTCCTGTTTTGCCAACTTTAAGCATGAAGCAATTGGGTGTGGAAGAAAGAAAGTGTCCTTGAGTGACCTGGAGGCCCAGGCTCAGGTTTTGTCACTTTCCTACTCTGTGGGCTATTGAAAAATTTACTTCATTGAACTTCAGCTTTCCCATCAATAAAATGGAAAAAGTTAATTATGATTTGCTACCTTACTCAGCTAATGAGATATTCAAATATATAGTTTTGTGAATATGTTTCAAGTTGTAAGGTATCACACAAATTTAAGGCATTACAATTGGCATTAATTTATCCTTATTCCACCCTTTATCCCTCTTAAATCCAGAGGATTTAAAGAGCTAAAAAGAGGCTGGCTGAGGCCTGACTTTACTCTTTCTTCTCCTTCTGTTCTATGCATATAATTTCTTTCCCTGCTTGTCCACCTCACCTGCCATTTCTAGAATTTCCATCTGGGAGAGGGAACTGATAGGAAGGAGGCCAATGTCAGCCTTGAATATTTCGGCCTTGAAATATTCCAAGTTGTATGTTGATCTTCCTTCTCAGAGCCTTGTACATTTGCTTGAATAAACACACTTATGCAGAATTCATATTCAAATATGAATAGAACCACACTTACATGTAGCACGGATATACACAAAATCATACATTTTCAAGCATACTAAGAAACTGAGGCATACATCTGTAGATAAACAATCATGTATGTATGTTAGTTCCTCACTTATCCACAGTTTCACTTTCCCAGGTTTCATGGTCAGTTATGGTCTGAAAATAGGTGAGTACAGTACAGTAAGATATTTTGAGAGAGAGAAAGAAAGAGATCACATTCACATAACTTTTATTACAATATATTATTATAACTATTCAATTTTATTGTTAGTTATTGTTAATCTCTTACTGTGCCTAATTCAGAAGATGAACTTTATCTTAGGTATTTATGTATAGGAAAAAATATTGCATATATGAGGTTTGGTACCATCTGCGGTCTCAGAGATCCACTTGGGGTCTAAGAACGTATCCACCAAGCATAAGGGATAAGGGGAGACTACTGTACAAGCACAAGAGTAGAGAACTCATCTCAAACAGCCATAGACATCCATTTCAAATGGATGTATTCTTCAAGAAATATAATCACACTCTCTTCTATACAGATATGATCATGCGGACACACACACTTTCAAATACACACAGCCCTGATAGGGATACATAGGGATATGTGCACAAATGCACACATCTACTTTCACTAGTACATGAGACATGGAAACACACCCAGGGATGTTCAATCACCCTAGACCTGCTCAAACCAAACACACTCTGAAACACTCAGTAACAAACACTTCTGACTGTGGTCATATTTCCAGTTTTGACAACTGAATTTTGTTGTCTTTTCTTTTTTATAGCTTCATTCAGACATAATTGATATTATAAAACTGCATATATTTAATGTATACAATTTGATGAGTTTAGACATAGTCACATACCTGTCAAACCATCACCACAATCAAGGTAATAAATATATCCATCACCTCCAAAAGCTTCCTTGTGTATATGTATATGGTAAGAACACTTAACATGAGAGGTACCCTCTTAACAAAATGTTAAGTGCATAATACAGTATTGTTCATTATACGAACTCTGCTATACAGCTGATCTTTAGAGCTAATTCATCTTGCATACTATAATTTTATACCAATTAGACAACTCCCTATTTCCTCATTTCTCCCTTCCTCCTTTTCCCTAGGAACCACTGTTCTATTCTCTGCTTCTATGAGTTTGACTATTTTAGAACCTCATATAAATGAAATCAGGCAGTATTTGTCTTTCTGTTACTTGCTCATTTTACATAGCATAATGGCCTCCGGGTTTATTCATGTTGTCATAAATAACAGGATTCCCCCTTTTTTTAGGCTGAATAATATCCCATTGTACGTATATGCACATTTTCTTTGTCCATTTATTTTTCAATGGAAATTTGGGTTGTTTCCATAACTTTGGAAACAGTGATTGTGAAGAGTGCCACAATGAACATGGGAGTGTAAATATTTTCTTGAAATTCTGATTTCAATTATTTTGGGTATATATACAGAAGTGAGATTGCTGGATCATATAGCAGTTCTATTTTTAATTTTTGAGAAACCTCCGTACTGTTTTTCATAACGGCTACACCATTTTCCATTCCCTCCAGCAGTGAAGAAGGGTTCCAATTTCTCTATATCCTTGATGACACTTCATTTTTTTATAGTAGCCATTCTACCTGGTATAAGGTGATATCTCATTGTGGTTTTTATTTTCATTTCCCTGATGACATCCTGATTGTCCTTTTCTTGAATGTTCTGTTTCTGAGGAGGCTGGATGAACATTCTTTTCTGGGAACCTTCTTTATAAGAACCCCATTAATTCCAGACACATTGTTTTCTCAATGATAACATCCACTCTTCCCAAAATGTGGTCAAGGAGCATTGCCCAACAGGAAACAGCAATGTATACTCCCTGCCTTGAATACCTTCACACGTAGTTCTCCTGGCAGTGAGAAGGGTACAGGGGAGGGATCCCAGCCATCTGTGTCTCCCTAAAGAGATTCAGAGGTCCATCAAACATCACTTGTTCTGAAAAAAATAAACTTCTGCTGCAACTCATTTCATGAGGTCACCCCGGGTTTATCAGCCCATATGTTTCTGGAATCAAGAAAAGGTGACCTCCTGAGGTCATCCCACTTCCTTCCTGCCTCTAGCCCAAATTGTCCATGATAAGACCAGGAAGCGGAAATTTTCTTCCCGTTTAAAAGAGTGCCCCCTTTAAACAAATTATTTCAATGCTGCTTTCATGACAGTCATTACTTAGTAGGCAATAACTTTGGAATGACATCGAGTGACAAAGTGACAGAGTGTACTTTTCCATACTTCCTTGAAAAATAGTGGTTAATATGGATATTTGAAGCACGTCTTAAACAACCTTATTTATGATATTAGCTTATAGGCAAGACGTAAAAAAATGAAAACTGGATATATAAAAATAAAAATATATCAGGGGTGATTAGTTAAAAAATAGAACATGCTCGAGAATGACCAGGATGGTTGTGAGCATGTGTTAATCAGGTTTCCTTAGGAATTAGCCACTAGACTTTAACCTCTGTAAGGAGACAGACTTAAAATGGAAGGGGCATCTTGCATCAGGAGCCCCTTGACGACTGCAGTCATCAAGTAGAATTTAAATTGTATTCAATCAAAAAGGAAAAAGTGAACACCCAGTTCAGTCAAAACTACCAAAATGGTTTTATGATGGCTATAACATAATACAATTTCCATTCAAAAGACTCAGGAAAAGAACAATGTCTCTTTCTGTTTTCTCTGTCTTTATTCAACTTGATGAGGTAAGAGTTGAAATGACTTTCTTTGTCATGGGTTCCTTGACTGAGTTGGTTGAAATGCCCACCTGGAAGACTCTGTATTTTAGTCTAGCATTTATTCCCTCTGCACTGGAAGCTCCTTGAGATTAGCAGCCCTGCATATCTAGTGCACCATGGAATTACTCACCCTTAGCATAAGGCCTGACATGTGGCAGCATTTAATACTTATTAACTGAACAAGTGTTGGACCCAGCTGGGCAAGAAATGCCTCAGGAGGTTTTTATTTTTCCTCTTCAGATAGATGTTGCTTCCTGCCAATTGCATCCTGTACCCACTGTTCCTTCTGGATTCCATGATTTACCATCCAGCAGGGCTTTTCTGAGTCGTCTCCAGAAGATGTGCCGCCCCAGGACACTGTCCTCCCACTCCAGGTAAGTGTTCCTGCTGAGAAGGCGGTACAGCTCCACCTGCTGCCTGAGCAGGGTCTTCTCCACCTTCTGCAGGACAATGAAGATGATACCAGCACGACTGCTCAGAAACTGCCAGGTCTGAGCAATCTCATATTCAAAGATACACCAGCGGCTCTGGATGAAGTGCTGGGACACCACAACAATCACCTTTCGGCTTTTATGGAAACCTTCATGGATGATGTTGGCAGCAATGGCCACACCGGGAATAAAGTCTCTGTAGTGAAGGCAGAGCTGAAATGGAGGCACCCCTTCTTCTAAATTCTTTACTAGCTCATTCCTTACCCAGTCCTCATCCTGGCTTGAGTAGATAACAAAGGCATCATAGATGTTTTCACCTCTACCATACTTTATGCAGCCAGCAAGAAGCATCAGGTGAAAATAGAACTTATAGACCAGAACTGCTACAACAGATACTACAAGCACACTGAGGACCGACACACCAATGATGGTCTTATTCATCTGACAGGTGATATTCAAACTCAGCACAGGCATGCCCTGCTTATCTGAAGGTGTTGCACATTCCATTCGTTCAACTTCCACCAAGAGCTGCCTCTGGTCCTTGATCCATTGCAGGAAACTCTGGTGTTCACAAGTACAAGCAAAGTCATTCTGAGTAAGATTTAAGAAAGCTAGACTACTTGGAAAATGCTGTAGTTCCTGTTTTTTGGAAGTCATTATGTGATTGAGACTGTAATCAAGAACCTGGAGGGAGTTCAGACACTTATAAGGAAACGTATCCAATGAAAAGAAGTTGTTGTGGCTCATATTTAGTACCTGAAGACTGGAGAGTGAGTTAAATGCTGTTGGAGACAACTGCTCCAGTTGACACTGAGAGAGGTCCAGGAAGGTCAAGTTTCTCAGCTCTGTGAAGATATCTGGAAGGAAGTTTTCCTGGAAAGAATTGCCAGCCATTTTCAAGACTTCGAGACTGGACAAGCCATTGAAGATGCCATTGAAAGCAACTCTGGTGTGAGTATGAGAAATGTCAAGGTAAATGAGGTTTCTGAGTGATAGGAATACTGAAAACTCACTCATTTGTTTCAAATTGGAATGCTGGAAATCCAGATGTTCTAGTTGTTCTAAGCCCAAGAAGTTTGAACTCATGGTAATAACACCATTGAAGCTCAGATCTAAATACTTTAGGCTGGTTGTCCCAAAATCACTTTGAGAACAGCAACCTTTGAAACTCAAGCCATTTCTACTGAGATCTAGAAACTCAAGGCTTGGTAGATCAACTTCTGAAAAAGCATTCCCACCTTTGTTGGAAGTGAAAGTAAGCCTTTTGAGAGATTTGAGTTTCAATGTGGGAAACTGTCCAAATTTACAGTTAACTAATTCTAAATGTTGCCATCCGAAATTATAAGAAAAGTCTTTTACCCTTTCAATAGTCACACTCACCAGGGAAAATGAAGAAACATTTGTCAAACAATTAAATAAGTCAATAATATCATCGAGGTAGTAGTCTAAGTATGCTAATCGGAATTCTTCAATGGTCAAATTGCACAGGCCCTCTAGAGCAGATTTGTCAAACTTTTCCAAGTTTCCTTCATTTCTAAATTCTCCCAGAACCAAACGATGGACTTCTAAACCAGCCAGACCTTGAATACAAGTTTTCATTACATTTAAACTATCAAAATTATTTCTTAAAGTCAGCTTATGAAGCCTAATTTCTTTAAATGCACCTGGTTGGATAAAGTTCATAGGGTTCAGGGACAGGTCTAAAGAGAGATTGAGTAGGGGCATTTGATGTAGAACCCGCAAGTCTGTGCAATAAATACTTTGAATCTTGTTGCTGGAAAGGTCCAAGTGCTCTAGATTGGTCAGATTAGAAAAATACTCAGGTAATTTGAAAGATTGGATAAGATTGTGAGCCACATTAAGTTCTTTCAAAGTTTTGAGATGTCCAATGGGGAAGTTCTCTAGAGATGCTAGATTTGTCTCCACAGCCACCAGCTTCTGTAAACTTGATAGTCCAGAAAAGGCTCCCAGGGCTAAACTCTGGATGGGGTTTCCTGTCAATATTAAGGTAGAGAGGTGGCTTAGGCTCTGATATGCCCCATCTTCAATTGTCTGGATTTCACACCTACAGGAATAAAAAGACATTGATTATCTAATATTTCTGCTGAATAAGAACCTAAAATAGAATATTAATCCTAGTCATCCAGCTCTTCATACAGATGTGATGGGTCATATGATTGTGCATAGGCAAAGACATCAAGCAGGACAGATGATGATGGAATAAGCAAATAAGAAGCCCCACAGACTGAGTATTATCATACTGGCTGCAATGATAGGCTCTTTTTTGTCATGTTAGGCATACATGATAAGCAGAGGAGAAAATCCATAAGAAGGAAATCAGTTAAAGATCAATAATTGACATATATAAAGATTGTGCAGTTGATAAAGCATGTAATAGCCTTGGATCAAGTTTAGCCATTTTCTGTCACACAAAATTGTGATTATACATCTGATTGGTACAGATAATATGGATAGTTGTTAGTTGGTAGCCAAGATAAATGACTGGTAAATATCAATTTCAGAGATACGAAAAATTACACATAAGTGTCACAGATACTCTTAATGTTTATGAAAAGTGCTTACATGACAGCTAGATATTTGAAAGTTCTTGTTATCAGAGGTAAATGCTTGTAACAGGTGATAGGAGCGAGTTTTGTGGAAAAAAGTGAAAATTATGTGCTATAAGAGTTCACATCCAGAGAACCGTTGTGGACCAAGAAAATCAAAGTAGGTTTCTCTGAGAACACTTAAGTTGAAAATTGAAAGATGAGTAGAAGTTAACAATAAAAGGAGGTGAAGTGAACAGCAAACACAAAAGCCCCAAGGTTGACAGAAAAAAAATGACACAAGGAGGAATCATGACAAATAGCTTCCATGGTTGGAGAACAGAGATGAAATTGGAGTGTACAATATGGAGTTGTGGAGAAAGAAGGTTCCCAATTAGGCAGAGGTTTACCAACCAGATAAAGGGTTTTGAATTTTATCCTAAAAGAAATGAAAGCCATGCTACACACAATGTTCAGAGACATGTCCTAGAGACAGGGCTTTGATGCAGCCAGCAAACAGCAAGCCAATGAAAAATTCCTTTCAGCATTGCAGGTGCTTGTCAGTTACAATGTACAAATAAGTTCTTTCTTAATCCAGCCTGAATTACATTTACAATATTCCCCACCCATTTTATTTAGCTTCTTCAGGAGTTTCCTAGACAATAAAAGCATTGTGGTCCAAGCTTTTGTTATTTATTGGTAACTAGATAAAGGATAGGCAGTATAGTAGAAAGAACGCTGGAAGAGTGGACAAAAGAGCTTGGGTTTGGTGTTTCTGCAGTCCTCTCCTACTGTGTGATCTTGAGTACCTCTTTTCCTCTCTAGGTTTTAGTTATCACATTTATAAATCAAACAGCTGAACTTGATTATTTTTGAAGTTCTTTCTTTCAATTATATGATTGTTATAGCCCATCATTCTATCTCTGCATTGCTCTATACATTAGGTGAGAAGGAAAGGGTCTTGCTGTGTCTCTATATCATTACATTGGTGATAATCACTTTAGAGAAGTAGAGTATTAAGACAAAGAAAACATTTAAGTTGGATTCTGGAGATGTGAACTTAAATCTCTGGTCTGTGGCTAACAAGCAATGATAATGTATATAAGTCATTTAAATTATTCAAGCTTCAGTTTCCTCACCTATAAAAAGAAATATATATATATTTCTATAGGGGAAAGAAGGCTGCCTGGTCTATCACAAAGCATTCTTACAAGACTAGTTGAGTTACTGTATGTGAACACTGTACGAAAAGGCAAAGGATGTCTATTGTGCTATCTTTTGTGCTTGCCCTAATTCAGAATCTCCTATGGGTTAACAAGAAGGGAAGCTGGCCTCTCTGTAAGCACAGATTTAAGGTTTCTGGGGCAAGTTTATTGGGTATCCAGTGGATTGAAGATGAATTACATAAGAGACATTGTTTGGTGAAAAACTACTTCTTGTTTGAAAAAAAAAAAAAGGGAGAGGTGGTCTACCTTAATAGAGTACTTGACAAAATTTTCATGCAGGAAACTGAAATTTAGAACATAATGGCATAGATGCAGCTAGTAGCCATTATCCTAAGCAAATTAACAAAGGAACAGAAAGCCAAATACCATGAGTTCTCACTTTATAAGTAGGATCCAAACATGGAGTACACATGGACATAAAGATGACAAAAATAGACCCTGGGGATTACTAGAGAGGGGATAGAGAGAAAGCAGCAAGGGTTGAAAAACTAACTATTGGGTACTATGCTCACTACCTGAGTGATGGTATCGATTGTACCCTACACCTCAGCATTACGCAATATAACCATGTAAATCCCTGAATCAAAAATAAAAGTTGAAATTATTTTAAAAACCTAATGAAATTCTGTAAGAATACTTTATGCTTATAAAATATATTTTATAAAAATTTAAATATATACAGCATATTAATATTTATTATCACATTTAATCCAGCAGAATAAGTTTCATCATTTCCATTGATCAGATATGAAAACTAAGATTAAGGGAGATGAAGTAATATGCCTAAGGTTACATGGTTATAAAGGTTGGGGGTAAACTTGGCTCAGGTCTTCTGACCCCAACAGGACTCTATGCACTATACCACTGCCTTTGAATTGTTCCATTACTCCTTTGTTACATCCTATCTATATCCAAATTAGAGTATAATAGGTCGTATGCTCACTCTTCTACAGAAATGTCTGCTCTAAAAAGGATTTTTATACTGTGACCTTAGTCTTTATCAATAATTTCTATAATAAAAAATATGTAAAATGTTTTGAAATGTTTTACAAACCATTGCAGAGAACATGATCCATTATCTAGTTCGATTTGCAAATAAGGCCCCGATGATGAAAACCCTTTTAGAATTTGGTTCCCCTAAAATATCAAGATGACATTTCACCTGCCACAACAAACGATATACTTCCCTGCATCAGAAAAGAAAATCTTAGCCATTATTCCCTGCCCACAGCAGATGTTTTCCTTTAATCTTGACATCTTTCTCCTTGGGTTACTTGTCTTTTCCTAATTCCCTATCCTGTACACTAGTTTTAATATTCTAGACATTGTTTGAATCTTATGCAGTTCATGAAATCTTTCTTGACTACCCACCACAGAGAAGGCCCCTCTTCTGAAAAATACAATTAGTTACCTTTAGTTTAAACATAATTTATCACCTACTGTTATATGTCGCTATCTTTATATCAGTTTCCAGATCCAAAAAATCATAATTAAAATGTGTTGACTATATACTATGTACCCAGGACCATACCCAGGACTTTAAGGTATTAACTCTTTCAAGAAGATATGCCTCCTTAACAACAGGGGCTGTGTGTTATATATCAATATATGCCTGTCTTCTTGCAGAGTGTACAACATATAGCAAGTAGTCAATAAATAGCTGCTTATGAAAGAATTTAAGCTAATTTTCTCTCCTGTCTTAAAAGAAAACCTAAAATTAGAATTGCCCTTAGAAGCTGTCTCAGCCAACTGCCTACTTCACAGATTAGAAAACTGAGACCTGGAGAATAGAGGTAGCTTGCTCAAGGTTATATAGTTAATAAGACATCTGTTGTATGAATGAATAAGTGAATGAAGATGAGACTCCACAAACCAAGCTTTCCAGTCCAATAATGAAATGACAGGACAATGAACACCTCACCTTGTGCAGTATGTAAAAGTGGATTCATTACCTGGATAAATCCAGCACCTGCAGTTCTGGGAAACTGAAGAAGCTATAGCTGCCTAAATGCCTCAGGGGATTAAAGCTCAGGTCCAGGTTCTTGGTTGAGAAGGGGAGGTTGTCGGGGATTTTGTAGAAATTCAGCTCCATGCATTGATAAGTAATATTAGGAACCACCTGCAATGATTACACATGACATGAAGTATCTTTACTGCATGGTCTCCCAACTCCCCTCTCCTAGACCAGAGATGGTGGAGAGGGGCCTCTTTTTGTGCAAGCACAAAATTCAGTCAACCTTTCATCCATCTGTCCATCCTTCCATCCATATATCCATCCATCCATTCACTCAATTCATGCTTATAAATTGTCTTACTCTAGATTAGAAAGTAAAGAGCACCTACTACGTGCTCAGCATTCTAACCTCCGTGATAAAACGGCAGCATTTAGCAAGAAGCAATGGAATCGGGGTGAAGGGCTGAGGCTCCGGAGTCTGAAAGCTCTGGGTTTCATGCCAGCTCTTCTGTGTGGTTTAGGGCCAAGTCTTTAAAAACAAAACAAAATAAAACGAACAAAAGAAAAACCTCAGTGAGCCTCATTTTATCATATGTAAAATGTAGGTAATAAAATATCCAATATCGTGCTTGCTGCAGTAGCACATACACTAAAATTGGAAGGATACAGAGAAGATGAGCATGGCCCCTGCACAAGGATGACACACAAATCCATGATGCGTTCCATATTTTCATGATCTATGCAGCAAATCACCATGGCACACATTTACTTATGTAATAAACCTGCATGCTCTGCACATGTGCCTCTGAACTTAAAAGTTGAAAATACAAAAAATAAATAAAATATCCAGTATCATTTTAAATACTCCATATCATTGGGGAGACTGTCTGGCAGTCAAGATGTCCAGACCTTCCTTAGTCATGGCCCAGATTTTGACAACTGCATTCTTTTTCTTGGCTCATTGACCCTTGAGCAAAGTGATGTAGAAATAGGGGGAAATCTTTAGAGTGCATGGATTCCCATGGTGGAACCTAGTAAATAAGGTCAAGTGCTTTATGCTGTCTTTGTTTTTACACTGCTTTCTAGCCTACTTTCCCACATTCTTTGTAAGCCTAATTCTCTAACGCTCCCATCTAATTTCTGAATGCTCTCATTTCCTCCAACAAAATTCCTTGCAGAAGCCAGCTAATTGTAGTTTTCTGTTGTTTGAAACCAATAGAATGTTTGAAGGATTAAATGAGATAAGGTGTTTAAAGAGTTTATTTAAAAGCCCGCTACAGTATAAGTGATCAATAGATGTCAACATTAATTATTATCATCTATCATTAATCCCTTACCATATGCCTGCATAGTTCTTGTTTGTTATATACTTTCACTTAATCTTCAAATAAGCATTTAAAGATGAGGAAAATGGAAATTCAAAGAAATGAAGTAATATGCGCAAAGTCAGAGTTCAAACATGCAGATCTTCATTCGTATGTCTGCTTAAATGTTGCAAGCCATGGAGCCTCAAAGACAATATTGTCTAATAGAAACAGTGCCAGGCACTCTTTCTTTGCCCTCTTTTATTCCCTTTCACGGGAAGCACAACCATCTAACATTATGTTGTCTATCTGATTGTTCTCATCGTATTGTTCATCTCCTGTATTCCATTGCAAGTTTGATGGGTTTGCCCACTGCTTTGTCTCCAGCACTCAGAATGGTGTCTGGCAAATGGTTGGTGCTCAATAAATATTTGCTGAATCACTAACTGATTGAATAACTGATTAAATGAAGGTTTACTTAAGTCCAAATTGTAGGCATTTCCTGCCAAGTGCTGTGGGCATTACAAAGAAAAATATGATGCAGCTCCAGACTTCAATGGACTCACAGTCTAGAGTAAGAGTTTAGATAGGAGCAAAGCTAACACTATCTCAAGGGGCCATAAAATAGGCTTAGAAAATATGCCCTGTGGTTCAGAGAAAGCAGAGATCAAGTCTGGATTCAGGAAAGGCTTCCCAGAAAAGGAAGATTTTAAAGTGGGTCTTGGAAGATGAGTAAGGTTTAGATATGTGGAAAGGGGAAGAAAAACATGTCCTAAGGAGAGGACAACGTGAGCACGTAAAGAGTGGAAAACAAACTCAGATTAGCTGGTGAGTGGTGGGAGTGGTGAAATCTAAGTAAGAGGGCAAGCCAGATCAGGAGGGCCTCAGACTTTGTCCTGCAGCAATTATTTCAATCATTTATCACTTACACATCTAGCGGCTACTGTGTGCTGGCCACTGGAAATATAGTGGTAAATAAAACCAGCAATGATCCTGCCTCCTTACCGATTCCATTACAAAGGGAGAGAGAGAAAATAAACAAACAAAAATATAAAATGTTGTGCTCTAGAAAAAAAAATATTAAGCAGTATAAGGGGATTTGAGGCAAATAAGTGAGGCTGGAGAGCTCTACATGGGGCAATCAAGGAAGACTGCCCTGAGGAGGGGACATTTAATCAGAGATCTGAATGGAGTGATTAAAGCATGAAAAGGACTTGGGCTGCACTGACCAATACGGTAGTCACTAGCCATACACAGTTATCAAACACAAGAAATGTGAATAGTGTAAATTGAGAAGTGTGGTAAATGTAAAACATATACTAAATTCCAGACTTAGTACCAAACAAGGAATGTAAAAATATCAATAATAGGTAAATATATATTAAAATTTTAAACATTATTTTAAATACGCTAAGTTAAATAAAACTATTATCGAAATTAAATTCACTTGTTTCTTTTTTTAATGAGGCTACTAAAAACTTTAAAAGTACATATGTGGCTCACATAATATTGCCAATGGATAGCACTGATCTAGCATTCTAGGTAGAAGAAATAGCCAGTGCAAAGGCCCTGTGGTAGAAAGCTGTTCTAATGGCAATGGAGAGTTATTAAAAGTTTTTAAGGAGAGTAATTTGTTAGATTGAAGCCTAAGGAAAAATAATAACAACAAATGCAAGTACATAACAAACAAGAACGTGCAGAATGAATTAAAGGAAGAAGACTGGAATCAGGAAAGCAGTTAGTGTGTAAGAGTCAATGCCAGGGGAAATGAGGGCCTGCCTTACAGTGGAACTAAGGGGATGGGCAGGGATGGACAGGCTTCAGGGACTGACAGGAAAAGGTACATGGGGAAAAGAAGTCAAGTTTGGCTGTGGTTTTATCTCGCAGTGAGCCTAATTAGAAAATCTATCTCCATTAACCTAACAGCAGAGGGATACAGAGAAGAGGACAAGGAGGAGGACTATGGGCAGGGAATTGAGGGAAGGGATGGCTTCAAGATAATGAATTAGTCTTTGCTAAATATTACTTGATTTTCTCCTATATCCTCAACTTCAGGACTGCAGCTGGCTTTTTCTCTCTTGAGTTTCTGACCCTGCCTCACTGTAAATCATTTTCTTAGCTGTTCGGCTCTACTATGGGTTTCTAAAGCAACTGTGAAGTCTGCGCAGGGGAAAAACAAAAGAGATCCATCATGAATAAGATTACCAACCAGCTGATTGGTATTTCACTAAGAAAGAAACTGTTGCATTAGCTGACATTATACATATTTCCCTCTTGCTTTTTTCTTCTCTCTCTCTCTCTTTTCCTTTTTCATTCTCTTATTTTTTTCATCCTCTGGACTAAACTATATTACTGCATACAGAAGTCTGACACCCACTTAGAAAGTTCTTTCTCTAGAGACACACACACAAAAGCCATCTTTTTCCTGAGATTGAAAGGAGCAGGGTGACTGCTTGAAGCTGAGTGTAAAGACCACCAGTGGGAAGAAATGACACTGAAGCAGTCTGCTTACTCTCTAGTGAAGAAGGTATTATAATTCTCTTACAGATGCGAAAACTAGTCTCAGACAGGTTTGATAATTTCTTCACAGAGCCACAAGGTAGCAGAGCAGGGACCTTAAGCAGATCTATGTTATCTCATGCCCCTGTTAGCACTCAAAATTTCCAAATGGAACAAACCCCCAATGGCTGCCTCTAGTGCCCTGTAACAATGAATTATTTGATCTCTGTGGCTTCTTGAGTCTTTAAGGTAATTTAACTCTTTTTTTTTTTTGCAAAAATAAACAAACCAGGGCACACAGTGAGAAGTTCTGGGCAGAAGTGAGGGAAAGTTCAGAGGAGCTGACTCCAGCCACATACCTCCACGCAGGGCTCCCAGCTTTCTGGTCTCACGCAGGAGAGGAAGGCCATGGCTGGGATCAGAGTCCCAGCCAGGCGCGAGGCAGACATCATCCTGGCATCATCCTCACTGCTTCTGTGAGCAGCAGTGGCCCTGTGAATGCGTGGCTCGCTATCACCGTCTGACCGAGCAGTTTCTGAGGCACTGGTGTCTTCTCTTCCTCGAGCCGCCCCACAGCAATTGGTGTATTCAAAGCAGTTCTGGGCTAAAGGGTGAGAGGAAGTGAAAGCGGCAACCTTAGCATTCTGGACTTTTGTTTCTCTAATAGTTATCTCTTTTGTCACAGGAGAGGAAGTTAGAAGAAGAAAACGCCTGCAGACCAGTGGCTAAAGAAACAGCAAGAGGAAGCTAGTTGGCTTTTATCCCAATTAGTCATCTGACCTCTGCCTGGGCTTGGTGAATTTAGGAAAACAATCAGGTTCTATTAAAATAGCCCTTGTAACTCTCTAGGATGACGGTGATTTTCCAATTTTGTTTCAGCTGTGGAAACACTATTTGTATTAGTTTGCTGGGGCTGCCATAAGGAAATACCACAGACTGGGTGGCTTAAACAACAGACATTCATTTTCTCACAATTCTAGAGGCTTCCAGTCTGAACTCAAGGTGTCAGCAAGTGTGTCTGAATTCTAATCTCCCCTTCTTATAAGGACACCAGTTATGTTGGATTAGGGCCCACCATAATGACCTCATTCTACCTTACATACCTCTTTCAAGGCTCTCTCTCCATATACAGTCATAGTCTGAGGTAGAGGGGTTAGGACTTCGATATGTAGGTTTTTGCAGGACACAATTTGGCCCGCCCCTTCTTGTGAAGAAACTCACATACAAAACTGAAAATAAACCTCAACTGAAACACAGTTTGAAAAGTACAAGAAGATTGGGAAAAGTCTGGGATTTCAGAATGGAATATACTGAAGTTCAGATCTCAGCTGGGTGACTCATGGCTTTGAGGCATTGGTCAAGTCATGTAAACCGCTAAGCTTTACTTTCTTTCTTTTCTTTTTTCATTTTCTGTATTATGGTAAAATCACATAACATAACATGACATAACATAAAATTTATTATCTTGACCATTTGTATGTGTACAATTTAGTGGCATTAATTATGTTCATATTTTTGTACAATCATCACCACTATTCATTAATAAATAACTCCCCATTTCCCCTTTCCCTAGGCCCTTGAATCTATGCACTACTTTTGTCTCTATAATCTTGACTACTCTAGGCAGCTCTTAGAAGTGGAATCATACAGTATGTATCTTTTTGTCACTGGCTTATTTCACTTTGCATAATGTCCTCAAGGTTCTTTTCTGTGTAGTATAGATCAAAGCCTCCTTCCTTTTTAAAGCTGAACAATATTCCATTGTATGTATAGACCACATTTTGCTTATCCATTTGTCTGTTCATGGACACTTGCATTGTTGCCACACGTTAGCTATTGTGAATAATGCTGCCATAAACATGGTTGTACAAATATCTCTTAAAGTCTCTGTTTTCAATTCTTTTGGATACGTACTCAGAAGTGAGATTGCTGGATCATGTGGTAAATCTATTTTTAATTTTTTGAGCACCCACCATATGATTCTCCACAGCATCTGTACCATTTTACATTCCCACAAATGGTGTACAGGAGTTCTCATTTTTTCACATCTTCACCAACACTTATTATTACTTTCTGGTCTGTAAAATGTGGTAATCACTTTTAATCATAGCAGAAGCTTGCATTTATAAAATGTATTAAAATAAAGATACGCAATGGTAGTCAAATTATACAAACCTACCAACCTTTAGTTTTCTGGTCTTTAAAACGAAGATAATCGCATGTGTTTTGAATTACTGAATTAAGCTAACTTACGTAAAACGTCTAGTCTAGAGCATCATCATTACATTCCATAAATGAGAGCTATGATGAGGATTGAAAATGTGGATAGAATGAAGATGATAATATGTATCTCAAAGTATTGTATTGGGATTAAATGAACTGGCATTTGTAAAGCTTTTAGGACAGTGTCTGGAAAGTAGCAAGTGCAATGTAAGTTTCTGTTAAATAAGAACCTGATTTAAAACAGGAATATTATGCATGCTAAGTCCTAGATAGTTCTACTGTAATATCCTCCAAGCACTTCCAATCCAACGTGTCAAAAACCAAGCTGTGAGGGACCATTTTGTGGTGGACTGGGCACAAACTCTTGTAGACTCCATCAACACACCAGTAGAGTTAAGATAAAAACAACCTCCATGTCAAAGCTTTGCTCTGAGTATTGAGATTATTCATGTAAAGATTTTAGAGCAGTGCCTGACACAGAGTAGGTGCTCAATAAAGTTTAGTTCCCTGGAAAGTTAATGGTGTTTCACTTTGACATAGTCATCCAAGGTGGAAATCTCTTTGACTTTATTTCCCTTACTTCCTCATTTCTCATGCTAAACATGTATTAACCCAATTGTCTTCTTTTCTGTGTTCTTGATGTTCTGGCATCTGGGAAGAGACTGCACTTACCAGGGCTAGTTAGTTCTAAAAAATAGCAAAAGATTTGCTCTGGAGCATGCCTTATGCACACTAAGCAATCCAGAGCCCTTCCTCTGAACCACCTCCTCTACCTGGCTTTTACACCCAAGTAGACACCGTTATTCAGCCCTAATCATCACAGGTCCAGGTACCAGACAACTAGAGACAGACCCTCTACCCCAGAGCCCACTGAGGTTATTCAAACTAGCCAGTCCTATCCCTGCTTACCCTGCCTTGCCTTGCCTTTTCTGCAGTAACAACAATAAAAGCTTGTGCCTATAATTTCCTCTTGCTCCCTCTGCCTCCTGACGGACTCTGGTGCTACCAATGTGGCCCTGCATGGTGTGGCATGCCCCCGCTTCTTAGGAACTGTAAACAACAAACTATATTTCCAGTGGCATCATCTTCTGATCTGTTGTTTTCACCATAGCCGAATAATAAAACCTACATTTTAAAAAATGTTCCACCAAGTTGTAGAAATTGTATCTGTAAAATAATTCCAAAATGTCAGTCGCCATTTCTACTACCATTACTATTGAACATATCCCACGGCCTAGACTAGTTCAATATACTTTAAGAAGCCTCCCAAAGTCTAGATTCACCTCTTTCAATGTACCAGCTCTTCCAATTGATTCTTCATCCTGCTGTTGAAAACATCTTTCTAAAATAGAAATACGTTTAACTCATGTCATGCTAATAATGATTTCAGGCTGGGTATTGCCTAGATAAAAAATCTCCTGGCCTACCCCCATCACATATACACATACAGAAACACTCCACTTCCTAAGAATGAGAAACAAATATGTGGGTCATTTCAAGCCAGACATAACTAGACCCCATTACTGGGACACAGTGCTTAAGTGAATAGAGTAATACAAGTGTGTAATAGACAAATGCACTTTCTTCCCATCATTTGGAGAGGAAACCGCTTGATAGTCTAGATGAGGAACTAAGGAAAAGGGCCCAGGGAAGTCCTTTCAACTATGTTTTCGGAGATGTTAATACATGTGTTTTATAGAAGTCTTCCTGGAAATTTTTCCTATGTGTGATTGGAGAATCCCTGGTGGTGACTTGTAAAGAGGTTTCCTTTTCCTGGGAAATGAATGGGATTAACACTCAATCATTTACTGACCTTAATCAAAGACATCTAGGTTCTATGTTGCTCTTCCAGAAGGCAGACCATGTGTCAAATACAAATTAGAAACTGTAAGCCCCTTGGTTATCAGATCTAACTTGCTTATGTTGATGAACTTACCGATGCAGTATTATAATGAGGTAAGACCGTGGTGATTAGTTACCATTAGGCCTATAATTTCTCCCACAGTAGAATAATAACCACCTCTTGTTTTCTTTTTTTTTACTTTTATTTTTACATTCAGAAGTACATGTGCAGGATGAGCAGGTTTGTTACATAGGTAAACGTGTGTCATGGGGGTTTGTTGTACATAATTAATCGCATCTTAAGCATAGTGGTAGAGATTTGGCCAGAGGCAAAACAAGCCACTTGATCGCCTACATCCTTCATGCAGAGCAAGTTCAACTCAGGACCCATAATCAGTCAGTCAATGGAGGAATCCCATATTTGCCAGGGACCTAGAAGTGTTTGCTTTTATTTGGCAGGTAATGCATATGCTGTAAGAAATATGCACAAAACTGACAAGTGTTAGACTAAGCTAATTGCTGTATAAACTTCCAGATTTTATTGTGACTTAATAAAAGTTTTCCTGGCTCATGAAACACTCAATGAGGATATTTCTGATTGGATTACCCCAGGTATGATTCCTGGTTCTAGGCTTCTTTTATTTCATTATACTTTCATATTCAACATGCAGCCTCCAAGTTTACTGCAGAATGTGAAGAAAGTAGGGGATGATATCATGTATTTAACTACCTCTGCTCAGAAGTGACATGCATTATCTCTGCTCTCATTGCATTTGACCAAAACTAGACCCAACACAATACCAAGTTGCAAGGGATCTCTATCTTCTAAGCTTCAAGGCTCTTCCCCCTACCCAAAACTTAAACACACACACACACTTAATGGTGAGCACCACTTCACAGCACCAATACTATACTGTGGAAGAGGAACACAAAATTCTGTTGATCAGCAGGTTGTATTTATGCCACAACCTTAGAATCCTATAATTTCCATTGCATAGTGATTTTAAAAAAGGTCCCATTAACCTGACATATCTAAAAACCAAACCTCATTCCATCCAACCATCTCAAGTTTTTAAGTTTCATGTTTTTTTCATGTCAACACCTCTCAAAGCAGAATGGTTCTCATATAATTGACAATATAGTACAATTATAATTGGCAGAGTTTTTTTTCTTTCTTAGTGGCAAATAAAGTAATGGTACACCTTATAATCAGTGGTACCTTATATACAACAACAGTTTGTTACTAGGAAGAAAAAAAAGCTCTGTTCAGGTAAGTAAAAGAAACAAATAGTTAAACAGAGAAAAACAGATTTATTTTCTAAGGACTCCTTAGAACATGTATTAGACTAATGTTTATTTTGCATCTATGAAAGGAGATAGAGTACTCAATGTTTCCCAACTTTTTGACCCATTCAACCCTCTTTTATCCTTGGACACCCATTACCAGTCCAGAATCCATTAATGTGCCATGGACCAATGCTCTTGTGGTATATAGTACAGAAAATGGTGCTTTTAAGCAAAGGCATAAAGGGTATTCTCTTGGCTCCAGGTGACTTAATTCCTGTCTCTATGGTGAGGTCTTCACATTAAGTACTGCCCTGTGCATCTCATTATTTTCCTCCCAAACACCCTGTACATTTCAGTATGTTCTTCACAAGTACAAGAGGTGAGTGAGTGCACCCTCACAGGTAATCAGCCTACATAGTGCCATCTCCTCCCCAGACCAAAATGTCTATGACCTTTCCTGTGTTATTTTTTAAATTACTTTGAATTTCTCATCTCTTTATTATCTGCCTCTACCAGTAGAATACAAACTCCATGAGAATGGAGGCCTGGTATGATGCTCACAGTTATTAAATGCATGGGTAGATACATAGTTAAGTAGTTGATGAATACATCTCTGAACAATATATCTGTATTTATTTTTAACATGTAGTGAGTATCTTAGAGTATTTGTCACCTTTGCATATTGAGCAATGTGACTATCTTACTAGAGGTCTATTGATTATTCTGGGGCTTCTCTTATACTTTTCTACATCCCTATATTACATTGAGATTCATGTACCCTAGTTCAAGCAACAGAGAAGGACAGAGTCATAGCAAGTGGATTTGAAAGGAAGTCTTGTTGCAGTAAACACTATGTTTTTTCCTGAGGTAGAAAAATCCTTTTTGTCTATTTATTCATGAATAAATAGGCAAAGGATGGTTCATTGCAGGCAAGAGGGTTTTCCCTCTTTGTTCTGACTCCCAGTTTGGCCAGTGAATCCAAGCTTATTCATTCATACCGTGGAAGAGCATGGTGTAATATAGAAAAGGTGTACTAGCCCATTCTCACACCTCAATGAAGAAATACCCAAGACTTGGTAGTTTATTTAAAAACAAAACAAAACAAAACAACAACAACAACAAAAAAGAGGTTTAATTGACTCACTGTTCTGCAAGGCTGGGGAGGCCTCAGGAAACTTACAATCATGGTGGAAGGGGAAGCAGACATGTCCTTCTTCACATGGTAGCAGGAAGGAGAGGTGCAAGCAGAGGAAATGCCTGGCACTTATAAAACCATCAGATCTCATGAGAACTCACTCACAATAATGAGAACAGCAGCATGGGGGTAACTGCCCCCATGATTCAATTACCTCCCACCAGGTCCCTCCCACGATATACGTGGCGATTATGGCAACTACAATTCAAGATGAGATTTGGGTTGGGGCACAGCCAAACCAAATCTGAAGGCTATACTTTAAAATATTTCATTATCCTTTTTACTTTCTGGCATCATCATTTTTTGTGGGTGTCACTAATTTTTAACATCATTGAGTTTCCTTAAACCATACAACAAAAATAACACTATGGCCTAATTAATAATATTATCTGAGGGGTAAATGAGATCTTGTGTGTGGATGTATTTGTAAATGTTACAACTTTACACAAATGTTGACCATAATTCATTCATTTATTTATACACCAAATATGTATGGATGGTTAACATTTTGCCAGGCACTGTTCTGGGCAGAAGACTACAACAGTGAAGAAAGCAGTCCCTCTCACTCAAGTTGAATGTATATTCTAATTAGTAGAGAGATGATAATAATTATAAATAAGTGCATTATATAGTAGGTCCGAAGATGTTAGGATCTATAGACAAAAATTTAAGAGAGTGAGGGGAATGAAGAGTGGTGTGTGGTATTGGAGTTTTATTTATTTATGTATTTATTTTCTCTCTATTTATTTATTTATCTCTTTATTTATGTGGGTTCATAGTAGGTGTATATACTTATGGGGTATATGAGATGTTTGATACAGGCATTCAATGTGAAATAAACACATCATGAACAATGGGGTATCTATCCCCTCAAGTCCTATTGTCTGAGTTACAAACAATCTAGTTACACTCAAATTATTTCAACATGTACAATTGAGCTATTATTGACTTTAGTCATCCTATTGTGCTATCAAATATAGGACAATCAGTGTGGGTCTTTTTGAGAAAGTGATATTTTGAGCCAATTCTGGAAGGAGTCCCTGGCTATGCAGATACTTTGGAGAGAAACACCCCAGTTAGAATAGTAGTTCTCAACTGGAAATGATTTTGCCCCAGGGGGCATGTTGCAATCTCTTGAGACATTTGTGTTTGTCGTAACTTGGGGGTTGGAGGTGTTGCTGCTGGTATCCACTGAGTAGAGGCCAGGGATGCTGCTAAACATCTCACTATGTGCTAGATCCAGGACAGTCCCCCAGCCTAAAATATCAGTAGTGCCAAGGTTGAGAAGCCCTGAGTTAGAAGGATAAGCCAGTCCAAAGATCCAGAGACAGGAAGTGCTAGAACCAACCAGTGTAGAGAGGCACACGTTGCCAGGTAGATTACTTAGGGCATTGTAGGACATTGTTAAGACTTTGCATCTTAGTGATACATGCCCAACGTCTCCAAGTAGGCATTTGTCACCTTTTCTTCAGTCCTCCCACAGCAACCATCTCTCATGTTCAAGAGGGATTATCTTTCTTTCCCACTAGGCTTTTAGCCCCCTTATGACAGAAGCCAAATCTAGTGCATCTCTGTACACCCTATGCCTATCACAGTGCCCAGTAATACCTAGGAGAAGTTTAATGCATGTTAGTTGTATCAGTGATTGTGAAGATAACTCCTGGTAATAGTCTCAATTGACTTGGGTCTTATTTCATATACAGGCTAA
Source organism: Homo sapiens (assembly GCF_000001405.40). Classification (NCBI taxonomy): domain Eukaryota; kingdom Metazoa; phylum Chordata; class Mammalia; order Primates; family Hominidae; genus Homo; species Homo sapiens. The sequence continues at coordinate 117,696,669 of NC_000009.12, read as the reverse complement.
TAAGATCCAAGTGAGGACAGATTGGATCTGTTACATTCAGAGTTGTAGCTAGTGTTTGTTTGTTATCAGTACATGATAAGTGCTCAATTAACATTAAATGAATGCAGGAATTAGTAGATTATATGTAATCAGCCATTTTTTTTGATGACTGGTCAATCACATTTCTCCTCTTTTTAGCAACTTCCACTGAGAAAAAGAAGGAAAAATCTAAAAGGAATTTATTCTGTCTTTTTCTAGAAGACAACCTGTGATGAAATACTTTGAGCTGGTATCTGACACAATCCTAGGCTAGACTTGCAAGTCACCTTATAACACATCACTGTGGACAGCACATGCTTGCGTAACCCAGAGGTGTATGACATGTGTTTTTGGAAGGAATGGGGTCAGGGCATGAGTAACTTACATTACTTGTCAAGTAGCTGGTTTATTCTACAATTACTCTTCTTTTCTTCTACCTTCCATTCTGGAGAAGTCTATGAATCTGGAAGTAATCGGACTGGGAAATGATGGACAAATATGCAAGTTGGGCAAATACACATGGAGCACAGAAAAGTATCTAGTGTGCAATTTCCTTGAGGTTCAAAAGATATATTCCAATCTATACATAGTCCAAAGAATGGTGCAGGATTCACAGCAACATCCCTAATAAAATTAACTTTTTTTTCATTGATCCTCGGGATGTCCTCAGCTTTATCCTTAGCTTTTGTGAGAGACCTCATGTGAGCTACTTCTTCTGCTACAGAATTGTGTTCCTCTCAGACTCTGCTCCTTACTTGCTGTCTCCCACCCCGACAGACTTTTGATCCTTAACTCTTCTTTTCCTTCTGAAGTATAGGCATTCTATTAGCCACAAACTTCAACATGAGTTGTTAGTTATTCTCTGCTTGGCTTGGTGTTGTTAATGGGTAGAAAGACAAAGAATCTACAAATTCTAAGGAGTAGTGGATGATGTTAAGAGGCTGCCTTGGTAGAATGACCACCAGGTGAGCAGAAAAATTAAAGTAAACTAAAAGATGGGGTGCTTACTGAAGGTGAAACTCTTCCACCAAAATTTTTGTATTTTATGCTGTATGAGTACCTGCCTCCTCTCTTTCTTTGAGTCAACATTTAAATTTTAAAAAAAGAAAAAGAAAAAACCCTCCTAGTGCCTTGGTATTAGAAGGTTGGAGCTCTAGTGAGAAGGAAGATACAGAGATAAAGATAAAAAATAAAAGGTTAGATGTGACATTATGGGAAGGAATTGCATTCAGGGTAACATAAAAGTATGTTGAGAGTACTAAACATAAATATGCTTCAATTTTGACTCTGCCCTTTTGATTTATGCCAAAGCAACCATATCTTTTTCCTTTAGCTCCTCTAGAGCTCAGACTAAATGTCCAGTGAATGCTTCCATAAACTAATATTCTCAATGACATGGCATGGAATAATAACTGAAATTCATGGACTCTGCATTAGATTGGAAATCTTGGCTTCTGGTACTTGCTCCATCACTTCCTAGCTGTGTGACTTCAAATAATCACTTAACTTTATAAGCTTTAGTTTCCTTCTCTGTACTAGTTGCAAGGAGAAAATGAGATTATATAGGCTAAGATTATGGTAATTTTAAGATGTGTTTAGTCTATGTTAATGCTTAATATAGACTTCTCATTACTCATGTAAAAGTAATTTTACATTACTCTCATTACTCATGTAAAAATAATATCCACCGTATCTTTCTGATCACAAACTATTTATTCTAGGTTGGTTTCTTAACATCCTACATCTTTTAGTCAGTTGGAGGTTTCCATGACAAGAAAATGCACAGCAAACAGCTGATAAAACTCCTGTTCCTTTGTATGTTGGAGTTTACTTTCAACACAACATAAATAAGTACATATCACCTTAAGCAGGGTTCCTGATATTGAGTATGGAAAGGGGTGGTGACCTAGGGCAGTAATCCCCAATCTTCTGGGCATCAGGGACCAGTTTCGTGGAAGACGAATTTTTTCCGTGTTGGTTTCAGGATGAAACTGTTCCACCTCAGATCATCAGACATTAGATTTTCATAAGGAGTGCAACACCTAGATCCCTCGCATGTACAGTTCACAATAGGGTTCACGCTTCTGTAAAATCTAACGCCACTGCTGATCTGACAGGAGGTGGAGCTCAGGCAATAATGCTCTCTTGCCCACCACTCACCTCCTGCTGCGTGGCTTGGTTCCTAACAGGCCACAGACTGGTACCAGTCTACGGCCCAGGTACTGGGGACCTCTGACTAAGGGTGTTTGGAAAAAACAAAAAACAAAATTTATCCTCCTTGTCTTCAGGCTCACCTCAAAGTCCATCTCCTCTATAGAGTCTTCCCGTTCCTTCTAAAAAGCATCATCTACTCCCAGTCTCACACACTCATGCATACCAAGTAAAAGTTATCTTGCTTTTCTTTAGAAATATGGTCCTGGGTCTTATGCATACTCTTCTGTATTGAAGGGCATTTTATCACAGCTCATATTCCCCCCAAATCAGGAATTCCCTCAGGATATGAACTTTGCCTTGCACATATATGTAATCTACATAGCATGTCACCTTGTAGTAAAAATAGACTAAAGGAAGGAAGAATGAAAGGAAGGAAGGAAGGAATAAAGAATGGAACGAAAGAAGAGAGAGAAAGGAAGGGAGGAAGAGACTAAAATGAATGAATGAATTTGATAGCAGGATACATTTTGAAATGTAAATATTGGGAAACTATATATAACACAACTTCCCCAAACAAAATAAAATGATTTGACCCTATAATAAAGTACAATGTGAAGCACAAGAATGATGCAACTAGAAGAAAAATAAATCCTCATTCTCTAGGAGCTTAAGTGAACACTCTCCCCATTTTCTTCTTCTGAGGTGATCTGGACGCCATTATCAAGGCTGCACAGTGAAGCCCATAGGCCCAGCTGCCTTGGAGCTTCCCAATAGGCATTTGTGTCATTTCCACCAATCACAAACATTCGCTTTGTCCCAGCCCAACTGAGGAGCACATGCCAGGGGACTGGCCATTCTAAAATCTCCCTTCTGTTCTCGAAAAGTGGTTTCCACAGAGGTAGTTTATTCGTATCCAAATCCCTCACCTTTAAATGTGCTGAAAAGTGAGTTTGAAATTAGACTCAGAGCCATATGGCAAAGCTGAGGGCAACATATGGTTGCAGAATGCTCAATGCTGATCTATAGAATCTTTATGTGTGACTTCCATCTCTCTTTACACAGGAGGCAATGGTAAGATTGGAATTCTGTATTTTGAACTGCCCTGTCCTTCATGTGGGAAAATGAAACTCATAATTCAGCATTCCTGATCAACTTATTTTAGGTTTTTTGGTCATGGTGGGTGTGGGGTGCAAAGGAATATCTGTACTCCTACTTATGATCAACAGTATGTAAACTGTTAAAAGATTCAGTCTGTGAACTGGAAGTATAATGTGTCCAATAAAAATGTGAGTTTATGTCAGCTGGACTAGGTCTCCCCTACAGATTTCAGTCATGCCCCTGTGAACTGCAGGTGCAGACAAATCAGCCCCATGCAAACAGGGAGCATACTGTGCTACGGGTAACACAATGAGATGATAAGGAGAGAGATGGGTTCTGCGGTCAAAACATGAAAACTGACTTTATTAACAAGCTGAAAAGTCTGAAGAGAAGGGCATTATAAAAGAAAAGTGGTAAATCATGTATAAGAAATCAAAGAGAAAAAAAACAGATGCACAGGGAAGTAGACAATTGAGAACATAGCTCTGAAAATGCTAGTCCACAGCATGTCCTGCCCACCTCACTCCACTATCAATATCACCATTACTGCAAAGACAAAGAATAATATCATTATTAAGTCAGATGCCAGGAAACTTGGCTGGGTCAATTGGTACGGGTTTGACCATGTTCTACCATTATATGGAATCAAATTGCCAAGAACGGAAGCTCTTCTTGCCATGAGGCTAAAGAAATCACTTTAAAAAATGTGAAAACTAAAACCTGGATATACACATGCACTTTTTCATATAGCTAAATCCAGTAAAGCTGGAATTCAAACTCAGTTTTTAAAAAAAATTCCAGTTTTATCATTACACTGTACCATCAGACAAATCAACAAATAATTAAGCAATGGGGAAACCTTTAATGGGGAAAGCCATCACAAAATACCCTAGGAAAGGACACACACGGAGAGAAAACGGTCTAAGACATCTGAAATACAGCAAATCAATGTGATTCTTATCATTATAACTATTGCCAACATTGAGGTCCAGTGCTTATATAAGTCAGGGAGTCACTTTGATAATGATATATCACTAAACTGTCACTGATGTCCTAAACAGCTATTGAAATTTACAACTTACTAACTTAAAGTGTACAATTCAATGGTGTTTATTATATTCATTCATATGTTCAACTATAACCACAGCCACCTTTAAAGCATTTTCATCACCATAAAAAGATACCCCTAACCCTTTAACTCTCACTCACTTCCACTGTGATAATGGAAGGATCTCATTATCACAGCCCTAAGCAAACATTAATCTACTTTCTTTCTATATAAATTTGCCTATTCTGTATATTTTACATAGATAGAATCATATAATGTGTGGCATTTTGTGACTGGCTTCTTTATGTGGCATAATATTTTTAAGGTTCATCTGTGTTATATTAATAGTATGCATAAGTTACTTCATTCTTTTTTACAGCTGAATAATATTTCACTATATGCATATACTAGAGTTTATTTATCCTTTCACTAAGTGATGAATATTTGATTTCTTTTCACCTTTTGGCTATTATGAACAATACCGATACAACATTTGTGAATACGTTTTCGTGTGGGCATGTTTTCATTTGTCTTGGATATACACCTAGGAGTGGAACTGCAGAGTAATATTGTAACTCTGTTTAATCACTTGAGAAACTTTTAGACTGTCTTCCAAAGTGACTGCCCTATTTTACACTACTAGCAGCAATGTATCAAGGTTCCAACTTCTGCAACCTCATCAATGCTTGCTATTGTCTGTTTATATCTATTGTACTGGATATAAAGTGGTATCTCATTGTTTTGATTTTCATTTTCCTGATGACTAATGATGCCAGGAATCTTTGCAAGTTTTTATTGGCCATTTGTATATTTTCTTTGGATAAATGTCCATTCAATTTCACTGTCCATTTTCTAATTGAGTTATTTGTTGTTTTATTATCAAGTTAGAAGTATTCTATATATATTCTGGATACTCATTTCTTATGAGATATATGATTTGTGAATATTTTATCCCATTCTGTGAGTTGTCTTCACTATTTTGATTGTGTCCTCTGAAACAAATGCTTTTAACTTTTGATTTCCAAATTATCTCTTGTTTCTCTTGTTGTTCTTGATATAATGCTTTTGGAATTTTATCTAAGAATCCATCACTAAATCTGAGGTAACAAGGATTTATCACTATGTTTTCTTATAAAAGTTTTCTAGCCATAGATCCTACATTTAGATCTTTCATTCATTTTGAGTTAATTTTTGCACATAGTGTGGTGTAAGAAATCATTTTGCATGTGACTATCGAGTTTCCCAGCATCATTTGTGAAAAGACTATTGCTTTCCTACTGAATGATATTGGCACCCTGGCTGAAAAGCAGTTGACCATAGACACATAGACTTATCTCTGAACTCTCAATTTTGTAATATTTATCTACTTGTCTACCCTTATGCCAATACCACACTGTCTTGATTACTTTTGCTTTGCAGTAAGTTTTGAATTCTAGAAATGTCAGCTATTCAAATATATTCTTCTTTTTCAGGTTGTTTTGGGTCTCCTAAGTCTCTTGAAATCCCATGTGAATTTTAGAATTAGTTTGTTAATTTCTACAAAGAAGCCAGCTAGAATTTTGATAGGTATTGCATTGAACCTGTAGATTGATTTGGGAAATCTTATGATTTTAACAATTTTACGTCTTACAATCCATGAACATAAGGTATTTTCTATTCATTTAGATGTTCTTTAATTTCTTTCAATGATATTTTACAGTTTTCAGAGTATAAGTTTTGTACTTATACTTTTAAAATGTATACTTATTAATATATACTTATACTTTATATTTTATTAAATTTATTATTTTTATAAAATTATAAATTGTTTTCTTAATTTCATTTTCAGACTGTTCAAGTATATAGAAATGCAATTGATTTTTATGTATAATCTTAAATTCTGCAACTCTGCTGACTCATTTACTAGTTTTAATAGTTTTTAGTGCATTCCTTAGGATCTTCTAAACATGAGATGCTATCAATTATAAATAGAGATGTCTTGACTTTATTTTTTTCAACCTGGATGTTTTTATTTCTTTTTCTTTCCCAATTATTCTGGCTAGAACCGCCAGTACAATATTGAATAGAAGTTCTAAGAACAGACATCTTTGTGTTGTTCTTGCTTATAGGGGAAAACTACTCTGTCTTTCATCATTCAATATGTTGTTGGCTGTGAGTTTCTTATAGATGACCTTTGTCAGCTAAGATAATAAATGAGAACAAGTATGTAACTATTGCTTTTGTTACAAAAACCTTCTCTTTCAATTTTTCTAGTTCTCATCACTTGTATCTGAGCTTTAGAGTTCTCATCTGGAGTCCTATACCACATTTCCTTAGCCCTGTACCACTTTCCTCCCATCTTCTACCTTCGTGCTCTTATTATCAGATATATTACATTTCTGCATATTATAGGCCCAAAATGCATTATATGCATGTTATTTTATAAAATTCCTTTTTAAGTCACTTAAGAAAAAAGAAGAAAAAAAGCTATGCATTTTTACTGGTTTTTATATTTACATAATTACCTTTTGGTGCTCTTATGTGAACTCAAATTACTGTCCGGAGTCACTTTTCAGTAGAAGAGCATCCTTTACTTACTTCCTTTCTTGTAAGTTAGGTCTGCTAATAAAAAATAAATTCTTTCAGTTTTTGTTTACTGGAAATGTCTGTATTTCCCTTTCATTTCTAAAAGATGGCTCTGTTGAATTTATGATTCTTTTTTAAAGTATTTAAATTTGGGCATTTTTATTTTTTAAGTTTTATTTTTAATTGACAATAATAATTAGATATTTGTAGGGTATGATGTGATGTTTCAATACATGTATACCTTACGGCATGATCAAATCAGGTTAATTAACATATCCATTACCTCATATATTTATTATTTTTTGTGGTAAGAACATTTAAAATCCTCTCTTTCAGCCATTTTGAAATATATCATACATTAGCTATAGTCATCATGCTGTGCAATAGATCAACAGAACATATTTCTCTTGTTTAACTGAAATTTTGTATCTTTTGACCTTTTTTTGTCTACTCCCACTCAGCCTCTAGTACCCAGCATTCTACTTTCTAATTCTATAAATTTGGCTTTTTTAGATCCTGCATATAAGTGAGATTGTACAGTATTTGTTGCTCTTTGTCTTTTTTCACTTACTATAATGTCCTCTAGGTTCATCGATGTTGCAGCCCATGGCATAATTTTCTTCTTTTTCTAGGCTACATGGTATTCCATTATTTACATGAATCACATTTTCTTAATCCCTTTGTTAATGGACACTTGAGTTGTTTCCAAATCTTGGTTATTGCAAACAATGAGTGCAGACATCTCTTCAGCACAATTTCAACTCCTTTGGATATATACCCAGAAATGGGGCTGCTCCATCATATGGTAATTGTATTTTTAGTTTTTTAAGAATCTTTCATACAGTTTTCTAAAATGGCTATACTAATTTACAATACCACCAACAGTGTACAAATGTTCCCTTTCCTCTGCATAGGATTCTTGATTAACAGGTTTTTCCTTTGAGCACTTTAAATAGTTGTTCCATTATCTTCCGGCCTCCCATTGTTTCTGATGAGAGGTATATTGTTAATCTTATGTGTGTGGCGGGGGTGGGGGGGGGGGTGATCCATTTTAAATGACAAATCATCTTTTTCTTATTGCTTTCAAACTATTTTCCTTATCTTTAGCTCACAACATTTTTACTATAATGTGTCTATCTGTGGATCTCTGCATTTATCCTACTTGAAATTTATTGAGTTTCCTAAATGTGTAGTTTTGGGGGGTTTTTTTCCAAAAAATTTGGGAAATTTTGAGTCATTTTTAAAAATATTTTTGTCTGCTCCTTTTCTTTTTTTCTCCCCTTTATGTGCTCCTGTTACATACATGTTGGTAGGCTTAATGGCGTCCTACATATGTATAAAACTCTTTTTCATTTTTCTTCAATTCTTTTTCTCTCTGTTCTTCGGAAGAAATCTTTCCTACTGATCTCTCTTCAAGTTTCTTAACTGTTTTTTCTATCTATTACAAGTTATCCTCATGCCCCTCTAGTGAATGTTCTATTTCAGTTAAACTTTTCAACTCCAGAATTTGTATTTGGCTCATTTTAATAATTTCTCTTTTTATTGATATTATTTATTTAATATTAACTTTACGTCTTTAATCATGGTTTCCTTTAGTTCTTTGAACATATTTATAATGGCCACTTTGAATACTTTATTATATCTAACATCTACTCTCCTAGGCAGCTTAGGTTGCTTTTTCTTTTTACAGTGTATGGGCCATACTTTTCTTCTTCTTCTTCTTCTTCTTTTTTTTTTTTTTCATGGTTCATTGTTTTTTTGTTGAAAACAGAATATTTCAGATAACATATTGTAGCACCTCTAGGTCTGTTACCTTTCTCATTGAATCTTATTGTAATTTGCTGGTATATTTGTTTTGTAACTGGTTGCTTTTTTTTTTTTTTTTTTAGTAAAATCTATTCATTTACTCCCACCTACACTGTTAAGCCTCTGATGTTGTTTCTTAGTGGGTACAGCCATAGGTGTGCCAGCATTCACTCGAGAAAGACAGTGGTGTTAGCAGGGCTCTCTTTGCCTGTCTCTCACCTGACCACACCCAGCTGTAAAACTCCACTAATTGCTGGCCACCTGTTCTATTGTTTTCAACAATGCCCTGGAGCATAAATTCCTATATAGGCTAATCCAATAAAGTTCAGCCTCCTTTGAAGGAATAGTTCTAAAGTCTTTGTTAAAGATCCCTTTTGACCACAGAAGTGTCCCTCTCAGCTGTCTCTTTCTCAATTTATCTCCGGAAAACTAGCTGGCCTATGGTTTAGCCCATATTTCCAATATATTTTCTACTATCCTCTCAATTACATTTTATCACAATCTCTACTGTCTTTGAGAGAGATCTTGATTCTTTTGCAAATTAAGTCAGAGATTAGGAACAGTCTGTTTGGGGAAGAGATTAAGAACTATCTGTTTTAAGGCCTTTTCCCCCACCTAGGCAAAATTTCTAAAACAGCTCCGGCCAGTGAGTGGTATGGTATACTTCTCTATGAGTGACACCCCTCATTTTAGAAACTGAGTGCTCAGTGGATGAGGATAGCTTCAGGTCTTCTAGGCTTCCCTCTCCCAGCACGAAACCACTCACTGCCTTAACAAATGGGATATGGGTGATTGGAATTTTAATACTTAGTGATGAATGTCCAAGGTAGAGCCCTCATTCTATATAGTGGAGACTGAGCAGAAAACAAAGGAACATCCAATTTTGCCTTCACTTGCCCAGAACTTAGCCTCAGAAACAGGTAGGTGGAAGTAATATGAGAAATGGTGATATCTTGCCCTAGGTAGCTCCTCAGCTGGGAGTTGTGGGGTAATAGAGGTCCATGTTCTGGAGAGGATCAGCCTAGAGTCCAGTTTCTGTCTCACTGAGCTGGGAGTGGGGAGTGAGTGAGTCTGGGTTCAGATACTATAGACTCTCACTATTTCCACCACGTCTTAGTGCATTTTCTTAAATCAATGTTTCATCATTTGCCCTTTGAACTATTTTCACAGACTTTTAATAGTTTTGTGTGTGTGTTTTACTAATTTTCACTAGTTTCTGAGAGGAACATGTCCACAGAGCTCCTCATGCTGCCATATCAAAAGTGGAACTCAAACATAGGCGCTCAAACATGGAACTTTTTGCACCAAAGTTAATATCCAAAGAGTAGGGACAGTAATCACAGCATAAGCGATGGGAAAGAAAAAGCAATAAAGAAGAGGTAAATGAGGTATAAAAAAGAAAAGAACAGTAGCAGCAAGAAAGACACTTGATGGAGGAAGAAAGGAGAGGAAGAAGATAAAAAAAGATGGAAGTGTAAAACAGTCATAATTGACGCAAATTAAGTCAAAAGAAATTGGTGTTTGGTCAGTGAGAAGCAACTGACATATGTTGATACCCTCACACTGGCCTTTCATCAAACAGTGACTTACCTTCCAACATCACCCAACTATTTCATTGTTCATGTGCTGAGTTTCCCAAAGGTCATCTTGAGTTCTTGCAAAATATATATATGTGTGTATACACATATATACATATACACACACACACACACACACACACACACATATATATACATGCTTTTCCCCTTTTTCCTCAACACATAAAAATCCTCCGTATCCTTGAAGGATTAGTTCAAATGCTGTCTCCGCCAGAAATCATCCTTTTATTTACCCAGAGCTGCTTTGATTTTTGCCTTATCCATTTTCTAATTTTTCCTAATAATTTACCTGTATGTCTATTGTAAATTTATCTTTTCTTTCTCCCTTCCAGGGTGTTTTGGCTCCTGTTTATTCCCAAGTCTGATTGTCTGAAATACCCTCAAAGATCCTTTCACTGTATTTCTGTTTTCTTATGTTAGCCAAAGAATACTTACATTCAATAATCCTATTTAGTGGAGATATATAAATGTTAAAAACAACTGCAGAGGGAGATTTGCACAATAACATACTCATATTCTTCCATCCATCATATGAACGAACAAGACTGATGAATGAATTGAATAAATGAATTTCAGAAATAATGAAATGTGCATATTATCATATTGGGAAACTAAGAAAAACAGCTCAGTAATCTTGGAGGAGAATGGAGTAAAGATAGCACGAAATGATTCCTATCAGCTTCAGAAAACGAGAGGACAGGAGGGAGGAGATGAGGGACTGGTGGTGCTGGTCCCCTGATGCTCAGAGAATGGGTGCCCAGGTCTGCTAGAAACAGGACTTCTAGAAGGTAAATAGGTCCGGAAGACTATGGTTACAAGGCCAATTTTGCTGGCTATATGTAGAGGCTTCAGAAACAAAGGGAGTACATAGCTCTTCTTAAAATCGTAGGTATTTATGCCTGAGATGAAACTGAATTCTGTTTGGGCAAGAGATGTTCTAATGTATACAAAGCAAAGAACAGCACGGTGACTCTTGGCAGCAAATCGTACAAAACCAGAGTAATCTGGTTAAAGGTAACTCATGCCCATGGAAACAGTGGCAGGATTTGTTTCAAATTCTTAAGCAACCTTCCTGCTAAGGCCATTGGATGGAGAATTCATGTGATGCTGTACCCTTCAAGGATTTTAACTAATAACAAGTAAATAAATAAAAGTAGATATGGAAAACAACACACACACACACAAAGACAGAACAGGAAAACTATTCTATTTTTCATGTCTTTGTCGCTAACATTTGCTATGTGATCTTGAGCACAAAATAGCAACTACATCCCCACTTCAATGACTTCACCTGTAAAGGAAGGAGCTAAACTAAATTTTAATTTTTCCTCCTCAGAGTTTCTGGCATGCTATGTAAAGAAGAATGTGATAAAACAATATCAAAGGGGTAACAAATCCCCAGAAAATTTGAAAATTAGGTACAAGACTGTTTTTTTTTATTAAAGGAAAAAACATGAAGAAAAGAAGATAACTATAGCTATAAGGTGCTACACTCCATTTCAGCTTCCTAAAGGACATCCCCCTTCTCCCCCGTCAATTACACAACCAACTCGAACAAAGAGCATATAACTTAGAAATGTTTATTTTTAACAAAGAGAGAAGCCTGGACATAACGTCACAGCTTGGAAAATCTTATCTCTCCAGAGTTTTCAGCCTAAATAATTGGATCAGCCTCATCTAACAAATGCTGCTAGCTTCTAAGTCTATGGAGAAATCTGGTTTAAAATTGCCACTCAGAACTGTGAGGGACCTTAACATCTCAATTAAATGGTTGACATAAGAACAAGATAAAAAGAAAATGAGAAGGTAGACTGACTAATTGTGAGAGAAAGGGGATTTCTTCATTGCACAAAACATAATCTTCATTTAAGCAGAGATTGTCAGAAGTTATCAGCTCCAAATACAAACACATAAAAGTTCAATAACAGATAATTCAACAACAAAAGGCATCACATTTCTACATGGGGGATTGAAAATTCAATATCTAACTATATAAAGGAAACTGGAGCACTTTAGACTTCCCCCAGATCTCAGAATGCATCTCTCCTGGGTTTACAGTAAGGAATCTCCCAAATTAAGCCAGACTTCTAAACAATAATTTTCCAGCCGCAATGTCTGCCAAATGTCAATAAAATTTCAGAATCCCACTGACAACAAGAAGAGAAGATACCCTACAAGAATATTCAAGGGATATGGATTCATCGAATTCAAAGTCTAACCTTAGGAAACACTTTCACCTGGAGTTTCTTCTTTGCTCAAAAGTCATGTGACATTACCTACTGAAGGAAGAATGTATTTCTAAGGAGAAAGGGAGGAAGTTGTAATGTTCTCCTGAGTATAATTCCTCCCAGAACTAGTCAGGAAAGATTCCATAACCCTTGGTCAAATGTTTAAATGTGAGAGAAATAAATGGTGAGGACTAGACAACAATTAATATAGCATTCATATAGCAGTGCAATGTTCATATTCCACTCGAGTGAAGGCATCATGGCAGAATTGAAATGGAGCATGTTTTAGAAATAGACAGATTTGAGTTTGAATCTCTGCTTCACATTTTGCCAACTGTGTAACTTTGTCCCACCACTCTATTTCCGTCTATAGAATTCGGATAAAACTGCGGTCTTTATGAGGTTGTCCAAAGGATGACATAAAAAGTATTAAGAAAACATCCAGTACAGAGCCTAGTATGCAATAGGTGTGTGCTAGATATGTAAAATATTATTATCTTTATTTTTCTTTTCCTCAAATTACAACTTAGAGTTGTCTATAGCCCTAATTTTATTTGTTGAGCACTACTGGTGGGGCTAGAGCAAATAATGACGCTGTGCCATGACTGAAATTATATGATCCACCCCACCACACCCTGTTGGGCATTCCCTTTAGCTTCATTGTGTACTTGGCTGGTGGTATTGAGGTTAGAAGAAAGGGCCCTAGCTCCAGTGTCAGGAGATTTGAGTGGACACATCACTAGATCTTTCAGGAACTTTATTACCCCATCTTTAAATAGGGACTCATAATCTAAGCTCTGCACTCTACTATCTGATTTTTAAAAGGACTTTACTAATCTGGATTTGCATCCTAAATTACCCACCTATCCTACAGGAAATTCCCATTACTTCCCTTAAGTTCATATGGTAATTTGCAATTGATAAAATGCCCGTTTATTGACTCATAATAAGCTCCACCAACCAACTCATTTTGAGAAAGATTTCACATTCATTGACTCATAATAAGCCCTGCCAACCATTCATTCTCACTTTCTCTCTTTTTGTCCTCAATCGTGGTGTGAGAATCAGACTTCTATTGTACTCATATGTACTTTTTTATTTTCTATTTTAGCTCTCAGCTTACCTGTTAAAGTAACAGTGCAGCTACTTTAGAAAGTGATCACCTTCCCTTTTCCTTTCACACTGTTTTATTAAGTTAACTAACTGCCCCTCCCCCATGCCAACAGATAGATGCATGGAGAAACAGACTAAGTAAGAAAATGAACCCTGGGACAGAGAACTCAGATAATAGCAAAAAAAAAAAAAAAAAAAAAAAAAAAAATAAGAAGCTTTACTTTGTAGAATGCTAGCTCAAAAGTAAAACAGAGAGCCCAAGGTATATGACTAACTCTCAAGTTTTTCCCAAATGGAGTCCTATTCCTATGTGCTGCCTCTGCAAAAGTGAAAGTATTTTAGGATTTTAGGACTGGACTAAATAGATAGATATTCATCAGATTTACATTGATGTTGTTTTCATGGAAATTGAATACGTACTTACCACCTAAAATGCCAGCTTAAGGAAAGTCCACAGTGTTTATATCATGGCAGAGGTAAAAAACCAAATTCAGGGAAATATATCTTTGAATGGTCCACTGATGAATAATGAGAAATAAATAAATTTGAACATAAAGGACTAAGTTTCAATGTTGTATTCAACCTCAATGATAGAAATAAAGGTACCTACCCCACCACTCCTAAGCCCACTCATAATATATCTCTCATCTCCTCTGAAACGGGTAAGTATAGGCTTTTGGTCAGAGATTTTTGAGATATTTTCTATTTGCACAGAACTTCTTAATTCTACCACTGGTTAGCAAATTATATCATAGCTTGTGAAGTGCTACAATCAGCCAACTGTACAAAATAAGGTCTTAAATCTTGGTTCTAGTTCAGGCTCTAACACTATTTACTGTGTCAGTGAGGATAATGGGCTTCCACTTCCTCATCCTGAGTTGATTTTTTAATCTCCTTCATCTGTATTCTTCTGATTCTCTTTTGTAATGTCCGTTATCTTGCAGCAGTACTAAATACTTATATCAACTCTTCTCACTTGTGCAATTTGGATTACCACTTTTCCGCTTACTAACCAAGTGGCTTCAGTGATGTTAGTAAGCCTCTCTGTGCCTGACCTTCTTCTGTAGAGTGAACAGTAGTTTCCTCATACAGTATGAGATTAAATGAGATAACAAATCTGGAACTCTGCTTAGAATTGTTCTGGACACATAGCAAAATCAATAAATATAAGCTGCAGTCGTTATAACTCAGAGTAAATTATAAGATCTTTGATAAATGGGACCATGCCTATTATTTCCCACAGTGCATTTCTGCAAATCCCAGAGTAGACAGGACAGTGCTAGGTATGGAAGGATGCACCCAATAAATCGATACTGACTAAATGGATAAATTAGTAGTAGAAATATCTTGGAAACTAAACATCTTTCAAATATTCAATAGGAGAGGTCTTCAGCAAAGCAAAGAAAAAACATCTTCCTAGAATAACAAGTAGTTTAAATAACTGTGTGCATGCATTAACAGTACTTATTCCAGGCAACATCTCAAAAGCAAGACAACACATCTTCACAGAAGCCTATGCTCCTTGTTCCTAAGCAATTAACACTAAAATAAACCATAGACTTCAGAAACTCCAATGGAAAACTGAAGCCTAGAGAATTTTCAGAAAATTCCAATGCATGTGTACACAAGAGCACAAACTAGAGTTACTTAGATCTTTTCATTCTACATGTTATCCAGTTTCAAGGTCATTCCATAAAGCTTTTTCTAAATAACCCATCTACAAGTATCAAAACTCCTCTTCTGAGTACTAGAAGAACATTCTCTATGTTTCTTTTAATTTTTACATGTATACATTTTCTATACACAGTACCTTATCTTGAGGCAGTAGACTTTGAATTCAGAAAGACCTTCATTAGATACCAATTCTGTTACTTACCATCTGAGCATCCTTGAGCAAATTCTCTGATTTATTGAAATCTATACGTAAGAGCTATTGTTGGAAAGATTAAATAAAATAGTACATGTAGACATGCAACAAATATAAGTTTCTTTCTTTTCATCCCTTTTTTTCTCCTAACCATATCTCTGAAAGTTCTTTGATAATAGGCCCTCTTCCACTATAGTACAATATCCTCCTCAGAGAAGAATAAGCATTTATTTCATTTGTTCTTCTATGCTTAGTACACCTCAGGCACCATTTATGAGTAAAATACCATTAAGACACAGAAATTATATTTCTACTCCAACCCAACCAAAAGTGAGAGTATACAGCCTTCTGTTGTGTAGTTACCCTTAGAAGAATAGAGAGTGAACAAGTTATCTCTAGTGTCTAAAGGGTGAAAAAAAGAAAAGAAAAGAAAAACAGACTGAAAAAGTAATGATTACATATTTTTGCTTCTTTCATTTCTGATTTCCCCAAGTATCTAATAAATTAAAATAAAACAAACTCCAAGATGCACATTCTTCTTATTTCTGGAGGAATAAAATCAAGGAGCTTATGGAAGACTTCAAAAAATTGTTGCAGTAGATATAACATGAAATGGAGGGGAATCATAGATTGTAACTGACTTTCTGCCTTCATACGCAACAGGAAGAATGTACGTTCATAGGCAACAAAGTGTTAGTAATCCTTGGTTGAAATATTGTTTTACCTCATGCAATGATAGTTGAGATCTAAAAGAAAAATTTTAAAATGTAAGAATATTAGGTTGGTGCAAAAGTAATTGCAGTTTTGCCATTACTTTTAATATATAATTAAATTTAAAATATAAATTAAAATGTAATGTATATTACATTTAATAATATAAACATACACACAAATGCATACACATAAAACAGAGTTATGGACCTGAAACAATCTATTCTTCTAGGAGAAAACAAGTAATAAAACCAACAGGTAACAAGCATTCAGAGATAATTGCCAGTAATACTCAGACATGTGTTTGATGATTAATAGCAATAGATTTCACAGAGGTGGTTAATAAAGAGGCAGGCAGTGTTGAGACAATATATAAAATGATTAAAAGTGAAATGGTCTTTGGTCCTCAAAGGAAGAAGGAAGGCCTAAAGAGTTTGTCTTTCCCAATACCTGTCACTAAGAAGGTTTTGTGGCATTGAGAAAACCAAGAAGAAGTTAAAGATAAAAACTTGCAAATGGAGAAATTATTCATATGGAAGTCTTGAGCAGTTATTTAACCACTCTTGAAAGTGAAACCAAACAATATCTCAGGCCTTTTTCAGCTTTATGAAAAGACTGATTATCACTAATTTCTTTAAGTGTCTGTTTTTAGATAATGAAAACAGTGGCTGAAAGAAAGAAGATGGAGTCAAAAAAAGTTTAATACTAAAGATCAAGAGAGCCAAATGTTGAATATTTGGCAACAATTGAAAGTACGAATCCCTGAGATTCAAACCTGGAAGTGCTGATTTACGTGCCAGAAAGCATGTGTTAAAAAGTTGTCTATTAGCCACATTTATCTAAATGCAACAGGAAGGATATGACTCCATCTTCCTAAATGGAATGCCTTCCAAAGCTCAGCTCTCTGAGAAATTTCAGAACAAATTTTTTCTTTCAGAAAAATAATCATTCTTGAATGCAAAAAGGACCAGTAGGAAATACATCTGATTATTGTTGAAACTGCTATATGTGGAACCCTCAAAAGTTTTCCTATCCAATACCTTCCTTGATTTCTTTGATTGGTAAGTCTTTGAAATTGCTGCACAAAGTAATCAAAAATGGAGAAGAAACATTTTTTTCCTATGAAGAATGATTCTAAAGAAGTGGATCTTAGTAACCAAGTGGAAGGGAAAATCTCGGCAAAGCCACTGATCTAATCCAATGCTTCCATTCTGCTGACAAGGAAAACAATAACATAAGCTAATTCTTCTCAAAGATAAGCAGTTGAGAGACAAAACCATATAAACTGAACCCTGGACTTAGCATAAAAAGATCTGAGTCATTTGTCCCTGCCAGGTTACCCACTAACAGTGAACTTGAGAAAGTAACATAAACTCTCTCACCTCATTGTCTCAGGTTGGTCATCAAGGGCTGCTAGTGCAAACATTCTCAGATTCTGGGATACTTTTATGATTAGACACATTCATAAAGAACAGACCGTACTGGCTTTAATCCCAAACTATGACAATAGGGAGTTGGAAAGGTATTCTTTTTCCAAACAAATTCTCCTTTAGTATTCCAAATAGAAAGGGAATATGATGAATAGATCCCTTGCTATCCCAAGAATTCTGTTTTTTCCCCTAGTGCTATCAGTTACTTGATATTTAGTTATTTGCTTTTTTAAAAAAAAAGTATTTTCTTTTCTTGCTATGTGTGGATCACTCAGGAACAAAAATATTTGGCTAAATATTTTTGACATTAACTACTTAATTTGAATATTTTTAAGATTTGCACAACTTTTTTAAGATATTACCTTGCTTGAATAAATTAATTAGAAGATTATCTGTTATGTAGCTGCACATAATGAACCCTTCCCAGATTGGGTCATTCCTAGCCATATTTTTGCCAATATTTTAAGGACCAATTTCTCTCCTAAACTTTGTCCCTTTATGTAGAAAGTATTCCCAACCACAATATATACTTGGCAGTTAAAACTGAATGTGGGTGGAAAAGAAACAAATCTTTCTTGCACATTTCTCATTAAATCCCAAAACCTCTTTGTAGCTTATTTTTAATTCTTTAGAGAAAAATCCTGTTACTAAAAATGTCTGGTACTACCAGAAGATATTACTTTTTGTCTTTTGATCCTGGGACCTGCAACCTGAAGAAAGGTATTGTGCCTTCACTAGGGTATAAGGATTCTGGGTTATCTTACATAACCTGTTGCTGAGTTAATTCAGGAGAAATGAAATATACAAAGAGCAATATGCCCTACAACTTTGACATCATCATCAACACCATCATTATCCATCATTGTAGCAAACACTCATAGCATTATTTAGTTTGAGGCACTGTTTTAATTACTTTACACATTTTAACATAATGAAGTAGAAATGAAAATGTATTCACAGCTTGTGTTATAAAAATTCAACTTGTAAATGTTGTATTAAAAATTTATTCTTCTGACCATCCTAATACAGATCTATTCTTCACAAAGCTGTCCTGGGATATGAGTACCACCCAGTGGTGATGTGTTTATCCATTAAGTTTAATATTTTCTCCTATCAAAATTTTTCTTACCTCCTCCAGTAATGATAGTTACATTGCCTTTCACTAAGTAGGGTTTAGTTATTTAAACTTCAGATGAACTTCCTGAGTGTATTATTGGAACATGGTTTTCCTTCCCCTTTAATATTTGCATTGTTCTCTGAGGATGGATTATAGCTTTTTCACTCTGACAACTTGGGGTTTGGCCATGTGACTTGCTTGGCCAATAAAATGTATGTGAATGAAAATTAAACCATTGCAACCATAAGCTTTGCACTGGCTTGTGTTGTTTAGCTTTGTCTCTTGCACTTCTGCCCTGTACCATAAGAATACACCCTTAGAGGCACTGTTCCTTAAACTCAAGTTCTGGAATAAAAGATAGATGGAGCCAATCAAAATCAACCCATAGCTTGAACTAAAGCTTCCTAATTGACCTGGATAACTGTGAGGGAGAAATAAATATTCATTGTAGACCATTGAGACTTGGGGGGTGGTTTTTTATGCATCATTATTGAAACAATAGCTAGCTAATAAATTCTCATATGTTCATGAGCATGTTAATTATCTCCATTGGCCCCCACCCCTTCCTCTTCCAAATCTTGTTTACCTTTGGTAAATATATGTTCCTCCTTCAATTTTCTTTCCCTAGGTTTTATTTATAAGTCTCCAAAGTCTTTAACGATGGTCAATGAACATAAAGCAGTTCATTTATCAATGAACTGATAAATCTTTATCAAAGAAATATTTATAGTATACTTAATTAAAAATTTTAAAGTAGCTTTAAAATGACTTTGTATTCAATGTTATTTCCATATTTTCTTTCAATGTTAGTCTTGTAACACTAGATTCAGATTGCCTGGGTTTGAATCCTGATTCTGTATTCATCTCTTACTGGGTATGAGGCCTTGGACAAATTTCTTATTAATGCTTCTACTTTCTCACCTACAAAGATGACAAGAGTAGTATCACCAATACAAGGTTCTTTGCAAGATAAAGGTAGTTCATACACGTAAAGGAATTAGAACAGTCCTGGAAAATGGTAAAAACTCCAAAGTTGGCTATTAACTTCATCATCATCATCTATCATATATCAAATCTAGAGAAGGTTGTTTGACCTATAATATGGCTTAATTAGTTGTTTGTGAATGTGCTTGAAATAAACAGTCACCTCTAATTCCTTTTAATTGGAAGATATAATTACTACCTGTAATTCTAGATGATATATTTCTATTTTAAATGTGCTTTAGTAGTCTTCAAATAATATAGTCTTCAGAAGAACTGTCTAAAGGAAAAAAGGAACAAGGAGTAATGCTTAAATTTTAATGTTAAAAAATAACTAAGGATGAAAGAAGTTAAAGGATTTGCCCTAAACTCTCATGAGTAGTTGTATCAGAGCCTGGGTGGAAAAGAACAGACTTACACATAGACTCTTTTTTTTTAAGGGTGGTTTACTTATGGTTGATTCCAAGCTCTTTTGGAATTTAAGTATCACTGGAAAATATATTGTTAAAAAATGAATATAGAAGTCCTCAACAGTCTTCTAGTGTATGCTTTTCTAGGAAAGGATAGATCCTCTTCTTCTCCCCTCTGAAATATTTGACCATCTTTCATTTTCAGTGTCTTGTGTTGACATTAAATACATCAAGTAGAGAGTGAACTTAGGTATTGGGTATTTGGTCCCCAGGTATTCAACTGTTTCTACTGTATTGATTGTTCCTGATCTATAAATGCTTCATCAAGTGATTTTCCTGTATTCTGTAATATTCCAACCTTATGTCTTAAATTTTATAACCCACCCTTCTGATTAATTATGTTCAGAGCCTATCTGTATGTATTCATCTGTTCTCACACTGCTATAAAGATACTACCTGAGACTGAGTAACTTATGAACAAAAAGGTTTAATTAACTCAAAGTTCCACATGGCTGAGGAGGCCTCAGGAAACTTACAATCATGGCAGAAGGCAAAGAGGAAGCAAGCACCTTCTTCACAAGGCAGCAGGAGAGAGAGAGAGAGATTGAAGGGGGAAGTACCAGACACTTATCAAACAACTAGATCTCTAGAGAACTCATTCACTATCATGAGAACAGCATGGGGGAAACCATCTCCATGATCCAATCACCTCCCACCGGGTCCCTCTCTTGACATGTGGGGATTACAATTTGGATTACAATAAAAGATGAGATTTGGGTGGGGACACAGCCAAACTATATCACTGTATATATGTTGATTATTTCTATCTCAATGATTTTATTCCTTACCACATGCAGATGTTTTTGAACATCCTGCTTGAATCTTATTGCTTCCAAAATGTTCCCTCTGACTTGCCTTAATACATTCTGTCCTACACTCTTTATTTGTGAGTTCTCAATACTTCCACACAATACATGCCAAAAGAGAGGTATGGGAAAGTGGTTTTTATAATTTAGATGAAAAAGTTTCATATATATGTGCTATAGGTGTCATTATGAATTATCAAAAAAATTAAAATATAATATTAAGTACTTGGAATAAAAATTAATCTTTGATAAGTCACAGTGTATTTCAGTATTTTTCATGACTAAAGTTGACTAAGAGGAGGACAATCATATCAGTATCAATAACTTACACTTATGTGATATCTATCACATTTTTTCAAGTACACTTAAAACAATCATATGAGTAAAATTGAACAGGAAATTTTTTATAAAATATTTTTTATTATTAAGTAAAAACACGTGACCACCCTAGGAAATTTGGAAAATATTGAAGAAAAAACAAGAAGGAAATACAATCTCATCTCATTGATGCAAGTCTGCCACATATGCTACAATACTTGGAAAAATTTTGCTAGTGTTTCTTTTATTTTACGTATTGCATTTTACTTTATTTTTTCTGGCTGTGTAAAATTTGATATATGTAACAATTATAGGGACAGGTGTTATTATATTTAGAAATATTCATTTTAAATATAAAGAAATTTCAACTTACAAAGATAAGTCACCACACAAGTTTGTAAGCAAGAACAAGCCAGAAAGATCAGTGTCTTAACTGTCCTGTAAGTGCCATGCTCATATCTTCACTGTCTTATAAGTACCATGCTCATGTCTTCCCTGTTTTCGTGTTTCAACTACAGCTTCCCTTCTCCATCCCTGGAGAATTTCCTCTGCCTTTTTTGCCTAAGAAATTATATTAGTCCTTAAACCCACCTCGATGTAGTACATAACATTTACATTTTGGAGTTACAGCTGTGTGATGTTGGACAAGTTGCCTATGCCCTCTGAACATAAGGTTCCCCACCTGTAAAATGGGGGTAATATAATTAACTTAACAGATAATTGTGAAAATTTACTCAGACAATGCATATATATGGTCTAGGACTAGAAACTGATGGAATCAGAATTTAAACCAGGTCTGCATGATTTAATACATCATGTTGCCTCACAAATATTGGAAGCTCCATAAAAGTGGCACTGTCCTAACCAGCCCCAATTGGCCCTGCATGCAAATCTTGGGCCAATTCTAATCCCCTCAGCCTAGATTTTCATTGTGCAAAACAGGTATACTAATTATGTCTAATTCATAGGAATATCATGGAAATTAAATGAAATGATGTGTGTGTCTGGCATATACAGAGAACTTCAATACATGATAGATTGTTATTTTTCATAATACCAATGATAAAATGACAATGGTGATTAAATTTACGCTTTCTTTTTGTTATTCGTGTCTTTTTTCATTCTCTGTACTGTTCATTGCTAGGCTGGAAAATACCTTGTGCCCATTATCTTTCCTCTTGAGGAATGTCAGCAAAACTTTTTTGAAGAAAGCAAAAAAGTTTCAAATGCAGGCATTTTAATTAAAAAGAAAAAAATAAAGAAGAAAAAAGACAGGGCAGAGAGGTTGGATTGAGCTGTTTCTTTATATTGAGAGTTTTCCTGAGGGCGGGCTGCTCATCATCTGTCTTCCTGCTGTTTTGCACCTTTGCTTATACAATACATCCACTCCTAGAGGCATCTTAGCAGAAAAAAGATGAAAGGGAAGCACTGGTGCTCCTTCTGGACACAAGAAACAGAACAGATGAGACAAGAAATGAAGAAGACGTGAGGATGGTGAAATAGGCTGGGCCAGGAGAGGAGGAAAAATATGGAAACATGGAAGAAGAGAAAGAAAAAAAAGGAGGACAAAGAAGAGAAAGAGGAAGTGAAGGAGAGAAAAAGAAAGGAAAAAAATGAGGAAGAGAGAAGAATGATGAAGGAATTAAATCACAGGAAAGACAAACATGAAGGGAAATGAGAATGATAAAAAGAAATGTGGAAAAAGGGAAACAAAGGTGAATATGATGAAATCATAAGAAAAAAAGTAAAAAGAATGAAATAAATGAGTGAAGAAAAACAACAGTGATAAGAACTAAAACAGTCGTTAATGTGAAATAAAAGGAGAAAAGGAGAAAAGCAAGAAAGGGGAAACAAACTTGAAGAAGAAGGAGGAGAAGGAGGAGGAGGAGGAGGAAGCAGCAGAGGAGAAAAGAAGAAAAAGTGATGAAGCAGATGCTGGAAATTAAGATACTACTTCTACTGTCTTAAGCAGCTCGAGCTCACATTAAAAAAATCATAAATTGGGTGTCTTAAATAACAGAAATTTATTTTTTCACAGTTTTTTCCAAGGCCAAGGTGCCAATATAATTGATTTCCGGGGAGGGCATTGTGCTTGCATTCTGGGCAACGACCTTCTCACTGTGTCCTCACATAGAGGGGAGAGAGAGAGAATCAGAGAGCAAGCTCTGGGGTGACTTTTCTTAAACAAGAGCAGTCATCCCATTGTGAAGGCCCCACCCTCATGACCTTGTCAAAACCTAATCATCTCCCAAAGGCCTTGCCTCCAAATACCATCACATAAGGGTTAGGGTTTGAACATATAAATCTGGGGGGTGGACACAATTCAAGTCACAGAACTGCTATTAATGATCATAAACACACTATCAATGGAAAGTGGGAAGAACGGAGTTAATGTAGCTTATACACTTTGTGCTTCAAATGAATGATTTTGTTATAGTCACTCTAACAATGCTCTAAGATATCCACGGTGATTTTACAAATAAAGAAAGATGTCCATATTTTCTTTCCTCCTTCTAATAGCAAATCAAAAGTTATTTTGTCCTGAATGTCTATTGATGCCAATGTATACCAGACCTTTTTTTTTTGTATCGCAATTTTTAATATATTAGGGCTTTTTATTTCTTAGTGGTCATGAGTCATTTCAGGGCATTCTTTGAATACCTTATCTTCCTAGGTCACAGTAGATATTTCTAGGCAAAAATGTGGAGGAGGAAAGAGAAGATGGGGCTTGGCTCAAGGACATAACACATCCTTGTTTGACCTGAATCATCTTGGTCAATGTTTTGACCTGAATCATTTAATAAACACAAAAGGGAGATTATGTAAGAGGAGGTCTTTGAAAGAGGCCTGAAGTAAATCTGGGTGATTCAAGAATAAACCACAGGAAGGATGGAGCCTAAAATCATGGATTGCATAAGTTTATAAACCTTACCTTCTCTACCTAATCAAAATTGTCCTTGTAAAGGAGCCATCTCTTTCCCTAGTTCCAAGTAATAATTGCTAAATCTCTCTGAAAAAAAATGGAGTAAGTTGAGATCTGCAAAATTTTATTTTTAAGAAAAATGTAAGAAACATCAACTTCATGAAAATTAAAAATTTGTTTACATTAATTTAATTTCAACTAATGGCACTGCAAATATTTGGTTAATTTTTATGTAAAGAAAAGCAATCATGAAATTTTATTCATGAAAACCACAGTAACAAATGATGAAGTTGAATATATCTCAAACAAGTCAAATTGTGTGTTATCACCCAGTGCTGGGTCTAGAGTGTCCTTTTCTTAGGAAAAAAAAAAAAACCTACAAAATAGAAAAAGTATTATTTCAAAAAGGGCAGAAAATAAAAACAAAGAAAACTTTCTTCTAGAAATTAATCCTATGATGACTCATAGCCAAGTTCCAAAGATATCTATGCAATAATATCATCATAAATTCTTTAGAAAATTAAAACATGCATTCACACACATGCACACACACCTACATATACACACATGAACATCTGAAAACAATTTAGATATCCATCCTATGGCACATATTAATTAAAGCACAATCTTTGCTCATACAGGGAGAAAGTGAGTGTTCATCAAAAGGACACTAGGATTCTACATTTATGGACATAGAGAGATAATATCTTGTCAAGTGAAAAAAGCAGACCACAGGAAGCATGGACAGTATGATCTCATTTATACAAAATGTTCTCTGTGTGTGTGTGTGCATGTGTGTGTATGTGTGTGTGTATGCATGTATGTGTTTAGGTGCAGTGAAAGAAATGGAGGAGTACAAGAGTACCCATAAGAAATAATAGATTTCAGAGGATTTTCAACATAGTATTAGCAATTGACATTTACGTGATTGACAGAATTTCTTCTCTGTACTTTTCTAAACTGTTTGAATTATTTTTCTAAAACTTAAAAAAATTAAATACATCATAATACAAAGTATATATATAATCTATAAGTATAATTTTGAAATAATAAAGAGAAATTGTCATAGGTACATGCGAACCCATCACATAGTTTAAGATATATTGTTTAAATTATTTACAGTGGGTTAATATGATTTTATAATCAGAAAACGTGCATACACTTTTGGAATAAATGAGAATGAAAGGTCATATGAAACATCCATGCTCCTCATGGCTAATGCATCCCATCCTCTCCCACATTTGGTTTTGTCTTGTTTACCTACATGAAGCTATTAGTGTATATTACACCGCCTCATTTTCATTAAAGCCAGATCTTAGGAGGCCGAAGCGGGTGGATCACCTGATGTTAGAAGTTTGAGAACAGCCTGGCCAACATGGTGAAACCCCACCTCTACTAAAAATCCAAAAATTAGCTGGGCGTGTTGGGTCACGCTTGTAGTCCCAGCTACTCGGGAGGCTGAGGCATGAGAATAACTTGAACTTGGGAGGAGGAGGTTGCTGTAAGCCAAGATCATGCCACTGCACTCCAGCCTGGGCAACAGAATGAGACTCAGTCTCACACACAAAAAAATCCAGACCAAGCCTTAATTACTGTTTTCTTTCCACAAATCCCATAAACCTACCCCTAGCAGCCAGTACAGTGCCTAGTACATGGTAGATATTTGGCAAATACGAGTTGATACAAAAGATAAAAATTATAGACAGATTGATAAAATGTTTGTATAAAAAAGTTATCTCTTTAATTCACAAAGCCTTCCCTGTTTTCACGCCTAAATCAGTAGTGACCATAGACATTCTATTTCCTGCCTCGTAAGCTGCTGCACACTTATGAAAACCCTCTCTGTATAATCTAGCAATAATTTCTTATCAATATTTACTAAGCATCTGCTATGTGCCAAGCACTGTATTAAATTTTGGATATAATTTGGGGGATTTTGTGCAAAGGGCCTCATGACTGCCCCTAAGAGAATAATTAAAAGACAATATACTGGAAAATGAGGTGGAAAAATCAGGCTTCAAAGAGAAAATTCATTCTATAAATAAAAGCCCCATTGTATTACATGCATTTGAAATCTAAACCACCCTATTCTTTCTTAAACTTTATTTCAAGTGCTATAATTAATTCCCCAAATATTTTTCTCTTAATAAGGGTAAGTAAGTTTTCTCTTGGGTCTTTGCTACCATTTCCAAGTCCTCTTTTGACATGAAGATCCTTTCTTCATGGATCATTAGGGTCTGTATGAAGAATATTCTTTTTTTTTTTTTTTACAGTTTGAATAGACAAAAAAGGAAAATGCCCTATATTGTTCATTATCTACGCTTCAATCCCTGTGATAGATGCTCCACATACATGATCTCCTTTAATTCTCAAAATTACACTAGGAGCTCTGCATAATTATGATGTAACTAACACCCTACTCACCATCCTCCCCTTCCAAAGGTCGAAGTTGCTCTAGAAAGCAAAGTGGATAAAAGTAGCACTAACATTTCTCTCCCTGTCATTCTTACTTTACTCCTCTAAAATACAGTGGGTATTTTTTTAAGGCCATTAGAACCAATTTAAAAGAATTACTTTAGGACCCTCTTTAATGGGTATTGTAACTGGCTCTCATTTAGCACGTTTGCAGTAGGTAAATAAAGGTATAAATTGGGTGAAAACAGTTCTGGGAGGCGATGCCATTTTAATTCACTTCAGGTGTTCTTTATTTTACTTTGATGGTTTAAAGGTCAACTTTTCCATATTCCCAAATAAATTATTTTGCATTCCTATTTTTGTGACATGTAAATAGATATGCTCTCTAGAGACAGCATCGTAAGGGGTACTATATGCCTAAGACTTAAGGATGGATTCAATCCTGGTCTTGCCAGCGATGAGGCTCATGGTTTGGGATGCTGGTGTCCTCTGTTCTCATCAAGCCTGGCTATTTGTATCACTCTATTCTTTTCATCTGCAGTTTTTCAAACATTTTTGCACACAGCTACTGAGCACACCTTTATCTAAACCATCTTTTGCCATTATATTTCTTGGAGCAATTTCTTCTTTTTTTTTTTCTTCCTTATGTCATAAAATTGCTTCTGCTCTCAAACTTCCCAAGACTTTGAGCATTCAGAGCCCCTCCTTTCAATTGCTGAAGCACTTAGGGATGAAAGGTATGATGTGTGTAACTTTCACATGGTTCCAAAAGACGGTATGTAATATAGAGAATGATGAAGCAAATGTGATAAAATGTTAATAACTGTTTAAGTTCTTTTTATTCTTGCATCTTATTTGTGAGTTTAACTTTTTTAAAAATAAAGTATTTTGAAACAGCAATGACAAGACACAAACCCTTCTTTCAATGTTTTCTTCATTAAAACTGGATCCTGCCTAATCCCAGCCTAAATAAAATGTAGCAAGCACTTAGTGATTTTTTTATCTTCCATGGATGAATCCCACAGTTTAATAAACCCCACAGTTACCTTCCTCTCCCACTTTATGCCCATCTGTATCCCAGCCTAATTAGAAAGATCAGGATATAAGTACCAAAGGTATTGTTCTATTAAGAAACTAGTGATGGAAGACAAGTGTCTGTGCTTTATTCCTCTCTGTGTCTCTCACACAAGCCTGGCACTATGAGGGTACACAGTGTCTATTTAGTGACTAAATAATGAATGCCACTTGCCATCTCTTAAATACCAGACTTAAAGCTTCCTAACTGCCCCACCCACTGCCATACTCTGAGGGCTCACTTACTTCCTGAAATACATATGAAGCCCATCTGCCCACAAAGTACATACAAGGAACACATGGAGTGTCACAGATGTAGAATTCACAAGATCTTTAGGGATAAGGTTAACACAGGGGAGTAATGGACTCGATTTGATATTCTTTTTCTTTTTTTGAGACTGAGTCTCACTCTGTGTCTCCCAGGTTGGAGGGCAGCGGCGCGATTTCGGCTCACTACAACCTCCACCTCCTGGGGTCAAGCGACTCTCCTGCCTGCCTCAGCCTCCCAAGTAGCTGGGACTACAGGCACCTGCCACCACTCCTGGCTAATTTTTGTATTTTTAGTAGAGACGGCGTTTCACCATGTTGGCCAGGCTGGTCTCGAACTCCTGACCTCAGATGATCTGCCTGCCTCGGCCTCCCAAGGTGTTTGTGATTACAAGCGTGAACCACTGCGCCCGGCCTCAATTTGATATTCTTGCTGAAAGTGTACTAACAGGCAGATTCTGAATCTGAGGAGAGCCTGTAAATCCCCTTTTCATTAAAGCTCCCAGGTGATTCTAATATGTAGTTAGGATTTTGAAACAACTGTGCTTTGATTTTTACAAACTATGGTGCCTTATGAGATACTCCATAAGCCCCTGACACATACTCTCTGTTGGTTTGCCCAAGACCATGGGAGCCAGGCATGGTGGCTCATGCCTGTAATCCTAGCACTTTGGGAGGCCCAGGCGGGAGGATCACTTGAGGTCAGGAGCTGGAGACCAGCCTGGCCAATATGGCAAAACCCTGTCTCTACTAAAAATAAAAAAAGTAGCTGGGCATGGTGGTGCACGTGTGTAATCCCAGCTACTGGGGAGGCTGAGGCACAAGAATTGCTTGAACCCAGGAGATGGAGGTTGCAGTGAGCCGAGATGTGCCACTGCACTCCAGCCCAGGAAACAGAGTGAGACTCTGTCTCCAAAAAAAAGGAAAAGAAAAAGAAAGACCCCATGGCGGTTGCTACCATTTTTCAGGGTGGGCAGGGCTACATTCAACAATCACAAGCGCACAGGGATTTGTGCATTTCTGATGCTCCTGGCAGTGACTACACAAAGCATAAATCACTTTTATCCTTGTTTCCACGACTTGTGTTTGATGTCATTGCTACTAACATTGTGCATTGTGCTTCTTGTATTTTCTCCTTTAAGTTTTGGAAAACCTTTTCCAGGAAAGTACCATTCATGTTTTACAAACGAGGAAACGAAATCTCTAAGAGGCTAGATGTTCTTCAGAAGATATCATAGGTGAGCTGGGCTTTGATCCCAGGTCAGTGGAGCCCAAGAGCACACTTTTTCTTTTAGGTTCTCAGAACCCATTGCCTCTCTTGAGTCTGGTCTGTGTCTCTTCATCTTCTTAATATGGCTCTTTGGAGAAGGGATCTTTAGTTTATTTTATCTCATTACTATTGCAGGACGAACAATTTCAGAACAGTTCCTTGGATATGGGTGAAGTCCTTAGTGAGAGGTACACCCTTTCGACTCAATGTATTCATTCAGCATTGAGTATTACATTGGCAACCACTGTGCTAGAGTCTTGCTCTGTCTCCCAGGCTGGAGTGCAGTGGTGTGATCTTGGCTTACTGCAACCTCCACCTACCAGGTTCAAGTGATTCTCCTGCCTCAGCCTCCTGAGTAGCTGGAATTACAGGCATGCCCTACCAAGCCCAGCTAATTTTTGTATTTTTTAGTAGAGACAGGGTTTTATCATGTTACCCAGGATGGTCTCGATCTCCTGACATTGCGATCTGCCCTCTTCGGCCTCCCAAAGTGCTGGGATTACGGGCGTGAGCCACCGCGCCCGGCTGACACTATGGATTCTTAACATGTATCCCTAAAGTGTTTACGGATGGGGAGGTATGCCCTGTGAATTCTTAAAATTGTGTGTAGTAATTATATGTATACACATGCATTTTTTCTGGGGAAAGAGCACAGGCATACATTGGAGACATTGTGGGTTCAGTTCTAGACAATGACAATAAAGCAAATATTGCAATAAAGCAAGTCACAAAAACTTTTTGGATACCCAGTGCATATACAACTTATGTTGACACTATACTATAGTCTATTAACTGTGCAAGAGCATCATGTCTGAAAAACCAATGTACATACCTTAATTTAAAAATACTTTATTGCTAAAAGATGACTACACTGAGATAGGAAGTAAGCACATCATGCTGTTGGAAAAATGGTGCTCATAGGCTCATTCAATGCAGGATTGCCACACACCTTGAATTTGTTTAAAAAAAAAAAGAGCATCATGTCTGAAAAAACAATGTACATACCTTAATTTAAAAATATTTTATTGCTAAAACATGATGACACTGAGATAGGATGTAAGCACATCATGCTGTTGGAAAAATGGTGCTCAGAAGCTTATTCAATGCAGGATTGCCACAAACCTTGAATATGTAAAAAAAAAAAAAAAGCAAAATCTGTGAATCACAATAAAATGAAGTGCAATAAAATGAGGTGTGTCTATACACAGCCTTCACTGGATTTTCAAGGAATTTATGACCTTCAGCACTTAAGCAGCAATAAAGTCTTTGTCTACTCTTAGGGTCTAAGATTCCAAATAATGGGCATCTCCTATCTTGAGAACTCTTAATAGGCAGAACACCATTCTCCACTCCAACATTTGGAAGCATATATCCATAAAGATAATACTATCAGTTAATATTTACTGAACATTTACCATATGTCAAGCACTGTTCTAAGATGCTTAAATGTATTAATGCATTTATTCCTCACAATAATCAAAATGAGAGAATAGATGTGAGGAACAGAGAGGTTAAGTCACTTGCCTGAAGTTGCACAGTAAGTATCAGGGCTAGAATTTCAGCCAGGAAGTCTTTTCCTACAAGCAACACCCAGTGCAATTCACTACCTCTATAGAAACAAAGAAATCAGCCTACACTAATTTCTTGTGTACTTTTGGAGGTTCAGACCAATGTAATGCACTTGCAGTGAACACTCTGGAGATGCACACCTATAGCCCATAGAAACTTGCCCATGATCTGAGTAAGAAGCCCGTATGTACATAGTTTAGATCAAAACAAGGCAAACTAGGGAAAATACTACATTGGCTGTACATGCAAAGAGTAGCAGGGAAAACCATAAAGGAAATATGTTTTATTTGGACAACCTAGAAATACCTTATGGCAGTGGGAATGTCATTCCAGGCCCAGCAGTGTGGATGTTCAAATGATGGTTAATTTTATATGTCCTGTCAACTTGGCTCAGCCATGGTACCCAAATTATTGGTAAAATACTAATCTACATGTTATTATAAAGATAATTTTAGGTGAGATTAACATTTAAATCAGTAGACTTTGAGTAAAGCAGATTACCCTCCATAATGTGGCTGGGCCTCGTCCAATCAGCTGAAGGCCTCAAGAGGAAAAGGCAAATGACCCCTAAGTAAGAGGAAATCCTGCTTCCAGATTTTCCAAGTAGACTTTCCAAACAGAGCTACAATATCAACTTTTCCTTGAGTCTCCCACCTATTATCCTGCCCTTCAGATTTCAAACTCACCAGCCCCACAATGATATAATTTCTTAAAATAAATCTTTCTCTGTACACACACACACACACACACACACACACACACACACATTTTATCAGTTCTGTGTCCCTGGAGACCCCTAACTAATATAGTTTATGTTGTATTTTCCAGTGGCAAATATCCTGGTATGGCTGTAATGTAACTGTGTAATGATTATTTAAAACACAAGGCAGAAGACATTGGCTGAGGCCAGGTCATAGAGGACATTAAATACCAGGTGAGAGAACTTGTATTTCATTTTGTATGTAATGGAGAGTCATTGAAGGAGTCTCAGGAGAAGAGTACACAAAGATCTTTGGAAAATCTTATTTAATAATAGCATGCAGGATGAATTTGTGGTGGCCAAGACAGCAGGCATGGTCCCAGTTAGTTGAATACTGAAACCACTCAAGTGAGAGAATTGAAGGATCCCTAGGATGCAAAAACTAATTGGATGGAGTTGGTGATGAAAAGAGATGAGTGAATGATAAAAGTTTCAAAAGGCTGATTTTTGCTGAGTCATTCTAGGAGATTGTTTTCCCAAAATACTTTTACAAAAGACACAGCCTATTTACATTATTGGATGGAAAGGGAGCAGAATAATGATGTTTTTGAGGCTCTGGAAGTGGGTTTGCTCTTTCTTTCCCTTTTGCCTTCCACTATATGACGATGCAGTAAGAAGGTCCTCATCAGATGCCAGCACCTTGACCTTGAACTTCCCAGCCTCCAGAACTATGAGGAATAAATTCTGTTCTTTATAACTTACCCAGGTGGTGGTGTTAGTTATAGCAGCACAAAGTGAACTGAGCCATTTCTATAGCTTAAGCTCTATCACTTCAGTTTCCTTAAACAGGACATGGCTCTTATACATGTACCTACAAAATGTAAAATATTAGACGTGATATTGTATGGTGAGTGCCTGCTATGGTGTCTGTCATATAGCGATTCCCGTCCCACACCCCCTGCCAATTTCAGTTACAAAAAAGAAAAAATCCAAGTGATTGGTATCAAGGTATTCCCCCCACTACTCAGATCTGCTGGCCTGATTGTAGGCAGAATAGGGAAAGATTCATACCAGGCAACGTAGTGTGAAGAAACAGTAGCAACTCCAGGTTTTCTACATAGGAGCCACAATTAGATTAGCAATGGGGTAAAGAGGAATTTGTCTTGAGGTTGTGTTTTTGTATTGAACACATTACATTTACCTAGGCCCTCTTGACTCAAAGGGTGGTCCACACACTAGCAGCATTAGCATCATCACAGAGCTTGTTAGAATCTCAGGTTTCATTCCAACCTATTGAATCAGAATCTCATTTTAATAAAATAACCCGTTGTGCACACATTAAAATCTATGAAGCCCTTGATTAGGCTGTATATGACGGGGTGGCTTAGAAGGGCATTGACAGAGATCATGAGGTAGGGAATACTGCCTTTCCACCCCTAACAAGCCAACCCTCCACATCAACTCTACGTTAGGAGAAATAAAACAAATAGCTATTGATATGATTTGGTTGTGTCCCCACCCAAATCTCATCTTGGATTGTAATCCCCAGAATCCCCAAGTGTCACGGGAGAGACCCTGTGGGAGGCAATTGTATCATGGTGGGTGGGTTCCCCCATGCTGTTTTCATAATAGTGAGTGAGCTCTCACAAGATCTGATGGTTTTATAAGGAGTTTCCCTGCTCTTTCTAGCTCTTCTCTCTCCTGCTGCCATGTGAAGAAGGTCCTCGCTTCCCCTTCCACCATGATTGTAAGCTTCCTGAGGCCTCCCCAGCCATGTAGAACTGTGAGTCAATTATACCTCTTTCCTTTATAAATTACCCTGTCTCGGGTATTTCCTTATTGCAGTGTGAGAATGGACTAATACAGCTATGGAGAAATCCTAGGGTCACCATATTTAAGAGTGCAAGGAAAGGATTAGGAAGATAAAAGAGCAAAACAATTACCCTAAAGGGTTGTTTCCAAACATAAATAAATGAGCCCAAGAATAATTTTTTAAATTATCTTTTTAAGAGAAGCCAAATATATAGCAAATAAATATAATCAAAACTGTTCTGCCTAAGATAGATCATGTGGGACCCAAAGAAGTCCTTCCCCTGCCTCCGCCCAGGCTAACTCAAAGCTACCTCCTCAGAAACCTAGTTTGTAAGTCGCTGCCCTAGAAGCACTTGCTTTTACAGGTAAATCAGGGTATGATGTGTTAGAGCCAGGGGAAGTGACCTGGACTTAGGTCCTTGTCCTTAGCTGAACCAAGTGAGTGCATAAGCCACATACCAGGGTGTTCTGTTTGATTGCACCCAGATTAAGGGTCAGCAAATCAATGTCTGCAACTCACGGCTTCCAAGTCAGCTCCACAGGGGTAGATAGCAGATCTGTGGGTGGCTCCAGAACTCAGCTAAGGAATTCAGGCATTCATAAGCAACTAGGACAGACCTCTCCTGTTTAAGCAGTATATCACCCCAATGCCTAATAAGGTACTTCTCAAGACCTATTTCACAGGTGTAGTACATCGGGAGGTAGACAGACCTAGGAAAGAAATGAAGCTCACAGTTGTTGGTGCAACTGTTTAAATCAAGAGAATAGGGCTTAGAACTAAATTATCATTGTTAATCCCCCAAATACACTGTGACTAGAAGTCAGTAAGAAGATCGAGTTTGTTGCAAGGCATCATCAGTTTTGTAAACACAGGCAGAAGCAAATGGATTTCCAGGGGTGAAGGTCTGATTTTCCACTCAGCTTCTTATTAAATAGAAATTCAGAGGCTGGAGGAGGTCAGATGGAAGGTACCATGGAAGAGGGAATACATACCAATGTGTGGAAATTCTAACGTTTTATCTTGGTGGTCTCAGTAACCTGGGATAGGCTGTTGAGACTGCCAGTGTATTAAAATCACAAATGCATAAGGGGATAAATATGTCTTGTGGGTGAAACAGTAATTTTGAGTAGATAATATTAATTATTTTTATAACCAAGTTTGATTGAATGGTAATAGCAGATCTGCTGTGATTATTAGTGCAATGAGGTTAGCTTGCATTTAAGTTCCTACGATCTCCCAGATACTTCACATGTATTATGCTACCCTTGTTCATTACTGATTCTCCAGGAGCTAGAACATTTCCTGGTGCATAAGAGGAGTTTGACATGGGTATATAAAATAAATGTATAAATAAAGGAAAATCCCCTCACTAACCCCTAAGGAAAGTTATTAAAATTTTCATCATCCAGAGAAAGAAAAATAAACTTGGAGAAATAAATTGTCTTTCCCAAGATCCAAAAGATACCAAGTGTCAGAGTCAAGATGGGGCTAGATCTCTTCCCAGTCTGGGATAGGTATGAATCATCATGGTAACTAGGATGCTTAAATACTTATTTTGTGATAAATACTGCAATAAGAATTTTACACATTTTTTTCATCCTCTATCCAACTGCTTATAAGGTAGGTATTAGTGCTCCCATTTAAAATAAAGCCATGCAAGATTAAATGACTTCTCAAGTCCTCATAACAGATATGTGCCAAGGGCAGAAATGGCTGACTGCAAACCCTAGCTATTCATCACCTTGAAACCCCCTATGTCCTTCTCCAACATGCACATGTGACTCACCCATAATGAGCCTGGACTTACAATGTCAGTATGTGGCTGTATACCTTGCTCTGAAAACCCAACAAATGAATACAAGCCTTAGAAGAGCATATTCTAATGCTTTCAAGGAGTTAGTGAGGAGAAAGTCTACCTACAAACTTTTTTGGATTAGAATATTCCAGGTTAGTTTTCTTTGATCTGTCCACTAACTAATAATGACATGACCTTCAGCAAACAACTTATGGAATTTACAAAATGCAGACTATTTCTCCAGACTTGGGACCCTTGAAAAGCAAAAACTTTTGCCTTCCATTTCTGTCTTCCTGATCCCTAGTGTAGTGCCTGGCACAGGGAAGTTCTTAATAAAGGTTAGAATTAAATAAATTAGCAAATCAATAATTAGTTGATCTGTAAGTTCTTCCCTTCAAGTTCTAATATTTTTATTATATATAATTCTAGTAACCTTGAGGATTAAAATACTACCATGCTAAGCCATTCCATATTTTTCCTTATCAAGAAATAGCTCTAAAGGAGTTATAATAGACACAATGGTTTCCAGCCCAAATGAAGAAGTTAATAGACTGGGAAGCTGGGTCCAGAAAACTTCTCTACTTAAGAGTAGATACCAAAAGTGGCAGACGTGTTGCCATTAAAATTGGATTATACTATAAATTCAATGCAATTCTGATTAATTAGCGGTCACTTTAACTGAAATATTACTGGTAACAGTTATTGCCAAGAACACAAGTAGCTGGTTCTCCTACACCAACTCACAGGGTGTAGAAAAAATGTTGCTTTCTGTAAGTAGTAGCTGAGTGATATTCTCACTTGCACCCTCTTAAATATCAGACAAAACTTGGTAAGATTTCTTTGGATAGTATCAACATCTCACTTTCACATAGCACTTGTCAGCCTACCAAGCACTTTGGCTTTCATTATTTCATTTGATCTTCAACAAGCCGGGGAGATGTGCAAGGGTGGAGAAAACAGAAGTTTCAAAGAAGTCATATGGTTTTCTCAAGTGTACAATATGGCAGGAAAATACCATAATACAAGTCTTATTATCCCTTTGGTGAATCTTCCGGCCCTTCTTAAACATGAGGCAAGTTCTACCTGCCTCCACAGAGGCAGCATGGTCTAGTGAAGCTAGCATTGATTTAGATGTTAGAGAGAACAGTTTAGGTTCATCACTGACCATCGCTATCAGTAGGAAATCAAATAAATAACTTAGGAACATCAATTCCCTTATTCATGATATAGGGATTATACTCTCTTCTTCCCAAGGTTAGTTTGAGGACTAATTATGATGGAGCGTAAAATGTACCTGTGTATGTTAAGTGTACCATATATCAGTTCTTCTTCACCTTCCCCCTGAAGAATGTGCTTACTGTGCAGAGTAATTTTTCCAAAGACAGAGATCTTGAGATGCTATGAAAATCAAAAGTGGTGTACAGGACCAAAAGGAGGAGTCCCTATTAGATTTCCCAGGAGACTACCTACATGGGGTCTTTTTACAATGGGAAGCAGAAGCAAAGTCTTTTCCTTTATGGCTAGTGAGGATCAATATAGTTGTATACAAACTACTTCAAGGCAACACAGAAACATAAAAGGATAGTTGGTGGCTCACTTCAAAAAGGCCCCCTTACAGGCTACTAAATTTCATGGGGCATTAAATTGGTGGCCCTTATTCACTTCAAGGACTCACTCCTTAATTTTTCCTGCCTCCATACTGATGTGAAAGGAGATGAAATATTAGGGATATTGCCTGAATGATACTAACACAAAGTATAGATGGCGTACTGAAGTTTCCACAGTGTTCTCCATAGACACACATTATTGCATGTAATTTTCCCAATAATCCTCTACAGTAGGCACTACTACCCTCTTCAACTTAGAGATAAAACTGCAAGACAAGGATGCCCTCTCTCACCACTCCTATTCAACAAAGTGTTGGAAGTTCTAGCCAGGGCAATCAGGCAGGAGAAAGAAATAAAGTGTATTCAATTAGGAAAAGAGGAAGTCAAATTGTCCCTATTTGCAGACGACATGACTGTATATTTAGAAAATCCCATCGTCTCAGCCCAAAATCTCCTTAAGCTGATAAGCAGCTTCAGCAAAGTCTCAGGATACAAAATCAATGTACAAAAATCACAAGTGTTCTTATACACCAATAACAGACAAACAGAGAGCCAAACCATGAGTGAATTCCCATTCAGAATTGCTTCAAAGAGAATAAAATACCTAGGAATCCAACTTACAAGGGATGTGAAGGACCTCTTCAAGGAGAACTACAAACCACTGCTCAAGGAAATAAAAGAGGACACAAACAAATGGAAGAACATTCCATGCTCATGGGTAGGAAGAAGCAATATCATGAAAATGGCCATACTGCCCAAGGTAATTTATAGATTCAATGCCATCCCCATCAAGCTACCAATGACTTTCTTCACAGAATTGGAAAAAACTACTTTAAAGTTCATATGGAACCAAAAAATAGCCCTCATTGCCAAGTCAATCCTAAGCCAAAGGAACAAAGCTGGAGGCATTACGCTACCTGACTTCAAACTACACTACAAGGCTACAGTAACCAAAACAGCATGGTACTGGTACCAAAACAGAGATATAGACCAATGGAACAGAACAGAGCCCTCAGAAATAATACCACATATATACAACTATCTGATCTTTGACAAACCTGACAAAAACAAGAAACGGGGAAAGGATTCCCTATTTAACAAATGGTGCTGGGAAAACTGGCTAGCCATATGTAGAAAGCTGAAACTGGATCCCTTCCTTACACCTTATACAAAAATTAATTCAAGATGGATTAAAGACTTAAATGTTAGAGCTAAAGCCATAAAAACCCTAGAAGAAAACCTAGGCAATACCATTCAGGACATAGGCACGGGCAAGGACTTCATGTCTAAAACACCAAAAGCAATGGCAACAGAAGCCAAAATTGACAAATGGGATCTAATTAAACTAAAGAGCTTCTGCACAGCAAAAGAAACTACCATCAGAGTGAATAGGCAACCTACAGAATGGGAGAAAATTTTCTCAATCTGCTCATCTGACAAAGGGCTAATATCCAGAATCCACAAAGAACTCAAACCAATTTACAAGAAAAAAAACAAACAGCCCCATCAAAAAGTGGACGAAGGATATGAACAGACACTTCTCAAAAGAAGACATTTATGCAGCCAACAGACACATGAAAAAATGCTCATCATCACTGGCCACCAGAGAAATGCAAATCAAAACCACAATGAGATACCATCTCATGCCAGTTAGAATGGCGATCATTAAAAAGTCAGGAAAAAACAGGTGCTGGAGAGGATGTGGAGAAATAGGAACACTTTTACACTGTTGGTGGGACTGTAAACTAGTTCAACCACTGTGGAAGACAGTGTGGCGATTCCTCAAGGATCTAGAAATAGAAATACCATTTGGCCCAGCCATCCCATTACTGGGTATATACCCAAAGGATTATAAATCATGCTGCTATAAAGACACATGCACACGTATGTTTATTGCAACACTATTCTCAATAGCAAAGACTTGGAACCAACCCAAATGTCCATCAATGATAGACTAGATTAAGAAAATGTGGCACATATACATCATGGAATACTATGTAGCCATAAAAAAGGATGAGTTCATGTCCTTTGTAGGGACATGGATGAAACTGGAAACCATCATTCTCAGCAAACTATCACAAGGTCAAAAAAAAACAAACACCGCATGTTCTCACTCATAGGTGGGAACTGAACAATGAAAACACTTGGACACAGGAAGGGGAACATCACACACCGGGGCCTGTCGTGGGGTTGGGGGAGGGGGCGGGATAGCATTAGGAGATATACCTAATGTAAATGACGAGTTACTGGGTGCAGCACACCAACATGGCACATGTATACATATGTAACAAATCTGCACATTGTGTACATGTACCCTAGAACTTAAAGTATAAAAAAAAAAAAAAACTGCAAGTCACTTGCAAGACACCAAGTGATAGAGGTAGACACCAGGTGATAGAGGTAGGGCCTGGATCTGGATCCTTGAACCCTCTCTCCAATCTTTTGTTATTTC
The DNA here is from genome assembly GCF_000001405.40 of Homo sapiens. Lineage (NCBI taxonomy): Eukaryota > Metazoa > Chordata > Mammalia > Primates > Hominidae > Homo > Homo sapiens. The sequence continues at coordinate 117,657,456 of NC_000009.12, read as the reverse complement.
TAGAACACACTGAGTCGGCTCTCCACAGTTATGAGATGAGCCACAATTCTGGATATTGAACTTCCTTTCTAAGATCACATTATTTTTGTCTAAATCATGGGTTACTGAGGGAAGATTATCTTCAGGGTAAAGGCAAAATGAGTAGAGATGATCCAAGCTCCAATGTTAAGTCATAGAGTCACATGCAGTAAGCATTCCACATAGCACTCTACTGTGAATATTTTTATCATTTCAAAATTCAAGGCTTCTATAAAAATATCTATTCACAGCTCTGCCTCTTGGGTTCACCATGGTGTCTACCAACCTAGAAAGAAAGAATTGTAAAAAAGACTCAAACAAAAACTCAGCATCCTTACCTTCTAGCCATATCCCCACAGCATCTGTCATTCTAGCAGATCCTACCAGATATTAAGAAACATTAACATTTTATTTCTTCATTCACACATTTTATTATAAATGCAATAAATCTTATCTTAGATATAATCCCTAATGAATCCAATGAACAATTCATGTCAGTCCATGACTAAATACAGTTTTCATAAGGTTTAAACAAATGCTATGAGAAGTCTCTCACTAAGATATGCCCAGAGGTACAAACAATTCTTAGATATCCTTTTCAGCCACTGTATTAAATTGAAACAAATGATATGTGCTTATAGTTACATGTTGTTGAAAGTCTAAGAGTAATTTCTACAAGATTAATTGAATGATCAGACACATTAAATGCTAATAAGCAGTTATTACCTCCCTGTCACCTATCAATAACAACATTTATAAAATCAAAACATAGTTTTTCCCCATAATATCCAAGTTTGTTCATTCAAGAGATATCATACAAAAACTAAGTCCAGTTCAACTCTGTAGATACAGAGACAGCTGGCTGGGAGGTCTGTGTGTTCTCAACCTGGCTCCCACTGGTAGTAAGTTGGGGACTCCTGAATGACTGCAGGGCTGGAAGTGCTGCATTAATTTTAATTCAACCAAATCACAAGACTCTCACCTAGACCCCAACTTTCTTGATACATAATCCTCTGAAGTATGGTTTTCAGGATTCCTAATACCTAGAAGATTAAAAGCAGAAAATTAGAAGCTGAGTAAGAGCTTTCCAGACAATAAGAAGGGAGACAGAAAAAATCACAAAATGCAGCCATAAGAATTTAAGAAGCAGCATAAATGAAGCTATTTAGTAAAAGGGCAAAAGCTCGGCATGCCTCAATAGGACATGTCTCATGAGAAACCAGTGTGATAATGGATGAGATCATTACACACAGTGCCAAGCACAACGTAAGCACCCAATACATAGAAGCTATTTAAAATGCTAAGAAACAAGACACCAAGGCACTACTGTATTAGGGTATGGTATCAGATCAGATGTTTATAATGCCAATTTCAAACAATCACATAAAAGTAAAACAAAATCTATCAGTTTCTATAGAAGATTAGTTTGTAATCTTCTATTTAGAAAGAATTCTGTAAACATGATTAAAAAGGCCAGTATGTTCTTTTGAAAGAAATAAGCTTCAGTTTTCTAAAAAAGTCAATTAAGTAGAATATCTTATTTTCTGAGAATGTCACACAAATGGGGACAATCTTATGAGCATTCACCATTGTAATCTGTTTGGTACTTTTACACTGGATTAGAGGTTATACATCGCTTATCCTAAATTACCTATTTTCCTTCCGGCAGGTCAGCCAGGTCTTTCCTTAGGGCTCTGTCTGCTCTTGGTTCTTATGTGCTCTCCATATCCACTTCACATACTCATCTAATGCGTGGATTCATCCATGCTTTATTCATCACCTATCTCATTGCACAAAAGGTTTGTGGTGGCTTACAGGAAAAACATACAACCTGATAGTGAGAAATGAATATATACATAAAAATGAGGATAAAGGAATAGATTTCAGTGGAAATACTTGTTTGCAGGTAGGCTGCATCCAAAATAGAGAGCAGGCATGGTGGATGTGTCTGGCAAGCAGGTGGCCCAGCTGAAGCCTAATTCATAAGAATCACCACGGGATGTGAGTGGGAGAGGCAGTGTATAGATAGATATGAACAGGTATAGATAGAGATAGATATCAATATTTATATAGATTTTTATAGGGAGACACTAAATGAATATCTATAGGGAGATAATAAATGAATATTCATAGAGATATGTATAGGTAGATACAGATATCTATATAGGTATAGATATAGACAGATCAGTGTCTGCATTGATATTTATATCTATAGATATCGGTATTTATAGATGGCTATCTCCCTATATCTATATCTACATCTATATCTGTATAATTTTCTATAGATCTGTGTCTATGTCTATATTTACCTACGAATGAAAGGTAAGGACAGCTGAGTCAGGTGACCCAAGAACAAAGTCTAATCATCAGAGTGGATCATAATTTCAGGTACAGTACTAAGACCGTTCTTTGAATCTGTTGCTAAGCCAGTGAACTGGAAGGGTATATGTGCTGCAAGCAGACAGTGAAAGCTCTAGTTCAGCAAATGCAGGCAAGCAAGGAGGAACAGTCTACACTGCCATAGGACCTCTCTAATAAGCTGTAACATAAATGGGGGAGGAGGAGGAGTTAAATATCCCCTTCAACTTTGCCTCAGGCTTCTGAGAATCTCTTGCTCTGTGATGACTCAAGGGATGAACGGTGGCACTGGCAGGTCAGTGGCAACCACTGTTAGGAAACTTTAGAACCACGGAGAAACCATGGTGCACAGTGGACAGAGAAGCAGAAATACCCTCCAAGGAAAGTCGTGTCACATGGAAAAGAGGTGTCACGGCAGGGGTTGGCGAAGCAAGGATGGCCACCAGTGCACCATTGCTAAATTAGTCACAGTGGCCATGCAGACTGCTACAACTTCTGGATGGGAACAAATGCTTTGCTTAGGTTTTTATAATACATAAAACAGAAAATAAAGCAAAGGCCACAGAGACTAAAGGAAAGGAGGAAGAAAGCACAGGAGGTGCATGAACTTTGGCTGGAGAAGGTTTTCCTTGAAGCACAAAGAAAGGCTGCACAGAGATGCGGGTGAATAAGTTTTTAGCTAATTTATTTTTAGCTAATTTATTTTTGTATGTGTGGTTTGTTTTATGGAATTGTGACAGAAAGGCTGGAAGGAAAACGTAGGACATTTTAATGAGTGTGGATGTGGCCTATGCATGGCATTACTGTAGTGTTATTTGAGGATTGCAAGTAAAGATGAATGTATGCTGAAAATGCTTTTGGGTGATTGGACCATATTCTCCATTATAGTTCCTAGGACTGGACCAGAAAGGACATGGCTTTGTAAGAGCTTTCCTAGCAATGTCTTTTTGGCCATCTGTGGGAAATTCTGCTGTCCAACACAGCAGAAGTTCCTGAGGGAACACGGGGAGCTGCAAAGCAAAATGTGTCCCTGAGCATACGTAAGAAACTTCCAGGAATTAAATAAAACAACAACAACAACAACACTCTTCAGGGGATGGGAGAGGAGGAGGTTTTGCAGGAGGAGAAAAAATGGACAAGTCCTGTGTCAACGGGTGTGGCAGGGAGATACTACAACTTGAATTATCGCTCATAATGAATTCACAGACTGGTAAATTGGGAAAATGTGGATTTTATGTGAGTTATAATAAGAGGATTCCCCCATGTGTTTATAAGAAGATTGTTCCCAATCACCTAAAAGGAAAATAAAACTTATTTTCATATGGCAGAAGAAGCTCACCATAATCTGGCTTTCACTTTTGCCTCATCCTTTAGACGCCTTCCGTTGTAATCAATGCTCTAGATCAATGATCCTCAACTGCAGGAGACTGTGTCACTCTGCTCAGGAACACTTGGCAATAGACATGGAGACATTGTTGATTGTCACAGTGAGGGGATGGAAAAGGATGCTACAGTCACTAGTATCTGGTGAGTAAAAGTCAGCGATGTTTGCTAAACATCCCACCATCTGCATGACAACCCCTAAAACTATGATTACCTGGCTCCAAATGTTAATAGCACCCAAGGTAAGAAACTTTACTCCAGATTCATTTAATGGTTTGTAATTTTTTGCCTTGACTCCTGATGTACCCAGTTGATCTCTGACACATCTCTTCCCTTTTCCTGGAAAATATTCCCCATTACAAGCAACAATCAAACTCTTTGTTGTCCATATTCCCACTCAACTCTTATAATCTCTTCAAAAACTTCTTTGGCTTTCAGAGAATGACTTGGGTGCTGTTTCCCAGATTGTGCTGCTGCGTTTTGTGTATACTTTCATTATGGCAATATCATAATTATTGGTAATTTCTTAATGCCCCTCCCCACTATACTGTAAATTCAACTAGGCAGGGAGGGCCCAGACCTTTTCATTACTGTATCTCCTACACTTGGCCTTGTGTGATCAGTAAATATTTGTTGAGTAAATAAATAAATAATTTAATCTCAGGGGCACTTTCTTTGATTTTAAAGATTGGGCAAAATAACATCTGCCCTCTCTTCACATATTTCCTTTTTTTTTTTTTTTCAGACAGAGTCTCACTACTCTGGAGTGGTGAGTAGACTCACTCACTAGACTGGAGTGCAGTGGCACAATATTGGCTCACTTTAGTCTCTGCCTCCCAGGTTCAAGCAATTCTTGTGCCTCAGCCTCCTGAGTAGCTGGAACTACAGGTGCATGCCAGTATGCCTGGCTAATTTTTGTATTCTTAGTAGAGATGGATTTCATCATATTGGTCAGGCTGGTCTCGAACTCCTGACCTCAGGTGATCCACCTGCCTCAACCTCCCAAACTGCTGGGATTACACTTGTAAGTCACCACACCCAGCCACATATTTCTTATCATGATTGAATGAGATAATGGATAGCAAATTTTAAAATATGTTCCATAATGATAATAGCTTCCATTTGCCAGGCACTTTCTATGAGCTTGCTGCTGCATTAGCTGCTTTCCATGTAACACTACTTATTGTCCCACATTAGTAAGATGAGTATTATTGTTCCCCTCTGAACTGATAGAGACAACAGGAACTTACAAAGGATTCTTAAGGCATCAGGAATTCGAGTGATTTGTCAAAGATCATAGAGTTAGTAAATAGTAGATCTGAGGCTCAAATCCAAATTTTGGGAGTGAAGACATGGGTGTAAACCTTGACATCACTGCAAAATCCTGAAGGTTCAAAGATAGGGAGATTCCTAAAGAGAAAATTTATCCAACATAGTCAAGGAAAGAATTTTTATTGCTTTTATCTTACCAACAGTGAGAACTTCCTTGCAGAACCTGGAGTTTTAACAGCACAATTGCCCCACCTGATTAATCAGAATTGCTGTTTGTTTGTGCATGGAAGATAACTCATTATGGCAAATATGCATTATAAGGCCATAATATATGCATTTATTCAATTAAGTCTAATGTATTATTTAAGGCTTGGTGTGTGATATTTATCACTAGCAAATGCTAATTTATACAGATTATCAGAGTCTAATTAGGTATACAGCTTGTGAGGACAGTCTGTTACTTGGAAGGTACAGCCATGACTTACTCTACTCCAGACCAGTATATTTATCAAAAGGTTTGGCAACATGGGCCACATATACACTTTAGTCTATAAACAGTTTTAAAGGTAAATGATTGGACTCCATTGCCATGCCTTCCTCTATTCCTTGTAAATCCACTGCCAGCATCTTGCAACAGTTCCACTGACCCAGGAGGGTTTCCTTAGAATCATGCATCCTCTTGCACATCGATGCACAACTCTGCCAACCAGAGTTGGTGCTGGTTGAGCAGTTTTCTTCCCATAAAACCAACACACCTATATGCTTTAGTTAGGAGACAATGGAGCTCTTGAAACATTCACTCAACAAACAAGTACTGAAAAATCTACTCTATGCCAGGGTTTGTATTGGACATGGAGGATACAAAGATGAATGAGGCCAGGTCCCTGCATCAACCATCAGGATTATACAGACCTCTAGAGCACACGTTTAGCATCCCACATTTCTGGGATAGAGCCAGGGCTCTGTCATTGACCAGCTGTAACGCTCAAATGCCCAGTTTCCTCATCTATAACAGAATTTATCTCTACTTATAATATTGTTACAAGTATCAAAGAAGTTACTGTTTGTGATACTGGATATAAACCAGCTCTCTCATCCATGCAGAATCAGCCCTTGGGTTCTCTGCATCTTCATTCCAGAATTTCAATCATGCCCAACATTTCTTGGTTTCTTCTGAAGATTTCACTATAGTTTTCCTATGGCGATGAAAGTATAGTTTATAGTTCTTGTTCTCCAGCTATCTACCTTAAAAATCTTTATCAGAAACGTTCCTTTCTCCAAGTAGCTTTTTTTTTCTTGCCCCCCTTTCCCCAGAAAGAACATACCCCATTCTCTATGGTCCTCACCAGGTCAGCTCTCTTTTCAAATTTCCATGCCTTTCACATCAGAAAGAAATTCCTGAGGTTTAAAGGATCCAACTGGGCCAAGGGATCTTTGAAAAATCCTACCTCTGTCAGCTGCAATTCTTGCCCATTTGTGTGGGATGCATTGCTCTTGATTTGGGAAAACGATGGACTTGATACTTTATCACTGTATATGAGCTGCTGAGTTACGAAGGGATCATTTCTATGAAACTAAAGAAAAAGGGAAAGAAAGAATTAGATGTCTTTCAAACAAGACAAATGCACTATCAACTTTAAATTTTGTAAAATCTTCTGGAAGGTTACATGTCTCCCAGCTGCCGGCATAAAAGTATCAATTCCTGATAGCCTTGGACCGTTTTTGTTGTCAGGCTTGAGGCTATTTTACCAGAAATTATGGAGACGAAATATTGAGCAAAATGAAACAGAGCAATGTAAGTTCCCATTATTTTAGTGTAACCATTTCTTCAACTTAAGAAGAGTTAAAATAATTGTATTTACCACCATATATGCCCCACAAGGATTCATTCTATAATTAACATGATATAATAGTAGTATAATCAATGAAGTAAGCAAGCCATTAAAAAGGGGGGAGATCGGATCTCAACACATCCTTGCACCTGATCTTCCTCCACTCCTTACTCACCCTTTTCTTCAACTAAAGGGCACTTCTGTTCTCATAGATGCCTGACAATCACTCCTCTCCCGCTTTGGGGTTTTCTCCTGTTATTTTCTTAGTCTAGAAGAATCTCCCTGCCCACCTCCACCTATACATGCCAAAGTCTCACCCATCCTTCAAAGCTCAGCTCAAAAGCAATTAATTTTTTGAGCCCATGCTACATACTAGACACTGATTAGTTACTCTATATTAACTCACTGAATTCTCATAACCACCCAAAGTTGAGAACTTTTATTATCCCCATTTCACAGACAATGGCACTGAGACCCAGAAAGATTGATTAATGGACTTCCCCCAAATCAAAGAACTCGTGTTTGGTGAAGCTGGAGTTTGAATCCTGTGATCTAACGGCAGAGTCTCATGCCCTAAACTTCTATGCTCAATGCCTTCTGTGATTGTCTCTTGGAATGTTTTTCCCTCCTTTGAGTTTTCTATATGTTCACTTTATGTTACTTTAGGTTCAGTTCTTTTAAGACACTTTTCATTCGATTTTTTTGTTTTTGAGACAGGATATTGCTCTATTACCCAGGCTAGAGTGCAGTGGTGCAAGCATGGCTCACTGCAGCCTCGACCTCCAAGACTCAAGTGATCCTCCCATCTCAGCCTCCCAGGGAGTTGGGACTACAGGTGTGTACCACCATGCCCATTATTTTTTTGTTTGTTTAGAGATGGAGTCTCACTATGTTGCCCAGGCTGCTTCTGAATTCCTGGGCTCAAGGGATCCTCCTGCTTTGGCCTCCCAAAGTGCTGGAATTACAGGAATGAACCACGACACTTTGCCTTCACATTCTACCTTGCATTTAAATTATGTCTCCCCCTTAGCTTTCTCCTAGTAGACTAGTTGAGGGCTTAACCCACTTGTTTTCCTTGTTGACTTTTTAGAAAAGAACACATGATAGGAACCCCGTCAATATACAAGCATAGAAACCGTGGACCAGAATAAAACCACACAATTTTTCTGCAGAATGAGTGACATCCAAGAGGTCACTCTCAAACAATGGAAATTTAGGGAAATAGTCTGTGGTTAAACAAAGGATTTTCCCCCTTACTCATGCAATACTTTGGGCTGGAACGTTGGTTTATAAACTGACTGATTATGAGTGTGCTGGGGACTTTTAAAAAAAAAAAAAAGAGTAGAAGATTTGTCTTCTCAGCAGGAAATGAGGAGGGAAAGATTAGGCAACTGTAAAGAAGCCAATTTGTTTTTTTCAAACATGAAAGGAGAAAAATATATAATTTAACCAAGAAATTATCTCCAAATGCCCAGGGAACCCCCTGCTTGTCCAAACAGACAAAACACTCAAACATTCTGTGTGTTTTTGCAGGATGTCAATTTGGCGCTGGCAGTGGAGGGGAGTAGGATTAGGCATCCATAGACACAGACATGCAAGGCAAGACGTAGAAGAGCCAGCCAGGGAAGATGAGCGAGACTAGCAATGGCTGTGAGGCCAAAGGCTATGAGCAACTTCAATGCACACGTGGTGTGACTGAGAGAGGAACTCAGCTCTATATGCCTCCCATTAGCTCTTCAGTACCTTCCCAAATTTGCTTGATATTAAGAATCATCTGAGATGATGGTCCAAAACACAGATTCCCAGCCTTCCTCCCAAGCCTCCCGAGTAAGTCTCTCCACGAGGTACCCTGGAATTTTTAAACTCAACAAGCACGCTTAATGATTCTGAGGACCCACCTGAGGCAGGGAAGCACTGTTGTGGGCAATGGGAGCTGAATTCCGGTTCTGCGATACGCTGGAATGTCCAAGTCCTCAGGGTAAGGTAGCAGAAGAAGGGCTGCATTGGAAGTTGAGAGAACAGTGGGTCCTGTAGACTCATTGGTCCTTGATGCTTCAGTTAGGAGCGCTTGCCCATCTCACACTTTTTCTGATGTGTCCATGTAGTGCTTTATGAAGTGGACACCTTGATTTCTGAGGGTCTGTTGCCAATGTTACCCCATCATGACCATTTAACTAAAAAGACTGAGGCATTCCCAAAACAAATTCTTAGTAAAAAACTATGAGTCTAGAGTAGGAGCAGGATTTGCAGGCTTTGCAGGAGGAGGCTTTGCAGCAGCCAGCTTCCAAGATTGCCCTTTGTTATTCTACTTGATTGATAGTGTGCCCCTGTGCAGACTACTTCCATACTGGGTAGAGCTGACCAATGTCACCTGTAAGATGTTGTGAAGATGGTGGTTTGACTTTTAAGATAAGCCATAAACAACACTGCAGGTTCCATCTTGCTCTCTTGGATGGCTCTTTTTGTAAGGAGCCAGCCACCATACTGTGAAGGAATTCAGCAAACAGCCCTATGGAGAAATCCAGATGACCAGGAACTGGGGCCATTCACAGCAGTCATCATGGACCTGACAGTTGAGCCACCTGGGAGACAGATACCCCAACCACAGGTGAGCCCTTAGATGACTATGGCCCAGGCCAACATTTTGGCTACCACCTCCTGAGAGATGCTGAGCCATGATCACCCATAAGCCTCTCCTTAAATTCTGATTCACATAACTATGAAAGGTGGCAGAGTTTATCATGGTTTTAAGTTGCTACATTTTGAGATAATTTGTTATGCAGCAATAGATAAATAATACAGTTTCTCTCTCCCTTGTGTCTGATATTGGTTGAAAGAAGGTCTAGGAGGCTGGGCATGGTGTCTCATGCCTGTAATCTCAGCACTTTGCAAGGCCAAGGTGGGTGGATCACCGAGGTCAGGAATTTGAGACCAGTCTGGCCAACATGACAAAACCCCATCTCTACTAGAAAATACAAAAATTAGCCAGGCATGGTGGCATGTGCCTGTAATCCCAGCTACTCAGGAGGCCGAGGCAGGAGAATCGCTTGAACCTGGGGAGGTGGAGGGTGCAGTGAACCGAGATTGCACCACTGCACTCCAGTCTGGGTGACAAGGCAAAGTGAGACTCCGTCTCAAAAAAGAAATAAAAAAATAAAAAAATAAAATAAGAGGTCTCGGAATGGATGGTTCATGTAGACGGTATGTGGCATAATAACAACCAGCATGTGTGGAATCCATACTAAACACTTTACATCATTTCATTTCATTTAATTTCATCTCATTTAATCTTCTCAAAAGGCAGGCACATTTATCCTCATTGTATAGTTGAAAAAACTAAAGTTTGAAAAAGTCATGTCTTATGTCCACAGCTTTTGATCTAGTAAGAGTGAAGTCAGAACTTGAAAGAAGGTCTGTTTCCAAATGACTTCCCTGCTCTTGGTCTGCTTCCTGGGGCATCTGTGGGCATTTTGTACCCATCCTACCTTACCCTCGTTGAATGTGTGCCACCTCATTTAGACTTGGTCTGTACATCTGCAGAAAGAGGATGCGTTAGGCTGCTGCTGCTTGGATGTAGTGAGGGGAATGCTGGCCCAAGTTCAGTCTGGCTGAATCACAGTTGCCTCATTGACAAAATGGGGAAAATAATTACTATCTCACAGGGCAGTTGAAATAATTCAATTTCATAATGCCTATGCCATTGTTTTACAAACTCTAACAGCTAACACCAAAGTAAATTATTGTTTTTATCATGATTTTTGTTATGTTCATCTATGCCAAGCTCATAAAGATTATGGGATTAGAAGAGCCAATTACAACAGCCCACCCAGCGTCTATGGAAGGGCCCCAACTTTAAAGGCAGTCAATATATCCATTTTTTCCAGAACATGAAAGAAACGTTGAATAGCTATTTATTGTCTTCCAGCTATAATTGATTATGGGATGAGAGTTGTTTTGTCGATCTTCCATTACAGTGCTTGAATAAAAGGTTAGTAAATAATAATGATAACAGAGAAAAACAACACATTCTTTCTCAAATCCCACCCACGCTGCCTCTCTGACTTGTGTATATTTGAAAATGGTCTTTACAAATATCAATTCTGGAAAAAAATTTACGTTGCATTATAAATATAAAAATAAAACCAAATCAAAATTATTATCTTGGCATCCTGGGGACCCTCCCTGGTGTGGATGAGGGGGCAGAAAAGAGGGAGTGGGAAAGAATGAAGGGAGGAGGACAAAGACCATGCCCGGAATTCCCATGCCAGCGGAACACTTGAACAGCCTGTTTTTCTGCCCTTTAAAATTAAAAACACAAATCAATCTCACTCAAATTCTAAAAGCAGAAAGGAATGGGGGATTTGACTGGTAATGTTTAGAAATAAATGATTTCTGGAAATGTATTGTGACTTAAAAATTGAGAAGTTCTGTCTTTGTAGAATGAAAAGAGAGAGAAGCTACAATTTCCACACGCAAACAAACACCCCATCTCATCAACTCCACCCATTTCCAGCTCCTGGACATTTGTCTTTATTTGTTTCCTCCTCTTCTGAAGCAGGATTTCTCCTGGACAGCAGCCTCCTCAACGTGGGGGCTTATCTATTTATCATCCCTCTCTTCCAACATTGCTTCCCCCACCACCCCCAGCCACACAGACAGCAGGGATTCTTCCATCATTCTTTTCTTCCTTTTCTTGGGGGCACTGTATAGTCTGACCCTAGGCCCTCTTTCTCTCCCACAAAGCTTTTATTTGAAAGCAACAGAAAAGAGGATGGAAACTGAGGGTAATAGAGATTGAAAGAGAGGAGACAGGAGTGGCTGCCAAGACAGAAAGAACAAGACAGGCACAGACAGCATGCAGGGGTGGACTGAAAAGTGAGAAGTCAGGGAAGAACATGGGTTAAATAATCGATTTCAAAACTCACTCTTTGCCAGAGATTTTAATCAAATCATTTCCTTAACCCCAGGAATCTTCTGGGAATTCATTCCCTCTTTCTCTGTCTCTGTCTCTCTCTCTCTCTCTCTCTCACTCTCTTCCTCTTTCTCTATCCCAGACTCTACACAGAGCCAAAAATGCCCTTAGCTATGGCCTGTGCCAGCACCACCACATGTATCTCTATTCCCTCCACTACACATAGGTGCAATCGCACAACCACACACCATTACACACACACACACACACACAAAACCACCCCCCACGCCATATACTCAAGAGATGAGAAAAACCAAGCAAGTGGCCTGAGCAAGGCAAGCCCAGATCAAAGGGTTTTGGACTAGTGTCCTTTCCCTCTCCGTATACTGTCTGAGGGGTACTGTAATTAAGAAACAATTTATTCCTTTTCCCAACACATTGGATAACTACCTCTCATTTTACTCAACCAAAGTGGCAACAAGGCACCACAGGCACAACCCTGACAGAGAAGGAAAGCATTCAGGGAAACTGGGAGGTGGGGTATTATAAGCCTTCTTATTTTTTTAAATGGGTACTATTCAAAAGGGCTGCTTTCTTCACTGGCTACAGGTTATGTAACATCTAAATTATTTCCGGAGTTTCTGAACAGACCAGAGGTTCAGAATAATGGCACCCGCCTCTCCAGATCTGAGGGCTGCTGTCTTCTCCCAGAAGCCCCTCCAAGCCGCTCTGACCCCTGGTCTGGGGCACCCTTCTTCCTTCCCGGCATTTTTTACAAACACAACCTTCAAAATTAGTTCAGAGGCTTTGCGACCCTTTTGTGGCCCTGCACCGCCATCATGTGGCCAGAGCTAACACTGCATCCATGCACACTTACGTGAAAACCAATGAAACCTTAAATGGGAAGTGGCGTAAGATCAGGATTAACCTCCAGCAGATCCTAAGTGGGGTACTTTCCTGTCTTTGCTGCTGGTATATGCTGCAAACTATATTTGGAGGCCTTTTACACTTATGTTCCTCCGCTAGCCCCTTTTCATGGAATGCCTCTTCCCTCGTGTACTCTAAGTTCTAAAATGTAAGAAACTTGCTCATAGGACCAAACACAATTAATCTCTGACCTTCAAACACGTTTCATTTTATTTATTGTGATCGTAGCACTTACCAAAATTCTAAACTGTATGCAAATTAAATGTGTGTGGATTTCTCTCCCCTACCAGGAAGTGAACTGGCAGATGGCAGAGACTGTTTTTTTCACACCTCACAAATAGTAACGAGTCTTTAAAAAGTATATATTGAATGGAGAAAATACAGCAAATAAATGACTCACTAATTTCTTAGCTACCCTGCTTAACTTGCCCTGATGACCTCTTCCTTCCTCTTTTCTGCACAGTGTTGGGCACTGTGCAGCATATAGGTAAGAAACCCTGGAGTAGGAATCAGAATTAGGTTACACCCATGGGAGCTGCGTACCCTTGAGTCAGTCACTTTTTCCTCTAGGAGCCTTAGTTTTCTCAACTATATAAAGAGAGGATTGAATTAAACAAATCACTAAGGTCCATTCAGGTAGATGACGAGGTAAGCCTAAACAAAACTGACTTTTACTAGAGGAATTTTGACTCTGCTTTAAGAGACAAGATGCACTATAGTTATATTCTTTTTCCACTTATTCCAAGGTAATAATACACAGTATTAGGTACCCAATAAATATCTGGAAAATAACAGATGAGAACAGAAAAAAAAGTCAATAAGAAAACAAATTGACCACAGAGCAGTTGTGAACGACAAATGGCACACAACTCCATTCGTAATTCACATTCAGACTTTTTATGTCCTGACATAAGCATGCTGCAAAAAGACGTATCAAAGGCTACTAAGGTTAAACATAGGCTGTTCTGGACTTTTCAGAGAATGTTTCTTAGAGGCAAATCACATTAACAGCCAAACAAATCTGGCTCTAGATAAAGGAGAGGATGTTGTTTGAGATGCAAGAAGGACAGCATAGTGCAGGTGTTACAAAGCAGATAGGAACAGTAAACAACAAATTGTGGCAATATTAGCCACGAATTCTTCACCTGGTTTCAGAAGAAGCCGCTATCAAGTTGTAATCTAAATGAGTATCACCTGAAAAATCACCATGCTCCTATAACCGGAAACCCAAGCGGAACACTTCTGTTCCTCATATTGTATTTCACTGATAGACACAGTCCAGCCCAACTGCTTATTTTCACAGACAGCACAGAAAGGAAGAAAGTCCACCTTGTGTTTCTGGAGACCTCTTCCTATGCCTCGCAGTGGGTCAGGCATGTTATATCTGCTTAACAAGTTGTTCGGTACAATGTCCTATGAACACTCTCTCTTCTACAAATATTAACAGATTTAGTACCTAGTACTGAGAGGTGACAGAGTGCTGGCAGTCCTCACAGCCCTTGCTCGCTCTCGGCGCCTCCTCTGCCTGGGCTCCCACTTTGGCGGCACTTGAGGAGCCCTTCGGCCCGCCGCTGCACTGTGGAAGCCCTTTTCTGGGCTGGCCAAGGCTGGAGCCGGCTCCCTCAGCTTGCGAGGAGATGTGGAGGGAGAGGCGCGGGCGGGAACCGGGGCTGGGCGCGGTGCTTGCGGGCCAGCGTGAATTCCGGGTAGGCGTGGGCTCGGCGTACCCCGCACTCGGAGCGGCCGGCCGGCCCCGCCGGCCCGGGCAGTGAGGGGCTTAGCACCTGGGCCAGCAGCTGCTGTGCTCAATTTCTCGCCAGGCCTTAGCCACCTTCCCGCGGGGCAGGGCTCCGGACCTGCAGCCGGCCATGTCTGAGCCTCCTCCCCCCCGCCCCTCCGTGGGCTCCTGTGCGGCCCAAGCCTCCCTGACGAGCGCCACCCCCTGCTCCAAGGCGCCCACTCCCATCGACCACCCAAGGGCTGAGGAGTGCGGGCGCAAGTCGCGGGACTGGCAGACAGCTCCACCTGCAGCCCCGGTGCGGGATCCACTGGGTGAAGCCAGCTGGGCTTCTGAGATTGGTGGGGACGTAGAGAACCTTTACGTCTAGCTAAGGGAGTGTAAATAAACCAATCGGCACTCTGTATCTAGCTCAAGGTTTGTAAACACACCAATCAGCACCCTGTGTCTAGCTCAGGGTTTGTGAATGCACCAATCCACACTCTGTATCTAGCTACTCTGATGGGGACTTGGAGAACCTTTGTTTCCACACTCTGCATCTAGCTAATCTGGTGAGGAGGTGGAGAACCTTTGTGTCTAGCTCAGGGATTGTAAATGCACCAATCAGTGCCCTGTCAAAACAGACCACTGGGCTCTACTAAACAGCAGGATGTGGGTGGGGCCAGATAAGAGAATAAAAGCAGGCTGCCCTAGCCAGCAGTGGTAACCGGCTCAGGTCGCCTTCCACGCTGTAGAAGCTTTGTTCTTTTGCTCTTTGCAATAAATCTTGCTGCTGCTCACTCTTTGGGTCCACACTGCCTTTATGAGCTGTAACACTCACCGCAAGGTCTGCAGCTTCACTCCTGAAGCCAGCGAGACCACTAACCCACCGGGAGGAAGGAACAACTCCAGACGCACAGCCTTAAGAGCTGTAACACTCACTGCGAAGGTCCGCAGCTTCACTCCTGAGCCAGCGAGACTACGAACCCCACCAGAAGGAAGAAACTCCAAACACATCCGAACATCAGAAGGAACAAACTCCGGACACGCCGCCTTTAAGAACTGCAACAGTCACCGCAAGGGTCCGTGGCTTCATTCTTGAAGTCAGTGAGACCAAGAACCCACCAATTCCGGACACAGTACTACTTCATTGGTAGTGGCTGCTTGGAATAGTGTGATTAAAAGGACCTGGGCAAGGCATATGCCAGGAATGTGGCCAGGCAGATGTATACTCCCAATGCAGGCACTTGAAGAATCATTACACGGAAGCACCGAGCCAGGCAATAGCAGGCAGTCTCTGCCTACTCCCGTGGATGTACGAGCGAAATAGTCACCATGAAGTGCTCAGAGTTAGTCAATGAAAGGCTCGAAGCCTTCATACTAATTGATGGAGTATGAAGCCTTTCTGCATATATTTTCCTGATGAATAGAGCTATGATTATTTAATTTGTAATGGACCAGAAGGGACTGATTTTACCAGGGCTGATGGCCAGGAACCAAGGATGCTGAGCCCAAGAATTTTTCAAAATGTTATCTGAAAATAAAAGAGAGTAGTCAGGAGTTTTCCTTTCTTGTTTCCAATAGTGTGTGTATCCTGTGGACATAGGATAAATTATCTTATTTCCTCCACCTGCTGTCTTTTGAGGTTACAATATAGATAGCATAGGGTTATTGAAAGAATCATTGGAACATAGAGTTCACAGGGACCTTGGAAATGGACTTGTGTGGGGATGACAATATATGGCACTGGTATTGCCATTCTCCCAGCCCCTCCCATAGCAGACTTTGCTAATTCATTTAGCAGGAAAATAGCAATGCCATTTGTGTCTTTGAGGCATATTTTCAGCACACTGCTCCAGACTCATCAGGGTCAGCACTTAAGATAAAGCCATTTTCTAACCTTTGAAACTTGGCTTTTGGGAGAGTGACTTCTCAAAGTTGCAGTTAGGGTCAGAACTGGAACCCACATTTTCTGATATCCAAATATTTCTCCGCTTTCCTGTTCAGTTGTAAGCTTCCTAAAGATAAGCATCATTTCCTTTTTTCCTTGGGGTTTAAAAAAATTAAATTTTATTGTGTTTACTTGAGGTTTGCAACAAAATGTTATAGGATACATATAGAAAGTAAGTTGGTTACTAGTGTGAGGCAAATTACCATATCTGTCATCTCCCATAGTTACTTTTTTGTGAGTGATCTTTTTTATTTTTCAATCAATCAATACATGGAAAGCATTCCAATTAAGCAACTGCTCATCCACTAAGGCATCCAGAACAGAAACTTACTCTCGACCTTCAAGAAATTGACATTCTCCCACACACAACTCTCTCTGTGCCTTGATGCCTCTGTTTAAGTGGTTTTTAATGTTGAAAATGCCTTTTTCATTCCTTCCACCTTGAAATCTACTCAAAATACATATTGTCCACAAGGATTCCAGATTTGTCTTTTGCTAGCACCACCTTTATCCCTAATGGACATTACCTTCTGCCTCCTATGTTCTTCTAAAATATTTTAAAATACATAAAAACTAGACATCTGTTCAGTTACTTGTCTGTCTATCACCTCCACCAGGTTGTGAGCACAAAACTCTAGAAAACATATCTTGCTCACATGATGAATAAAGGGATGCCCACGATATCATAGGCTTCTGATGACTTTTAGTTGGATAAAAGCTAGTTTCTAGAACCATCACAATTAAATATAAAATCATTTAACAAAGTTAAAATAGACCTTAGGCATCATGTGACTTAAGATTGGAAAAAGGTTTTATTTTAAGGCTAATCCCAATTCACTGGTAGTGGCTGCTTGGAATAGTGTGATTAAAAGGACCCAGGCAAGGTCCAGGTTCAGTTGGAAAGAGGGCTGCGTTTGGTGTGTGTTGTCTGCCAGGAGTGAGAAAGCAGGAAACAGCAAGATGTATGTCTGTTCTGCCAGCAAGGATCAAATCCACTCCCTGATGGTTAATGTTAAAGGCTGCATGATGCAGTAGATGATTTGGGTAGAACTCTGAATTTGAATGCTCTACCCAAGCTCTCCTGGGACTTTAGTTTCATTTTGTATGAAGTGAGCATGGTGGTTCTCCTCTTTTCCTCATTCAGGTTCGTTTGTTTTTTTTAATGATGATTGAAGACATGGTGATGAAAGTATTTTACAAAACATAAAGCGATGTGTAAATGTGTGTGATGATCCCTCTCCATAGAGGACTGGCCTCAGCGACCTTTCAGTAAGTGGCAATAGAGAATCCAAAACTAAGAAAGATGTGCTATTCCGGAAGCTGATCCCTTCTCAGTCTCCGGTTTCATCCATTCTCAGCCTCACCTTCATTCTCTAAGCTTCACTTTATTTCTCAAAGTAAACTTCTTTCCATTTTCCATCTCACAACCTTTGGAGGTGCTTAGCTGCTCCAAACTTTCTTCAAACTCCAAGTCCAGACAAGCTCTGGAAGATGTGTCTCAAACTTCCACAAAATCCAGAAAATGCTGATTCAGCCCTACAAAAGAGGCTAGAGATGAAAGACAACGTTAAAAAAAAGGAACTCGGCGGGGCGCGGTGGCTCACGCCTGTAATCCCAGCACTTTGGGAGGTGGGCGGATCACGAAGTCAGGAGATCGAGACCATCCTGGCTAACACGGTGAAACCCCGTCTCTACTAAAAATACAAAAAAAAAAAAAGAAAGAAAAAATTAGCTGAGCGTGGTGGCCGGCGCCTGTAGTTCCAGCTACTCAGGAGGCTGAGGCAGGAGAATGGCGTAAACCAGGGAGGCCGAGGTTGCAGTGAGCTGAGATGGCGCCACTGCACTCCAGCCTGGGGGACAGAGCGAGACTCTGTCTAAAAAAAAAAAAAAAAAAAGGAACTCATCCCAGCTCTGGAGAGTCAGACAGAGAGGCCAGAAGAGAATTTTTTTTTAATGATGGAGATAAACTAGATGATGAGGTTACTTCCTAGTTGTTGGTTCCATAAACTAGACGATGAGGTTACTTCCTAGTTGTTGGTTCCACTTACCCAACTCTTGCTCTGAGCTGCCGAATGTTCTTTATCTTTCCACTCCCATTCCACGCATCATCTTCTTGTGAAGCAATCGGCTGACCATTTCTAAATTAGTTCCAACTCGAGCAGCTCTCCACCTATTGGATTTTCTTCATAACACTTATCACTGTATACAATTATTCTATTATTTATCGTTAAATGTTTAGCATTTATCTCCAGTAGAATTCAAGCATCATGAGGGAAGACACCTTATTTGTTCTGTTTATTATGGTGCTTGTTTACCATGACTAGCAGAGTGAATATGGAAGGTATTCAGTACATATGTATTTGCTAAATGAATAAATGACTTCATCTGGTTGCTGCTGACCAGACTAATTAATTAATAATTGCTTAATTAATTTATAATTAATAGCTAATTAATATTAATTGCTTTTGACTTGGAGATAATCCATTTTTCTTTATGTTAAACCTATATTCTTTTTAGTTATCTAGGGATAAATTATTCAACTTGTAGAATATGCAGAAAGTTTCGTGAAGCTCTCTAGCATCAGCCTTATTTCTTCTAATTTGGCTCTTTAAGCAGAGAACAAACAGTACAGGCAACTCAGTCCAACTACAGTTACATCTTAGCATTTCTGGACAATAAATAAATAATTTAACATTCTTGTTGGTGCCAGGGTTTACATGCAACCTGAAATAAAGCTTTTATATTCCAAATATTTTATTCCATTTCCCTTTTTTTCTGATTTTACCTTCTTTCTCCTGCCCTCCTTCTCCCACCCACGTGTAAGCTTGGAGAGGATGTATTTCACTGAATGTCTCATGAGCCAGAAATGGCAGATCATTACCTGAGGACAGCAGGAACGGGGAGATTCAAGGCACTAGGTGAGTGCAGGTGAAAAAAAACAGTCAATTACGAGTACGCAAATCATCTGTCTGGCATGCAACCAGACGTCCTGCCATCCAAGATGTCTCTAGTCCCCACTCTACGTGCCGGGAAAAGACAAAAATGGATTAGTTCTTTTCAAAAAGCAGAGAGCAGAGAAATCCAGAGAGGTTAAATGGCTGGCCCAAGGTCACTCAACACACCAGGTGGCCAAGTCCAACTGTGAGGACTGAAATATGTCCCTTCAATCAGCAAGTCTCCCTAAAGCTATTCTGGCACTTGGCCACTTGCCTATAATTCTCCTGGCTCTAAATAGGAGGAGAATTAGAGAAGAGAAACAAAGTTAATAAAAGTCAAACTCACCCAGACCCTGAAGGGATGGGCAGATCAGAAAGGACTGTTTATTAGTGCGTGAGATGGCTCAGAAAGTGAGGGCATTCATTTATTATTGGTTTAAACTTATCTAGGTCTTTCTCAGAGTTGCCCAAGGCTCTTTCTGACTTAATTTTAAAGTTCTAAATTGTCTCGTGGATCTTTGTGAGCCTGGAAACACCCAAAAGACACAGCAAAATGGTAGTGCAAAGACTGTGAACAAGAACCATTATATAATATTAGATATGTTACTTGGACATGAGTACTGAACATCTTCCCCTGTCAAAGCCCAGAGAGAGTGCCATAGTCCAGACTTGGCCATTCAAGACACCTCACTCTGGTCATTCTGGCCACGGTGATTGGTTCAAAGATAAATTCGTGACCCTAGCCAAGCTAATGGGGGCATTCTCTGGGACTTTTTCAGAATTATCTATAAATATGCCTTCTCATCTCTGGAATTTCAAGCTGTAAGAAACATGCAAGGTTGGAGATGTGGAATCAACATTCCAAGGTCCACAGAAGCTCACTGCAGAATGAGAGGATGGGGTTTGGCCAGGCTGAAGGAGTAGATAAGGGGTTTGGGCTGCGGAAGGACAAATGACATAGGCGGTTTCACTGTAAATTTGCAGACTGTTCTCCACCACATGCTGTGCACATTCACAAATACACTCACTCCTAGAAGTGCCCATCTTCCTTGTCAATGGCAGACATGCCTTGCTCCATGCTCCTTGGAATGTGTCTTTGACAGTATGACTTCATTGATGTCCATCATGCATCCTCTCTGGTTCTGCATATCTTGCTGCCTTTCAAAGGTTTTTTTTTTTTTTTTTTTCCATTCGGTATTGTTCCTCTCAAAGTCTCCCTACCTACCATTGATCCTGACCTCCTGCCATTCCCTATCTTGGCTTATCACTTCCCCTGAGGCAGTAACCCCTTTTCAGGTCCTCTTAGATCCTGGCACCATTTCTTAAAACCTTTCACACTTGTCTTGCTCTGCTCCTCCCCAGTTTGATATGGAGAAGGGCACCAGCCCAGGCTAGAGGGATCAGGCAAAGCTTCCAGAAGAAAGTGACTTACAAACTGAACCCTGAGAGATGAGGGACCATCAGCCAGATGAGGGACAAGAGGAGTATAGAACTGTTCCTGATGAAGGGGAGCAAATGTTCTGAAGCCTCAAGCTGGGGAAAGCTGTGAGTGCTTTCTACATAGAGTTTGATGGAGCATAAATGAGAAGAAAGTGAAGTTGTAAATGAGGCACTGATTCTGAGGGTCATGGTGAAGTGGTTGGGTTTTTATCTTTGTTTTTTTATTTTTTTGAGATGAAATCTCATTCATTTGCCCAGGCTGGAGTGCACTGGTGCAATCTTGGCTTACTGCAGCCTCCGCCTCCCGGGTTCAAGTGATTCTCCTGCCTCAGCCTCCCAAGTAGCTGAGAGTACAGGTGCATACCACCAGGCTCAGCTAATTTTTGTATTTTTAGTAGAGATGGAGTTTCACCATGTTGGTCAGGCTGATCTGGAACTCCTGACCTCAGGTGACCCACCCACCTCAGCCTCCCAAAGTGCTGGGATTACAGGCGTGAGCCACCACGCCTGGCCAGTCGGGTTTTATCTTAAGGGGAATGGGGAGAAGTGAAGTCAATTTAAACAGGCCTTTGATCTGAGGCCTGTTTTCATTCCCCTTCCCTGTCACTACCTGTCAGTTCACCTTGGGTTTTTGATCATCTCTTGTACTTGCTACTTTCAGGTTCTCCAAAGCAAGCTCTGTGACCTTAATTCTTTTGAATTCCGGTCTTGAATTTTGATCAGTCATAACCTTTTGGAAGTTTTTGGAGCCTGACCATCTTTCAGGGGCTTGCCAGGACCTCTTAAGACCAGTCACAGCCTGTTGTGACCTCCCATGACTTATCAGTGTCCTTTAGTATTCTCAGGGTCTGTCAAGATCTATCACACTTCTAGATGTCTTTCAGGGGCTGCATTTATCTCTGAAATGTCACCGTCCTCTATTTTGGACTATAACATTTTTGTTGGTATGTGTCTGATACCACAAAAGTATCATAATACACTCTCTTCTTTATCCTTAAACACTGAAGCTATAAGGAATTAGAAGAGTTTATGCATTTCTCAGGCCAAGTGTTGCTTGGAACCTATAATAGAACAGATTTCATCATGCATTGGATTAATGTATATCAATTATAACTCCTTGGCCAATGAGCTGTAAAGGAATGTGGAGCCTGGACTCCAAGGGGAAGCTCACTGGGCAGGCAGGTTAGAGTTAGCAAGGGTATTTTGCTCCATGACTTTGGCAAGAAATACTATGGGGAAATTACTTTGCCATGGTTCAGGAAGCCACATTTCATCTGGGGAAATGGAGACCCAAAGGAGATTCAGTGGCTGTGTTTAGTGTGTCTCCCGGACACCAATCCAGTGTTGGGAGGTGAGAGCGCAGAGATAATTAGCAAATCTTGCCCTAGGGTTAGGGTGAAGAAAAGGAACTACAAAAAGAAAGGCAGGAAAGACAGACAAACATTCATTAGGTCAGTCAGTGATTGTTTTAAGCCTGTTCTAGAGAGACAGCAGAGACGAAGATAGACACAGTCCCAGTCCTCAAGGTGCACACAGCTGGATGATCCACATTCTGAAAGAAGAGACAGAGTCTGAAACAAAGTTCTAGGAAGCTCAAATCTGTTGGGTATAATAGAGAACCACTGACACATTTTAAAGTACTTGATATGGTTTTGAAAAAATGACTTTGGCTGCATTGTAGAAAATGGATAGTGGAAGTCAGGAGCGAAGCAAGGAGAAAATTTATAAGCCTATTGCAGGCTAAATACGATAGGCCCAAAGTGAGGTGGATGGGTCCCGTTTTAACTGATACTGAGAAAAATGTAAGTGGTAAAATCTTCAGGACTTGAATAACTGGATGTGTGACATTTGGAAGAGGGAAGGGTCTATAGCTCTATGACAACACAGTGTGATAAGCCTTATTACTCAGGGATGGACCTAGTGTTCCAACTAGTCAAATATGGCCAGAGTGGGAAAGCCCAAGCATTTCTACTACTGGGTCAATTATTTTTCCCTAGAATGTTTGGGCTCAATGTAAGAAAAACAATGAAACTACTGTTGGAATATAGCATCTATGTAGTGGCATGATGAGGCCAAACTGTTTGTCTGGGTCAGGTCAGGAATCATATACTGTGAACTGTGATAGATTTTGGCTGTAATCTGTAGGCCACAGAAGATTTTTTGGGGAGAGTATAAAAGAAAGAACTGATCTAGTGAGACGTGTGCTGTATACAAGTCACTCTGGTTGTTCTTTAGGGGATGAATTGGAGAAGAGAAGTGATTAAAAGTCTACATTTAAAACACTATTGGCTGGGCGCAGTGGCTCACGCCTGTAACCCCAGCACTTTGGGAGGCCGAGGCGGGTGGATCACCTGAGGTCAGGAGTTCAAGACCAGTCTGGTCAAAATGGTGAAACCTCGTCTCTACTGAAAAATACAAAATTAGCCAGGTGTGGTGGCAGGTGCCTGTAATCCCAGCTACTCGGGAGGCTGAGGCAGGAGAGTCGCTTGAATGCAGGAGGCAGAAGTTGCAGTGAGCTGAGATTGTGGCACTGCACTCCAGCATGGGCAACAAGAGCAAGACTCCATCTCAAACAAAACAAAACAAAACAACAACAAAAAAAAAAAACACTATGATAATCATGTGAGAGGTAATAAAGAACTGAACTTGAGTGATGATAGAGGCAGAAACAGAGAGAAAGAAATAGGTAAATAAAATGTTAAGGAGAAAGAAATACCAGAGCTTAGTGAAGAGAGGTTTGACTCAAGAATAACTCCCTTGTTTGTGGTTCAGCTCTATGAGATTTCGTTCTCTACATTTTTAATTTTTTATTGAAAGAATGATAGATTCACTGGAATCTACAAAAATTTGATTTCTTTCATGTTAAGTTCATTGATTTTAAGATGTCCATGGGACATTCAAGTGTAAACATCCAGTAGGTACTTGGAATTATAGACCTAGAACTAAAAGCTAAGATTTTACAGTGATAACAGAAGCCATGCGAGTAAGAGTACCCTACGTAAAAAGAACATAAAATAAGAAAGCCAGGAAAAGAGCTCTGGTAACCACCACCTAAAAAATATGCAGAGGAAGAGAAATAAAACACAAAAATGACAAATGCAAGTCCAGAAAAGTGGAAGGACACTTCAGAGCTAAGTGCAGCCCCAGAATAAATAACAAAAAGAGTAAAGAAATCAATTTTTAAAATGGCAAAATGTGAATAGTCCTCTCAAGCTGTGTGCACCGTGAAGATTAGGACTGTGTCTATCTTAGTCTCTGCTATCTCTCTAGAATAGGCTTAAATCAATCACTGACGGAATGAATGTTTGTGAGTCTTTCTCGCCTTTCCTCTTGGTACTGCTTTTCTTCACTTCTTTTTAATAAAATATGATTTTTTAATAGTATGTTGTACATTTTTTAAGAGGTGGAAATTTTTCACATATCTTTCTGTCATTATTTTTTTTTTCTTTTCCTTTTTTTTTTTTTTTTTTGGAGAGATAGGGTTTCACTTCTGTCACCCAGGCTGGAGTACAGTGGCACCATCTTGGCTCACTGCAACTTCTGCCTCCCAGGCTCAAGGGATTCTCCTGCCTCAGCTTTCTGAGTAGCTGGAACTACAGGCACACACCACCACACTCAACCGATTTTTGCATTTTTTCAGAAATGGGATTTCGCCATGTTGCCCAGGCTGGTCTTAAACTCCTGAGCTCAAGCAATCTGCCCGCCTTGGCCTCCTAAAATTCTGGGATTACAGATGTGAGCCACCGCACCTGGCCTCTGTCATTAATTTCTAATTTAATTCCTTGTAGATTCTGGATATTCGTCCTTTGTTGTCATATATGTTTTTCTACATTTTTATCAACCTGAAAGTTCATGGTTTACAGCATTTTTCCCTTACAAAGCCAATTATCTTTTCAGTGATTAAAATTAAGAGAAAGTATTTTATATTTATCCATATACTTCTCATATCTCGCATATCTCATTCTTTGCATTAATCTAAATTTCCATGTGTTATCATTTCCTTCTCCCAGTAAACCATTTTTAAAAATTTTCTATAGTTCAATTTGCTGCTAAAGAATTTTTTAGCTCTCATTTTTCTTAAAATATTTCTATTTCACCTTTGTTTTTTAGCTCTTTTTTTGCTGTGTGTAGAATTATGTGTTGAGTAGTTTAATTTTTCCCAGATTTCTAAAGATTTCACTCCATTGTCTTCTTGCTTGCATAATTTCTAACAAAAAGTCTGATCTTATTCTTATCTTTGTTCCTCCGTATATAATGTGTTTTTTATCTTTTTCTTTTAAGATTTTCTACCGTTGATTTTCATCAGCTTATTATAACGTTGTTTTGTGTGTATACATGTTTATGTGTATATGTATATTAATGCTTTTTCTGCTTGGGGCTTATTAAATTTTTTGGCTTCATGAATTTATAGTCCTATTAAATTTGGAAAAATTGGGGACATTGTTTCCTCAAATACAAACCACTTGGTATTTTTTATAAAGAGCATTGATGCTCTCTTTATTTGTCTTTAATCTTCTCTCTTTCTCTGTGTGTGTGTGTGTGTGTGTGTGTGCGCGCGCGCGCGCGCGTGTATTGGGGGAGTTGGTTTTCATTGCTGTGTCCTCAGGGTCATTGATTTTTTTTCATCACCAGTGTCTAGTGAGGTTTTTATTTCAGATATTTTATTCTTTCGTGTGTATCAGTTTCATTTGGTTCAGCCTTTAATCTGCAGTTTCTTTCTCTTTCATCTTTATGTTTTTAAAAAATATCTTTAAGCATATGGCACATATTTATAAAAGCGTTTTTAATATCCATGATTTATAATTGTATTTTCTAAGTCATTCCTAGATCAGTTTATATTGCCTTTTTTCTACTCATTATTGATCATATTTTCCTCTTTTTCTTATTTTTATTTTTCATTTTTTGAAAGAGAGTCTCAGTATCTCTCAGGCTGGAGTGCGGAGGCACAATCATAGCTTACTGCAGCCTCAAACTCCTATGTTCAAGCGATTCTCCCACCTCAGCCTCCCCGGTAGCTGGGACTACAGGCATGTGCTACCACACCTGGCCATTTTTTATTTTATTTTTTGTAGAGACGGTATCTTGCTATGTTATGTAGACTGCTCTCGAACTCCTGGCCTCATATGATCCTTCCACCTTGGCCTCACAAAGTGCTTGGATTACAGGCATGAGCAACTGCATTCGGCCTTTTTCCTGTTTCTTTATCTGTCTAGTAAATTTTTATTGACTAAAGGAAATTATTATTTTTATTGACTAAAGGAAATTATTATTTTATTGACTAAAGGAAATTATTATTTTTATGTAGCTGTATGCTGAAATTTGTTGTATTCTTCTAAGGAAGATTAGACTTTTTTAATACTTAAGTTACTTTATTCATCTAATTAATTTAGTTATTTGGAAGAGGAGTAAGCAAACTTTTTTAAAAAATCAAATAGGAAATATTAAAGCTTATACACCAAACAATCTTTGTTGCAACACTCAGTTCTGCTACTGCAGCATGGAAATGGCCACAGAAAATAAGTAAACAAATGGACATGACTGTGTTGTGATAAATCTTCATTTCCAGAAATGATAGTTCAACCAAAGTTGGCCTATGGGCTATAGTTTTTGCTTCCTTGATTAAGAGACTTGTTTTTAAGGTCTTTTAGGGACTAGAGTAGCCTTTATTTTAGAGCTAATTTAACACAACTCATAAGGCATGGCCCTTATGGGGTATCCCATAAGTGTCTCATGTAGCCATTCATCCAGCCTCCTCACTTTCTTGTCCTTGACAGAGAGAGCATAAACAATTACCGGCCACAGGTAAGCCTGGAAGTTGTTTATCTTACAGCTTCCTGGTAATTTTTCTTTCTTGCAACATTTTTATCTTCTGACCTTTTGGGATTTCACTTTGTGCATAAACATGGTTTTAATAAGCTAAATACTCACAAGGACCCTTATGCAGATTTTAGGACCTTTTTCTCCTCTTAGGTGCTCTGCCTTGCCAATTCTTAGCACCTTTCTTCCCGAAACTCCAGTCTCTTAAATTTAGCAAGACCACTAAACTCTCTTTGTGTTCCCTTCTGCGCAACACAGAGTAAAAACTATCTCCAGGCAGAAAGCCTAGACAAGACGACTCACCTCCTTTGTTTTTATTTACATGAAGCTCCCAGCCCTAAGCTGTCCACAATCTCTGCAAATAGTTGTTTCCTATGTCTTCTCCAGCTTATAGTTGGTAGCAGTGAGAAAGTAATCTGTACCATTTTATTTCCTCACAGCTGGGAGTTCACCTAATAACTCTAACAATAAATTGAATTGATATTATTTTAATCTCTCAATGACACAGAAGATTTGTACTTTTATTCCCCCATTTTAAAGATGAAGGCATTAATGCAGATTGGTTTTAAATACTTTTCTAGTGTTACCGAGCTAGGAAATAGCAGTTCTGTAATTCAAACCAGGTCTTCTGACATGAAAAACCATGCTCATAACTACTGCAGTGATAATTTCAATACCAAAAAAAGCTGCTGTTACTTTTTAATTTAATTTTCTTTTTGTGAAAAAGTAAAGTGGTAGTACATATTATGTAATAGTATTTTTTCTTTTAGCATTAAAAATACACTTTTTATAATAGAATTCCATAAATTTGCCTGATCACAAAAACCACTAAGAACACTTGATTAAAATACACATTTCCAGTCATCAGAGATTTTGCTTCAATAAGTCTAGGGTGGGGCCAGTGCTTTTATAAATCACACTAGGAGACCCCTATAATCAGACAAGTTTATCAAACATCCTATATAAAATGTTTTTTATTGGCTGTGTAAGATTTAATTATGTAGATATTTTATAATTTAATTTACCATTCTCTGCTAGTAGACTGTGGGGTTTGATGACATTTTAATACTGAAATAATACCATGATGATCAGACAAGTGCACATCCCTGATTATTTCCTTAGAGAGCCATGGCATTTAAACTTGTGTCTCCAGCTCTATGATTGAGTTTCATATGCATGGGAACTAGCATCAGTGTCTCTCTACTGCAAATAATTCTAAGAATGTGGCCACTCAGGGGTAAAACACAGGCTAAGGACGGGATAAGAAGGCACATAAAGCATACCTATGTACATTTAAATGTTTGTCTTTTTTTCTAACATTTGTCAATTCATGTATGTTAAACACCCATTAGCATTATGCTAGGTGTTTTCCCATAAATCTCGTTTGATGATCTCTGCAATCCCACAGGGAATATTACCTTTATTTAATAGATGAGTAAAAATTGAGTTTAAAAATATTAATCATCTTTAGCTAGTATGATAGTAATTGATATATATATATAGAAGGCATACTATGGGTCAGTACTAAGTATGCAACTATTTTATATCATTTAATCTTCAAGATAACTATGTCATTAGATGCATTTTTTTATCATTGTTATATCAGGGACTATGTAGCTAATATTACCCTCTTTTTTTTAGGTGAGGAAATACAGAAGCGCTCAGAGTGGTAGATTTTGCTTACACTGATATAACTAGTAAATGGCAGATCTAGCATATGGACCCAGATATATTTCTTTCTTAAACCATTTCTGTTTTGTGACACATTATAAATGCCTTCAATTTAGTCATTGTCAAACTTTTATTTTATTTTCAGATGTTTAAAAAATTCTTCAAATCTTCCCTAAAACTCTTATAAAATGTGAAATTTTTAAAAGCCAAGGAGTTATCAGTAGGCTCATATTTCTGGGAGATGAGAGAGGGCAAGCCTGTGTTACCTGAACCTGAGATAGAGATGAAGAATCTCTTTCATTCCATTTGGAGGGAACACACTTAGATCCCAGGGAAGAAAGATGAGTATAATTCTATGAACTGGGCCCAAGTGTGATTTCAGCTTCATGTGGAATATTGAGAAAGCTGAGGCTAGAGAACTGTAAACATTTAATCTTAATTTTAGTAGGTGAATACATCAGTTTATCTTTGTTTCTACTCTGCTTTTTGAATGGCATGGTGAGGGGCAGATTGGGCATCACATAAGATTTGCATCTCTACTTAATCACTGGGTGAGCTTGATCTGATCATGCTAGGTTTCTGAGTCTGTTTTTTTCTTTCATTTGTAAAGTAAGACAAAGTCTAATCAAAGTATGTCTAATCATACTATAATAATGCAACTAAAGGAGTAAGCACACCAGTGAATTCATACCATCTCCTTATTATTTGATTGTTCTTTGCCTTCTCAAAAGGCTATTTCTTCAGGATGCAGCTGTTTTGACTCTCTTAGGAGACTACTTTCAAGTAAGCTCACTATGGCACATGCTATGGTTTCCAAGGAAGGGTTTATGTGGCAGAGGCAATGGTTAGCAGTAATAAAACAGGAAGACCCCTTAGTTTTCAGCACATTATTTCACAGATAGTGTTAAAAATCATTCTGAGCTTATAATTGAAACACTAGTTCCAGGGATGTAATTTCAATCCTTATATTTACTTAAGGACCCCAAGGTGAAGTCTCTTTGGATACAGATGATTTTATTCTTAAACAGAGAAAATAATAATATCTGTATAACGGGAACATTATGGACATCAAAGGAGATATTAGTAGGCAACTGCAGAGTTAACAGATCTTGGTTTTAATCCTGATTTTACCAATCTACAGTTTTGACTTAGCCCCTTTGTCTCTGTGAACCAACACCCACACCATCAAAAATAAGAGGCTTGCAACTTATGGTTAAATTTCCTTCTAGTTGATATTCTGTAATTCTGTGACTTGAACAAGGTCTCACCAAAGTAGATAAAGTCCAGGTTGTCGCCCTGCTAGTCTGGTGCTTTCTACTCTACATGTTATTTCAGCTCAGAGATTTGTACCTTGTGGCTTTAAGGAAAGTCTTCTTTTGAACAAAAGCTGCCTGCAATGGTATCTCCAAATTGCAACCCCTCTTAGATCTTGTGAAGATCCCTGGTTGATCTGTGTCTAAGAAAATTCACCTACCTGCCCAATCTGTGGTATTCTTTTGTCATGAAGTTTATCAGCTTTTGATTCATACTATACTGATAAAGAAAACATATTACTTATGTGTCAAAGGAGCTAGTTTCAAGTACCAGATATTCTGTTGTGTGAACTGTGGCTAGACTTCCACTCAAAAATCAACAACAGCAACAATAACAGATGCTAAGAGAGCATACATTAAAAATTCTTAGGCCTACCATGCAGGCAAAGTTAAAGGGGTAATGACTTGCTGATGGCACAGAAAATAGTTCAAGCCCCAAAACCCAGACATTAAGTTTGGGTGACATGGGTCAAGGAATGGCAGATTTATTGCCTAAATTAAGTTATTCCTGGGAACTGATGTAGCTAGAACTATAATATCCTTCAGTTTTAGTTTCCTTTGACCTGGGAAGCATATCACTTGCTCTGGTTATGTTAGTCAATGAACCATGAGTACACTTCTATGCTATGTAAAAAAAAATAGTGTGGATCCATGCCCATCACTTGAGTTCTTATCTCAAATAAATCATTGTCTCTACTTACAGAAACATTAGGAGAATCAACGCTTAAGCAAATGAATAAAATCCATGTTATCATTTACTCCCATTCTCAACCCTTGGCCTGACTCTGTGGTTTAGGTTAGTTCACTGAAATTTTTTTACCTTCTGTACTAGTTTACTACAGTACAGTTTCTTTACCTAATGTACAAGTTTACTGCAGATTAGTTTACTTCTAATCTGCAGTTATTATGTGTTCCCTACTCAGGATCTATTCATCTGGATTCAGCTATGCCTGAAGTCCAAATCTGGATTTTTTTTCTAAGTACATGAGCCATTTTATATATATTGCTTTCCCCAGGCCAGTTTGAGCTATATTCCTATTACTTACAATTGGAAGTGCATCTGCCTAAAGGAAACATTATCCACATTCTGAAAATAATAAATAATATTTGATCTTTCTAATTCATAGGAATGATAAAAATATCTGATAAATTAACAGAGCTTGATCACCAGCCATGGTTACAGCTCCAGAAACTATAGTGAGGGATGAGAATACGATTAAGAATATGACAAAGCTCTTCTCCGAGTAAAGCTCAGTCTGGTTGAGAAGATAAACTACAAATAACTACAATGTAATATTCCTGACCATAATTATAATAAAGTCACGAATGGAAATGTATTGGTTTTCCTAAAGAAGTTGGAAAAGACTCTACAGAAGAAGTGACATTTGAATTGAGTTAAAGGCGGATTAGAAGTTTTTCAGGTAAAGCAGTGGCTCTCAATCAGGGGCATTTTTAAAAGACTTTTATGGGTACATATGGGTGCCTATGTTCATGAGGTACATGGGATCTTTTGATACAAGCATACAATGTATAATAATCACATCAGAGTAAAGGAGGTATCCATCACCTCAAGCATTTATCCGTTCTTTGTATTACAAATGTTTCAATTATACTCTTTTAGTTATTTTAAAATGTACAATTAATTATTATTGACTGTGTCATCCAGTGGGTACAAAAATATAATTATATAGAATGAATAAGAATTAGTAGTATTTTTACCTCCCAGGGGATACTTTTTGTTGTCACAATTTGAGGTGTGCTATTAGTATCTAGTGAGACCAGGGAGGCTTCAAAAGGTTTTACCATCTATAAGCAACTCCCACAACAAAGAATGACCTTACCCAAAATTCAATTACTTTTAAGGTTGAGAAACTCTGAAGTAGAGATATTAAGACAAGAGATTCCGGAACAAGGTGAACATACAGCCAGGAGTCATGATTAGTTCAGAGTGATGGAAATGTCTCAATGCAGGGAAAATAGGTTGAAGACAAATGACAATTGATCTCTGAGTATAAGGGTTTGAACATCATCCTATAGGTGTGGGAAGCTATCAAAGTTCTTTTAAGGTTGTGATTATAAAGAAGGCTTTCTGAGTTTGAAATCTTGAAAGCAGAATCTTGAAACTTCTATAAGGTGACCCATTTCTTAACTGTGACTTTGAATGTGGGAGCCTACAGAGAATTTGTGAAAATACAGGTCCTTACAGGAGACAATCTTAGAGCACTGTGAGGCTAGGACATTCAATGGGTTATTAACATGATTACTGAATTTGTCCACAGTGACGCTACTGATACTGATATGAAGGAAACCACTGGATTTGACTTCCTTTTGAGAATGTTTATTGGATTCTGAGCCATGCAGAAGCCTTCCCCACAAATCAGCATTTTCCATCTCCCCTGTGTCATTTCTTCCCTCTCTTTGGACATTCTGCCAATTTGTCTTGGAAAAATTAAATACTTTCATAATCAGAGGCCAGTGACAGGTGCCAGATTGACAACTCTGGAGGAGGACACTTGAAATGCTCATGTTCCTCATACTGAAATGACAAAGAGAAGAGTTATGTGTGCTGAAAGATTTATTGTCAAGCTGTCCTCAGGCATCTCTTTGGTCTCCAGAAAGTGGTTTAAAATTAGACACAATCTGGAAGCCTTTTAGAGCCAAAAAGAAGTGTGTCATTGTGTTGATGTTCTTTCTTCTTGTTAGCTTTGGTGGAAGCAAACTGGAGCTTGTATTCAAACACGTTCTACAAGTATACTGAAAAGGTCGCACTTGACATTCTCCCACCTCCATTCTGTGCCATCTTCTACTTCATGGAGTCACTGAATTTTAGAGATAAGAGAGATTCCAAAGATCTTTTAACTCACTTGTTCCATTTTACAGATGAGGAAAGTGAAAGCCAGAATCAAATTTATGATTTACCCAGGATTGCAAAAATTGCCATAAGAATAAGCCAGAGAGATCCTTCTTCTCTTTTAATTGTTGTCCCACTAGGTTTTTTAAGTGGATGTCCCTTTAGCCAACTTGACTACCCCTCCCATCCTACCACCCTGCCCTCCACAACTATTGACAATAGTGAAACTACCATTACAAAGTTCTTAGTCTGAGCCTGACATGCACTAGACTCTTTACAAATATTAACCCTGATTCTGTAATAACTGTGGGAAATATTATTATATTCATTTTACCAGTGACCAAACTGAATCTCACAGAGTTTAAGATGCCCCTAAATCATACAGCTGATAAGCCATAAGGCCATTTTTCAATCCAAGATCTGTATAACTCTGTTATGCCACACAACCTATGCGGATCTGCTTCAAAAATTTTCCTTCCATTCTTCTCAGTCATAACAGTTGCCATTCCTACTCAGTAGGCATCAGAATATCCAGCTGATTGACCAAATTTACACATTTTTTTAATTTTTAGGGAGGAGGTATCTTCCCCATTTCCTCCATGTGAAGGAAGTTTCACTTGCATTTCGTGGATGGCCTTTCACCTCTCCTAGTTTATTGAGTGTATTCATCATAAAAAAGTGTTGCATTTGTCAAATATTTTTTCTGCATCTATTGAGATTATGGTGTGGGGTTGAACCAACCTTGCATTCCTGGGATTAATACCACTTGTTTTGTAATCCTTTTTATGTGCTCCTGGATTCAGTTTGCTAATATTTTGTCGAGGAATTTTGCATCTGTATTCTTAAGGGATATTAGCCTCTCTTTTTTTGTGTGTAATGTCTTTGTTACGCTTTGGTATCAGGGTAATACTGGTCTTGTGGAATGAATTGTCTTCTTTTTTTTTTTTTTTTTTTTTTTTTTTTTTTGAGAGACAGGATCTTATTCTGTTGCCCAGGCTGAGTGCAGTGGTGTCATCATGGCTGTCTACAGGTCTACAGCTGCTTTGACCTTCTGCATTCAAGTGATCCTCCCACCTTACCCTCCTGAGTAGATGAGACTATAGGCACACATTACCATGCCCATCTAATTAAAAAAAAAAATTGTAGAGATGGGATCTCATCATGTTGCCCAGGCTGGTCTGTAATTCCTGGCCTCAAGCAATCTTCCCACCTGGGCCTTACAAAGTAGGATTATAGGCTTTAGCCACCAGGCCTAGCTCTCTTCTGTTTTTTTTTTTTTTAAGAAAGATTGAGGTTTATTTTTATACAAAGGGAAGTGGAGTGACTTATTTGATTTTTGAGTTTAGGAAGAAGATCCAGAAATAAACAACCTCTCCATTTCTCTCTGCCAGTTGTGGAAGAACTGCTTCCAGGGGGGACATGCTCTTCTCTGCTCTTCAATGCCATAAATGTCAACAAGGAAAGGCCTGTCTTAGCCTGACATAATCTGTCACTGGATTTCTAAGTCTGTCTAATCCTGGGATTCGACATGAGGAAAGCTACTTTCTTGCAGCATAAGTCATTTTCTTCAGTATCAACTTTATCTACAACAAGGTTTATATTTTAACTCTGTTTGTTTTCTTTTTTTTTTTTTGAGACGGAATCTCTCTCTGTTCCCCAGGCTGGAGTGCAGTGGCATGATCTCAGCTCACTGCAAGCTTCGCCTCCTGGGTTCATGCCATTCTCCTGCCTCAGCCTCCCGAGTAGCTGGAACTACAGGCGCCTGCCACCATGTCCGGCTAATTTTTTTATTTTTAGTAGAGACAGGGTTTCACTGTGTTAGTCAGGATGGTCTCGATCTCCTGACCTCGTGATCTGCCCACCTTGGCCTCCCAAAGTGCTGGGATTACAGGCATGAGCCACCACGCCCAGCCTGTTTGTTTTCTTTCTTTGACTTATTTCTCAATTGGTTCAGACTCTTGGCTGAGAAGATTAATAAATTTTTCAGGTCCTCTTGAAGCTTAATGACATTGAAAACAGGAACACTCTGATTATGCCTCCCAGGAAAGGGAATGAAAACAACCAGAGGTAACTACCTAAAGGTTACCACAGGCATTAACAGGAAGAATATGAGACTTGGAATCTCAACACTTGAATCAGGATTAAAGCTAATGCAGAGGTTGGCATGTATAACTGCTATTCTTAATCTTCTGTCTCCCTCATGGTCTAGCTGTATAAAATTAATCAAGATGTCCATCCTGCTAAGCCTCTGTTTCCATTGCTGAAAATGAAAATCAAAATATTTACTTTCTAAATAATGTTTCCTTTACATACAACCAGTGCACCGCAGTCAGTTCATACCGGATCACAAGAGCTAGTTGTACACACTTATTTCCATCTCCACTTTGGTGGTATTTTCCCAGGTCATCAGGAATGTCATATAGGGGCTTTTTCTACCTGGAAAGCCTGTTGTTAAACATTTATCAGCACACCTGATCCAACTTTGTTTCCCTTTAGTGTATACATGAAAGCTGATACTGCCCCCTTCTGTCTTCGGCTAGAACTTTCTTGGGCTAATTTCATCTCTTAATAAAGATAGGCAAATGCAAGAAGAATGTAACCCATAGTGATCTGCCACTTAGTTTCCCAAGAAATGCATTTTCTATGATTTAAGACACTCTTACTCCTCATTTATCTCTTGCCAACTGTAATTTAGAGGATTTAAACACCCACATGGATAGATCTCTTCTGGTTCCTTGGTGGTGCCCGTCCAGTCACTCTACTTCCTTTTTAAGATGGCATCTCACTCTGTGAGTGTGTGTATGTGTGTGTGTGTAGTCATCATGTGTGTATTCATCTTATATTATTAACTGAATGTCTAGGAAAATTGCTTTGGAAAATGATAATAATACATACAACTCTGAATCACACCATTTTAAAGCTGAAGAGAACTTAGTGATCACTAGTCTAATTCCTTAACTTCACAGATTAAAAAAAATAAAGTTCAGTGAAAAGAACTGACTTATCTATTATTACTTGGTGAAATAGGAACAGAATCAAGACAAAAATGCTGATCAGCTGACAATGACTTATGTGCTAATTCCATTTGTCCTCTGCACAACACTGAATCACAAGCTTTTGTTCTAAAAGTCTCTGAAAATGTCCCTAATTCCATTGCTTAAGATTCTAAATGATTCATTCTCTTTCTGGCATTTTCTGGCCAATCTCTAATCTCCATCACCCTTGCCAGTTTCCAAGTGAAATTTTAAAATACCATTCTCTAGGGCATAAAAAAGACCCACTAACCAAGTACCCAAGTCAGATGAGTTTCTTCAATAAGTATGAGACTAATAAGATTTACAATGTGATCAGGGTTTGCAATTAGTGGTGATAACTAGAGAATTACCCCAATAAATATTTGTCATGATTTTAAGAGCAATACAACATTTTATTTTTCCCACAGTTTTCTCTTAAAAAAAGGAAAGAAAGCAACCGGATAGCTAGATAATTGTGCCATAATTCTTCCTGAGGGAGTTTACAGTTGTCCAAGTCTGGATCAATTTCTCTATAGGTATGAGGATGTGTCAGGCTGGACTATGAGTCACTGTTCTCCACATCAATGATTTCAGAACCCTCGGGAAACTATCCTTTAAAACCTGTTATAAGGTTTTGGGTAAGAAACAATTTCCTAAACTCAGTCATCACAACTTAAATAAGGATTATTCTCTGTGATAAATCAATTCCTGACATTTGGTTTGTTTGCCTTTCTCAGTACTTTAAGATTTCTATATTTAATCTCAAGATTCAAGACTGCAAGAATGTGAAGGAATCTTAAAGCATATGCCGGTATAACCTCAGTCGGAAGATTGGATTCTATTTAGCATTCCTACTAAGAAGTTGCCAGTGGAATTTTATTTGGATACATCCACTGATTAGGCGCTCACTGACTCATAAGGTAAACCAATCTAATTCATGATGAATATGACTATGAAAACTCCCTTCCTTTTCTGAGCTATACCTTTCCATACCTTTCCTTTGATGATCCTACATCTGCCCTTTAGAGACACATGCATTTAAGTCAAAATTTCTATCTCTCTGTGATAAATTTCAGGCAATTGAAGACAACACAAACCTCTAACTATTTACAGAAAGACTTCTAAGGCTCCCATCACATGCCCCAAAAGGGACCTAACATTGGACACTAGCTGACAGAGAGTCTATCCACATACCTATTTTATTGGTTTTACTTTCCCTAGAAGCAGACCCTAAGAAAATGATTCAAGTTCAAGATGTTTATTAGAGAAGTGAACCTACTGGAGTGAGGAAGTAAAACAGTGATAGAAAAGTAACCAATAAAAATGTGCTATCAAACAAGTCACCACTGAGGACAGCTGGGGCTACATCCTTCTGGGGAGCACTGGGGCCAATGTAGAACACACATCTTAGGATTATTCATGAAGAAAGAAAGCTGAAAGTTTTATCTACTCACTGCTGTCAATCATTGCTTGAGAGCTGCACCTGCAGAATATTAATTTTCCAGAACTTTCAACCTACTACTGCATACAAACAGTAGGATCTAGCAGCCAGAGAAAGACCTCAACAAAAGGATATAGGTGCTGCAGCTGGAAGTCAGCCAACTTACATAAGAAAGAAAAAGGCTGAGAGAATAATGATGAGACATTCACAGTTTCTACTACTCCCACTCAATGTCAGCCAGAGAAATGCTGACAACCAACAGTGAGAACAGACAAACAAACCATGGGCTTTGATATAGTTTGGATGTTTGTCCCATCTAAATCTCATGTAGAAATGTAATTCCCAATGTTTTACATGGGGCTTGGTGGGAGGTGTGGATGAGAGTGGATCCTTCATAAATGAGGACAGATCCTTCAGAAATGGCTTAGCACCATCCTGTTGGTGATGAGTGAGTTCTCGCTCTGAGTTCTTATGAGATCCGGTTGTTTAAAAGAGCATAGTACCTCCTCCCCGACTCTCTCTCTCTCTCTCACTTGCTCCTGCTCTTGCCAAGTTACATGCCTGCTACCCCTTTGCCCTCTGCCATGATTGAAAGCTCCCTGAGGCCTTGCCAGAAGCTGATCAGATGCCAGCACCATGCTTCCTGTACAGCCTGCAGAACTGTGAGCCAATTAAACCTCTTTTCTTTATAAATTACCCAGTCTCAGGTGTTTCTTTTTAGCGACATAAAAACGGTCTAAAAGAGACAGGTATATAGAAGACGTCAATCTGCCCTGGCTCTGCTCACCAGATGAGAGACAAGAAAATAGGGGAGAGGTAAATTGTATAAAAAGTGGACCATACCCCATACAGCTCCTCTAACTCCATGCCACTGGAGCAGGAATCTGGAGATTATAACTTGTGGGCCAAATCCTGCCTGTTTCTGTTTGATCTGTGAGACAAGTTAGGAAAAAAACAAATCAAAAGAAGAATAAAGTTTTTTAATATGAGAACATTTTAGAAAATTCAAATTTTAGTATGTGTAAATAAAGTATTATTGGAACACAGCCATGCTCATTCATTTATGTATTGTCTATGACTGCTTTCACACTACAACGGCAGAGTCGAGGAGTTGTGACAGAGAACATTTGGCCTGCAAAGCCTAAAATGTCTACTATCTGGGTTTTTTTAAGAAAGCCTTTGTAGATGCCTACACTAAAACCTTAGACAAATGTGGTCTATACTGAGAAGGCAAGAAGGAATAAACCTCAAAGTGAGACTGAGAATGATATTAAAATGACTAAGACTAAGAGTTAAATATAATATCTAGAACACTTTAATATCTGAACAACCTTAGAAGTAAAGGAACAAGACCACGACATTGTTAATGAAACTTCCGCGAAGTGTAGTTGAGGTAGCTGATGAAGGAATTAAAACCGTTTTATATTTATACTCCAGAGAGTGTATATTCACATATATTCATCCTGGTTATATATGTTTAAATCCTTTTGATGTCTTCTCACACTTATAATGGAGCCCAGTGACTTTACAGTGCCTCCTGTCTACCTCTGACTTCATCACTTGCCGTTGTCTTTTTTTGCTCACTAAGATATATCTTCCCTTTATCTCCATCCTACTTGCTGTTCTTTAAACATGCCAAACTCTTTCCCTCCTGGTAACTCTGCCCTTGTTGTTCCCTACCTGATACCTCCTCCCCCAGCTCTTTGGAAGGCTGATTCATCCTTATATTTCCATTTTCAGCCTAAATGTCACTAGCTTATGAAAGCCATCTAAAATGGCTTTATTATGCCATTCCATTTGTTTTCTTCAGAGCATTGATCTCTATCTAAAGATACATGGATATTTATTGGTTTACTTGAATACCATCTGTTTTCCCCATATACATAAAATAGACTGTGATCTTCAGGAGTGTAGAAGCTTCATTTTTTTGAAATCACCGTATCCCCAACTCCTTAACAAGTTGTCTATGTTAGTCACCCAATAAATACCCATGGAGTAAATGAATGTATGGCTTTTAAGAAGTCAGAGAGGATAGGCCTAGCGCAGTGGCTCATGCCTGTAATCCCAGCACTTTGGGAGGCTGAGGCGGGCAGATCACAAGGTCAGGAGATCGAGACCAGCCTGGCTAACACAGTGAAACCCCGTCTCTACTAAAAGTACAAAAAATTAGCCGGTCATGGTGGCGGGCGCCTGTAGTCCCAACTACTGGGGAGGCTGAGGCAGGAGAATGACGTGAACCCGGGAGGTGGAGCTTGCAGTGAGCCGAGATCGCGCCAGTGCACTCCAGCCTGGATGACACAGCAAGACTCCGTCTCAAATAAAAAAAAAAAAAAAGAAGTCAGAAAGGATAGCAAAAATCATAGAACGTTCAAAGACATTATCATTTGGTGAAGTGATGTTGGTCTTACAGACCGGAATATGAATCCTAGCTCTGCTGTTTAAATTAGAACATAATGACCCTAGGCAAGTTTCTTAACTTCTTTGAATTTATATCCTTATTTCTAATATGGGATAGCAATACTTATCTATGTGGGCAGTTGTAAGCATTAATGAGATAATAATGTCTGCAAAATCCCTAGGCACATAGTAAGGGTCGATAAACGGTGACAATTCCTGCCTCTGCAATTATCATTACCATTAGACTGAAGTTGAGAAGGCCTTTTAGGGGAAATGTCTGTCCTATAATACAATCTGATGTCCAAACAAAGGCATGGAGGTTAAGGCAAAGGGGCTCAATCACAGCTTTGTAGATACCTCAGCTGCAGAGTCAGGACTGAGGCCCAGATCAATAGTCTTCAAGTTCTGAATGTATGTTATTAAATTTATCAACCTGCCTCTATTTTAACATCAGACATTGACTGCAGGCATTCTTCAGAGATCTCAGACGTTGAATGTAATGTCATGTGTAAAAATCTATTTGCTAACCAAATGATGTTTGTGTGAAACACTTTTGTAGCAAACTCAGAGATGATGTCTCTCATTCCCCCAACAGCCTGGAGCCCAAGCAGAGTTTAGCAGTGCAAAGTCATAACATTCTTATTTTCCTAGCACTTTTTCGTATACCCATTTAGAGCTATATTGTGTCCAGGTACTTTTAATACTCACTCTAACTAAAGTGGAAAGATGACTAAACCATCTTGTCCCCTCTCCCTTCCCTCCAGAATATCTCATAAGGATGAATCTTCTGTCTCTGCAGCAAACCAAGTTCTGCAGAGAGAAATGCTCCATGAAAGCAAGGATAAATCAAACTGGCCTGGAGAACTGAAATTTGTCTGTACTTCTGTGTAGCAGGAAATTAGTCTCAGAAGTGAAGAGAGAATATGATAGAGCAGCACTCTGCTAGAAGAAACACTGGACTGCAAATTTGGAGACCTGGGTTTCAGTATTGACTCTGCTGAGAACTCACCATGTGGTTTTGGGGAGTTCTTGAAACCACTCTGGATGTCAGTTTTCACATCTGTGACAAGAGGATATTGTAATGGATTATGTCGTTTTCCCACCCTACTCTATCATGTTAGTATCATTAATTAGATATGAAAGGGAAGACAAGAGAAAGCAGGCAGGTATAAAAGACTAAGGGGCATATATAGGAAGGAGTGAAGAGAGGGTTTGAAAACTAAATTAGAGGGAAGATAGGGATGAAATTGAGACGAAGTCAGGTGGAGAGAGGCTAGATGGATTTCGCAGATCACCCTTGGAGCTTTCATATACTAGAAGCTTAGGGTTGAGGCAGCTGAGAAGATTGGCTCACATGCTTGAAGAGCCTCCATGAGAAATTGTGTTAATGAAATTTGCACACAGTTTGCCCCTTCCTCATGCCTTCTGCTGCCCGGTGGATTATCTCCCAGACTGGAATGTTTCTGATCTCATCTTGTCTTGTTTCCAGAGAGAGATAAGGGCACTGAGACCATCTGTTCTGGTGTTTCTTTCTGAATCATACCCCACCTAGGGGCTTGCTGCAGGAGGGAGGGCACCATGTCCTCCCAATTTTTCTCTTCTTCCCTAAAAAAACTCCTGCAAATCCAGAACCCCACAGGTACTAGCCTCTTGTCCTTAGCCAACAGCATCGCCTCCACTCCACCACCAAGCACACAGCTGGCAACAGTGCTGTTTCCATGGTGATAATGAATGGCAACAGGCAGTAATCAAGATGGGTCGCTGGAGTCATAAGTCATTACAGATTGCATTTAAAGGCACACAGCTACATTTAAAATAATAAATTACTTTTTTTGAGCATCTTCCTTGCTTCAATCTCTCAGAAAAGAGTTAATTGGCCGTTTGTTTTGCATGTTTATTTTCTTGTATTTCTTTCCATTTGTATAGGGAATCAGATTGGTCAGTTTCCTCAACAGGATATCCTAGGCAGAGTTGAGAGCTGCCCACACACACTAAGGCTTAAGACACTGGGAAAGGCAGACTTACCAAAAAAGAAGTATTTTTCCTATCCCTGGCAGTACTTGGAACTTCAATATGACACATACATTTATCTGGTTCTTTACTTTGGAGTTCCAAGTGTCTTATTGGAAGTTAAACAGTCTTAGGAATTTGGCATCCACTGACACTGTAGCTACATTTCAGAATAAGAATAATAGAACCTTATTGAATTTATGCTCAGAACACATGGGCTTGAGTTTCAGCCATGCCCCCAAAATGGTGATCTTGAGTAAGTCTCATAATGTTTTTGATCATTAATATCTTTATCTTTAAATTAGAAATAATATTACTTAGCTTGGAGGATTATTATGAGGATCAAATAATAGATTCAGAAACTATATAAATAATACATCACTTTCTTAATTTAACATGCTTTTAGAAATTGTTTTAGTATATTGATTTTAGAAGTGACAATAATGACCATCTTAGTGTCCCCCAGAATCCCAGTTTAGATAAGAGGTAGGGTACTTTGTGTGTGACTTCAAAGAAACCGTTTGTATTTTGTGAACAATTTTTTTCCCTAATCTGTAAAATGGGAATGGTGCCTCCTGCTCTGCTTATGTCACGGTTGCAGTGAAGATCAAACGAAATAACCCACTTATAAGTCCTCACATATCAACTGCTCAGTATTACACGGAAGTAAGCTATGGTCATTTAGAAAGCATCCTGTTAAAAACAAGATTGCGTTAGTGATCACATTCAACTATTTTTCCGTACTGCAAATCTTTCATTCCAGACTTAAAATCATGTCTCACTAAAGTCCAATCCTCCATGAGGTTAAAAATAAATTCCTTATTTCACCCTGTAATTACAGTTTTATCTTTTCTGTTCCTTCTCAGTCTCTAAAGCTGAATGTTGTCTAATGGTCTTATTGACAACCTGAGATAAAATAAACAGGTAAATATGGAGCAGTCATTCATTTGTTCTGGGGAGCAAGGGAATTGGTAGGAAAATGGTTTTGCATAACAGGTATTCCTCATGGCAAAACATACAATTATTTTTGAGATCTCTTTGTGAACTAAGATTTAAACCAAATTGCATGCCATTAATATTTCTCTCTGACTGTTGGTCTCAGTTTTTTAATTAGGTAACAGCTGAAGCAGGATGCAATTTAGTTACACAACGATTCATCTTCTATATTAAGATATATTAATAATAATATTTGTGATGAATTATACATGTCACTTTACAGAGGTCCTAATGCAAGTACAAATCAGCCACAGCCACCTAAGAAATTCAGCTCTGCTTATTTTCATATCGAGAAGGTGCACGCCTGTATATTCTTCGCATAAATCTTGTCATTAAATTCTTCCTTCAAATTATCTCTTATTCAGAGACCTCTGGCAATAAATAAATAAATAAATAAATAAATAAATAAATAATGAAAACTTTGCACTGCTTTACATCTGGAACCTTAGACATTTATATTTTGTCTGAAAATAGCACCACTAAAGGTTTTATCACACAATGTCTTACATCACTATAGAAACTTAACTTGAATTTTTTCATTTCATCAAACTCTTCATGTTAAAGGTGATATATTAATCAAAACCACTATCCTAACTGTTAATATTATCATCATTATTTTTGTTGAATTTCTGTTACTTGAATTATTTTGATGTTATAAATTTGTAGTTTCAGAAATTGTGTTATACATTTTTTTCATTTACTTAATGTAGATCTCTGTTCTGACCTCTGAGAGAGATGGTTACTGTTTACAAGGTGTACTTTCTTGACAAAAATTTAAAATGCAGGCATCTTAGAAAAAATATAACATTCTCTCCTTTTCCATCTTCCCAGTTTCGACCCAAAATGATCACCCCACATCTGAATTGTCCCAGTGTTCCTGTGAAGGTTGTTTGACACCCAGCTGTCCATTACAACCCATCTTCCT
Source organism: Homo sapiens (assembly GCF_000001405.40). Lineage (NCBI taxonomy): Eukaryota > Metazoa > Chordata > Mammalia > Primates > Hominidae > Homo > Homo sapiens. The sequence continues at coordinate 117,614,275 of NC_000009.12, read as the reverse complement.
TATTACTTATGCTCATTTTCTCCATGTGTAGTAAATGATATAAAAGAAAGGCACACTCAGTCTTGAACCTCTCATTCTGGTCTATAGTCCACCTTGCTTTCTCTAGGCCTCCCATTGATTGAGTGGCAATAACAACTTAGCATTTACTTTTTCTGTTTTCAACCTTGCTCTGGCCCTTGGGTTATTCTTCATGACCATTACCTCAGCAAGAAAGAAAGTTTTCTCAATTTTGGCACGACTGACATTTTGGGCTGAATAATTCTATGTTGTAGGCAGTTGCCCTGTACATTGTAGAATGTTAAGCAGCATCCTTGGCCTCTACCCATTAAATGCCAGCAGCAAGCCCTCTTTCCAAGTTGTGACAATCACCTCCAGTTGAGAACCACTGGTATAAAGGGTGGTTGGAACAAAAAAATGGGTGATCCTGACTACTGAGACAAACAATAAGACCCTATTTAGGAGATGATATGAAACACTCAAATGTTGGTTAGAATTTGAGCTATTTCAAAAAGATATGTTGTTTGAAAAGTGAATTAAAGTGAAGAAAGATTAGAAAATATCAGTTGGGGGGAACTTCAATAAGCTGGAATAGAGATAATTAGGTCCCAAACAAGAGCAAGAGTAGTAAAGACAGACATAAAAATAAAAGTTTTTAAATCAAGAAATATTTTAGTGATAAAAGTGGTAGGACTTAGTGAATAATTACATGTTGGAAGAAAAAGATGGAGAAAACTTGAGATGACTTCAAGCTTTCTACTTGGGTAACAGGCACGCTTGTGATACTGTATTCCAACTTGAACCTAGAATCACTCTCCTTTATTATAGCAATCAGGTAACACAGCATCTCATTTACTACATGGTGAGCACCCAGAGGACTAGGTATGCATCCTTTTTACCTTTGTGTTCTTGCATCTATTCAACATTTGGAATTAAAGAAAACTAACTGTTGTCTTTTATTGAAAGCCAAGCAATGTGCTAGTACCCATATTAGGAATGTTTCTTATAATCAATATAAAAACCTTTTATCCCCATTTTATAGCTGTGAAAACTGAAAAGCTGAGAAGAGAGGAAACTTCTCCAAAGAGACACAGCAGATTAATAGCAGAGCCAGGTCTCAGGTCTTGATCTGCCTGGTTCCAAAGCCAATATTCCTGCCTTTTTGTTGCCCTGTCTCATTAATTAAAAGCTTGCCTTGGCTTTATGTGTCCCCTCAACCTTAACCAGTTGACTTCCCCACTTTGCAATGGAAAAGTTGAACAAGAAGAAAGAAGGGTTTCTCTCTCACTGCCCTCCCTTCTCCTCCTCTTTCTCCTCCCCACCATCCTCTTGATTTAGGAATTTCTGTCTCTTGCACAAAGGGATACTTTACCCCTCTCTGAAGCACAGGGTAGCAGCTTAGCAACTGCCTGCAGGCATCTGTGAAATTGGACTGTTCTTACAAGGCCAGAATGTTTGGGCTGAATGTCAATGAATCTAAAACATGATCGATTAATGTACCTTTCGCCACCACATGTGAGTTAAATGATTAGGAGCAAAATTGCTCGGAGCAAAACTGTAGTATTTGATCAAAGCCAGAGTGTTAGAAAAATGGCTGCAGCTGGTTTTTCTAACACCAAGTCCGGTTTGTTTTCTGCATTCCCAGCTGAATGTTGAGCACTTCTGTCAGTTTAGTAATCTCATAGGGAAGGAGGGATTGCATAAGCACTAAGCATTATTTGTCATCTTTGTGTCTCAACTGGAACTGTACATAAACATGATCAGGTCTGCATGGTGAATGATCTCCCAGAGGGAAAGAGAGATGAGGGCTGAACCACATCAATCATTTCTGAAGGATGAAAAGGTCTATGCATCTGGGCATCACTCAGTATATCAAGCATCATGCTGCTTCAATGATGAGATATCAGTCCATTGTGGTCAAGTCTTTTATTTAGTAGTGGCCATGGCTTTTTAACATTGATAATAAAGATTATTATACTGACAGTCATGAACATGAGATGACTATGATCATGGTGGAATATGAGCATATAACAGAGGGTCCTCTGGCCAGGGAATCATATGCGCATGAGCACTAAGCAAGTGAGGACCCACTTATGGTTTTGTCAATAAAAGCTGGACTGGAGACTTTAGCTTAGCTGGAAGTCTTGAATGGGGATTTCTATCACCTTCTCATTGAAGCTTTATTCAAGGTCAGGATCTTGCCTTTGAAATGTCAGTGAAGTCAAAATTATATCCATCAATGTCAAAAGAAAAGAAAGCCAATCACACAAGAAAACATTATATTTTCCTGTGGTCTTCAGTGTTAAAGTAGCCTAAACTGTCCAGCCTGTGTTCAATGTTCTGAAATGAGCCACAAATAACAAAGCAGAGATTTCTGACTCTCCCACTCAAAAAGAATGTCCTGATCCTTTCAAATTGATGAGCAACAATTGGTGGAAATAGATGATACACAGGTACAAGAAGAGAAGAAATGGAGTTCAGTGGCCACTTCTTTTCTTTAAAGTTTGAAGACCCTGCCCACTAAAATGTGACCATGGTTTTTAACCTACCTCAATGAACTAGAAAAAGTAGTAAGCAATGAGATTGAAGCATATTCTACTATATGAGAAAAGGAGGTCAGAAACACACCTCTTCGCTCCCGCCTGAGACAAAAGCGTTTTTCTCCTTGACACTAATGATGAAACATTGCATAATAGGTAGCAGCCACAACCTCAACTTCCAGAAATATTACTTAGCCAAGAAAAATATGGACAGGAGAAATCTGTTTTCAACAGGGACTTCTCAACAGCTAACTTCCAAAAAGAAGAATTTTAATAAAGGTGTGGTGGCTAATTTCAAATTCTCCACAATCACTGGTACCAGAAGCCCAAATGAAGTCCGTTATTTGTGAGGGTGGATGGCACAGGTGACAACTATCCTAGGCATAGTTTTTCTTTTCTTCTCACATTTTCCATTCAAAGATAAGGCTGGGAAAGTATGCAGCCTGCCCTAATTGCTTACAGGGGGAGATGTTGAGTTGGAAAATGAATATATGTTAATGACCAGGCACCCAATATGTTAAAAAAAAACACCACCAAAGTGTGACTTCAGTGCTTCTGGATTTGTCTTCCTTCCACTTTTCCTATTGTATGGCAGAACTTTAAGAAGCAAATCCATCAGAGCCTTGTAAGTTAAACTGAGCTGATGCCATCATCCCTTGGCTAGGTGTTTTGGGGCAAGTTCTTAAAGTCCCTGAGCTACAGTTTGCTCATGGGTAAGATGAGGCTAACAGAATATACTCCCCAGAGTGGGTATCAGCATAAAATGAGATAATTCATATAAGGCATCTGCTTCCAGCTCTGTGACCTTAGCTTAGTCCTCCTCTGGGCTTCAATCTTTCCTCTGTAAAATGGAAGCAACTGTATCTAAAAATAAAAAGACCTACCATTTATTAAGTTCTTGTTATATGTTAGAGATCACATTAAATCTTACTTCTCAGGACACGTATCTGTCAATATACGTCAAACTTGGTTGATTATAAAATCACTTAATTAAAAGGCTGGCATTCGGTACCTTCCCCTAGAGATTCTAATACATTCAGTTTGGAATGGGATCTGGTAATTTTCTAATTTTGAGAAGTGTCATTGGTGATTTTTATTATCAGGCAAAGTTTAAAAACACAGGATTGTTGTGACGATTGAATGAGATGCTGAGTAAATTGCGTGTGTGTGTTAAGTCTCTGCTTCCACCTTAAAGTCTATTTTTTATTTTGTTGAAGTATATAGCATATACAGTAAAGTGCACAAGTTCACAAAATGAGGATACTGTGAAATACCGAGGTCAAATAACAGATATCACCAGCACCTCTCAAGTAGCCACCTTCCCACTGAGTCACCATTACCCCAAGAGTAAACACTGCCCTGAGTTCAAACCCTAGAGATAAGTGATGCCTGCCTTTGAAATTTATCTAAACAAAGAGATACAGTATATTTTCTTTTTTTATGCCTGGCCTCCTTGACTCATAATTATGTTTCTGAAGGTCATCCATGTTGTTGAGTGTAGCTGTAATTTCTTCACAACTGCATAATATTTCACTGTGAATTTAACCATATATTTTTTTTATCCTACTAGATGGACCTTTATCTTCTTTCCACTCTGAGGTGATTAGGGATAAAACCATTTCATATATATGTCACTTAGTTTTGTTTCTTTTTTTTTTTTTTTTTGAAATGTAGTCTCACTCTGTCACCCTGGCTGGAGGGCAGTGGTGCAATCTCAGCTCACTGCAACATCCCCTCCTGGGTTCAACCTCCCCTCCTGGTTTCACTGCCTCAGCCTCTCAGGTAGCTGGAATTACAGGCACGAGCCACTGTGCACAGCTAATTTTTGTATTTTTAGTGGAGACGGGGTTTTGCCATGTTGGCCAGGCTGGTCTCGAACTCCTGACCTCAAGTGATCTGCACGCCTCAGCCTCCCAAAGTGCTCGGAGATTACAGGCATGAGTCACCGTGCCCAGCCATATATGTCACTTAGTAAAAATAGGTATACATTTTTGTTGAGTATGTATCTAGAAATAGAATTGTTGGGCCATAACATTTGCAGTTCAACTTCCATATATTTCCCTAGACTTCTTGTTGCTGCACAACATCTTTGACAGAATTGAATATTGTCCGTCTTTTTCATTTTGGCCATTCTGGTAGATGTGTAGTAGTATTGCGTTTTGGTTTTAATTGTCATTTCCTTGATGAGCAGTAATGTTGAACATTTTTTCATATGCTCATTGGCCATTTTTACCTTCTCTTTTGAATGACCTTTCATCCTTTGTCTTATTGACACCCCAATTTTTAAAAACTTACCTACAGTCAATACTCATTGCTCATGAATTCTGTATTTGCAAATTCTTCTACTTGCTGAAATTTATTTGTAACCCCTAAATCAATACTAGCACCTTTTTTGTGATCATTCACAGATATGTGCAGAGTGGCAGACCTATGAGTAGTGTGATGGGCATGTTCCCAGCTAGGCTTCAACAAGGTTATACTCAACATTCTTGTTGCACTCTCATCCAGTAAACTTGTGTCATTTTTGCAGCATATTTAGTGTCATGGTTTTTGCATTTTTGTGGGTTTTGTTGGTGATTTTGCTATTTATTTGCAGGCACAGTGCTGAAGTGCTGTCTACTGTTTCTAAGAAAGCTGTGATGTGCTCTGCAGATAAAATTTGAATACTAGATAAGCTTTGTTCATACCTAAGTTATAGTGGCATTGGCCATGAGTTCAATGTTAATGAATTAACAATGTATATTAAATATCTTTAAACAAAAATACACATAAAACAAGGTTATATATTGATTGGTTGATAAAAATGTTGTGACTAGAGGCTTGCAGGAACCTAACCCTGTATTTCCCTTAGGAGCACTGGTTCAATGTCTGCTAACTCAATGCTTGCAACAGCTTTATAGAACACAGTTACTGTGAATAACAAGGATTAAGTGTACTTGACATACATTTCCTCACAACAAACTTGTGGGTTTGTTTGAGTAGTCATTATGTCCTCATTTTACAAACAAGGAAAGTGAGGAGCAAAGAAGTACCATAGAGTTTCTAGTGCTCCACAACTAGCTAATTCAAATGCAGTCCTCATCTTCAGGTGTCTGATTTCCTTACTATGAGTTTTCTACAGTAGATTGACCTTCATGTTACTCTCTCTCCAGCTATTTTTTGTGGACTCCATAATAGGTCTGTCTGGACTGAATACACATTGAAACAAACTTCCATGTCAGTTTTTCTTCTTGAAATTTCTCTCTAAAGTAATGGGTTACAGTCTGGTGGTTGGCAATTGGTTACATAAGCAGCAGCTAAACAAGCTAGTACTGAACTCCAAGGTGAGATCTAGTACAAACTTCATCATTTGTAAGTCATGGGGCTTTAAACAACTTGGGCACTCTGAGTCTGTTTCCTCTATTTAACAAACATAATAATCTCTGCCCACCTTTCCTCATAAGGTTGTTCAGTTCATCAGATTCAATCAAGACAGGACAGGCACTGTACTAGTACATGGGAAGATACAAAAGAAAATAAACACAACTGTTTGCCTTAGGAAACTGTCAGTGTATTGAAAAAGGCAAAGGATGTGTATAAATAACTATAATAAATAATGTGTCAAATGTAGGAAAAGCTAAGGGTTATTGAAAGAGATGAGAGAAATATTTCCAACTAGCATGTATCTGGGATGGCCCCAAATCAGAGAAGGCAAAATATGAAGTGGGTCTAGAGGTAGCAGTAGTAATAATGATAGCCAACGCTTATGGAGTGTTTAACCCTTTGCATGCACCCTATCATGTCCATCTACAAGAATGAATTATGCTTAAATTTACAAAATGGAGTAAACACAGCAGGGTTTCTCAACCTTGGTATTATTGGTATTTGGGGCCATGAAATTCTTTGTTTGAGGGCACTGCCTGGCACAGTATAGGATGCTTTTCGGGATCGTTGGTCTTTACCTAATAGAAGCCAGCACTGCCCATCTCAAGTTGTGACAGTTAAAATTGTCTCTAGACATTGCCAGATGCCTTCTGGGGTTAAAAAAATCACACTGATTAAGAATCAGTGCTACACTGGCCATCAGAGAAATGCAAATCAAAACCACAATGAGATACCATCTCACACCAGTTAGAATGGTGATCATTAAAAAGTCAGGAAACAACAGGTGCTAGAGAGGATGTGGAGAAATAGAAACACTTTTACACTGTTGGTGGGGCTGTAAACTAGTTCAACCATTGTGGAAGTCAGTGTGGTGATTCCTCAGGGATCTAGAACTAGAAATACCATTTGACCCAGCCATCCCATTACTGGGTATATACCCAAAGGACTATAAATCATGCTGCTATAAAGACACATGCACACGTATGTTTATTGCGGCACTATTCACAATAGCAAAGACTTGGAGCCAACCCAAATGTCCAACAATGATAGACTGGATTAAGAAAATGTGGCACATATACACCATGGAATACTATGCAACCATAAAAAATGATGAGTTCATGTCCTTTGTAGGGACATGGATGAAATTGGAAATCATCATTCTCAGTAAACTATCGCAGGGACAAAAAAAACCAAACACCGCATGTTCTCACTCATAGATGGGAATTGAACAATGAGAACACATGGACACAGGAAGGGGAACATCACACTCTGGTGACTGTTGTGGAGTGGGGGGAGGGGGGAGGGATAGCATTAGGAGATATACCTAAAGCTAAATGACGAGTTAATGGGTGCAGCACACCAGCATGGCACATGTATACATATGTAACTAACCTGCACATTGTGCACATGTACCCTAAAACTTAAAGTATAATAATAATTTAAAAAAAAAGAATCAGTGCTACATAGTAATCCATGTGGTGTTCTTAGAAAGGTGTGGTTCTATGAGCGAGACAGGCTTGAGTGTTCAAATTCTACATCACCTCGTCCATTTTGAGATTTCTCTCATTCTATGTCCTCAGCTGTAACATGGAGGTAATAACAAGAATGATTATAAGTGAATGAAATAAGATATGCGAAGTGCTTTTTTTATGCAGAGTAGGCAGAGAAACATTGAGTATTATTTTTATTTAACCATTCAATAATCTAAAAGGGATTATCTCTCTCTCCATTTTTCAGAAGATCCAACTGAGCACAGGGAGGTTTAATGATTTGCCAAGTGTCACTTTGTTCTCAAAGCACAAAGGCAAGTGGGTCTGCCTGGATTGCTTTCACCAATAACACTGTTTTAATAAACAGAGGTGGGTTTGTCAAGCAGAGAGGGAAGTGGACTATAAATCAATCCAGGAGGCATTGTATAGGGTGGTGGCCAATAACTATTGTGAGGATCAAATGAGGTATTTTAGCTATAGCAAAGAGGGAGGTTTTTAATATTTTCATTAAGGAGATAACTTTGACTAGGTGGACAGCAAAGAAGACATGAATGGAGAAGAGTATATTTAAATTAAAAATTAGAACAAAATATAATTTTGTCAACTCTCATAAATATTTAATCATTTACAAAATAACTCTAAAAACATGCCTAGAGGTTTAATGAGTCACACCTTCAATTTTGGTCCCTCATCTCTGTCAAAAATGGATAGCTATTGTTAGCACATTTTATTTATTCTGAGATACCAAGCAAGTAAAAATGGAGGAAAAAATAAAGACTTTATTAAATGAGGCAATATACAGAACAATAGGGAATTTTGCTTTCATTTAAGCAAAAATAGGAATTCCTTGCATGTTCTGGAATGCTAAACTCTAGTCACAACTATGCTGACTGCAAGCTCTGTGACTTTGGTCACCTCTCCCAACCCCACCCCCATACCTCAGTGTCCCTGCATGTAAAATAGAAGGGCAGAATTGGACTAGATGCAGTTGAGTCCCTTTCTGCTCTGACATAACAAGAATCCATTTCCCCACACTTATGAACTCAGTGGCAGCTTCTCTGGCTGTCTGCTTTTTAAAAGGCCACTATGTTGCAGCCCTGGTTTGGCGGGGCACTGACCTTTTCAGAAGAGAAATGGCCAGACATTCTGTGCTCACTGCTTCAACCCGATGATCTGTACTGCTCCTTTCCTGATGAGAAACTGAGCTTTCTTCCTGCCTCTCGCCCTTCCTGCCTCCTACACTCCCACTCATCTAAGAATTGTTCAACTTGTAGAGCCAGAGAGGGTAGCTACTCATTGAAGGGGTGACTTTCCTCTCATCATCGATGTCTAACCACCATGCAGTTATAAAGGTTTTCTCTCAGGCACGTTCAACGCTTGCAGGAATTCATTGCATCTTAGCATGTTAGGATAGAGAATGGGCACAGAAATATACAGTTTGCTTTACAGAGGAAGAAATTGAGACCCAGGGAAAATACAAGAACACCATAAATGACAGAGCTGGTGTGAGGGGGCTGGCCTCCCAGCTCTCAGTCTGGTTTTTATTAGTTTTCTCCTGAACAACTATAAGTTAGATGTTTTATTTGGGCCTTATTTTTGTTGGTAATATGTGAAAACAGAGGGTCTTCAAGCTTTAGATTTTAAAGTAGAAGGAAAATAATAAAGAAAGAAAGAAATGAAAATGAATGAAGTCCTCGATTAGTTAGTGACAAAGGATGAGGAATGTTTAATATTAGTTGATACAATTCTGTCTTTGACAACTAGTACCTAGGATGATACTTACTCAATCACATGTTTTCATTAAGAACTGAATACCTGAATAGACACTTTATAACAAGAACATTTTTCGATTCAAGTTATCAGACTGAGAGGAACGGACCTGAACTTGGATCTGGAGCTCTACAAGGGCAGGGATATTTGTCTGTTCCCAAGTGCCTACCACAGTGCTTGACACATAACAGATACTCAATCAATATTTGTAAAAGTGCTTTCTGATTTATGCAGAAATGTAAGTACAGCTTGTTTGCGTAGAGGTAAGGTGGAAGAAAATAACACTGAACTTGAAATCAAAATACATGACTTCTATCTCTAAATATATAGCCACTTACTTCTTACCTGGGTAAGGAATACCTTCTCACTGAGGCTCTGTTTTTTTAACATAGAAATAATTGTTACCAGTTTCATAGATTTGCAAGGATTCAATGTATTAATGGATGATAAAAACTTCAACGCACACATGAGATATCCAAGCTACGTAAAGTAGGTTTACTTAGCCTTCAGAGAAATTTCTCAACCTCTGTAACTGTATGCAAAAGCATATGGGTTTGTTTTTTTTTTTTTTTTTTTTTTTGATAAATGAGCCCTCAGCTTTTATCCAAGTCTCGAGGACATTCATGATATCCAGAATTTAAGCACCACCCTTATAAAGTAATTTATTCATAATGTTAGTGGTTATTTAAGTTAACCCAACATATATTGGTTGATGTGTCAGCTCTCTGAGTCTCTGGCTTTTCACCCACTGGGCTCATTATCTCTGGTCCTCTTACCTAGACTCCTGAGCCCATTCATCAGTTAGCTTCCTTAGCTGCCTGGCTTCCCAAATGAAACCTGCTTATAGTTTCTCAGCCTTCCTGTCTTGCCTTGGCCTTCTTCCACTCCCACTACCTGGCCTGAATCTCAGGTGTACTTCATTCCCTGTTTTATCCACGTTTTTAACTCCTTCTGCAAGTTTCTACTGCATTGTTCTGATTCTGGAGACCTGTAACTATAGGTAGGCCTCCATCTGCAATTGATGCCTGTCTTAATTTAACGTCTTTGTTTCCCACTGGTCTCCTTTCATCCTTTTTTTCGAGAAAGTTTTATTAAGCATCACCATTTACTATGCCATATGTCACTAATGAGTTAAAGTATTTATTCAAAAATATCATTTGAGTGTTGTATTTTTGTTTTTATTATTATTTTTAATGGGCACATAAAATTGTACATATTTATGGGGTGCAATATGATATTATAATACACGTATATAATGTGTAATGATAAAATCAGGGTAATTGATAGATTAACACATCTGTCACCTCAAATATTTATCATTATTTTGTGCTGGGAACATTCAGAATCTGGTCCGGTAGCTTTGAAAATATACAATAAATTGTTGTTAATTATAGTCATCCTAGAGAGCTGTAGAACACTATTCCTCCTATCTAGCTGTACTTTTGTATCCATCAGCCTACCTCTGGTTATCTTCTTCTCCTCTTACCCTTCCTCATCTTTAGTAACCACTCTTCTATTCTCTACTTCTATGATATCAACTTTTTCAACTTTCAGATATGAGCGAGAACATAAGTGTTTCTCTTTCTGTGCCTGGCTTGTTTCGTTTAACATAATATCATCCAAGCTCATCCATGTTGCTGCAAATGACAGAGTTTTTGTTTTATAATCAAATGGTATTTCATTATGTGTGTATACTACATTTTAAAATTCATTCATGCATTGATGGACACTTAGGCTGATTTCATATCTTGGCTATTGTGAGTAATACTGAAATAAACATGGGAGTACAGGTAATGCTTCAACATACTTATTTCATTTCCTTTAGATACATACCCAATAGTGGGACTGCTGGGTCACATGGTAGTTCTATTTTTAGTTTTCTGAGGAACATCCATACTGTTTTCCATTATGACTGTACTAATTTACATTTCCCCCAACAGTATGTAGGGGTTCTCCTTTTTCATTTCATTCTTCCCAGCATCTGTTATTTTTCGTTTTCTTGATAATAGCTGTTCTACCTTGGATGAGAACATACCTCATTGTGGTTTTGATTTGCATTTCCCTGATGTTTAGTGATGTTGAGCATTTTTTCATATAACTGTCAATGAATTTTAATTGTATATCTTCTTTTGAGAGATATCTATTCAGCTCACTTGCCCATTTTTTAATAGGATTATTTGTCTCTTTGCTGTTGAGTTGTTTTAGTTCCTTATAAATTCTGGATACTAATTCTTTGTTGGATATTCATTTGTAAATGTTTTTCCCATTCTTCAGATTGCCTCTTCACTCTATTGATTGTTTCCTTTGCTATACAGAAGATTGTTAGTTTGATAAAATCTCATTGGTCTATTTTTTGTTTTGTTGCCTGTGCTTTGGGGGTCTCCTTTCCGAACTCTTTACTCAGACCAATGTCATAATTCTTTCCCCTATTTTCTTCATAATGTTAGTGGTTATTTAAGTTAACTACTATGAAGTAGTTTCATAGTTCTAGGTTTTATGTCTAAGTTTTATATCTATATCCATTTTGAGTTTATTTTGTGTATATTTTATTGTATATATTTTGTGTATATTTTTGTGTATGTTCTATATCCATTTTGAGTTTGTTTTTGTGTGTGTTTTGAGATATACAGTTTTTCAAACACCATTTATTGACAAGACTGTCCTTCCCACAATAAATATTCTTGGCACCTTTGTTTAAAACTGGTTGGCTATAAATACATACATATATTTCTGTACTCTCTATTCTGTTTCATTGGTGCACATATTTGTTTTTATGTTTTTTTAATTTATTTATTTATTTATTTATTTATTTTTGAGCTGGAGTCTCCCTCTGTCGCCCAAGCTGGAGTGCAGCAGCACTATCTCGGCTCACTGCAACCTCTGCCTCCCAAGTTGAAGCAATTCTTCTGCCTCAGCCTCCCAAGTAGCTGGGACTACAGGCATGCACCACCACACCTGGCTAATTTTTTTTTTTTTTGTATTTTTAGTAGAGACGGGGTTTCACCATATTAGCCAGGCTGGTCTGGACCCCCTGACCTCGTGATCCTCCTGCCTTGGCCTCCCAAAGTGCTGGGATTACAGGGGTGAGCCACCACAACTGGCTACACATATTTGTTTTTAATGCCAGAATAGTGCTGCTTTGGTTACTATAGCCTTGCAGTATATTTTGAAGTCTGGTAGTATGATGCTTCTGGCCTTGTTCTTTTTGCTCATAATTACTTTGGCTACTGAGGGTTTCTTTGTGATTCCATTTAAAAATTCAGGATTTTCTTTATTTCTGTGAAAAATGTATTTGGTATTTTTATGGGAATTGCAATGAATATGTAGATTGCTTTTGGTAGTATGGTTATTTTCATAATATTAATTCTTCCAATTCATGAACATGGAATACCTTTCTATGTTTTGCGACCTCTTCAAAATCATCAGTATTTTATAGTTGCTGTTGTGGAGATCTTTCACCACCTTGGTTAAATTTATTTCCAGATATTTTGTTAATTTTTTGTAGCAGATGTAAATAGGATTGCTTTCTTGATTTATTTTTCCACTAGTTCATTGTTGGTGTGCAGAAACACTGCTAAATTTTGTATGATTATTTTAAATCCTGCAATTTTACTGAATTTGTTTATCAGTTCTAAGAGGGTGTGTGTGTGTGTGTGTGTGTGCGTGTATAGCTTTTAGGATTTTCTACATATTAGATATGGCATCTGAAAACAGGGAAAATTTGACCTCCTTCTTTCCAGTCTGGATGCCCTTTATTTCTTTATCTTTCCTAAATCATCTGTAAGGACTTCCCCTGACATGTTGAATAAAAATGGGGAAAGCAGGCACCTTTGCCTTGTTCCAGATCTTAGAGGAAAAGTTTTTAACTTTTCTTCACAGAGTATGATGTTGTGTCTGTGTTTGCCATTACAGTCCTTATTGTGTTGAGGTACATTTATTCTATACCTAAATTATTTCTTATTGTTAAGGGATATTGAATTTTACTTAAAAAATATTATCTGTGTCTATCGGGATGATTATATGGTTTTTGCCCTTCATTTTGTTGATGTGATGTATCACATTTATTGATTTGTGTATGTTGAACCATCCTTGCGTCTTGATAAATCCCACTTGGTCATGGCGAATGATCTTTTGAATGTGCTACTGGATTTGGTTTGATAGTATTTTGTTGAAGATTTTTGCCTCTATGTTAATCACTTATATTTCTTGTAAGGTTAGTCTAAGGGAGATAAATTCCCTTTGTTTTTGTTTGTCTGGGAACAAACAAAATTTCTCCCTCATTTCTGAAAGATAGTTTTGTAGGGTATAGCACTCTTGGCTGACAATTTTTTTCTTTCAGCACTTTGAATATATCACCCAATTCTCTTCTCGAATGTAAAGTTTCTGCTGAGAATTCTACTATTAGTCCAGTGGGGATTCCCTTACATATGATTTGATGCTCTTCTTGTGCTGTTTTTAAAAATTTTTTATTAACTTTTAACAACTTGACTATAATGTGCCCCAGGGAGAAACTTTTTGGGTTGAATCTATTTGGGAACCCCTGAGTTTCCTGGCTAATGTCCAGATCTCTCCCAAGACTTGGGACATTTTTGACTATTTCATTAGAAAGATTTTCTATGCTTTTTCCTTTCTCCTTTCTTCCTGAAAATCCTTTAATACAAATGTGTGTTTGCTTAATGCTGTGCAATAAATTTTGCAGGCTTTTCTCACTCTTTCCTATTCTTATTTTTCCCCTTTGACTGGATAATTTCAAACAACCTATCTTCAATTCGGCAATTCAGAGATTCTTTCTTCTGCTTGATCAAGTCTGCTGTTGAATCTCTCTGTTGCATTTTTTATTTCATCCATTAAATTATTCAGCTGAAGGATTCTGGGGTTTATTTATGATTTCTCTCCCTTTGTTGGAGTTCTCATTCAGACCATTAATTGTTTTCCTGATTTTGGTGAAATGCCTAGCTTTATTTTATTTTATCTTATTGAGTATTTTTTTCTTTTTCATAACCGAAATGAGATTATTGAGTTTTATTAAGATCAATATTTTTAATTTCTTTTCTGGCAATTCACTGCTTTCCCTTTCATTAGGATCTACTACCAGAGAGTTATTTTCCTTTGATGGTGTCATATTTCCTTGCTTTTATTGGGTCTTTGAAAATTTTTTTTGTAGAGAAGAGGTCTCACTGCCTAGTCTCAAGACATATTGCCTAGGCTAGTCTTGAACTACTGGGCTCAAGCAATCCTCCTGCCTTAGCCCCCAAAACTGCTGGGATTACAGGTGTGAGCCACCATGCCCAGCCTGTTGTGTCTTTTTTATTGTATTTTTGTGTCTCTGTGTTGATGTCTGTACATCTGGTGGAACAATCATTTCTTCCAAATTTTCTAGAGTGGCTTAAAAAAAAAAGACTTTCACCTACAGTTGGGTTTTAGTGTGCTGGTTGGGAAGGATGTGGAAACTTTGTTTTGAATAGGTGCAGTGGTGTAGTCTTCATGAAGCTTCTTCAGCTGCATTCACCATAAGCATTAACTGTGGGTGCCTCAGTGCCCTAGGCTGTAGAATTTGTGGCAGAAGTGGTGGTGGCATTTGTTGTTCATGACCCTCGTGTCAAAATCATTGAGGGTTTTTGTATTCTCATTTTTCCCACAATAGGGAGACTTAGCCAAGGGGATAACTTTTGGTGTCAGGTCTAACATAGCCTATGAGCAGCTGCAGCAGTGCTGGCTTCCAGGTGTAGCATCTCAGATCAGCTATGGATCTGGGGTCACAGGCTCAGGGACTCATAAACCTAAAATAGCAACTGGGTCTTAGGATACAGGTTCCATCTTTGTGGCAAAGTTGGATGTAAGTTGCCTACAGAGCCAGAATCTGTGACTCTGAGGCACCCTCTAGCAGCTTGAGCCCAAGGGTTGGGTAGCTATTATTTTATGCTCCTGGGGAACAGAGCATAACACTGGCCTGCCTCCATGGAAGAGAATGTGCTGTAGAGGTTTGGGCCTGGGAAACAAGGTGTGGCTGTGATTTGGGAACCTGAGCCAATAGGGCTCAGCGACCTTTCTGGTCCCAGGGAATGAGACACTGTGGAGTAGTGACTCTAAATCCTGAGATGTTAGGGCTCGGCAGTATCTCAGACTCTATGAGGTCACATACATGGCAGTAAGAATCCCAGAATAGTGTAACACAGATGTCATTTGGAACCTGTAGGGCAGGGAACAGAACAGTGGTGATTTCACTCCCCAGGAAGAGGGGTGTCTCAGCAACTCAAACTCTAAGGGGCTAGTCCAGCTCCAGGAAAGCGAAGTACTAGAGTTGTTTATACTGTAGTGTGGGGTGTCTCAGCTCAGCCACTGCCTTATTTCCCTGGGACATGGGGTACTTCATCAGCTCAGCCCTAGGATGCACACTTCCCAGCTAAGCTAAGACACCAATTCCTCAGTGGGTGATGCGTCATTTCAGCTCAGGCCTAGATGGCTTGACTGTTCTGGCAGCCAAGGCATCATTTCCTGAAACACACGATGCTGCTTCAATTTAGACACCAGGGAGCACAAGGGACTGTTTTCTCAGAAGACAGAGTAGTACCACTTCAACTCAAACAAAGAGGGGTGTGACTACTCTGAATGGGTGGCCAAGGCATTGTTTCTCCCAGATGCCTGGCATTGCTTCTGTTCCAGCATTGGGGACATGTTACAGCAGCAACTGGGAAGGGTATATGGAGCAGCTCCACTAAAGCACTATTTTCATGGGAGACCGTGTGAAGTTTCAGTCTGAATCCTGTTGGTCAGGGCACAGTGGCAACAGGGAGAGATTTCAAAGCAACTGCCAAGGCACCATTTCCCTAGGAGATAGTTGCAGCCTTAGCTCAGCCCCAAGGGGCAGGGCACAGTAGTGACTGGGAGGGGGTTTTTGGAGCAACTCCGCCAAAGCACCTTTTCCCAGAGATAGAATGTACAGTTTCAGCTTCTGCCTGAGGAGGCAGGGGAGGGTTGGGCTTCAATGCTAATTATGGGTAAATGCTGAAGAATAAATCCTTCTTTTCCTCATGAGGCTTACATTAGTTTGCAGACAGAAAGATAAATAAGGTCTGTTCTCATCCTTGACAGGAGACACAGAATATCTAAGGTTTTGACAGCATTGGTTTCTCAGAATAAGATTTTTAGCCTTTACTTTGCAGACAAGAGGGAGTCATTGAAGTTTTTAAGCAAGAAAATGACATGTGCAAAGTGATATTTTATAAAGTTCAATCTGATGACATCTGCAAGGAGACTGGAAGGGGCAGAGGCTGGGGGCAAGGAGCCTATTACTGTAATTGTCAAGAAGAAAGATAATTAGGATTGAGACTAGGATGGTGACTTTGGGAATAGAGAGGAAGTAGAGAGAGATTGAAGGCATTATGAAGAGTAAGTAGGATAGGCCAAGCAGTGCCTCATGACTGTAATCCCAGCACTTTGGGAGGCTGAGACGGGTGGATCACTTGAGGTTTGGAGTTAGAGACCAGCCTTGGCAATATGGTGAAACCCCGTCTTTACTAAAAATAGAAAAAATATCCCGACATGGTGGTGAGTGTCTGTAGTCCCAGCTACTCGGGAGGTTGAGGCAGGAGGATCATTTGAACCAGGGAAGCAGAGGTTGCAGTGCGCCACGATCGCACTACTGCACTCCAGCCTGGGTGATAGAAAGAGGCTTCATCTAAACAAATAAAAATAAAAATAGAAAATAGAAAACAATAAGTAGAATAGTGTGCAGAACAATAGAGAAATAAACAGAAAACATATTCCAGAATTTTAACAGACGTCTGCTTTCTTGCCTGTTTTTTTTTTTTTTTTTTTTTGTATCACTTCCAGGTAGTTACATGGTTTTTAATATCTCCTTGGCATATATTCTAAGCTTCAACTGCCCTGTCTCCATCCATCGCCCACACTGCCATTAGGGGGCTTATGCGAAGAGACTGAACATTCATGGAGGAAATTGCAGGCTTGGATTACTTAGATGTCACCCAGAAAAGATTGTTTCAAAGGTCATCTCCTCCCCTGCTATCTGATGACCCTTCGTCTCTTTTCACTCCCTTTCCCTAGTTGTCTTTCAAAGATTCCATGGGGAAAAGAGAAAAGAATAAACAGGATACCCTAATTGTGTCTGATGCTGCAGCATGGCCAGCAAAAACCTGCAGAAAAAATGGCAAGGGCACCCAAGGAGAGTCAGCTAGTGGGAGGAGAGGGGAGGGGGTGAGGGAGGCACCATCACCTGCCATCTCAGCCTGCTGTGTAGCTAGCTGACTGCAGCTGGTAATTACCAGTAAGCAATGGGATGTCCAACCCTCTAAGGAAACCAGACTCTGGGAACACTAACAGTAATGCTTGGGGCTTCCTTGTTGATCTCTCCTCACTTATTTATGTGTGATCCTGCCAAAGGACCACCCCACACCCAACCCCCAATCCCCCACGCTTCCCTAACCTCCCCATACCCTACTGCACTGCCTGTGCCAATTCTGTCCAAGACAGAAAATAAATCATTAGCTTCAGACTCAGTATTTAAGGTGTTTTGGGTAAGCCATGGATACCCAGGCAGTCTCAAAGTTGCACAGTTTCCCCTCCTCCCCAAGAGCCTACTTCTCACTGAAATAAAACACCACTTGTAAAATAGGTTATCATCACCCACCAGTGAAAAATATTCCTGGCACTGTGGCCTCTCTTCTTTCCTCTTTCAGTACTTTGAACAGTACTGACTCGAGGACTGAGGATCCACCATGACCTCAGTCACTTTTTCTAGGGTACTGAGACTGTGACACTTACTTGCTTCTGCCCCCTGGGTCTCCTGCTTACCATATCCCTAACAATGGGATTGGTATTGTTATGAATGGGCAGATCACAAAAGCCACATTGTAGTTCTACCTAAGTTTCTATTTTTGCTGTCTGCCTGAAACCTTCTGCTACGTGGAACCTGTTGTTGGAATATGTTAGAAGTTGGGAAAGCAGCCAGGCAAGAGTGTCAATGTAGGGGTTGATTATATCAAGATCAAATGCAGGATCCCCTCAATAATGTTCTCCCTGTTAAAACCACTCTAAGTCTAAAGTGCTTTCATATGCATCATCTGATTTACGCTTCACAATAATCTTACCCAGGAACAATCACTTACTCCTATTATGCAGATGAGTGACAAAAGCCTGAAAGAAGTCATAAAATTGCTCAAAGTAATTGGCACAACTGGGACCCTCAACCAAAGCTCCTAAGCCTGGTGCTTTTCCCATTCAACAAATTCCTGAAAATGGTGGGTTAAGGAAAGGCAGCTTTAGTGACTTTGTCATTTTTCCTAGGGTTTATTCCAAGCAGTGCCTTCAGTCTGTCAATAGATCAGGGCTGAGATCACACACACACACTCACACAAACACACACACACACTCATACACATACATACGTACATATTGATGAATAAAGCAGAGCAAAGTTAAATACTCTATTGCGCAGTTTAGCTTGTGACTGCAATGGGATTTCAGAGAAAAGAAAGAGGAATTTCACATTATATATCTCCTACCTGTCAAGTACTATTCTTGATGCTGTGATCTCAAGTTACCAC